>NC_000009.12:134185536-134877066 GCF_000001405.40 Homo sapiens | reverse complement strand
AAGAGAAAAAAGAGGGAGAATGCAAAATATCACTATTAGGAAGAGATCAATGACCTCACTACATATTCTACAGATATTATGAGGAATATAAGGAGATATTAAGACACTTTAGCACCAACATATTCAACAGTGGAAATGAAATGGACAATTTCTTTGAACCACCAAAGTCACTCAAGAAATACCTAAGTCAAACAACTGGCGTGGTGGCTTACGCCTGTAATCCCAGCACTTTGGGAGGTCGAGGTGGGTAGATCACCTGAAGTCAGTTCGAGACCAGCCTGGCCAACGTGGCAAAACCCCTTCTCTACTAAAAATACAAAAATTAGCTGGTGTGGTGGTAGGCACCTGTAATCTCAGCTTCTCGGGAGGCTGAGGCAGGAGAATTGCTTGAACCCAGGAGGCAGAGGTTGCAGTGAGCCAAGATCGTGCCATTGCACTCCAGCCTGGGTGACAAGAGGGAAACTCCACCTCAAAACAAAACAAAACAAAACTATACATATAAAATAAATTGAAATTGTAGTTAAGCCTTTATTTTTATTATAAAGAAGTTTATCAGGATAATGTGGTACTGATGTGAAGGTAGACATATAGACCAATGGAACAGACAAGAGAGCCCATGAAGAAATAGAGAGTCTACAGAATAGAGAGCCCAGCAAAAAAATCTCCAGGCCCAGACAGCGTCACTGATGAAATCTACCAAACATTTAAGGAAGAAATAATAGCAATTCTTCCCACATTCCTTCTGAAAATCAGAAAGTTACAACTACTTTATCATTCATTCTATGAGGCCAGCATTTCCCCAATAGCAAAAGTAGATAAAAATCATTGCAAGAAAAAAATAACTATAGACTGATAGCCCTCATGAACATAGATACCACAATTTTAAGCAAAATTTTAGCAAACTGAACCTGTCTATGAAAATAATGTATCATGAGCAAGTGAGGTTTAGCCCAGGAATAGAATGTTTGTTTACCTCTTAAAAATCAATGTAATTCTCTAGCTTACCAAATTAAAAATGATATACTATCATCTCAAAAGAAACAGAAAAAGATTTGAACATTTTCATCCATTCCAGATGAAAAAGGCTCTCCAAAAATGAAGAATAAAAAGTATTCCTTTTCTATCATTGTGTAACAAATTACCACATCTTAGCAGCTTAAAATAGCACCTGTTTATTATCTTATAGTTTTTGTGGGTCAGGAGTCCATGCACAGTTTATTGGGGTTCTCTGCTAAGGTCTCAAAAGCAACAATTGAGGTATCAGACAGGGCTATAGTCTCATCCGTGGTTCAACTGGGGAGTGGTCTGTTTTTAAGCTGGTTCAGTTTAGGGGCAGACTGCAAACCCTTGTCATTGTATTAATAGGAATTGAGGGATACATTTTCTTGCTGGTTTTTGGTTGGAAGATGCCCTTTATTCCTAAAGACTACCCACAATTCCTGTCCCATGGGGTTCCCCAAATGGCCACTTCCTTCTTCAAAACCAACAAGGGAGTGAGAGAATGCAACAAGACCAGCAAGATGGGAGCTACCATTTTATGCAATAGTCACGTGCACATAATCACATACACAGCTTCCTCTTTGCTGTACTCTTGGTTAGAAGCAAATCATAGATTCTCTCTACACTCAAGGGGGGTGGGGACCAGTGGGGACCAGACATGGCTGTGAGCAGTGAGGTGCAAGGATCCTGGGGAACACCCTGGGGCCTGTCTACCACGGAAGGAAGCTTGCTCAAGGGCATCCACAAAAAACCCACAGTTCACATCACGTTGAATGGTACAAGACTGAATGAATGCAATTAGAACAACCAAGAGCAAGAGAAGGTGTCCACTCCCACCATTTCTACTCAGCAAGGTACTAGAGGTCCTAGTCAGTGTCACTGGCAAGAAAAAGAAGTCATGCATATTAGGAAAGGAAGAAGTAAACTGTCTTTTTTTATTTAACACATGACATGATTCTGTAGAAAATCTGATCAAATCTGAAAAATCTGCTAGAACTACAAAGTGAGTTTAGCAAGGTTGTAGTATATAACTTCAATATATAAAATCCGTTGTTTTTTTCAAATCACCAATGAATAATTAGAAATAAATTAAAACACCATTTACCATAGCATTGAAAATATAAAATACTTATGGATAAATCCAATCAAATATGTTTAAGACCTATTCAGAAAACTACAAGATATTGTTGGACAAAATTAAAGATCTAAGTAAATGAGAGATTATACCTAGTTCATGGATAGGAATATTCAATAATGTTAAGCTGCCTATTCTCCCCAAATTGATCTGCAGATGCAACACAGGCCAAACAAAAATCCCAGCAGCTTTTTAATGCAAATTGAAGTTGATTCTAAAATTTATATGGAAAAACACAGGATGTAGAATACCAAAACATCTTTTAAAAAAAACAAATTTGGGAGGTCAATACTATCTAATTTCAAGAATTATTATAAAGCATCACTATCAAGAAAATGGTTGTTTGGATGTAAAAGCAGACAAATAGAACAATGACACAGAATAGAGATTTTAGAAATAGACCTACGTGGATGTGGAAATTGATATTTGATAAAAGCACAAAGGAAATGTAGTGGAGAAAAGCTAGACTTTTCATTAAGTGGTGCTGGACTAATTGAATATGTAACAAAAAGAACATTGGTCCCTACCTCACACTATATAGAAAAATGAATTTGAAATAGATCATAGCTCTCAGTGGGAAATAGAAAAGTATAAAACTTCCAGAAGAAAACATTGGAATTAGGCAATGATTTCTTGGATAGGATACTAAAAGCATAATCTCCAAAAGCAAAATATTGATTAACGGATTGTATCAAAATTAAAATATTCTGTTGTTTGGGCTGGGCACAGTGGCTCCTAACTGTACTCCCAGGACTTTGGGAGGCCAAGCTGGGCAAATCACTTGAGGCCAAGAGTTTGAGACCAGCCTGGCCAACACGGTGAAACCCTGTCTCTATTTAAAATACAAAAAATTAGCCGCGTGTGGTGGCACACACCTGTAACTACTGCCAACTACTTAGGAAGCTGAGGCATGAGCATCACTTGAACCCGGGAGGTGGAGGTTGCAGTGAGCTAAGATTGGGCCACAGCACTCCACCCTGGGTGACAGAGCAAGATCCTATATCAAAAAACAAAAAACAAAAACAAAAAAAAACAAAAAACAAAACAAACAAACAAACAAAAAAAAAGTTCTGCCATTTAAAAGACTGTGTTAAGGGAATAAAAAGAAAGCCACAGTTCAAATGAAAATCCCAGCAGCTCTGTTTTATTACAAATTGAAGCTGATTTGTACCCAGGGCTGCTGGGATTTTCATTTAGACTGCATTGCATCTGCAGATCAATGTCAGGAGAATAGGCAGCTTAACATCGTCGACTCTTCCTAGCCACAGACTCAGAGAATATATTTGCAAATCATATGTTGTAGGCTGAAGAATGGCCCCCAAGGCCATCAACCGTACATGGCAAAATGCAAATGAGATGAAGGGTCGTGACACGGGGAGATGATCCTGGCCTCTCTGAGTGGGCCTGGTGTAATCCCAAGGGTCCTTCTAAATGGGGAGCAGTAGAGTTAGGGTCAGGGAGGAAAAGGAGGCAATGAGGACAGAAGCCAAGATTGGAGACATACTCTTTGCAGATGAAGGGAGGGGCCATGAGTTGTTACGCAGCAGCCTCTAAAAGCTGGAAAAGACAACGAAGCAGATTCTCCCCAGAAGCCTCCAGAAGGAACCCAGCCCTATCAACAACTTGATTTTAGGCTTCTGACTTCCACAACTGTAAAATAATAATTTTGTGTGATTGTAAGCCTCTAAGTTTGTGGTAATTATCTTACAGCAGCAATAGGCTCTCATGCATCACATACATTTGATAAAGGGGTGGTACTCGGAACACAGAGATAACTCTTCAAACTCAGTAAAAAAAAAAACTAACCCTCCAATTAAAAAAAAACAGGCACACAATGTGAAAGGATGCTTCACTGAAGAAGATGTGCGGATATAGCAAATAAGCCCATGAAAAGATGCTCAACGTCATCAGTCATAAGGAAAACGGGAACAAAACGTGATGAGACGTCACCACACCCCTGTGAAATTGGTTCAACCTAAGAGGACTGACGGTACCCAGTGCTGACAAGGATGTGGAGGACCCGCTTCTCTTGCACTGCTGGATTAAGCGGTGCAGCCTTTTTGGAAAACTGCTTTGCAATTTGGAAAAAGTTAAAAACATACCCACTGATATGGTTTGGCTGTGTCCCCACCCAAATCTCACATTGTAGCTCCCATAATTCCCATGTGTCATGGGAGGGACCCGGTAGGAGGTAACTGAATCACGAGGGCGGGTCTTCTCGTGCTGTTCTCGTGATGGTGAACAAGTCTCACGAGATCTGATGGTTTTATAAAGGGGAGTTCCCCCGCACCACGCTCTCTCTTGTCTGCTGCCCGGCGAGACGTGACTTTGTTCCTCCTTTGCCTTCTGCGATGATGGTGAGGCCTCCCCAGCCACGTGGAACTGTGAGTCCATTAAACCTCTTTCCTTTATAAATTACCCAATCTTTACGAGCAGTGTGAGAACGGGCTAATACACCTATCGTACAATCCAGCCATTTCCAAGCCTGGATATTAACCCGAGAGAAATGAAACCATATATCTACACAAAGACCTGTGCACAGAGATTCATAGCAGCCTGGTTTGTCATGGCCCCACCTGGAAGCAACCTAAATGTCCATCAACACCTGAATGGATACATAGCTGTGGTCTATCCACACACAGAGTATGACTCTGCTGATCGGATACACAGCTGTGGTCCATCCATCCACGGGGTACGACTCCGCTGAATGGATACACAGCTGTGGTCCATCCACACACGGGGTACGACTCCGCTGAATGGATACACAGCTGTGGTCCATCCACACACGGAGTATGACTACAGTGAAAGGAAACAAACTGCTGTGCACAGTACAACATCATGACCCTTAAAATAGGTCTGCCGGGGGGAGGAAGACAGGCAGCAGAGAGTGGATAGGATGTGATTTCACTCGTAAAAAATCTTAGGAAAATAAGCTATAGTGACAGAGAAAAGCACAGATGTTGCCTGGGGACACGATAAGTGGGGCCGGGTGGGGGTGGGTGGGATTGCAACGAGGAAGCTTCTGGGGGTGACAGATCTGTTCCTTGTCTCAATTGTGGTGCTGGTTTCACGGGTGCATCCTCTGTCAAACTACTCAAGTTGTGCACTTCAAAGCCATGTAGCTTATTCAATGTCAAGTACACCCCTCTAGGCTCTTAGAAAAGAAAATCCTGTGGGACCCAGAGCATAAGCTTTCCGATGGCTCTTTCCTCTCGGGTAAGGGGCAGCCAGGACTCCTGCCCATCCCAGTCCACCTCCCCACAGACCCACATCCTCCCTCTCAGCACCGGGTCCTAGAAGGAGCTCGGCAGGGGCCGGGCAGGGAGCCCAGTGCCCACTCTACACAGCTCCCTGGTCCCGAAGGGTCTGGGGCCCCAGAGCCAGAGAGGGGTGAAGAACAGAGGACTAGGTGTGGGCTCAGCGTGCGGTCACAGGGGAGTGAGCACGCAGCGGCGGCACAGCCCAGCCCCGCTCCTCTCCACTTCCTGCCCTTTTCCTGGTCAGGATGATGATATGACCTGACAGGTGGGACCCGCGAGATGCCAGGCATGAGCCCCCCATCCAACTGTCGAGAAGGAGGACACAGGGACAGCCCAAACAGTGGCCCCCAGACCAGGATGCAGTCACAGATCCCAGAAACCACAGGCCCCGAAAACCACACTCAGTGGCCAAGCCGCGGGAATCCATGGCAGAGACAATTCATTCCACCAGTCCTCAGCGCCGATCCTGGAATATTGCCCTGCCTGATTGGGATCACACGTTGAGTAAATTGTAGAAGAGTGGTAACAGTAATAAAACCCAGGCCTGCCCACTCAGGGGCTTTCGTAGCGCTCAATCAACCAATCAATCAATAAGTACAAGGCATATTAGAAAACAAAAGACACTTTGGGCAAGGAAACCAAAACCTGAGGGGCTGTACCATGTCGGCCGTGCTGGCAACGAGGTCGCCTGACTCTGGGGTCAGAGGGCAGCGCCTCTGGGTGGAGAATGGAGAGAGGGCACCGCCGAGCCCAGTGCTGGTGTTGGGGGAGACCTGTGCAGTGAGGATTCTGACCCGCTTAAGGGAGGAGGCTCTGAGTGCACAAGCTGCCTTCTGCCAGCTTCCCTCCCACCTCCCTCCCACCCCACCTTCGTCCTAAAACCTCTCCCTCTTCTGGGGCTCAGTGTCATCTCCCCTCCCCTGGGAGCATCTGACGACTCAGAGTCTGGGGGCTTATACTGTGCTCTCCGTGTCCCCCTTCCTTCATCACAGTGGAGTGGCTGTGCGGTCAGTGGTGGGCTGGCTGTCCCCCCGCAGGGCCGGGCTCTGTGCTCAGGGCAGGGTCTCCTTTGCTCACCGTGGCTGCTTGGGGCTCAGTACAGGAGGCACCCAGGGCACCCCCCGAGGGCACTTATTGCTGCCACTCAGGCACGGCCTCCCTCCACTGAGGTAACATGGGCTTGGCCCCCCGAGGGGCACAGCTGAACTCAGAGGCCAGGTGGTGAAGGTGCAGGGAGTGGCAGGCGTCACCCTGGGGGTGAAGGCTGGGGCTGGGAACTTCTGGGCACCCCCTGGCCCTTGCCATGCCCAGGTCTACACTCGGCCCTCCCAGTGAGCCCACGGACCTCTGCACCCACACTAGGCCGGGTGGGCCAGGCTCCAGGCAGCGGAGTCGGAACCGTGGGGCTGCGAGACCTGCTGCCTCGGGGGGCAATGGCCTGGGGGCTGCTGTCTCCCACATGAAGCTGCAGCCAGCAGAACTCGGGGAAACCGGCATCCAGTGTCCCACAGAGGGGGGTTTGCCAGGTGCCACCAGCCACCTCCACATTAACTCCTTCAGGCCAGGCTGCCCCTTGGGCAGAGGAACCCTGCCTAGCCCAGGGGCTGTCCACGGAGTCTGAGAGTGGACAGGAGGACCACCAGAGTCGGATCCGATTCATCCTCTCAGGCCTGGGGCAAACCCACCCCATGTGAATGAAGCCCCCTAACAACAGGAATTTGTGGGCCCCCCCCTCCTGCAGCCATCTGTCCCCCTTATGCTGGCTATGGGTGCTTGCAGACAGTGGGAGCTCGGGAACAGTGCAGCGCCCACCTGAGGGGCCTGTTCTGTGATCACGTAGCCCTCACCTGCATCAGGAGCACCTGAGGGCAGGAGCCAAGGCTCCTCCATGCTCCCCACACCCTCTCCTGTGAGCCTCAGCCCCTCGGAGGCCTCTGCTAGAGGCTTATGGGTCCCTGCAGGTCACAGGTTGAGAAGAGTCATCTGTGAAGCAGCCGCACTGGGCCTGCCAGCATTTCCACCTGGAGAGTTGAGTCGAGCAGAGAAAAGGCAGAAGGAAGCCTCGGAGAGACTAACAGAAGCAAAAGCAAAGCCAGAGGCCTAGGGAGGGCCCTGATTTCCAGAGGCGGGGAAGGGAGCCTGCGGGGGTCTGAGCCCTCTCCGGGAGAGAGACCGAGGCTGGGGAGAACCCTCCACCCTCTGCGGGGTCTGGGCTCAGGGCAGCTGGTCCCAGGAGAGGGCCTACTTGGCTGATCAGAAGGAAAACAGGTGTTGTCAGGCCTTATGCAACCCACGGTTTTGTGGGCTCAGCTTTCTGGCTAATTCCAAGAGGAAGCGCTTGAGGGAGGAGGACCTTTCCCTCTCCCATGGGCCCAGATCCTTCTCACCCACTCGCCCCCTTCAAATCTTTGCTTTGTTCTTGATGAGGGATTCACGTGCACACAGTCACCTTTGGTACAACGTGTGAGGCTCTCATGCATGAGTCCCAAGGGACCCTAGGAGGCAGGTGGCAGGAAGCCCCGGCACGGGGGCCGAGTGGGCAGAGCAGGGGCCAGGCGGCCGGGGTCAGGTGGCTCTGAGTGCAGAGGTCGGCGAACACTCTCTGTAAAGGACTGATTAATACACAATTTAGGAGTTGCGAGTCATACGGTCTCCGTCCCAACTACTCTATTCTGCCTGGCACTTGGAAGCTTCCGGGGATGATAGAAACCAACCAGAGACAATATGGAAGCCATGGGCATGGCTGTGCCGATAAAACTTTATTCACAAACAGGCACGGTGGCCCTGCTTTGTCTTAGCCAGTGGGGAACTCCCTCAGCCCTAGGGCATCTGATCCACCCATAGGGCCAAATCACAGGGAAGCAAGGACGGATGAGCAGCACAGTGGTGTGGTCACTGGTCAGGGCAGGGCAAACGGCCATGGCATCCCACCATTGTCTGTGAGGCAAGCAAGCACTGATGGCTGCGGTGAGGGAGGCACGCTGGGGCTTCGCCTAGCCTTGCAGATGGGAGGCAGGGGGCTGGATGCTGGCACTGGGTGCAAAGCTCTGCGGGCCATGCCTATAAGGGACTGGTGGGAGCTCCCTCTTCCCATGAGGATGGGGGCCATGATCCCCACATTGCCCTCTTGGTGAGGGCTGAGGGATGCGCTCCTCCAGCCAGGGTGTGTGGAGAGAACCTCTGACCTCAGCGCCGGGCTAGGTGGGCCGCACCTTCATCTCCGACACCTTGTAGCTGTAGTTGTTCCCTTTCCCCGACTTCCAGTTGATGCCGTTTGTAAAGCTGTCACGGGCCCCCCCGAGGTAGACACCATTCAGGTGTGACAGGTGACAGCTGGCATACCACCAGGCTCCCTGATAGTGCACGGCACAGTTTTCAGCATCTCGGTCGTTGTCTTGGTCTTCGGTGGAGAAGGGGTAGTTGTTGTGGTGTGTCAGAATCACCTGCTCAGAGGGAAAAATAGGGCATTCTCCATGAAGTTCCAGGGAGCCTGGATCTGCTCCGCTGGGTCCTTGGTCTGTCCTCACCCCTCGGGCACTGGTGAGGCGGAGAGGTGATGAGGGGCAGAGACCTGGCGTTGGAGGCCACCCCGATCTAGGGGAGGCCCATGTCCTCAGTGCTGTGTGTCCTGTGGCAGATCACTTAACTCCTCTGAGCTTTGTGCTCTGGGCTGCCAAGTGGGGATAGTAACAAGGTTGTGGCCAGGGTTGGATTAGAGAATGTGCATTTTAAATCTCTTATTGTAATTTATGGCATTTAGAAAGAGCTTAATAAACAGTGGGCACTTTCAATAACTAATGACCACCAATATTTCTAAGAAACTTGGGGAATTGGGGCTGACAAAGCATTTTCCCTCCCAGACCTTGGGAATGTGGTTGTAGAATTACGGGGCTGGAAGGGGCTTTCTAGGTCCTCTGGAGAGGGGCAGTGTGGGGTCCAAGGACACAGAGCCAGGTGTGGCACAGCTGCAGCCAAACCAAGGTTGTTTACTTCTTTTTTTTTTTTTTTTAAAGTATCCCCAATTTTTTTTTTATTATAGTTTAAGTTTTAGGGTACATGGGTACAATGTGCAGGTTAGTTACATATGTATACATGTGCCATGCTGGTGTGCTGCACCCACTAACTCGTCATCTAGCATTAGGTATATCTCCCAATGCTATCCCTCCCCCCTCCCCCCACCCCACCACAGTCCCCAGAATGTGATGTTCCCCTTCCTGTGTCCATGTGATCTCATTGTTCAATTCCCACCTATGAGTGAGAATATGCGGTGTTTGGTTTTTTGTTCTTGTGATAGTTTACTGAGAATGATGATTTCCAATTTCATCCATGTCCCTACAAAGGTTGTGAACTCATCATTTTTTATGGCTGCATAGTATTCCATGGTGTATATGTGCCACATTTTCTTAATCCAGTCTATCATTGTTGGACATTTGGGTTGGTTCCAAGTCTTTGCTATTGTGAATAATGCCGCAATAAACATACGTGTGCATGTGTCTTTATAGCAGCATGATTTATAGTCCTTTGGGTATATACCCAGTAATGGGATGGCTGGGTCAAATGGTATTTCTAGTTCTAGATCCCTGAGGAATCACCACACTGACTTCCACAATGGTTGAACTAGTTTACAGTCCCACCAACAGTGTAAAAGTGTTCCTATTTCTCCACATCCTCTCCAGCACCTGTTGTTTCCTGACTTTTTAATGATTGCCATTCTAACTGGTGTGAGATGGTATCTCATTGTGGTTTTGATTTGCATTTCTCTGATGGCCAGTCATGATGAGCATTTTTTCATGTGTTTTTTGGCTGCATAAATGTCTTCTTTTGAGAAGTGTCTGTTCATGTCCTTTGCCCACTTTTTGATGGGGTTGTTTGTTTTTTTCTTGTAAATTTGTTTGAGTTCATTGTAGATTCTGGATATTAGCCCTTTGTCAGATGAGTAGGTTGCAAAAATTTTCTCCCATTTTGTAGGTTGCCTGTTCACTCTGATGGTAGTTTCTTTTGCTGTGCAGAAGCTCTTTAGTTTAATTAGATCCCATTTGTCAATTTTGGCTTTTGTTGCCATTGTTTTTGGTGTTTTGGACATGAAGTCCTTGCCCATGCCTATGTCCTGAATGGTAATGCCTAGGTTTTCTTCTAGGGTTTTTATGGTTTTAGGTCTAACATTTAAGTCTTTAATCCATCTTGAATTGATTTTTGTATAAGGTGTAAGGAAGGGTTCCAGTTTCAGCTTTCTACATATGGCTAGCCAGTTTTCCCAGCACCATTTATTAAATAGGGAATCCTTTCCCCATTGCTTGTTTTTCTCAGGTTTGTCAAAGATCAGATAGTTGTAGATATGCGGCGTTATTTCTGAGGGCTCTGTTCTGTTCCATTGATCTATATCTCTGTTTTGGTACCAGTACCATGCTGTTTTGGTTACTGTAGCCTTGTAGTATAGTTTGAAGTCAGGTAGTGTGATGCCTCCAGCTTTGTTCTTTTGGCTTAGGATTGCCTTGGCGATGTGGGCTCTTTTTTGGTTCCATATGAACTTTAAAGTAGTTTTTTCCAATTCTGTGAAGAAAGTCATTGGTAGCTTTATGGGGATGGCATTGAATCTGTAAATTACCTTGGGCAGTATGGCCATTTTCACAATATTGATTCTTCCTACCCATGAGCATGGAATGTTCTTCCATTTGTTTGTATCCTCTTTTATTTCCTTGAGCAGTGGTTTGTAGTTCTCCTCGAAGAGGTCCTTCACATCCCTTGTAAGTTGGATTCCTAGGTATTTTATTCTCTTTGAAGCAATTGTGAATGGGAGTTCACTCATGATTTGGCTCTCTGTTTGTCTGTTGTTGGTGTATAAGAATGCTTGTGATTTTTGCACATTGATTTTGTATCCTGAGACTTTGCTGAAGTTGCTTTGAAAAAATATTTTTCATTTTGTTGATTATGAAATCAATATGCCCTGCTAAGGGTGCTCTAAGAGACCATGGACCAGAGCGGTGCTCTCACCAGAGACATGGCAGCTGCCACTGCTTGGTGGATTTTTTTTTTATCTGTCCTCACCCCTGGCTCACTGGTCAGAACAAGTGTAGACCACTTTTTTTATTTGCTTAATTTTTCTCATTAAACAATGAATACTTAATAATGTAGGATAATCTAGAAAATAAGACATGTTTGGGGGAAAAAGTTAACTCACCCATAACATAACCAGTGAAAGGGCCTCTGTAGTGTGTGTTTTCTTCCTAGCCCCACTCGGGGCCTTTCTCCATGGGACCCACCATTACCCTGGCCCCTGGTCCACCACGAGCAGGCTCAGACCATGGCGCCTACTAGGGTTTTTGGAAGCCATCCCTGGTTCTGAGTTCAGAGCAACGTACTCCAGCATGGCTGCAATGCAGGGGGGCCAGAGCCTCCCCCAGAAGGTGGAGCTGCTGGGAATCACCTGAGTGCCCCCAGAAGCCCAGGGAAGATCTGGAGCCTAGGTGCCACATCGACCTCACTGGGCTACATCAGGGACACAGTGGGGACCACCTGTCCCAGTGCCAGGCACATCCCAGGCCAAATTCCCTGCAGAGCTGGGACTTGACTTTGCTGGCCACGTCCAGCTGGGTGGTCTTCCAGTGACATTGATCGTGGCACAGGCTCTGACTAGGCCCACTGCCCGCCAGCGCCCTGTACGCCCACTGCCTCCTCACACAGCTGGTGGGACTCTCACGACGGCCCTTCTGCGGAGGAGGATTCGGCCCCGGGGAGACGGCCCTGCTGCATGCTCTGAATTTGGGACCTGGCCCGTTTGGCCCCAGGGCCCTGTTCCTAACCCCCGTGTTAGGCTGCATCTGTTTCTTTGAGCCTCTGTCTGGTCTTTAAAGGGTGAGGCTTAAAACAATCTGTTGAGAAAATGAGGCAGGAACCTTCACAAAGGGCATAGTACCGGGCCTGGCGTGCTGTGAGTGGTCAGCAGGTGGCCGCTGTCAGCTTCCCGGAGTGTGATCGCTCTAAGGTTCTACCCACCGGGGGGCTGACTCACCTGGACAGGTGTCTTCAGTCAAGGCCATGGTCCACAGGAAGGAGAGGGCCAGGAGAGCAGGTCCCATGGCTACGGCAGCTCGGCTCAGCCCTGGGGCTCTGGTCTTTGCCACTGAAGGAACTCCGTGGTTCTTACAGGGCTGCAGCCACCCACTGTAACCTCTCTCTCCATTTCCCAACCCCAGTGGGGATGGCCACTCCCTCCCGAAGGCTTGGTGGCACCAACTGGCGGTGGAGACAGCCTCAGGGCCGCTGTCTTCCGCAGGCCCCACAGGCTTCCCACTTAACGAGCCTGGCTTCCCCTGGCAGGGACGCTCTGCCCAGCAGAAGGCTCCCTGAGGCCCGTGTGGGAAGGGCCTGCCTGTTTGTGTCTTTAGGGAAAGCTTGGCGGGAACACTGCCTGAGGCCCGCAGCAGGACAGAAGGGCTTGTGGAATCCAGCCCTTGAGGAAATCTCTTGCAGAGAATCTGCCGTGAGTCCACAGAAGTTTAGGAACGTCCACTGCGGTCTGAGTGGTTCCCAGGGGAGGGAGAGGGAAGCAGGATGATTACCAGGAACCTCCCTGGGCCAGCATGCAGGGAGTTGGTTGCAACCCTAGAGGACATTGGCTGGCGAAAAGTGGTGTGAGCGGACCAGGAGCCTTGCCAAGGGGTGGCACGCTGGCACTGGATCAGGCTCCCGTCCAAGCCGGTGCTGCAAAGACGCAGGACTGTGAATGGGACGGCAGCAGCTTCAGGTGGGGGCGGGGGAAGGGGTGGGGATGGGTGGCATGAAATTGCCCGCGGGGGGCCATTGGACACCTGCCCCCTGAACAGGGGAACTGGTGGATTGGCCCCAGCTTCAAAGCCTTTTAGAGAAAAGCAAATCCTGAAGCAAATGCTGGCCTCGGGTTCGGTCCCATTAGGGAGAGGTGGCAGGCTGTGGCCCCAGTTGCACCACCAATGGCCCCTGCGCAGGTGTCAAAAGGGTTAGATTCATGACCCCAAGTGGAAAAAGCCCTGTGAGGCTCATCCATGGCAGACCAGCTCCACGTCCCTGGCGTCATACAGGCCTGAAAACACAAAGCCATTTAAAGACCTCGACTTTGACCGTGCCAGACCCAGTGTGAGCAGAACGTGGCTGGGAAGGGCGGGCTCCCAGGGATGTGTGGAAACGGAACCCAGAGATGTGGCCTCCCTCCTGGCACCTTCTCTTCTCACCAAAGTGCCACGGGCAAGACTCACACAGCTGGTAGCTAAAAGCCCACGGCAGGCTGCCCAGACTCCCGGGCCCTTAGTCACCTGGGCTCCCTGAGTGGAGACGGCCTCCTGAGTAGGTGTGTGTTTCTTCTAAAGTCTAGACAGAATCAAGAAATTGAACCTCACAGTATGAATATTTTAGCGTAAAGCAATCTATGTCAATTTGGTATTTTGAGTATTGGAGAATTTGGCCTATGTCAGTGACACCCTGATAATCCAATTGAAAATGTGAAATCGAGGAATTGAATGAGTTAGTGATTTTATGTGGAAAACTGTAGTGTGTGTGTAGTTTTGGAACATTTAAGAGACCTCCCCCCACAGTCATATGTTTAAATTATTAGATTTTGAAAAATTAGTTTATACTCAGAAGGTTTTGCTAAAGGTGGAATGCTGAAGTACTAAAACATAAATTTAAACATATTAATTTTGGAAGTGCAATTAAAATGTTTAAAGCTATTAAATAAACTAAGTCTGTGATGGACCAAGAATTATCCACAGGCCTCATAAAGGAAGTTATTAACATTTGCCTGTAACGGGTAGAACACGGTTTATCAGCCAAATTTAAAGTCTCAAGAAGCACTGGACTTTCGAAATTGTGATTTTAATACAATGAAAAAATTACATTTGAATCGATCTTTTTTAAAAAACGAAGTAATTCACAGAGTGATCTCTGTGCGAGAAATAAAAGTAAGCAATAAAATACCGTGGAGGGAACCACCCACATCACCGGGACCAGGCACAGGTCGGCTGCGGGACCTCTGAGGGCTTTTTTGCTAAGGATGAGAAAACGGGGTCCACAGAGCTCTCTATGGGTCTACAGATGCTCCTGCCCCACCCCCAGCCTCCCTATGGATGCTCTATAGTAGCATTCCCTGCGCCAGCACACAGGGATTTGGCTTCCAACTATTGTGGTCTCATAAGTACAAGAGAAAAAGGGCTTGTGTTTAATAAACACCTACTATGTGCCAGGTACTGTTTTATGCCCTGTGGTGCAGTAGGGAACAGAAAGACTGGTCCTTGTGCTCTAGAAACCTGTTCTATTGAGGGCAAACAGAAAATAAACAACTAGACAAACAAATGAATGCATAATTATAATATCAGATCATATATCTCAAGAAAGCAATGTGGGCTGCAAAGTAAATACGAGTAGAGAGTATTATTAAGGAAAAGCAAACTGAAACAGCTATCTCAGTGGCTACACACACACGCACACACACACATGCGCACACACACGGACATGCACATGTAGGCACACACACACATACACACACACATGCACGCAGACATGCACACACACACGGACATGCACATGCATGCACACATACACGCGCACACACACACATGCACGCACACACACACACGTTTATTTGTTGCTGTCATAAAAGTACAGGGTAAGTGCCCCTGGCCAGACACCTCTCCTTCCACAGTGATTCCAGGTCCCCAGCTTCTTCTAGCATGTGGCTTTTCCACGTTCCATATGTGGCCCCTGTCCTGAGGTGGGTCTCCACTCCAGCCACTTGGAACTGGAAGAGAGCATGGGGGTGCCCGTGGCAGGGGCTTCTGGTGACTCCCTGGTGCCTAATGGTGATGGAGCACCTCCCTTCCACCTGTTGCCCCTCGGCCCCACCTGAACCACAGCTGGGTGACTGCAAGGAACACTAGGGAACGCAGCCTGGTTGTGTGACTGGGAACAGGAAACAGTGGTTGCTGAGCACGCAGGAAAATGAACTGAGGCTATCTGTAGGGTACGTCGCAAGGTCACTGTTTGTGTGGTGTGTGTTTCTCTATTCATTTGCTTTCATCCTGTTTGTCCCTGCAAGTGCCTTCTTGTAAACAGCGAGTCACTGGATCCTTCTTTTAAAAAAAAAAAAAATCCATCCTGACAACCTGTGCCTTCTGAGTGTTTAGTTGATTTACGTTTAATGTAATTATCGATATGGTTCTGTTAGGGGTACCATCTTGCTATTTATTTCATATCCTATCTTTGTTCTATCTTACCTATCTTGCCTTGAGCTGGTCAAGCATGTTTTAGTACTTCATTCTCTCTCCTCTGTTGGCTTTTTATTTATTTATTTATTTATTTATTTATTTTCATTTGTTTATTTATTTTGAGATGGAGTCTCACTCCGTCACCCAGGCTGGAGTGCAGTGGTGCCATCTTGGCTCGCTGCAACCTCTGCCTCCCTGGTTTAAGTGATTCTCATGCCTCAGCCTCCCAAGTAGCTGGGACTACAGGCACAGCCACCATGTATTTTTAGTAGAGATGGGGTTTCACCATGTTGGCCAGGCTGGTCTAGAACTCCTAACCTTCACCCGCCTCAGCCTCCCAAAGTGCTAGGATTACAGGTGTGAGCCACCACACCGTTTAAAGGAAAATCTTAAAAATAACCGGAGAAGAAGAAAAAAGGAAAAATTAATCAGAAGGGTAAACGACTTCTCATCATAAAAGGAGAAGATAATGAAAGAACATTTCTAAGTTGCTGCAAGACAAAAATTCTTAACTTAGAATTGTAACTAGATGATTCAAAAATGAAGGTGAAATGAGACTTTTTTCAGTTGAGTGAAAGCTGAGAGAATTTGTTGCCAGCAGATCCATACCCCCAGCAACGCTGAAGGGAGGTCTACAGCTCGGGGAGGTGTTACCAGATGGAAACGCTGATCCGTAGGGAAGGTGGAAGAACAGTGGAAGTGGAAGGTCTGAGCGAGACTCCGTCTCAAAAAACAAAAAAGGTTTTCCCTTGACCTTTTGTTTTTGGCAGTACGCCTTGGTGCGATTTTTTCTTTGTGTTTATCCTGCTAGGGTTTGCTTTTTTTTTTCCTCCCCAAAACGGAATTTCACTCTTGTTGCCCAGGCCGGAGTGCAGTGGCGTGATCTCGGCTCACTGCAACCTCTGCCTCCCAGGTTCAGGCGATTCTCCTGCCTCAGCCTCCCGAGTAGCTGGGATTACTGGCATGCATCACCACGCCTGGCTAATTTTGTATTTTTAGTAGAGACAGGGTTTCACCATGTTGGTCAGGCTGGTCTTGAACTCCTAACCTCAGATGATCCACCCGTCTCAGCCTCCCAAAGTGCTGGGATAACAGGCGTGAGCCATCGTGCCCGGCCTCCTGCTAGGGTTTCATCGAGATCTTAGATATGCAGGTTCATGCTCTTGATCAGATTTAGAAAGTTTTGGCCAGTATTTCTTGAACGATTCTTCTGCCTCATCTTCCCTCTCCCTTCTTTGGACTGCAATTGCACTCTCTCAGTTTGCTCACTACCTTCCCAGTGAAGACGGAGGCTTTGTGCACTTGTTCTAGAAACTTTATTTTCCATGCCTCAACTTTGGTATCTATGTCACATGTAAAAATGTTTATGTAGAAACAGAATGCTTGTTCCCCAGTGCTGCAAAGAAATAGCATTTGAACATAAATTTAATCCTCTCAGCAAGGCCTTTTGTACTTTCTGCAGAAAGAGTGCTCATCGCAGATGGAATAATGGCGAGAGCACATCCGAACAAAGGAGGGAAGCAATTTTTATTCCTTACGCAGTTTGTCCCTGCTGCTGTGTCCTGTCTCCATTGGCAGGAGCCAGACCTTACAATCTAAACTAAAACCTGATTGGCTAACAGTTTAAAACTTTTTTAAATAGGTAAAAGTAATGGAAAGACAAAGGAAAAGAGGAATTTGCTTATGAAAGGACTTAGAAAAGTAATAACATTTCCAAATAAGGAAGGGGCATGGGCTGCGAGCTGGGACATGCCTGTGAGCACTTCCAGCACAGATATTTTGGTTAAAGTACAAGGACATAGAATGTACTACATGCCTGTGAGCATGTCTAGCATAAAGCTAGTCTTTAAAAGAAACTATTATTTCTAATACTTATGATTTATTCTTTAATAAGAAGGGAAACTTTGAAGAGGAACTTTTTTACTTTCTACATCTATCAACACTTCTTTGTATTCCCTGATCCTTCCTTATATTCCCCATCTGATAAATGTTTAATTTTACATATCAAAATTTTTACTTTTAATATTTATACTTTGCTTGTCATTAGATTTCTGTATCTCTTTTGAAATCCTCCATTTCTCCACTCATTACATCTAAATTTTCTTGCATACAAATTAACATATTTATTCTACTTATTTAAATAATTTGCAAATTTCAGCGTCTGAACACTCATTCATTCATTTCCATTGATTTTTTTTTCCTTTTGATTATGGATTACATTTTCCTTCTTCACTTCCATGTCTAGTAAGTCTTGATTCTGTGCAAAGCATCGTGAATGCTATGTCATAGAATTCTGAATTCTGTACCCTCTCTCAGACAAAGCTGAGCTTTGTGCCAGCAGGCAGGCAAGTTGCTGGAAGATCACTTTTGATTATGTGGATGCTTGGCTTTAGACTTTGTTAGAAGGCTTCTGTGTTGTCCTTAATCCTAAGGTAAAAGCTTTAGTTCTGGAATATGGTGCTTATATAATGCTTAAGCATTGGGTCTCAATGGAAAGCCTGATTTGCCAAATTCATTAAAGTGTGGGGCTTGAACTCCAGTTGTCTCCTCAGCCCTGGGGAGCCGCTGGAATCTCTGCTCAGCCGTGCCAGCCTTCCAGCAGCTTCTCCCCAGCAGGTTCATTGGAGTCTATGTCAATTTGGTATTTTGGAATCCAGGTGACTAAGGGCCAGGGAATCCGGGCAGCCTGCCATGGGCTTTTAGCTACCAGTTCTGAGGGGCTCACTGTTTCTCTGTGAGTCTTGCCCATGGCACTTTGGTGAGGAGAGAAGGTGCCAGGAGGGAGGCCACATCTCTGCATGTTGACACCAGGAGGCAGGCAAGGCTATGAACACGTTCTGTCAGCAGATGCTGGGGCTTCCCCACATGACTCCCTCGTTTTCAGAATTTCTCACCCCAGTCCCAGCCACTCCGGTCGCCTCAATCTCTGGCAGCAAGTCCTCAGCCTCATCGTGACTCTGCATTGCCTTCCAATAGTTGTATTTTCGTAGGTTTTCCAGAGTATTTTTGTTCACAGGAGAGTTAATCTAATGTAAGCTTCTCTCAACTGTCAGATGCTAGAAGTCTGAGGCGTGAGTTGTTGTTTTTTTTTAACTTTTAGTTCCACAAAAGCTCTCTGAAAAGGTGACATTTGAGTCAAGAACTGAAAAACATGAGTCAGATATGCAATATTTGGGGTAAAGTCTTACATAAAGGAAAAAGTCTTGGCGGATCTGAGACACAGGAAGGGGGCCAGGGTGTCAGAGAGCAGAAGATGGGGTGAGGAGTGGTGGGAGCCAGCGTGGAAGGTGTTGACTGTATAGGTGGCCTGGGGTCCCCTCCTGCACCAAGTGGGGTGGCAGTGAGCAGGGTGACTGTCGTCTATGCTTTCCCCCATGTTCTTACTATTTCTCTAGACTGCTGAAGCCGCCTCTGTGCCTCCTGGGTCTACCTTCCACACCAAATGCCAGGTGCACATTTTTTTTTTTTCATTATACTTTAAGTTCTGGGGTACATGTGCAGAATGTGCAGGTTTGTTAAATAGGTATACACGTGCCATGGTGGTTGCTGCACCCGTCAACCCACCATCTACGTTAGGTATTTCTCCTAAGGCTCTCCCTCCCCTTGACCCCCACCCCTCGACAAGCCCCAGCATGTGATGTTCCCCTCCCTGTGCCCATGTGTTCTCATTGTTCAGCTCCCACTTATGAATAAGAACATGTGATGTTTGGTTTTCTGTTTTTGTGTTAGTTTGTTGAGAATGATGGTTTCCAGCTTCATCCATGTCCCTGCAAAGGACATGAACTCATCCTTTTTTATGGCTGCATAGTATTCCATGGTGTATATGTGCCACATTTTCTTTATCCAGTCTATCATTAATGGGCACATTTTTAAAGCCAAGCTGTGATTACATCCATCTCCTGTCCTCAAACCCTGTCCCTGGATGTGTGTCCACTGCTCCTGAACACAGTGTAAGCCTTGTAAAGGGTTCAAAGCCACGATCCATATTCCAGGCCACGCCTGATTTCCTGCACTGTCTTTCACTATTCATCCACCCTATGACCAAATGGGGAACACTCTTATTATCTACACATAATGCGTTTACGTCCCTTCCGCCAGGACATTTCTTATGATGCTGTCTCAACTGTGCATTCCCCTCCCTCATTCATCTGTAAACCGCTTCTTGTCCAGGTGCTTCATTCTTCTTTCTTTTGAGCAGCAATCATGTTCTTCTCTCAGAGGGAAATTAGATGCCAACTAGGGGGGAACAAACCAGTATGTGAGACCGCAGTGTCCTCCACCCATAGTTACATCCAGCGGGGTCTCAAACAGGAGAGAAATAACACCTTCCTCCGTGATGAGTGATGAAGTGGGTGAGACTGGCTCTTAGTGCCACATGCAGCACACTCTTGGCCTCCATCCATTAGAGGAGCCCTCCACACTTTCTCTTCTTTCTCAGGATCTTTTCTTCTGTGCCAAAACTCTACCCTAAATAAAGGTTGTCAAATTGATTTCTACCAAAGGATCAGAACCTTGCTAGAGTGGTTTATAAGAAAAACACCTGGCCGGGCATGGTGGTTCATGCCTGTAATCCCAGCACTTTGGGAGGCTGAGGCAGGCAGATCACGAGGTCAGGAGTTCGAGACCAGTCTGGCCAACATGGTGAAACTCCATCTCTACTAAAAATACAAAAATTAGCCGGGCGTGGTGGCAGATGCCTGTAATCCCAGCTACTCGGGAGGCTGAGGCAGGAGAATCGCTTGAAACCAGAAGGCAGAAGTTGCAGTGAGCCAAGATCACGCCAGTCTGGACGAAACATTGAAACTGCATCTGAAACAACAACAACACACCTGTCGAGTCTTCGAGACGCTTGGATTTTAATGATATTCCAAGCCTTATATGGGAGGAGTGAATTTCTTTACAGTGGAATTTTAGTGTCAGAGGAAGCTTGGGGGTGTATTTTTGTGAATCCACGGGGTAGGAGGTACCTTACTTTGAGTATGACCTGGCTGGGTTGAGAGAAGTCTGGGAAGCCTAGCAAATCCTGCCTATTTCAAGCAGCAGCAATACCTGTACACTTTCTAGAAACACACATTCTCGGTGCCGCCCCATACCTACTGAACCAGGCCCTTAGCAGGGAGGGAGGGGTTGAGGGGGAGCTAGAGGGCACCCTGCAAACGGTTTTAGGAAAACTTCCAGGTGGCTCTGAAGCAGGCTCAAGTGTGAGAACACTGTCAGCCCTTTCCGGGGGCTCCCAGGCCCTGCCCTCTGTCTCCAGAGGCTCCCCTGAGGGTGAAGGAGAAGCAGCTCTCTTCTTTTAGTCCAATCTTCTCTTGTCACCTGGCTCCAAGCGTGGAGCCTAGATCCACACCTTCCATGCCCACCATGAGCCTGAATGTGGAGCTTTGACAAACGGTGCCCCCCGCTCCCTGCCTACTCTCATCAGAACCAAAGCCCTGGGCCAGGCTACGCTCCTGCTTCAATATCTGCCCTGCCTCTGTCTCTCAAGAAAGTGCAGAACGAGATGATCATGGCTGACTCCCACTAGCACAGTCTTTATTGCGTGCCCGGCACTGATCTAATCGACTCCCATGCCTGGCACGAAAGTTGGGTGGGCAAGGCTCCAGGGAGGTAAGGCAGAGCCACGGGCTCGTGGAGCCTGCCCTGCCTTGGGGAGCATGAGACGGGAGTGGTGTGTTTCCAGGAAGAGTCGAAGCCAACAGAACTTGAGAAAGTGGCGTGGCATCTGGCATCAGTACCGTGGCTGGGAGTGGGTGGGAGGCTTGCACCCAGCCAGCCCCGTGGAACTCCTCACACCTGGGATGCCCCCGGGAGGGAGGAACCCAGCTTAGCAGGGCGGCTTTCCCTGAGCTGAGGCAGACACAGGCAGGGTCAGGGAAGTTGGGAATTCATCATTCCAGGCCTGGGTCAGATCCACTTCACCTGGGATCTGCATCCTTCCCCAGAGCCTGCTGGTGCTGCATGGGCAGTGGGAGCTCAGGTGGGGCACAGCGAATGCCAGATGGCCCTATTCCCAGGCCCACATCGACCTCCACCTGCCTCACCTGAGGGAATGGCTGTCTCCCCCATGACATTTGCCGTGGGACAGGGTTGGAGCTGGACCAATGTGGACTGGCGGCATGTGGCCCAAGCTCCCACCCTGGTTGTCTTGGCTCCAGCTATGAAAAAGGGGGCTCCCTCTACCCCACTGTGGACGGCCACCTCTTCTCATTTTGCACTCTCCTCTTTTGGAATCTGGGAGAGAGCTACAGAGGGTCAGCTCTAGGATCCAGCCTCCAAGCGCAAAGGGCAGAGGGCTCTTCCAAGAACAGCATTCCATGCAGACCTCCAACAGACAGACAGACATCACAAAGGCGTGCTTGAGAAAGGTATCCAAATGGCTTCTTCGGTACGTCTCCACGTTCCACCTTCTTGTGGAAGGTGAGATCTCACCTCTTCCTGGAAGCCCGTCCTGAACACTCCACCAGCTTGGAGCAGGCTCGGCGCTCAGCCTGGGGGTTCCTAACCTCTGGGTGGCTCTCGGGGGTTGGGGGTCTCAGTTGTGAGTCTGGTCTCTGGGTGTACTTGAGGTCATCGCAGGCAGGACATTCTCTTCTCTCAAGATACGCACTCGCCAAGCCAAGGCCGCACAGCCCGCAGGTTCTGGACACTAAGAGATTGCTCTGTGATCAGTGGCACCCTGAGATCCCCTGGCCAGCACATGGTGAGCAGCACTGGTGTGATTGAGTGCATGACAGTTGCTGGGGCCCTGGGAGAAAGCGTGTCCCAGCCATGAACTCATCTGACCCTACAAGCTGTGGAAGCACAGTCTGTTTTGTGGATGAGGGAACCAGGCAGCCGGACATCTCGCTTCTGACCCATCCCATGCATGAATGTTTAAGAAACACACTTCAGGTCCCAGAGTTGAAGAGCACACAGGCATCGACACTCACGCCTCCCGAACCCTAAGCAGGCTGACACAAAGCTGGCACCGCTGCTCCCCAAGCTGCTCCCTCAACCTTGTGGAGTCCCCTCCCCTTGAATCTGGGCTGGGCGTAGTAATTTGCTTCCAACCCACAGAATATAGCAAGGGACATGGAGCATCCCTTCTGTGATTGGCATAAAAGATGGTGCTTCCATCTTGCTAGCAGACTCTCCTCTTGTGGTTGTGATGGAGCAGGTGGCTGTGCTGGGAGGTCCACATCATAAAGAACTGAGGGTGGCCTCCAGCCAACAGCTAGTCACCACCTGAGGCCCTCAGTCCAATGGCACTCAAGGACCCGAATGCTGCCAACCACAGTGAGTGAGTTTGGAAGTGGAGCTCTCCCCAGATGAGCTCCGGATAAGACCCCAGTCCTGGGTGACACCTTGATTGCAATTTTGGGGCAAGAGGGATCCCGAGGCAGAGATCCTCTGAGATGTTTCTGGATTCCTGACCCTCGGAAGCTGTGAGATGACACACAGGTGTGGTTTTGAGCCTCCAGGCTTTGGGATCATTTGTGATACAGCGGTAAAGAACGCAAGCACAGAGCAGGCTGCCCTTATATGATCAGTCTCCCACCTTTAGGAAGAGTCTTTGAAATCATCCCGACCCTTCTAAGGAGCATTCAGTCTAGTGGCTTCTAGTTTTAAAATGAATTTGAGAAAGTCCCAAAGGGTAGTGAGATTCTTGCTCTGTTAAACATGTCAGTTCTCAACAGATGTCGGGGAATTAGGCTTCTCCCAAACCTACGTGATTTCCATTTGCCAATTGGAAAGAAAAAAAGCAAGATGTTTGGGGCAGAAAGTGCATGTGGCTTTTGTGGAAGTATTCACTCCTGGGATATTACTAGAAAGTGGTGTTTTCCTGGCTGGGGTACAGAAACAGTCCCCAGTCTCCAAGAGAGGCTACTGGGTCATCACAACCCAACCTGAGTCGAGCCAAGGCAGCCTGCAAGTTCTCCCAGCTTGGGAGGGGAGCTGGCAGGAGGGGAGGAGGAGCAGGCCCAGTCCCTCCATCCCCTGCCATCTTTCCCAGGCTGAGGGCATGATGGGGACAGCCCACAGAGCTGGGGATGGTCTCCCAGACCTCAGAGTCCTTTGGAGACCTGGCCATACTGGAAACACAGGCTGTGTGCCTGAGCCTTGTATGTCTGGAGGGGCTCTCCTGGGGGAGCAGCGTCCCCTTGAACACTGCTGGGAGGTCAGGATGGGCTTCCCAGGGCCCCTGGGCAAGGATGGGGATGCTGCTTTCTCATCTTGCAGGCCATTTTGTCAGGGGAAATCTGGACAAACATCCATGCCTCCCATGCCTCAGTGGTCACCCCAGGGCTGTGGGACCTTGTCGCCGGGTCTGCTCTTCCCATGTACTACAGTTGCACATCCACCACCCCCAGACGGCCACATGGCCTTCCTGGACAGCCTGCCTCACTTTGATTGGATCCTCAGCCTGTTTCTTCTCCTCTGTTGAAATTGCTCTCGTGACAAAGTCTCATTTGTGAGATTGTTGGATCAGAATGAATGGCTCCCTTTTATGCTCTGGGTAGTTTCATTATATTAGAAATATTTAAATCTGACTCCCACATCTCCATGCAGTGGTATGTTTCCTATGATATGTATGTAAAATATATGCTTATGTTTTATGTCTGCATCTAAAGCACCCACTGTTTGTTACATGGGCACACCTCCAACTCCACCTAAAGCACACACGATGCTACCTGCGCACACCTCCAACTCCATCTAAAGCACACACAATGCTGCCTGTGCACACCTCCAACTTCATCTAAAGCACACACAGTGCTGCCTGTGCACACCTCCAACTCCATCTAAAGCACACACAATGCTACCTGTGCACACCTCCAGCTTCATCTAAAGCACACACATGCTGCCTGTGCACACCTCCAACTCCATCTAAAGCACACACAATGCTGCCTGTGCACACCTCCAACTCCATCTAAAGCACACACAATGCTACCTGTGCACACCTGCAACTCCATCTAAAGTACACACAATGCTACCTGTGCACACCTCCAACTTCATCTAAAGCACACACAATGCTGCCTGTGCACACCTCCAACTCCATCTAAAGTACACACAATGCTACCTGTGCATACCTGTAACTCCATCTAAAGCACACACAATGCTACCTGTGCACACCTCCAACTTCATCTAAAGCACACACAATGCTACCTGTGCACACCTTCAACTCCATGTAAAGCACACACAATGCTACCTGTGCATACCTCCAACTCCATGTAAAGCACACACAATGCTACCTGTGCACACCTCCAACTCCATGTAAAGCACACACAATGCTACCTGTGCACACCTCCAACTCCATGTAAAGCACACACAATGCTGCCTGTGCACACCTCCAACTCCATCTAAAGCACACACGATGCTACCTGTGCACACCTCCATCTCCTTCTAAAGCACACACAATGCTACCTGTGCACACCTCCAACTCCATCTAAAGCACACACAATGCTGCCTGTGCACACCTCCAACTCCATCTAAAGCACACACAATGCTACCTGTGCACACCTCCAACTCCATTTAAAGCACACACAGTGCTTTGTGCGCACACCTCCAACTCCATCTAAAGCACACACCATGCTACCTGTGCACACCTCCAACTCCATCTAAAGCACACACAATGCTTTGTGCACACCTCCAACTCCATTTAAAGCACACACAGTGCTTTGTGCGCACACCTCCAACTCCATCTAAAGCACACACAATGCTACCTGTGCACACCTCCATCTCCATCTAAAGTACACACAATGCTACCTGTGCACACCTCCATCTAAAGCACACATAATGCTACCTGTGCACACCTGTAACTCCATCTAAAGCACACACAATGCTACCTGTGTACACCTCCAGCTCCATCTAAAGCACACACGATGCTACCTGTGCTCACCTCCAACTCCATCTAAAGCACACACAATGCTACCTGTGCACACCTCCAACTCCATCCAAAGCACACACAATGCTACCTGTGCACACCTGTAACTCTAAAGCATGCAGAACGTTGCATGTGCACACCTCTAACTTTATTCAGTGTGGTTTCCTTCCCTCTTCAGGACGTTTAAGTAGTTGACTTCATTCAGCTGCAGGCCCAGCCCGCTGTGGGCTCTGACGGAAGGCCCTTTCCTGCAGAAGTGCGGGTGTGTGGGGACGGGTGGGGCTACTGTCTCCATGCCGCTGAAGTGAAGTGAGCTCCAAGTGTAGCCGAGCAGAGAACCCTATGGGGTGGGGTGTGGGACCTCACACACTGCAGGTTCTACCACCACCTCCCCGCGGGTGGCTTGGCTTAGAAGGCCTAGAGGTGGACCTAGAATGCGTACTTTTAGGGGGCTCCCCGGATGACTTCAACAGGCAGCCAGGTGGGGGCCACTGATGGGCAGACACCAAGAAACACCAGGAACACTTCTGCTAAGCGCTGGCCTTGTCCCATTAAGAACCTGTGGCTCCCCTGGGAGGTGTGATCCCGTGCTCCCTGGGAGGTGTGATCCCGTGCTCCCTGGGAGGTGTATCCTGTGCTCCCTGGGAGGTATGATCCTGTGCTCCCTGGGAGGTGTATCCTGTGCTTCCTGGGAGGTGTGATATCGTGGTTCCTGGGAGGTGTGATCCTGTGCTTCCTGGAAGGTGTGATCCTGTGCTTCCTGGGAGGTGTGATATCGTGCTTCCTGGGACGTGTGATGCTGTGCTTCCTGGGAGGTGTGATCCCACACTCGCTGGGAGGTGTGATCCCGTGCTCCCTGGGAGGTCTGATCCCGTGCTTTCCTGGGAGGTGTGATCCCGTGCTCCCTGGGAGGTCTGATCCCATGCCTCCTGGGAGGTGTGATATCATGGTTCCTGGGAGGTATGATATCGTGGTTCCTGGGAGGTGTGATCCCGTGCTCCCTGGGAGGTCTGATCCCGTGCTTCCTGGGAGGTATGATATCATGGTTCCTGGGAGGTATGATATCGTGGTTCCTGGGAGGTGTGATCCCGTGCTTCCTGGGAGGTGTGATCCTGTGCTTCCTGGGAGGTGTGATCCCATGCTTCCTGGGAGGTGTGATCCTGTGCTTCCTGGGAGGTGTGATACCATGCTTCCTGGGAGGTGTGATCCCACGCTCACTGGGAGGTGTGATCTCACACTCGCTGGGAGGTGTGCTATCGTCTTCCCTGGGAGGTGTGATCCTGTTCTTCCTGAGCGGTGTGATCCTGTGCTCCCTGGGGGGTCTGATCCTGTGCTTCCTGGGAGGTGTGATATCATGGTTCCTGGGAGGTGTGATCCCGTGCTTCCTGGGAGGTGTGATATTGTGGTTCCTGGGAGGTGTGATCCCGTGCTCCCTGGGAGGTGTGATCCCGTGCTCCCTGGGAGGTGTGATCCCGTGCTCCCTGGGAGGTGTGATCCCGTGCTCCCTGGGAGGTGTGATCCCGTGCTCCCTGTGAGGTCTGATCCTGTGCTTCCTGGGAGGTGTGATATCGTGGTTCCTGGGAGGTGTGATATCGTGGTTCCTGGGAGGTGTGATCCCGTGCTTCCTGGGAGGTGTGATCCTGTGCTTCCTGGAAGGTGTGATATCGTGGTTCCTGGGAGGTGTGATATCGTGGTTCCTGGGAGGTGTGATATCGTGGTTCCTGGGAGGTGTGATATCGTGGTTCCTGGGAGGTGTGATCTGGTGCTCCCTGGGAGGTGTGATCCCATGCTTCCTGGGAGGTGTGATCCCGTGCTTCCTGGGAGGTGTGATCCTGTGCTTCCTGGGAGGTGTGATACCATGCTTCCTGGGAGGTGTGATCCCACGCTCACTGGGAGGTGTGATCTCACACTCGCTGGGAGGTGTGCTATCGTCTTCCCCGGGAGGTGTGATCCTGTTCTTCCTGAGAGGTGTGATCCTGTGCTCCCTGGGGGGTCTGATCCTGTGCTCCCTGGGAGGTGTGATATCATGGTTCCTGGGAGGTGTGATCCTGTGCTTCCTGGGAGGTGTGATATCGTGGTTCCTGGGAGGTGTGATCCCGTGCTTCCTGGGAGGTGTGATACTGTGCTTCCTGGGAGGTGTGATCCCGTGCTCCCCAGGAGGTCTGATCCCGTGCTTCCTGGGAGGTGTGATATCGTGGTTCCTGGGAGGTGTGATATCGTGGTTCCTGGGAGGTGTGATATCGTGGTTCCTGGGAGGTGTGATATTGTGGTTCCTGGGAGGTGTGATCCCGTGCTTCCTGGGAGGTGTGATCCTGTGCTTCCTGGGAGGTGTGATCCTGTGCTTCCTGGGAGGTGTGATCCTGTGCTTCCTGGGAGGTGTGATATCGTGGTTCCTGGGAGGTGTGATCTGGTGCTCCCTGGGAGGTGTGATCCGGTGCTCCCTGGGAGGTGTGATCCTGTGCTTCCTGGGAGGTGTGATCCTGTGCTTCCTGGGAGGTGTGATATCGTGGTTCCTGGGAGGTGTGATCCGGTGCTCCCTGGGAGGTGTGATCCAGTGCTCCCTGGGAGGTGTGATCCCGTGCTCCCTGGGAGGTGTGATCCCATGCTCCCTGGGAGGTGTGATCCCGTGCTCCCTGGGAGGTGTGATCCCGTGCTCCCTGGGAGGTGTGATCCCGTGCTTCCTGGGAGGTGTGATCCCGTGCTTCCTGGGAGGTGTGATCCCGTGCTTCCTGGGAGGTGTGATCCCGTGCTTCCTGGGAGGTGTGATCCTGTGCTTCCTGGGAGGTGTGATCACATGCCTGCTGGTGATAGAGAGGCACAGCTCCCCATTGGGGAACAACCAGGACCCAGCCCTGGGAGGTGTGGATTCAGGAGGGCCCCAGAGGCCTGCATGAGCTAGTGAGAGCTAGGAGGTGGTGTCCGCACTGGGAGCGGGACCCACACAGAGGGCACGTGGGGTAAGCATCAATGAAGTTCCGGGTGTCAGCCAATTGCACCCTCCCAATGGCCCTGGAGCAGTTGCAAAAGCTTCCTGCTCTCCCATCGTCCCCTTCTCCAACCCACTCCCGAATGCAGACGCCCCTGGCCCTCCTGGGTGGCCAGAGCCTGAGGACACTCACTAGGACAGCCCTGGGCAGCTCAAAGGAGCACTTTGGCCTGGCACAGGCCAGCTCCAGGGATGCCCCCACCTTCCTCCACATGCATGGATCGGGTTTCGTCACCAAGACATCTGCAGGACAGGAGCGGGGCCTCTGGCCACATGGCCAGAGTGCCTCCTCCATTCATGGGTCCCATGTGCAAATGGGCAGACAGGAGCTCTGAGCAGCAGATTCCCCGAGGCCACATGGGGCACTGGTGGCATCTGAGCCTGGGTCGCTGAGGCAGCTGTCCTCAGCCTGGTCTCACCAGGCCACAGCTGTCAGTGGGTAAACGTGTGTGCGCGTGTGTGTGTGCTCCTGCGGCACTGTGGGGGTCATGCCTGTGGCTGAGCATCTCCTGGAATTCTCTCGTCTCACTTTCGACCTCCTCTTCTCAGCAAATCCCATCAACCCCATCTTTGAAACACCTGGAGCCGGAGTGTGACCCACTCTCATGGGTCTGCACCGCCCCCAGCCTGCGTCTGGGTTACTGCCCCGTGTGGCTTCCCTCCCCATCTCTGCTCAGGCCACACCAGCCCCCTCCCACTTCCCCTTCCTCTCCCCACTCCCTCTGGCCTCTGCCCTGCTGTTCCCTCTCCTGCAAAGCCCTTCCTGCCCGCTGGGCTCCAGGCAGAGAGAACCTTCCCAGTGGCCCTGGTCACCCAGGAGAGCACTTCAATCCCCACCCCACACACACTACACACCCCATACACACAGGCACACACACCACACCCACACACACACTATACAGACACAGCACAAACCACACACACAGGCATGCACACTATACACATGCAGCACACACCACACACACAGGCACATTCCCCACAGGCACGCACACATATACCATACACACGCCAGCACACACACCACACAGGCACATGCACAAACACCACCTCCACACACAGGCATACACCACACACACACACACCACACACACCACACACACAGGCACACACACCACATACACAGGCACAGCTCCCCACAGGCACACACACACACCACACAGGCACACCACACACACAGGTACACACACAACACACATACACTTCACATAAACACAAATAGCACATGCAAAATACACCACATAGCACATGCACACACGTGCCATACACACATGCACATCACCCCCCCCACACACACACAACCACACACATGCACATTGTCTCCTCCCCTTTACATTTCCTCAGGTCTCATTCCTCTGGGCACACCTTACCCCTGCCTTGTGGGTCTTGGTCAGCCCGTGTCCCCTGGAGTGGCATCTCCTTGAGGGTGGGTTCTCCCCTGCTGCTCCCGCCTGGCACACAGCAGGTGGTCAATGAACTGCCACTGAAGGAATGGGGGAATGAATGGATGAATGAAAGAGTGGATGGATGGATGGATGGATGGATGGATGGATGGATGGATAAATGATGAATAGATGGATGGATGGATAGATGAATGGATGGATAGATGGATGGACAGATAAATGATGAATAGATGGATGAATGGATGGATGAATGAATGAATGGATGAACAGATGAATGAAAGGGTGAACGAATGTGTGGATGGATGGATGGATAAATGATGAATAGATTAATAGATGGATGAATGGATGAATGAATGGATGAATGAAAGGGTGAATGGATGAATGGATGGATGGATGGATGAATGGATGGATAAATGATGAATAGATGAATGGATAGATAGATGAATGGATGAAAGGGTGAATGGATGGATAGATGAATGGATGGATGAACAGATGAATGAATGGATGTGGTGGCAGAACTCCTTGGGGCCAGTGGGAGGAGGAAGGCAAGGAAGGCAGACTGGGGGCATGCACCCTCCCTCCAGGGTTCCTTCTCCCCAGGAAACTTCCCAGAGCTGTCACCTACAACCCCGAGAAATCGTGGGAGTCCCCTTGCATGACGGGTGCGAGGGGAGTCCCACAACTCTGGGCCACAACTGTGCCATGGCTCAGCCACCGGCCGAGTGGACCTCAAGCCTCCTGCTGCCTGGGATGGTCAAAGGGTCATTGTGAGTCTGAGCCACTGACTCCTCCAGACCAGGCTGGGGCCCCTCTGCAGGATGCCTCTCCGGAGGACAGATCAGCTGCCCACCTGTGCATTTCTGGCCGCTCCACCAGCAGGCACCACGCCGACTGTCCGCCCACCTGCCTTGCTCTCTCTCCTCTTCTGGATTCGATGGCAAGGACCTTCAGACCCATCAACCTTTGACGACTGTGAGCGTCCATTGCCGGAGTCGCTTTCCCAACTCAAATGCATTTATTAGGCGCCATCCTAATCTACTCCAGGATTTTAAGAAAGGGGTGGGCTGCTCAAATTCATGACGACTGAGTTTTAACTGGCGTTTGTCCCTCAAGGCGTCTCTCAATGTGGTCTTTAAACAGTTGATGTTGGGAAACGGTTGCCTCTTCCAACTCTGCGCATCCTTGATTCGTGGGCCGTTTCCTTTCATTCCTGGCTCTTTCCAGAGCTGGTCTGCCACGTGGTACCTTGCCACATGGAATTCAGGCATCCAGCCTGCCCACCATCATTTCATGTCAAGCCTCCTCCCCAAGGGTTGCAAGTTATGAGTTCATAATCTACCTCTGAGCTATCACAGTGATCAAACAATTGTACCCAATGTTCTGCCTGTGGATGACATGGGTCAACAGCCTCCCATCCTCTCACAATGGCCCCAGCTTCCCTGGGCAATGCTGCAGACCACCCTTCTGTTGTGAAAGTCGCCTCGTCCTTAAGCACCTACACAATTCCGGATCACCTAGGTTACTGGCTCTCCGGCTTGAACGTGCAGCAGAGTTGCTCAGAGACCTGCTTTCAGATGATTCAGCTCTCCCACAACATTTGGGCCAGCAGGTCTGGGATGGGGCTCAGGGACTGGCACTTCTAACAAGGTGGTGCCATTGCTGCCATTCCCCGGACCCTGCTGGAGACCCACTGGCCTAGGTTATTCGGCAGAGTAATCAACAGTCCCTGACATCAGTGGCTTTAATAAAACAAAAATGTGCTTCTCCTGCTCCTGCTACCAGTTCTCACAAGCTGGCAGGGGGCTCACTCAGGGAACCTGCTGGTGACGTAGCCCCTCCACGAAACATGGCTGGTGCTGTGCCCGAGGGAACCACACCTTCAGACCGGAAGAGGCGAATGCCACGTGGGCTCAAGGTCATCGGCTGCAACGAGCCCCGTGCCTTCCCCGACCTCTAGCCACAAGGAGCTAGGGAGTCTAATCCTGCTACACAGCTGGAAGGGCAGTGCTGGAGAGCTTCAAGAACATTCTCGCAGGGTGCTGACTGCCAGGAGTGAAGAGTGAGGACAGTACACGGTGGTGTGGACACCCAGCAGTGGCTGAAACTCACTTCTCGGGCTAGTGCCCGGTTACGTTCTAACATCCTCCCAAGGGCACAAAGCTGTCCATGCCAGCCTTGGCCACTCCTGAGGGACAAGCTCCACCTAAGGACAGCCGGGGCCATCCCTTCCTTTCTCTGGGTGGCCAGTGTGGTTATCTCCAGAGCTCCTAGCGTCCTGGGACTGTGTGCAGTCCTGTCTGGGAGGGGCCTGGCCACACTTAAGAAGAGAGTCACTCACATCTGTTTACGGTGGAAACACCCAACTCGATTTATTGAAAAACTATTACAGTTAATTATTCCTTTGTTACACAAGTTTAGAATATTTTAAGATATCCTTTCCTGGGCATTACAGTTAAAACTTATGACATGTCTAGCGGATTTTTTGAAACCGTACAATGTGTCATTTGACATTGTATTTCAAAAGGCCTGATGTCCTCGAAACTTTATCTTGGGTTTTTTGCTTACCATTTTTTTCTTTTTGCCAGCGTTTGTCCAATTATATATATTGAGAGGAAAAAATAAAATTACACCAAAAGAATTTCTGCAAATATAAGAAGTAATTTTATTGCAATATACTGTGGCTAGAGTGGTCTGGGGAGAACGGGACACATTTTGAAGTTCAGTACAAATTATAACAACTTTGAAGGGACCACAGAGGAAGAAAATGACAGGAGAAAAGGACAAATTGGATGGGATGAGAAATGAAAACAGAATCACATGACCTAGACGCAGTCCACGGGGGTCGCGGGACAGTCCTCGGCTATGGCTTTTCTTTTGAAGAGATGAAGGTGACAGTCATTGGCACATGCTGGCATCCTGGGCTCCAGAGACTCTCCAAGCCAGACTTTTCTTTGGCAAGAGCGAGACTTACTTTCCAGGGAAATTTGGAAAATCCACGCTGGCGGTGTTTTGTTCCTCCTGGGTGGCTTGTTTGTGGCTTCCTAAGCTGGAACTGCATTCTGGTGGTGGTGGGGGTCGGGGACAGCACCAGAGCCCCGCAGGCTCACCCCAAGGGCCCAGCCTGCATTTCCCATGGTAGAAGGAAAAGGCGCTGCACCCGGGCAACTTTTCACAGTGAAGAGATCGCCTTTCCTGGCTGCCCCTCGGGTCCTCCTGCCCACAGACGGCAGCCCCCCGACCTCGATGGCCAGGAAAGGGTTCCCCAAAGGGGACCTCACCCGCCCCGAGCTCTGGAGCCGCTGACGCTCGCATCCAGGACATTTGAGATGGGAATCCAAATAGGCTACTTGGAAAAGACGTGCTGCAGGCAGCCCTGGAGAGACTCATGGAGTTCATTGTACATTACTCCATCTACCGAGGCAGCGCATGGCATGACTGAACGGCTTGGAACAAACACAGAAATTAGCACCACAAACATTCAGGAACCAAATATAATCTGCTATGGTCACACCACAGACAATGCAGGAAGAGGCTTTTTATTGCTTGTGTGTGTTTTCAAATCAAGTAGGCACAACCCAGTCCTCATAACAGCCCTCGGGAGTGGACGCACCGGGGCGGGAGAGCGCAGGAGGGAGTGTGCTTGGCTATCCTGCCCAGTGGAAAGGAAAGTGACGTGCATTGATCTTAGAGTCCTTGGCAACAGACTGTGGAGGCAATAACAGGATAAAGAAAGCAGGGAGAACGAGGCATGGCCAGGGTCCCCAGTGCGCCTTCAAGGAGACCTTAAAACAGATAGATAGCACCACAAGAGAGCCACAAGAGAGAAGTGTAAAAAATAAGCACCAATTTTCATTGAGTTATCACCTACAAAAAATGTGGTTTCCCTGCCCTGGACATTCTCCCATCAGGCTCTGCGGGAAGAAAAGCGGAAAAAGGAAGCAAATAAAATTAATCCAAACCTGTGTTTTAGTCTTAAGTGCATGTAGAAAAAAGAAAATTATCAAATTTTTTCCCTATTAAAAAAAAAAAAAGTCTAGAGCGAATCAAAAACTGTCTGAAAAGGGGCACTGGTACCTGCTTTTCAATGGCAGCATAAATTCTTGCTGCCCCGGGGCAAACTTCCAATTTATTGCACGTTCTTGGCCAGGGCGGGGGTGGGGAGACTTCCTATTTCTAATCAGAACGGTACTGCAACCCAGAATCCATGCCTCGCCCATTCTGTCCGTGGGACTGAGACTGGGTTTCCGTGCATGATTGAAAGCCAGGCACACTTAACATTTATAACAATACAATACAAATATTTACTTAAAACTCACAAAAACATAAGCACCTTTAATCCATCGGGAAGGCACCTGCAGAATGACATTTGGCCTCTAAATGGATCGTGTTGGAGGTTGTTAAAAACGGAGGCTTTGGTGATGGTGGGATGACCTTTACGAGGCTTACCTTGGAACATTTTTTGAAGGTCAGGGGAAATACACATCTTCAAGTTGAATTTAGAAAAAAATATAGTGTCCAAATCTGGCAGTCCCTCCCCCAACCCCTGAGACCTATTCACGAACAGGATGGGTCGGGCGAGCTGGGGGGCTGGAGGCATGGCCCCGCTCCCGGGGCGCGTGGGTGTGGACAGAGCGTGGGGCGGGCCCAGGCGCTGGGGTGCAGCTAGGTCATGTGATTCAGCTCCAGGTGGGGGCGCGGCTCCTTCCCTCTGTTCTCTCCGGGCTGGGGTCCCACACCCCGTGGTGCCGAGGCGTAGATGAAGTCAGGTGGGAGGGGAGGGAGAAGCCTTCACTGTCCAGGGTCAGGACGTGCACGGGACACTCACGAACGAATGGCATGCTGAGGTCACGAGGTTGCTCTCGGGAGCCCGGGCTCGGCGGCTCCTAGCCCATGAAGCAAGCCGGCCCCACTTCAAATCCAAATTTCTGTGACGCTTCACCGAAGTCATTGAACATGATGTCCACGATGGGCACCTGCTCCACTTTGGGGGTGTCGATCTCCAGAACCGTCTTCTGGTAGCCTTTCTTGGTCTGGGGAAGAGGGAGACAGATGGCCGGTGGTTAAGAACAGTTGGGGGTCTTGGGGTTTACCAATCACCCCCCACAATCTGTCTGGCTCCAAAACCCAGGCTGGTGTCCTGTCTCCTACCCAGGGCTGCGCTTGCCCGGGCAAGTGTTGGAGGAAATATGGCTGATCAGAGCATGCATTTAACCCCGGTGGATGTCCCAAGAGTCCCCCTGCACAGGTCGGAGGTGGGGTGGTGTGGGCATCAGCGAGGCGACAGGACCCTCCCAAGGCTTCAGGGGTGGCTGAGGCACACACAGGATTGAAGCTGATCAGCCTTCCCACCGTGCCCAGTCCAGACTCCTTGTGATGCCCCAGGTATTCACTTCCAGGCAGCCTCCCCAGGACCCAGGGCCAGCTACAGAACAAGCAGGGCACACTGGAAAATCAAACGGGGGCTCCAGGTTCGAAAAGGAAGGAGTCCGAGGCGGCACCGGCAGAGCCTTGAGCCAAGTAAGACCCCCCTACGACCACCTGCCACACACTGCCTTAGGCACTCGGTGGGCTGGGTCTTCACCTCCACAAGTATGGGAAGGGGTGGGGACCTTCCACACCATCTGGTCTAGAGGAGTCTTAGGTAAACTGAGGCACAGAGGGCAGGGGTAGTGCAATGAACCTGGCCTGCAGGATGAGTCAGCACCCATCCCTTGCTCAAAACAGCACAACCCTGGGCGCTGGGATGTGGGATGGAAGCCTAGGAGAGGCCGCCTCCCTCCCAGAACACAGGCAGCGCAGGTGTGAGATTCTTTGGTCCCTCCCCAAAGCCACCCAAATATAACTCCCAGTGTTCTTTATAACTGAGGCTGAGCTGGCCCTGCTGTCCCGTCAACTTCCCCCAAGACAAGGGCCCTGGAGGCCGCACCTTTCCCGCAAACCAGGAGCCTGCAAACGCATCCTGGGCAGATGGCTTTTGCTACCTCAGACCCAGACTGGATTTACAGTCGCAGCTGGATCTGGGCCTGGGAAGGATCTCCTTCCACTGCCCCATCCCCAAAAGAAATGATCAGATAAACAAGTAGGGGCCAGCCAGGGTTCCCTCCCGGATGGGAGGCAGTGACCCCAGGATGCAGCCCTGCAGAGGGCCCAGCGCAGACTCCCAGGCCGGAGATTCGGATAGCAGACAGCAGCTCCAGCTCTCCCGGTATTCTGCTCCCTGACCTATGGGGAGGGCGTGGCCTTGAAGGGCCTTATTCTCCCTGACTATGATCTTAATGTTCCCGTTCCCAAAGATGGTATTAGGAGGTGGGGCCGTTCGATGGGAGTTGAGGAGGTCCTGAGGGTGGAACCCCATGAGTGGTATTAGTGCCCCTATAAAAGAGGCACCCGAGAGACTCCACCCTGTGAGGGTGTAGTGAGAAGCTGCTATCTGCAGCCCAGAGGGGAGCTCACCAGAGCCTGCCTTGCCAGCAACCTGCTCACAGACTTCCAGCCTCCAGAACTGTGGGCGACAAATTTCTGTTGCTTATGAGCCACGCAGCTGGCGAGATTTGTCGTGGCAGCGAATGGACCTAAGACAGACCCTGAGCTAGAGCCAGCCAGCTGCACCTCTCCCAGGCTTCTGACCCTCGGACATGGGGTGACGTAACGAACATCTGTGGTTTTAAGCTGCTAAATTTGGGGGGCTAGTTGATTACAAGCAATGGATAACCGATACGCTTTCTGTGACTCAGTTTCCTCAGCTGGAAAATGGGCATGCTCACATCACAGAGGCGCTGTGAGAAGGAATGAAGCTCACCTCCCTGCATGCGTTCCTGCTATTATCCATGAGAGTCCCAAACTTCACCTCCTAATGTCCACTTCTCCCCTGACCCTGCCCTTCTCACAACCCTGCCTTGATAGGAACACCTTTCTGTTACTGCAGCTGGCTCAGCCTGGCATGATTTTCAAGTTGGGATTGGAACTTCAGAGAGAACGCGAGTTCTCAGGGAGCTTGTTAACCCCCTACAGCTCTGACCCCTGCCCAGAGAGGCTGACTCCGTCTGGCTGGGGTGGGACTCGGAATCTGCATTTTAAAAAATGGGTGTCTCAGACAATTCTGATAGGCGTGGTCATGACTGGCCTTTGAGAAACGCTGTCCTAAAGGACCTCGCCATGGGGCACCCCCGGACTTGACAGCAAAACACACAGTTCCACAGAATGCCGAGTGTGGGGCAGACGGCACCCTGTGGCCAGCTCAGCCCTGCAGAACACAGCTGGGATGCTGCTGTCCCACAAGCCCGCCTGGGGGTGGCCACAGCTCTCCTGTGGAACGGAGGGCAGGGGCCAGTTGCAGCTCTGCGGTGGCTGGGAAGGATAGGTGGGCAGCGGGGCTGGACACAGGATATTCAATGAGAGGTGGCCATCCACACCCTCCAGGGGTGAACCCTGAGGGTACCAACCTCCTCACCCTCCCCACCGGCGAGGAGCCAGAGACCACCCTGCCTGCCTCTCCTCCGGCCTCTGCTCCCTGGCCCAGTCCCACCCAGGGAGTGCAGTGAGATGGTTGGGCCTGGCTTCACTGGGCCACTGCAAGGTGGCGCTGTCCTGGGGAGCCAAGTGAGCTCGGCGACAGGTCAGCAAGCCAGCAGGGCGCTGCCCGGCCTTTCTCATCCACCCCTGGGAGGCTGGGCAAGCAGTTCATCTCAGCAGTGGCGTCGGTCACAGCCCTTCTCAGCGATGGCACCAGTCTCTCCCCAGAGGGACGGGCAGCATTTGCTGAGCTGTCGGGTGATTTCATGGGATTTATGGGACCCCTCTGCTCCAATTATCAGAGTGCTTAGAGAGGGGCGTATTTAAAGTAGGCCGCTGCGAGCCGCTCTGTTACCCCGTTATTCCAGGGGTATAAATAACCATTACAGGCCAGAACGGCCCCCCAGAGGCGCCGAAAGCTGCACAAACACCAGGATTTATGCGGCGGGGTGCCTGGGCCCTCTTGCAGGTGATTTGTGCCTCTCCACTGGGCCCGCTCAGCGGCCCCGTCAATCAGGCGCCCCAGCCAAACGATGCCCGCGTTGGAATTCCAATTTCTTCGGCCGTTATTACAATATGAATCATGCAGACCTCCGGGGGCTGAGGCAGGGCTTTTGCCGCTGGCCCGAGTTCGGGGCATCAGGGCCTCCTGCAGCAGCCTCCGTAATTAAATGAGACGGTTGTGACTTTTCAAATTGTGGTTGGGCTTGTCAGGGACTGGGGTCAGCAGGGCACCTGAGAGTCCGGGCCAGCGTCCCTGCATGCCACCCCCATGGCCGCCCCGCACCCCAGCTCCACGCTGCTGCCACTGCCCACCTTTCCACCCAAACCACCTGTCCAGCTTGGCCGCAGAGCCTGCCCCTGCCATCTGGGGTTAGGCAGTTTTGGGCCATTCTCTCTCCATCTTTTCAAAGTCAGAATCTTTGCTTTCCAGAAGTAGAACAGCCCTGGGGAGGGGGCTGCTTCTCCTCTCCCTGCCCAGAGTGCAGTCTGGGTATCCCCGTGATCCCAATCCCTCCTCTGCACGCAGAGACACTTCCAAGGACAGTTGTGGAACTCAGGAACGCCTGCCATGGGGAAGGGGGCGAGAGAGTGAGCCAGGGTCTCCTTTTGGGGTGGCACTTGCAGCACTGGGCGGCTAACCAGACCCACGCTGCTGACTGCCTGAGAAGGTGGCGCGGTCTGGACGGCAGCTGCACTTGGTTCTCGGCTTTGAGGGTCCTGATCTCACCCCAGAAGTGCCAGCTTCTTTGGGTTCCATGGGAGACAGGAAGGAGCAGGTCCTCTTTGCCCTTGCAGCAGGTGAACCCTCTGCGCTCCCTTCACACCTTAGTTCTGTGTGTAGAAGGGTGCTTCTCCATGGGGGAGATTTTGCCCCTGGGAGATGTGTCTGGAGACATTCTGGGTTGCCGTCACTCGGTAGGGGGCTCCTACTGGCATCTAGTGGGTGGAGGCCGAGAATGCCAAACAGCCTGCTGTCCACCATCAGAGAGCCGTCGGGCCTTGATGTCAGAAGGCTTGGGCTGGGAAACTGCTCTTGAACCCGGTTCCCTCTGCATGGCTGACGGGACCAGACCCAGGAGGCGATGGGCGGATAGTACAAGTAGACTTGAGCCCAGTTCTCGGAAGAGCTTCCTCATCCTGAGACTCTGCAGCCATGGCCTGGGCTGTCTCAGGAGGTAGTGAGATCACTGTCAACTGAGGTATTCAAGGTGCAGCTATGCCAGGAAGGGGCTATGGTGAGAAGAATGCTGCAGTGGGAATTAGGAGCCTCAGCTCTGTCACACCTGGAGACCTTGGGCGAGTCGCCGTAACTCTCTGGGCCTCAGGTTTTGCGTATGTAGAAAGAAGGGAACACTTGTATTGGTGGTTCGCATTCGGACGTGGGGAGTGTTTCTGGAGGCGTTTGGCACACCCGAGACTGGCAAAGTGGAATGTCTTGCAAACCAATGGCCACACTTCCCCAGATGCCAACAGCACACCCTCATCACCGGGAGACACTGGGCTGAGCAAGAGCCCTCTCTGCTTGTGGAATTTAAATGATCCCAGCTTGACCCTATCCCAGGATGCAGGTGGAGCCAGGAAGTCAGGTTCTGAGTCAGAAAGCATTGCCGAAGACTTCTGGGACCTCGCAGAAGTGGGCTTTGCTGATGGAATGAGTAGGGGCAGGAGCTTCAAGAGGAACTGGGATGGAAGAAGTTGGATCTTCCAGGAAGGTCTTAAAAGCAGCAGAAGCCTCTCTTAGCCAGATTAGGGAGCAGGGGTCTGGCCTGCCCTTTAACCTCCAAGGGTCCTTCGTGGGATCCATCTTTCTAGCATTGTCTTCCAGGGAACATTCCCCTCTCTGGAAAGCTGTTCCTCTCCCTTTACCAGACAATACCCACTGGGCCAGCTAGTTTCCCTTTTTGCCATGGAAGCCAGGAAGCTCAAAGCCAAACTCAGGAGGCTGTCCCTCCAGGTCCTGCCTCGCCTTTACAGGGTTCCTGATTTCTCTTCACCTCCATGTTTACTGCCTTACATTTGTGGTCCATGTTATCTAAAAATATTCACAGGAACTGGCTGCTCATCCAGGGCTTGCAGTGGGTCAGACACGATTCCGAGCTCTAAAGGCATGGTTTGACATGCTCCCCAGAAAGCCCTGTGAGGCAGGTGCTATGTTATACTCATTTGGGGAGGACGGGTAAGGTCCCTGGCATTTTTAAATGCCTCTTTCCAGGGATCTGGATCCATCAACCTTACACAGGGATGAGTTCTGCATATTCCACAGTCAGATCCGAAGTACTGACCCCAACCAATCGCAGAAGGCAGTAGCAGCCGGGAGGAGAGGTGAGCACTCCTGGTGAGGGCGGCCCCCGCTGAGCACGGCCTGGCCGCGGGATGGCCCTGGGAGACACAGCTTTAACCCTCAGTGCAGCCCTTGGGCAGCAGAGAAAAGGAGCTGAGCGTCCTATGGGTGAGGGCCAGGTGCTCCGCAGCGATGCTGGGCAGGGGGAGGCGGGATTGGAACCCAGGTCCACTCTGCTCCCAGGGCTACAGACAGGCCTTGCACTCTCAGTCGGCACCACCCTCTGGCTTTCCTGCCTGCCCAGGCCTCACACTGAGGACCCATCCGTGTTGCTCAGAAGAGGGCACCCTGCAGGGCCGGCCCTAACGCCGGCCCCGTTCCCCTCAGGAGCTGGCCTGGGCCGGTGCCATGGCTTGGACCTTCATCCCTTCCAAATCTCAGGTTGAAATGTGGTCCCAGTGTTGGAGGTGGGCCTGGTGGGAGGCGTCTGGGTCACGGGGCTTGGTGCTGCCCTCGGGGTAATGAGTGAGTTCTCACTCTACTAGTTCCCATGAGAGCTGATTGTTAAAAAGGGCCTGGCACCCCCTCGCTTCCTCTCTCCTGTGCATTCCACACACTGGCCCCTTCACCTTCCCAAGACTGGAAGCAGCCTGGGGCCATCACTGGACGCAGATGCTGGCACCACACAACGATTCCTGGACAGCCTGCAGAGCTGGGAGCGGAGTAAACCGCTTCCCGTTTACCCGGCCTCAGGCGTGCCTTTCTACAAACACTAAAGGAGCGAGGCGCTAAGGGCTGCTTTCCGCAGGTCTCTCAAGAATAAGTGGTGGAGAGAACAGGCTCCAATGTCAGTGACAGGAAGACCCACAGGCTGGAATTCTCAGCGATTCCCACCTCCAGCCTCTAAAAGGCCACACGAGGGGGACATGTCTGAGGCTCCCGCAGGCCTGGGCTCTTGGGGCACAGCTGCACCCTAAACACCTCCAGGACACGCGGGCACATCCCAGACCTGTGCGATGGCCCTGGCAGTCTCAAGGGGACCTTAGCGGAGGTGAGCCCAGCTCACTGAGTAGGGAGGGGAAAGGCGTGCATGTGGGAAGGCCCATGGGTATGAGCGCCAATACCAGCCCTGACTGCCCGTGAGGTCTCAGCAAGCCTCCCGCCGCTCCGGCCTCCATTCCCTTGTCTGGGACCAGAACAGCTCTCCCCACATGGAGAGGGCCCATGGGCCGGGCTGTCCGGAGAGCTGGCAACTGTCTGCAGTGTTTCCAGACGGCCGTGCTCTCGGGAACAGGCCCAGCTTAGTTCTGGCCACTCCCAGAAGAGCCCTGTCCAAGGAGAGGGAGGCTCCCAGCTCCAAACTGGAACCACAACGGGTCCTCCATTCCTCACTCCACGCCACAGCCCTGGATGGGGCGAGGGACCCACGCCCCTGGCTTTTCCGGCCAGGTCTCAGATTTCCCATCCTAACCCACAGAACTCTCCCAAGTTCCCGGAGCTCCAGCTGCATAGGCCTGGGATTCCTAGTCTCCCTGCAACTGTGGGGCTGCCTGGGGCGAGAGTCTGGTCCGGGGCCCTCACTGCCCTCTGGCAGGCATCTTGGGGACAGGTAAACCCGTGCTGAGTGAGGAGCGAGCCCCACGGAGGCGTGAGCAGGGGTGCTGGGCGCGGCGCGGGATACTCACAGCACAGCCGTCCACCAGGGCGCGGATGTAGGGGTTGTTGTCATAGGACATCTCCTCGTCGTTGGAGCCCAGGAAGCGGAGGGCCTTGTCGTAGCTGCCCGTGGCTGCGTCCTGCCAGGCCACTGACTGGTAGCAGTGGTAGGTGACGTTCTGGTGGGCAGAGGCGCTCAGCAGCCGCAGGAAGGTCATCTGTACCACACCCACAGGGTTGCCCTCGGCGTCCACATAGGAGAGCTGGGGGGACAGGGGTGTTGGGGCTCAGCAGGGTGGGGACACACACAGCAACAAAGCCCCACGTCCGCACTGCCCTGGGCTTCACTCACACTGTGGTCTTCTCGGGGGAACTACCTGGAAACGCACTGTACCCACAGACCCGGCCGAGGCCAGCGCACATGGGCTCTCTTGCGTGTTCCCAGGAACAAAGGGAACCATGCCTCATGTCCTTCAGGGCCTTAAATAATCCACCCACTTCTCTTGGCTTATGCTTATCCTTCAGGGCTCGGCACCTGTGCTGCCTCCTCCAGGAAGCCTACCCAGAATAGATGCTCCTGCACCTACTCTGTGGCTGCCCTCCCCAACCTTAGTTTGTCACAGTGTCTGTCTTCCCTAGCAGACTATAAGTTCAGAGAGGGCAGGATGGCATCCTTCTTGCTCGTTACTGGCCGTGGTACCCGCCCCATGGCTGCCCAGTGTGCGCTTGATAAAGCTTTGCTGCATGGTGAACGGCAGCCAGTGTCTCCTGGGCCAGCACCCACTGCAGTGCCAGCTGCAGCTGCTCTCCCTGCACGTCCACCCACAGTTCTTCTCCCCTTCTGCCACCTGGGTGCCTCCATCCCAGATGGTGATCTGGGTCTGCCAGGTTTGTATGTGTTGAGTGAACAGAGAACCATTCTCAAAAATATGGCTTGCATGAAGACCTGCCTCTCATTCCTGAAACGCAGAGCTCTGCACCCGATCGCTGGGTCGGGGCACCTGGAGCAGCAGGCGAGCCCTGGTTTCCCCTGAGTAGAGGGGTGCAGGGCCAGAGAGGGGCATTAGGTTCCCTGGGGGTGAGAGGAGGAGGTCTTAGAGCCCCCTCCCAGCTGCACCACACTTCTCCCTGAGCCCTGGACAGCAGGTGTCCTCCTTCTGCCCCTGAGCCACTGCACGGCTCCTCCCTCGGCCTGGGACACTCCCCACCTGGCAGGAGGTGCCCCCACTGCTGTCCTTTGGGTCACAGCCTAGACCACTGCTCCTAGGGAAGGCTCCTCCCCACCTCCAGCCTCTAGGGCTGGCTTAGGGACCCTGATCTGTATCCCAGCCCTCCCGATGTCCCTCCACTCCAGCTCTGGCCCCCTGTCCCTATCATCATGCTCCAACACCAGCAAAGGAAGGTGCTCACAAGATTATGTGAACAAACGACCATCTGCTGGGTGCCCAGGATGTACAAGGCCCTGGCCAGGGAGACTGTGAGCAGCTGGAGCCACGGGGCACGAGGCCTCGGGGAGTGAGCGGGCCAGCTGTAGTGAGGTGCTCAGGGGAGGCGAGCCTGAGGGAGGGTCAGGGCTGTGCAGATGGCTGGGGTGACCGGGGATCCTCCTGGAGGCACAGGGGTCCCGGATGATGTCTGGCATGGCCACTCAAGAAAGACCACTCCTCCCCTTCCCAGAAGCGTCTCCTCAGGGCAGTGAGCAGGCTTCCTGAGACAGGAGTGGCTCCATCTGCCTGCCCTGCCTGTGCCAAAGGTCAGCCCGGGACTCTGATGACACTGATCCTCCCTGAAAGCCCTCCCAGTCTCTGCACAAATCCAGGGAAGGCATCAGAGGACAATGTGCAGCTTCTTAGGTGGCCTCTCCAGCATCACTAGCTGGGTATCCAGGACTGGGCTGCTCAGCTCCACCAGGTGCAAGGCCCGTGCAGGGCATCCTGAGCCATGATGCATCTCACTTTTGCATCTCTGTTGCCAACTCAAGGTTTCTGAAAAACCTGACACTTCCAGGGGACATCGATGCATCTTAGCTCCCCGAAATGAAGCACACATCTCTCCTGGCCTAGGCAGGACCTTGAAGGACCCTCTCTGCAGGGAAGGCCTGGCTGGGCAGGGCAGCCTGTCCTGTTTGCAGCATCAGGGAATGAAGCAGGCTAAAGCCAGCACCTGAGACCTGCTCTGCCCACTCCTATGCAACCGCTGCCTCGTGGTGGTGTGTTTTGGACCCTGCCTCTGGCCTGCTCCGAAAGAGCCCCATTGAACAGAGGAAGGGAACTGACTTCAGTATTGCCAAGAGTGTTTGGGCACCGGGAGTGGGAAGAGGGTGAACACACTGCAGGACCCACTTTTTCAACAGATGCCACTAGAAAAAGCCCAAAGTGAGCAGCTGGCCTGGGGCCTGGGCCTTCCCAGGGGCGAGGGAACACGCTGCAGTCCCAGGGCTATCGGCGAACTCCACGCTTTCAGACGCAGCCACGAGAACCTTACGGGCAAACCTTGAGGAGGAAAAGTGAATACCAACCGACAGGCTGGGCCGTCCGGCGCTCCTTCTGGGAGGGAACGTGACTGACTCGAGGAAGAGTGTGCACCACAGGGAGCGGCGGTGGGCAGCACCGGACACAGAAGGACCTGAAGCCCCCAGTGCCCATGGGGCAGCAGGGGGGCCCGGGGCATGGGGCACGCTGCCCTGCATTGGAACCCCAGGGTCCCACAGTGAGGCCCTGCTCTCCTGGTGGGAGGGATTCTCTGCAGTATTCTCTCAGTATGGTGCAGTGTGGGTAGCCCTGCCCAGATAAAATTCCCATTTCTGGTTTTTTCTTTCTTTTTTTTTGGAGACGGAGTCTCACCCTGTCCCCCAGGATGGAGTGCAGTGGCGCGATCTCAGCTCACTGCAACCTCTGCCTCCTGGGTTCAAGAGATTCTCCTGCCTCAGCCTCCCGAGTAGCTGGAATTACAGGTGCACACCACTATGCCCAGCTAATTTTTGTATTTTTAGTAGAGATGGGGTTTTGCCACGTTGGCCAGGCTGGTCTTAAACTCCTGACCTCAGGTGATCCATCCGCCTCAGCCTCCCAAAGTGCTGGGATTACAGGTGTGAGCCAACCTGCCCAGCCCATTTTTGCATTTTGTTTTTTAATAGAGATGGAGTCTTGGTATGTTGCCCAGGCTGGTCTCAAACTCCTGGGCTCAAGCAATCTGCCCGCCTGAGCCTCCCAAAGTGCTGGGATTATAAGCATGAGCCCCTGCACCTGGCTGAAAAATCTGGGTATCTTTGAGAGGCCCCCATCTACCTCTTGTCCACGTATGATATTCACAGAGCTAGAAATAAGGCCGTGGAAAGATCCTAAAGTAAGCTGATGTGTTCCCTGGGTCGTCCCTTCACCCCAACCTTCATTAACTCTCTGTGGAACAGGACGAGAGGTGGAAATGGGCTACTCGGGCTGAAGGCTGCAAATGAGGTTTCACAGCCATTTCCTCCAAGCGAGGAAAATAGGCTCTTTCTGCTTTTCCCATTTTGGAGGATGCTGTGAGAGGCTCTTTTTGGAGGCTGAGAGCTGTCATTGCGGGGAGAGGGCAGTGCCAAGCGCAGGCGGTAACTACCCGCAAGACTGCAGAATGGACCCTGCCACCTCGGCCCCCAGCAGCTTCACCCCCAGGGCCCCTTCCTTGCCTGATCCCACACATCAGCATCCCCTACGCTCTGTCCCTCCGGGCCAAGCAGCCCTGGTCCCGGGCCCTCCCTGTCCCCGGGTGTTTCAGGTCCTTCTGTATGCCAGCAGCTCTTTTTGGAACACAGCACAGAGGAGGCGGGGAAAAGGAAAAGCAGGAGAGGAAAGGAGGAGAGGACTGCAAGTCCACGGCAAACCACAAAACGGGAAGCCTCCAGAAACACAGCCACGGTGAGCACAGACCCTCGGAGTGTCTGCAAAGGAGCTGGTATATGATTTCAAACCAACAACAATGAGGGCACGAGAGATGAATAATCAGCTGTGAATGCCTTCAGGTTATGAGACGAGGGGCTTCAGAGGTGCAGACAGGGCAAAGGCGGCTCAGGGCCAGTGCTCTGTGTCCACCCAGGGAGGCTGGGGCTGGTGCCAGGGTGCAGCAACCCATGGCAAGTGGTCAGGCTACAAGCCGCAGAACCCACGGGCTGCCTTCTGAGAGCAAGGCCCTCCTTTGAGGACCACCTGGGAGTGGGGCCACTGGATCCCAAGAAGGGAGGGAAAGGAGAATCTGGGCCATAAATGACACCCGGAACCCGTCTTGTGTTCTGGAACCTTGGTCCTTTAACTTGCTGGGAGAAAAGACAGAACTCTGCTCTTCATTCCAGGAGAGGGCCCAAATCAAACTCCGGTGGGGTTCCTAGGGGCACTCCACGCGGCAGAAGCAGCCGCTGTCCTCACATCAATGTGTCCAAACTGGCTCTTGGGCACTACACCGGCCAGAAGAACCTCCTATGTGGTTCTTTCCTGGGAGGCCAATGTCGTTTCCTTTCAGGGATGGATTCTGTAAGACTCGATCCCCAAAAGTGAAAACGTGACTCGTACAGTGGTGTGCAGTGTAACTGGGAATCTGCAGCCCGGTGGGCAGAGAGACAGCCCTCAGCCCTGAGCAGCTGGGGAGAGGGGATCCGTGGTGCAGGTCCTAGAAGGAGCTCTGAATGGCTTAAGTGGTCTGGGATCTGTGTCCTCTGCCCTGCCATCAGACACAGTGAAAGCGCTCCTGCTTCTGGAGCGTCTGACCTCAGTGCTCAGGTGCCTGGGGCTGCACCGTCTGTGGGCAGAGGATCAGCTCAGGCTGGGGCCCACACCCAGCTCTGCGCGCCCTACACAGAAACGGAAAACCATCTGCCTACTCCAGGCAGAAACACACTCTTGTCAGGGTGGCGGGGGCTGGGGAGAGGACTCCACACCTAGCTGAGTCTTGCTGTCACGTGATGTGGAGCGGTTTGGCAAGAGCGGTGTGGCACACATGGCAGCGATGGGTGCCATGCAGAGCCGCGAGCCAGCCGTGCCGCAAGCAGGCAGTGCCGAGGTGGCCGGGCCGAGGTGGCCACTTACCAGGGACCCCCGCTTGTACTGACTATACCAGGTGGAAGGCTGCTCTTTGGGCCAGCGGGCCATTTTACTCTGTAAGATACGAGATGGGCGGGTTTAAAGTGACAACCGCAAAGACGCCAGAGGCCACCTTACCAGTTTCCCACGCTTGAATTCACTGAACCAGGAGCCCGGGTTTTCTTTGGGCCAAGAAGTGATTCTGGCCTAAACATGCAGCGGGGAGGTGGGGAGGGAGAGAAACAGAACAAAAGGGTTACTTCTCCGGCCTCCAGAGCAAGGCCCCAGGCTTTCCCGGCCCCCGCGCCTGCATCCTCACGCCGGGGGGGCTGCAGGGAGGACCCACCGAGCGCCTTCAGTGCAGCCTGAGGGCCCCGGCCCTTGTGGGGAGACTGGAGGTCACAGGAGAATGAGCCCGGCCCAGGTCCTTGGGGGGATGAGCCTGGCCTGGGCCTTGAGGGAGACTAGAGGCCACGTGAGGAGCCGGGCCCCAGCCCTTGGGGAGACTGAAGGCCATGTGAGGATGAGCCTGGCCGGGGCCCTCGGGGAGACTGGAGGCCGCGTGAGGATGAGCCTGGCCCCGGCCCTTAGGGAGGCCACGTGAGGAGCCCGGCCTGGGCCCTCGGGGAGACCGGAGGCTGCGTGAGGAGGAGCCTGGCCCCAGCCCTCGGGGAGACTGGAGGCTGCGTGAGGAGCCCGGCCTGGGCCCTCGGGGAGACCGGAGGCCGCGTGAGGATGAGCCTGGCCCCAGCCCTCAGGGAGACCGGAGGCTGCGTGAGGAGCCTGACCTGGGCCCTCGGGGAGACCGGAGGCCGCGTGAGGATGAGCCTGGCCCCAGCCCTCGGGGAGACTGGAGGCCGTGTGAGGAGCCTGGCCCCAGCCCTCGGAGAGACTGGAGGCCATGTGAGGAGCCTGGCCCCAGCCCTCCAGCCCCTGCTGCTGCCCAGGAAGGGTGCGCTCTGCCTCTCGTTTTGCATGTTAGGCCCCAGGCCAGCGCCTGGTGCTCAGTCACTGCTGGAAACGCTCACTGAGGGAGGGAATGAACGAATGAATGAATGAATGATGGACCAAGGGAATGGTAATAAAAGCCAGCATTTACTGCAGGCGAGGGGTGGGGCATCCTCATCCCATCCTCACAGCCTTGCCTGGCTGCTGCGGCACCAGACTGTGTGCGTGTGTGTGTGCGCGTGCATGGTGTGGGGGGTATGTCTGTGTGAAGGGTATGGTGTGTGGTACGCATCTGTGTGTGTGATGAGTGGTGTGTATCTGTGTATGCTGTGTGTGTGGTATAATGTGTGGTCTGTGTGTGATGTGTGGTGTGTGTGTAGTGTGTTATGGGTGTATCTGTGTGATGTGTGGTGTGTGTGTGTGGTATCTGTGTGTAATGTCTGTGTATGGTGTGTATCTGTGATGTGTGGTATGTATCATGTGCGTGGTGTGTGGTATCTGTGTGTCTGATGTGTGGTGCGTATCTATGTGTGGTATGTGGTATGTGTGGTGTGTATGGCGCATTATGGGTGTGTGTGTGGTATGTGTGGTGTTTATCGTGTGTGTGGTATGTGTGTGGTGTATGGTGTGTATCTGTGTGATGTGTGGTGTGGTATATGTGGTGTGTATTGTGTGTGTGGTGCGTATCTCTGTGGTGTGTGGTATGTGTATCGTGTATCTGTGTGGTATGTGTGGTGTGTGGCCTGTATCTGTGCGTGTGGTGTGTAGTGTGCATCTGCGTGTGTGTGTGTGTGTGTGGTAGAACCTTCCTGGGGACTGAGACGTGTGCGGGTGAGGGCTGCTCCTCGGCTGCCTGCCTGGATCATGTGCAGCCAGCTCACGCTGCCATGGGGCACTACTTGTGCCCGCTTCCTGGGAGGGCTCCCACCTGAGGCCTGCTTTCCACAGAGGCCGAGGCTGCAGACACACAGGCTGGGCCCAGCAGGGCAGGCCTCAGTGACGCCACGGATGGATGGGTGGGTGAGCAGCCATTCCTCTGAGGGGAGACCTGCACGCTGGGTCCCAAAAACAGGACAAGGGGAGCCCCGGCTGCCTGAGGGTGCACTTGCTGCAGGCGTGGAGTGGAAGGGCCCCCAGGGCCGGCCTGTCCCCAGCCTGGACTGACTGGGGCTCACGTTGTGCGCCATGAGGACACAGAAGACTGATCCCTGGCTGATCCCCCCAGCCTTCTTCTTGAGCTGGCCTTGTGCCAAGAAGGCCAGAAAAGGGGATCCCCTGGAGGAAAGGGGTGTCCCATCTGCCTCTCACGCCACCCAGAGCTCTCCCACCCTCTCTCGTTTCCAAATCTGCCACTGTCAATGCCAAGCCCAGGCGGCGTGAAGGCAGCTTCTTCCTGGAAGAGTCCCGGGATGTGGGCAAGCGCGGGCTCCCCCAGCCTCTGCTGTGAGCCTCCTCCGGGTCCAAGGGGGCCACCTCGGAAAGCGTCTCCACTTGCCCTTGGCCAAGCAGCTGTAGCCCAGGCCCGAGGCTGCAGCCTGTGGACGCCTGGCTGGTCAACACTGGGGGAGCCTGGGGTCGCTCAGCAGCCCCACGCTGCTGTGCCGTGAACACCAGCCGCGGCTTCCCAGGAAACCTCTGAGTTTGGAGGAGTCTGGCCCGTGATTTCCACAGCGGCAAGGCCACCCATTTGCAGAGGCAGGCCGCGAAGGAGGGCCGAGAAACCTCTTTTCTAAGGGAATTCCACGCGGGGCCTCTGGCCAGACTGAGGGAAACGAGAGCCGAGATGGAAGGCCCCCGTGTTTGGATTCTCTCTGAACAGGGTTTGTCACTAGGAAGGCAGGTTCTCAAGGAGTTAAAACTTCAGGTGGGGGAGGGGACCCCTGCACTTGGAGCCCCACAGATCTCCAGCCATGTGCAGCCTCCACTGCAGCCAGTGGGCTCCTAACCCAAAGTGGCTACTGAGCTCAGCACGGTCAGGGCGTGATTGAGGGGTAAGGGGATGGCGGTCCCTGGGGAGAACGTAGCTGCTCTTCCCCTGGCAGGAAACTGCTTCTGGGGCACTGAGGTTGTTAGGAAGCAGAGGCTGCAGGGGCGCACAGGTCTGGACCTGCACAGCAAACCGCTGCGGCCCCAGAAATGGGCGGCCTTTGCCTGGGGCCACGCGACAACTGCGAGCTCATGAAGGAGAGGCCGTTCAAGCTGATGCAGGGGCACGAGAGCTGCAGGCTTGGTCACCTTCCAGGAGCAACAGGGAGACTCAGTCCTCGCCTGGGCCAAGGCTGGACCTGCCTCAGGTGCATGCTTGAGGGATAGCAACACACGCCCGTCTACATGCATGCACATGCCAGCCACATGCACCCACATACACCAGCCACACACACCCACACACCATATACACATCCACACACCAGCCACACACCCACACACCTGCACCAGCCACAAGTACCCAAACACCATCTACACACCCACACACCAGCCACACACACCCGAACACCATGTACACACCCACACACCACCCACACACCCCCACATACCAGCCACACGCACCCATCCACCACCCATACACACACCCATCCACCAGCCACATGCACCCACACATCATCCACATGCCATCTACACACACACCATCCACATACACCCCAACTACAAAACCACACAGCATCTACACACACACACACACCATTCACACACCCATCCACACACTCATCCACATGTGCCCACACACCATCCACATGCACACAAACTCCTGCTACAGCGCTGAGGCCTCCGAAAGGCCACAGAGGTGGGTATTTAAGTGACATGCCACAAAATCTCAACAGAGCCCAGCTCCCCACCCCGAATTCTTCACTAAACAGACTTCAAAACAAAGCACTCAGGAGGGACCAGGGCCAACCCACAGAAACAGGCTGGATAATAAGAATTGAGGCAAAGGGCAGCTTCCGGAAGATGTCTCAGGCTCACGTTATTGTACCTGCTCCCAATTCCTTTAAAGGGTTTTAATGGGGGTCTCAGGTCAGTGGGACCACTGAGTCACCGGAGAAAAGCTTTTATCAACCAGTGAGTGAAGTCCCAGCCCTGGGACGGCAGGATGCCAGGTGGAAAGCCCTCCAACCCTTCCTGACCCCGGGCTGCACAAACCTATTTTATTACTAAAAAATTTCTTAAAACAATTTCAGGTCTACTTCTGAAAGAACAGTTTCACTGATGAAACGGATTCATTTCTGGCTTTCAGTCTTAAAGCTGCATATACAAGAAATGCTTGAAGCCCTCGGCATGGCCCTGTCTGTGACGCCTGCCCCGCTGGGGCCATGGAGGGACACAGCTACTCACCCCTTCGGACTTCTTGTCAGGGAAGACGCATGTCGACCCCCCGGCTGTGAAGTTGCAGTAAACCTTGAAGGAATCCCTGGAGCATCCTTGGTTAGGATCGACCCAGTATTCACCTGGATTTCAGAGACGGGGAGGGAGGCAGGCAGAGTCAGAAGGATTGCTCCCTGGATGGTTCCGGAAGCCGCTGTGACATTTCAGTCCAGCAGTTAAAATGCACGCCCCAGGAATGCCGCCAACACGGGCCTTTCTGGGGTTTACTTTATTGCATTTTGCTTCTCCTGCTGGGCCCATAAAGAGATGTGGACAAACTCATTCACCAAGAACACAGCTGGTGCATGAAGCAACTGGGTACGTGTTCTGGTGGCCAGGAGGGTTGGGGTCCGGCCTACTCTCTGGGTGGACAGAAATGCAGAGAGGGTTCTGGAAGGAACTCTGGAAATTCATGCATGTAGGATCAGAGTCTACTGGAACCATGAACATCCCTCGAATCTTGCAGGGGGAACATTCAAACTTCCCAGGGGGAAGAAAAGCTAATGGGAATTTATCCTTCAATTGGTGCCTGAGGCTATGATGGTGAGGAGAAGGATGTGTTTTTACAGTATCGCGGAGTTTGAAGGCCGTTTGCCCAAGCACAGCGTCTGCTGCCGGTCCTAACACTGACCCTTACTTCCACTGGCACTGTGCCAGCCTCTCAGGCACTGCCTCACGCAACTCTGTCCTCTTCCTGGGAGATGTTTCTGTTCCCATTTGACAGGTCAGGAACACGAGGTTCAAGCAGGTCACCCCGCCAGAAAATGCCTAAGACCAGATGAGAACCTGGAGAGTCTGACCTCAAAGCCTTGGCCTCTGCACCCGGCCTCACCCTGAGATGCCTCCATAAAGTTCAAGAGGGGAGGCTCTTGCGCACCCCGGCCCCACAGATGGGGAGGCTGCGGCTGCCCGTCCTGTCCCTTCCGCTGTGCCTGGCTGAACTGTCCTTGCCACACTCCATGTGTCCTGCAGGTCCATGCCCGCTTTGGGGGGCCACCCCTGCCCCCCCAGGCCCTCACCATCTGGGAAGTCGGGGTGGCAGAGCTGCAGGTCCTTGCAGGTGCGGGCGGGGTTCTGCTGCGTGCCCAGGGGCCGTTTCATCTGCTCAATCTCCAGCTTCAGAGAGTTGAGAGAGCCGAAGATCTCTTCCATGCCGTCCGCGTAGTCCACGTAGTTCTCGCCATTCCCGTCGTCCAGCAGCTGGCTGGCGTCGATGTTCCGCCGCGTCCTGGATGCCTGGATTGGCAGGGGCTGGATGACCTCTCCCGGGGGGCCCTGGGGGACAGAACAGGAGCAGCGGTGGGTGATGGAGGATGGGAAGGGTCCCAGGATATGAGCAGAGCAGGGACAGCTGGGGCCACATCTGCAGGGGTTCCCTGGGGCCTGGCAACCTGGGCTACATGGACATCTGTCCGCCTTAGAACTGTTTCCATCCCTTCCTCCAGTCTCTGGAACATTCCACACCCATCCCCACTGCCAGGTGCTTGCCAGCATGGAGCACCTCTCCTTTCTCTCTAGAGCTGAAACTTAACAGTTTGCAGCCTTGGGCTTGCATCTGCCATCCTGCCCTCAGCCACACAAAAGGCCAAGCCTTGAGGAAAGGGACCAGGTCTCCCCAGTCTGGCCTCTGCAGCCCTAGCTGGGGCTGAACACAGTGGGGCCACATGAATGCCTCCTGATGCAAAGAGCCATTCACTTCCAGAAGGCCACAGCTAAGATGACGATGGGAGTTGGAGAGACTCCACAACCAAAGGGGGGTGTCCAATAGTGCACTCGCCATGCCCTGGTTCAAACTGGGCTTCACCTTTCACCTCCAGGGCCTTGTCTAGTGCTCCCCCATCCCAACACACACACACACATGCACATATATCCCAGACATGCATGTACACATATACATATGCACACACACACGGCCATGCATGCACGTATACAATATACACACACTACACATGCACACACATATGTGCCCCACATATATGCATGCATACCCATACACACATCATGCACACACACATGCACATACAAACCATGTACACACACATTACACATGCATGCACATATACAGGATGCACGTACACATACAGACATGCACACACACGTGCCCAGTCACATACACGCATATACTACACGTTCACACATTCATATACCATGCATGCACACACAGCACACACGTGTATCCTCTCTCTCCTGGCCAGCTGTTCTTCTCAGGGCCAATTGGCCTGTAAGCTTCCTGTGATAGACCTGTGTGGCTCATTTCCCCGGCTGCGTGCGAGGGACAAGGCCCGGGCATGCCACATGGGCTTCATGAGTCTCAGGAGGGGTCACACACACACAGTTGCTTTCTCAATTCCCTCGGAGCTAGCCAGAGCCCCCGTCCCGCTTTCTGGGCTTCAAGGGCTACTTACCGGGGGGCCTGGGGGTCCTGGGTGGCCTGCCTCACCCTTCGGGCCAGTTGGACCCTGGGGAGAAAGAAAAGAATCAACCCTTGGTCACAGAGGTATGAGGGGACTTTGAATCCACCTTCAGCTCTAGAATGGTCCCTGGAGACCTATGTGGGGGAGGTGGCCCTATCAGCCACAGCAGAGAAGAGAATGGCAGAGACCCCTGTACCCTCCTGGATCCTTGAGATGAGAACAGAGAGGGATGGAGCCCTTCCTAGGGCAGGCGGCGAGCAGCCCACCTGCCTCAGTCCGCCATGGGTCAGTGTAGAAAGATGGGAGGATCGTGAGCAGCAGGGCCTGAGCTAGGACGGTTGTCTGGGTAGTTTGTTCCCGTGCCAGGGGACCCGTCGCCCTCCCCTACCTTCCAGGCATTGGCCTGGCTGGGCAGCATGTTACTTACCGAGGAGCCCTTAGCACCTTTTGGACCAGGCGGACCCTGCAGAGAGAGGAGGGCAGAACGTCAGCAAGCCGGGTCTCAGCTCCAGCCCCACCGTGCTCCATGTCCTGCCCAGCCTGGTCTCGCCCCTCGCCCCTCTCCCACCCGCATCCCCCTCAAGAGTCTATGCTTGTATTTGCCCGGCTAGAGTGGGAGGAGGGTCGGGGCCTGGCTGGTGCTCACCCCTCGTGGAGACACAGGGTGGTCCTACCTGCCCCCGGCCAGCCTACCACCCACCCTGGCTAGGAAACCCCAGCTCAGACAGCCGCGGGGGGGGCGCAGCGGAAAAGAGCATGTCCTGGCTCAGAAGGGGCTGATGGAATGCACCCCCCAGCCCTGATAGCACACAGCAGGGGCCAGCCCTCAGCGTGCCAGGGGCCCCCGGGGGCCATGTGTACCTGCAGCCCAGCGGCTGTGGGGATGCCCTGGGAATGCTGGGTCTCCCAGCAATGTGAGACCCAGGCAGCGGTGCCAGAGGAGGGCAGCTAACTGCTCTTGTCTGGGCCAGGCTGGCCGGGCTCCTGGGAATTGGGAGGGCTGGAGAGCCAACTACTACCTTCCGCACCCTCCCCAGATGCCTACAGACAAGTGGCCTCGTTCCCTGAAATGGCCACCGTTTCCTGTCCCTGTCTTCCCCACCAAAAACCATGGCCGGGCAACGCCACTTCCTTTCTTCTGTCTCCTGGAACCCCAATGTTGAGTTAATGGGCAAATCCACCCTGGAGGCCCCAATTCCAGCTTCTCGTGTGACTTTTCCACAATTCTCTAGCTCCACACTGAGGCCCCAAGGCTTATCCCCACCCTCCCTGCCCTCCCAGGAATGACCAAGCCCCTCCCAGATACACACCGGCAGGCCAGGGGGCCCAGGAGGCCCAATCGGGCCAGAAGGACCAGTGATACCCTGAAAAGGACCAGAAAATGCAGGTTATCACCTTCAGACGAGGAGGAGCTGCGGGGCTGCAACCCTGCTACCCAGCCACACCCCTCGGCTCCCCTGTCCCTTCCCCACGGTATGCCCTTTGGCCCCTCAGCAGCCTCCTGTGGCTGCTTTCTGATCCTGGGCTGTGCATGTCAGGGGAGCCATCGACCTGAGCATCCACCCCAAGGCTGCCAGCCCTCGGCACTGCTCCCCCGGCTGGGCTGCCAGGAACTCACTCTCATCCCCCAGGCCACCGAGGACTTCAGGCTGAGCACCTCTTTTCACGTTCATTTGGAAATACAGAAACCACTGCCCTGACATTGTGGCCCTGGCTTGGGCCCCTCTTGCTGTTTCCTGCTCATGGTGTTAGTCTCCCCTCTAGAACTAAGCCCGGAGGGGTTGGGCAGGGAGTCCCATCCATGCTGACTGTCCTGTCCTGCCTGTAAATGTGCTTTCTGCATCCTTGGAGCGTGGAACCTCCGCTCAGACCCCTTCTCCCCACTGACTCCCTCCCAGACTGAGCTGCTGGCACAGAACAGCTTTGACCAGCTTTGCCACGGGCAGCTGGAGCCACCTGCAGCCTCTCTCCCTACAGCCCTGGATTCCACTCAGAGCTCTCTCCGGGCAGAAGCTGGGGGCGAGGGTAGCGGAGGGCTGATGGCCGTATTTCACTGGGGAGGGAGCGCTTCCCTCCCTTCACCTTGTCCCTGCAGGAACTTGGGCTGTGGCTCATTGTAAGGACCCCACAACTACCCAAGCCTGCACACCAACCCGACACCTTCATCAGCAATGCCGCCAAGACCATGGTTTGGGGTGAGGGCAGGTGAGCAAACAGGGTGGACACAGGGGTGCTTTCCCCGCTGGCCGTGGGGACCCTGGATGCCTCTCTAATTCTCGTGGTTGCCGGGCCACCACACCCTGGGCGGCACTCCTCCGACGACCCTGCTGTGGCCTGGGGATACCGGCAGAGGAAAACAGTCAATGGCATGGAGGACACTGGCCAGTGAGGTAGGGTTTGCAATGAGCTCCACCCTTCAGCCATGTCCTGCAACCTTCCCCGGGCCCATAGTGAGGGTGCCACCTTACTCCCAGCCTCCAGGGGCTCTGCCTGCTCCTGCCCTGTCCCCCGCATCCTATGAGGCATGGGCGTGGGTGGGCACAGCATACTGTGCGTGTGTGTGTCCGTCACACCTTGCTCGGGACGGAAAGATTCCCACACAGGAATAAGGACCCGTGGCCCTCATGGGGGAAGGACAGAGGCACTACAGGTCACCTCATCCCCTCTCCTGCCTCCATGGCACACGTCACCCTCCCCAGGCCACTTCCAAGTCACTCAGAGTTGTGGGACAGAGTGAAGCTCTCTGCATGGCGTTTCCTTGGCTATGGTTTGCAGAGGCTGCAAACTCCAATGAGCTACAGTTTGGGGGCAGCTGGGGACAAGGTGGAAGCAGGAGCCAGAACAGCCACTCTGCCCGCAGCTCTGGCAAACACGGCTGGTTGTCACCAGTGACCTCCTGGGCAAGCGGTGGGTGACAGGCTCTCCCACAGGGCTGGGAACCAGGCAGAATGACCTGACTTCCGAGTCCCTCCAGCTCTGGGGGACACCACGGTCATGAGGAGGAAGCCCCGCCTGCCAGTCAGGGCATGGAGCTGGGAGACGGCTCTGCCCAGCTCACTGTGCACCTGGGCAAGCCCAGCCCGTCAGTGTTCCCATCTGCCAAGCAGGATGACCGGACTCAACCGACGTGTGGACGTCCTTCCGGGCTCTGATGGGCCTCCTGTCCCCTGGGTGCCTGCCCCAGGGATCTAAAATGCCTCTCGACAGCCCACATGCAAGAAGTGCCATCTCACGCACCTGTTCTCCCTTAGGACCGGAGGAGCCCTGGGGGCCAGGGAGACCACGGTCGCCCTTCTCACCCTGTTCACCCGGAGGACCGATGAGCCCGATCAGGCCTGGATGACCCTGTGGGAAAATGAAGACAGGAAGGGGCATTTGAGGGAGCCACGCCTCATGCTCGGCCACGGTGGGCCAGTTAGCACGCAGCACAGCCATGGCACAGGAAGCTTTACATCATGGTCAGCCTCCCCTGGAAGGGGAACAGGCTCAACAGAGGGGCCAGGTGACGAAACGGCAGGTCCGAGGTGGCCCTTCGCTGGCCACAGTCACGTCTAAAAACAGACAGGGAGCCACAGACACTGAGACAGACCAAAGTGATAAAGGGGTTTTCCTGAGTGGTAATGTTTATCTCTGTCTTTCTCTTCGTATACGCTCTCCAATTTCCTATGGCAAATCCGAACGCCTGCTCCTATACGGAACTAAAACAAAGTTTGTGGACTGACACGGAAAGAAAGATGCAGAGTATTATAGATATTACAATCATGGGTTGTTTTTCTAAAAAAAGAAGAATCCATGACACTCGCTGTCTATGTTTGTCTTCTAGGAACCCAGGGCAAGCCTCGCAAGGCAGCCCCAGCTCTCATTTGCCTTGGGGCTGGGGGCAGTGGTGGCGGACGTCAGAGTGGAAATGAGAGGGCCCTCACTGCCTTCTGCTTCATATACAACCATCTCACTCCTGAGTACCTTTTATGTTTGTAAATAAATCAATGCAAGTGGAAAACAATTCCCAGCAGTTAGAAAAATAAAAGGGCTTTGCTCCCACTGCAGAAATGTCCTCACACCTCCTGCGGAAAGGATCTGGGGCCGCTCAGCCCAGGGAGAGCAGCAACCTGGGATCCTGGACACCCATCAGCCGGGGCCTCTGTGCCTAGCTGGAAGGTTCTCCGTCAATACCGCAGGGGCCTCCGGGATCTCCCGAGCTGCTCAGGACCCCCCAGAGGCAGGGGCCAAGCCTCAAACACAGCGTGTCTATTTTCCTTTGTCACCCCTCAGGTTCCCCACCACCAGCCTGCAGCAGGTGCTTGACACATTTAGGTGACGGATCAAGAGCTTGTTGAGTTTGAGACCCACGGCCACAAATTTGAAGGCCCCGAGTCACAGTTGCTGGGGCAGGGAGGCCCCTCTTACCTTTTCACCTTTGGGACCAGAATCTCCTTTGAGGCCGGGAAGTCCTGGGGGACCCTGTGGGAGGAGGCAGGGGGATCAGAGTCCTCATCCTTGGGGCTTTGGGTGGCGAAGTCATCCCACCCGCTATGCTCACCATGAGGAATGTGACTCACCATGGGGCCGGGGGGACCGTCCGGGCCTGGGGATCCTGGGAGACCTTGTTCTCCCTGAAACACAGAGACGCTCTGCATGAGTTGCTGGTCCCCCGTCCCTCCACTCGGCAACCCCTCTGCCCCTCACAGCCTACTCACCACAGGGCCAGGGATCCCTCGAAGGCCATCCGGTCCGGGCTTCCCAGGGGCCCCCTGGGGGCCGATGGGGCCAGTCTTCCCAGGAGGGCCTTCCAAGCCGGCTTCTCCCTGCAGGACGGCGGAGGGCAGAATGAGGTCCGGAGCTCTAGGCTCCAGGCACCCTGGCCCAGGACCACTGCTCGGAAACCCTGGGCACCTCTGGAGGAGTCCCAGGTGACCCCATATCCGGGGTTGCCCTAATTCTCCACATTTCATTGCCTGTGGAAGCTGCCCTGGTCAAGTCTCCATCCCGATCATCTCCCAGGCCAGCAGGGATCCCGTCTCCGCTGACTGCGCCGACCACAGACCGGGTGTCACAGCGCCACTGCCCGAGCAGGGATGGAACCGCACAACCTCCCGTCTCCTTAACAACAGGCGCCTCCAGGAGGGAGGCAGACAGTGCCAGGCCGGGCCGCCATCACCTCACTGACAGAATAGCCTCCCGTGTGCTCTGGGCCAGGCCCCAAGCCAACTGCATGGGTGACGGCGTCCCATCTTCTGCACGGGCCCCGCAGCAGACACGGTCACCATCGGACACGGTCCACTTCAGAGGTAGGCGGCTCAGGTCTGGCCGACTCAAAGACCAGGCATGAGGTCGCAGGGCTCCGGGGGACATAACTACTCAGCCTTGGGCTCCCTGAATCCCGCACCCACCACCCGCCTCCTCCCTCAGGTGGGCAAGGCAGACGGCCCCAGTCTTGTGGCCACCACTTGGCTGCCTCCTTGAGAGAGAACCAGGTCTCCTCCCCAGGTAGGCCATGAGCCAGGTGCCCCTGGGGCAGCCACTCTCAGCCTCCATGGACATCTCTGCCCACACGCTTGTCCACTCCCCACCCTCTGGGCTCCCCTGGGGGAGGTCTACGCGGTCACAGCCTGGCTCCAAAACACGTTACCTTGGCCCCTTTCTCTCCCTGTCTGCCTTCGGGGCCTGCGGGGCCTGGGGGACCCTGAAAGAAGCAAGAGAACAGCAGGTGGTGAGTGTGGCCTGCAGGGGTGGAGGGACGAGCTCGGGTGCAGGCGCTCAGGGTGTGTGTGTGTGTGGCCTGCAGGGGCAGAGGGACGAGCTCGGGTGCAGGTGCTCAGGGTGTGCCGGGCTGCAGGGCAGGGGTGCAGGGTCATGGAGGCTGCTCCCGGGCCACCCGCAGTGACACGGGTCCTCAGCATGAGTCCTATGGACTCCAGTCCCAGGTAAAGGCCTCTCAGGCCACGTGGGGAGGCGCAGTGCACGCCGCGAGTTGTGTGTGGCCTCCGTCCTGGGTGCACCAGGCAGCTGTTTACTGCCCCACCAGCAAGTGGCTGGACCATTCAATCTGCAAAAGATGCCTTCTCATTTGTTCTGGCTTTTCAGTAAAACCTGAGCCAGGGGAAAAGGACCTTTGCAGCTTTGCGGGTGTCTTTCTCCCACCATGGATATCACTGACCGTGTCAGCAGGCGGCCTGTCCTAAAAGGAGCAGCTGCGTCGACCTGGCAAGCCTGTGATTAGGTGATGATGTGGCCGAGGCTAAGTGGAGAACATGCCACACCCGAGCCCTTCCTCATCAGTGCAGCTTAGAGCACCCAGGGCCCAAGCAAAGGTGACGGGGAGGGGCGGGGGTGTTTCATGCAGGGATTTGACAGCAAGGATGTGCCTGCAGGATTATTTACCCTTTTTCCTGGAGGCCCCGATGGACCTGGTTCACCAGTAGGGCCGGGGGATCCCTGGTATTGGGAGAAAGAACAGAGTGTGAGGAATTGGGGCCCGTTAGACTCAATTGAGGCAAAACACATGGCGATTTCAGTCTATTTACTCCTCGGCCAGCCCTGCGGCCGCCTCTCTCTTCTTTTGGGGCTAGCACAGAGGGTCCTAAGACAGTGTCGCACCCGGGCTGTGACAGCGTAAGGAACCCCAACTCCCATCCTGCGGGTTTTCTGCATTTTGGAAGAGAACTTCCCCACTCACAGTGCTGACTCTTGATACACAATGACGGTTCGGTCCCCACCACAACCTGGGCAGGGACGAGGCACTGGCATCCCCTTTCACAGAAGGGGGGACAAGAATCGTCCCAGGACACAGGCCGGGAAGTGGTGGACTGGGGGTGTCTGTCAGGGAAATCCAGCCCGAGGCTAGATCCCTAACCCCTTCTCTGAGTGGACGCTCCTCTCAACTCAGTGACATGGCCTTTGCCCTCAGGTCCGCAGTCCCCCGCGCTTGGCCAGGCTGGGTGCAAGGTGGGGCAAGGGCATCTGCAAGGCCTCAGGGGCCTCCTCCAGGCCCAGTCCTGCCCAGGGCCCATGGGGGTCGATCCGTCCCAGAAAGACGTTCTGGGCTTGAAGCGGTGTTTAAAACACTCAACGCCAAGCGTCAGATGCAACGTCCAGTGTGATCTCGGTCAAGGTAAGGCAGGAAGGGCCTGGTGAGGAGAGGCACTGGCCCTGCTAGGCAGAGCTGTGGGTAAGATCTGACGTTCCCGGGCGAGCCCATGGTGGGTCGTGGAAGCCCTGGGGCTGCCTGCAAACCTGCTGCTGAGACAGCACGTGCATCTCAGAGGGAGTTCATGAGCTCTGTCACTGTCCAGAATCAATATCATAAGGGAATCAACATCATAAGGGAATCAATATCATAAGGGAATCGATATCATAAAGGAATCAATATCAACTAGGTTGGAGTTTTTCCCAGAAATGAGTCAAGCAAGCTGCAAGGTCCCAAGAATACACTGACACCTCCACCAGGAAGCCAGCCCAGATTGTGGACTCACCGTCTGCCCGGGTTCACCATCATCTCCTTTGTCACCAGGGGGACCATCTTGACCCTATGGAGGCAAAAGCGAGCTCCTTGCTGAACCCCGGATGGCACCCTGAGTTCATGCACCAGTTCCCAATGCATCTCCAGCCCCTTCCCAAAACCCAAATCCATTCTGGTGCCAGCACAGAGCATGGTCAGTGGGGTCAAAGGCGTTTTCTTGCTCTGATCACCGGAACACGAGTGCCTTTTGGGACATTGCCTGCCCCAGTGGGAGTTCATCACAAAGAACCACCAGAAAGAGGGGAAATGGGGCTGGCAGAGGCAGGCCAGCACTGTGGGGGATCCGGTGGCTTTGCCCTCTTGAGCACCTACCGCGGGGCCAGGCTCTCCGGGGGGGCCAGGATCTCCAGGAAAACCCACTGGGCCCTGAAAGGAAGAAAGAAGGAAGCAGCCAAGGCCATCAGCAACCTGACTGAGACCACACACGGCCAATCATGTCACCACCTCAAGATGGCCACCTGCCACCGTCCAGCTCCTAAGACTTTCCAGCAGTTCCGACAACCCAGTGCACTTTATGGCCCAGAGACCCTTCCACGTGCAGCATGTCCCAGAGCCAGCAAGCCTGGCCAGTGGGCATGGCAGGGGTCAGCTGGTCTCTTGCTTTCCAGAGCCAAGCAAGGGGCAGGCGTTCCGCCCACAGGTCTATTCCTGGGAGCTCCAGGCTGCAACTAGAACCTGGACCTTCAGACTTCCGGAATGTGCCTCTCCGAAGCCCCTCCTGATGCAAAATCAGGGCCGGCCAAGGGCGGGGGCAACTTCCCAAAGCCTGGCTGTCACTCGTGCATCTCAGCCGGCCGCCTGGCCCACAGAGAAGAATCACTCAGGGCTTTCTCCTCCAGTCCACGCCCTGTCTCATCTCCACTATTTTGGTTCAGTAGCTGGTATGAAAACCTCTAGTGTCTAGAAAATTTACCCAACACATGGAATGGTCTTGAAGCTGTTCTCAGAGCAGAGTGCACCGCCAGTGAGTCAGAATGATCCCAGTGCAGAGCCCCGCCCCTGCTGCAGGGCCCCTGAGGTGTGTCTGGAATACTCACAGGGCTGCCTTTGGGACCATCATCTCCGGGAGGGCCTTTGGGTCCAGGGGGTCCGGCAGCACCTGAAGGGCCTGACTCGCCCTTCTCTCCCCTTTCTCCTTTGGGTCCCTGGAGGAAAGAGGCCAGTGTCAAGTCCTCAGAGCCAACCACGTCGCCGCCCAGAGCAAGGTGGGCCTCCCCGGTTTTCTCACCCCATTCAGACCAGCCTTTCCAAGTATCTGCTGAGCCCTGCAGGGGGCTGGCTGCCAGGTCGCTCCCCAAGCCCTGGGCAGAATCAGCTCCTGTGTGCACCCTGAGGGGGACCTGAGGAGCCTTCACTTTCTGGGGCCCTCAAAGCCTGAGATTCAGCTCTGGGTGGGAGGGACTGACTCCTGGACCAGACATCAGTCAGTGAAGACCACAAGGGGTGCCCACAGACTCCACGGATCTCATGGGGAGGGAGCAGCTAGAACCAGAAGACCCGAGTCCACCCAGCTGGTCCTGGGCCTGAAAGCCACCTTTGGGCTGGCCTCATAGTGAACATTCATCTGGCCTGAGAAGGCCTGGATATTCCTAGTCTGGCCCTCAAGGTCCGGGGGGACGAGGTGACAGCAGCTGCCCCGCGAAGGGGCCAGGAGCAAACACTACAGAGGGTAGAGTTACTGCAGGCCACTGGGCACAGGTAGCTATTGCTAGGTCTGCGTGTACATGCTGACTCCCACATCACACACCTTGTTCACGGTCATTCCATGAAATGGGCACAAGAGGGGTTACAACTCCCATTTCGTGGATGGAAAAGCTAAGGCAGAGCCAGAGCCTCCAACCCAGCACCCCGTCCACACACCCGCTCGGCCATATCCCACCCCTCCCGCAGCGCCCGCTCACTCACCGGGGGGCCGCCTTCTCCCGGAAGGCCAGGCTCACCTGCTTCGCCAGGCTCGCCCTAGGGAGACAGTGCATGTGGTTATGGCAGCGGTGAGCACCGCGATGAACGCAGTGCTACGGTTTCAAGCATTTGCCAAATCCTGCCTGCTGTCTGCCTGCCCCTGGGCACCCAGGACCCAGGGGTTTCTGGGGAGTGCTGTCCCCACACACTCCCAGAATTGGAGGTGCGTGAGGAATGTGGCAGGCACGTGATGGATACAGGGCAGAGTGTCCAGACTGCAAGCAACACTGTCTGTGAAGGCTTTCCCGGAGCGCTGCTCCAAGGGTTGTGGAGGGCAACTATGAGAAGCTGGTAAGTGGCTAGGATGGCACTCCAGGTGGGGGATGGCCAGGGCCGAGGCAGGAGGACAGGCACGCAGTCCTCAGGGACACAGGCCAGAGGGACGCAGGGAAGAGGGCATGCACAGTGGCAGCAGGTGAACAGAAACATGCGCCCTACAGCGGGGACACCAAGGAAAACACCGCCTCTCTGAGCAGAAGCCGCACACCATCACCCTGTGGTCTCAGCAGGGCATATTCCTCTTTAATTTCTGTATCATAAAAAATGAGCAGCGGTGGAAGGCGTCTTCCAATTTAATGGCCTGATTGATGTCAGAAAGAAAGCTCTGGAAACGGTGCACAGGGGGCTCAAGTGCATGGATGTACACTCTGTCTTCCCTCTTGTCCAGGGGAACTGGGAGAGGTGCTTTTGCAGTCAGGCAAATGCTGTCCCACCCAGCATGCAGGCACACACACATGCACCGATGTGCACACAGGAGCTCACACACACAGGCACACACACACACACGACTGGGTCCATGACGCTCATGGAGTCTGGGCTCCAAAACCAATCAGATCAAATGGAGAGGACCCATTTGAGAAAATAATTCGGCTGAAATGGAAACTGCAAGCTTAGAAACACCAGTTATTTAAGGAATAGATGATCTCCACCAGAGCTGAGTCTTGGAGGAGGCAGGGGCTTTGCTGGTGGGGCATCGTCTGGAAATTCTGCAAAAGGCTGTCACAAATGGACAGTCAGAGTTCCCAGTTCCATTTCACAAGCATCTGCCTACATTTCAAAATGCCCTTCATAGGAATAAACCAGCCATGCCCACAGAAATGAGTACTTCTCATCTCTGTGTACACACAGAGAGGTACACACACGTGTATGCACCCCCACAAGCGTGTGCATGCGCACATACACATACACACAGACACACACACACAGACACACACACACACTCCTCAAACAACCGCAAATCTGCCACCAGAGCAGGCACGAGCCTCACCTTCTCTCCCACTGCACCAGGGTTTCCTATTCCACCTGGGGGACCTTGTGGGCCATCAGCACCTGGAGCTCCGGAGGGTCCTCGGGGGCCAGGGGGACCCGGGGGGCCCTAGGAAAAGGGAGAGACCACTGAGCCCAGAGGAAACGCAAATGTTTCCCCAAAACATGAGCCGCTAGTACGGCAAGGCCTTGGAGTCTCAGGCACACTTACCATCTGGCCCACGTCTCCTGTCTCACCCTTCTCGCCTGGAGGTCCTGGCAAACCCTGAGAACAGGAAACTTCCCAGTTAAGCGCTGTTCTGTCATGTGTATGTCAAACACACACACAGCTTTCACGACCTCCACCCACACAGCACCACTGAGCCCCCGAAGCCCCGGGAAGGTGCTTCTCTGTGCATAGCTACCCACGAGGACGTCCCGGGGTTCCCAGTCTCAGAATCGGCCCGAGGAAATAAGCAGAGAAGATTGCAAAGATTTACGACAAAGGTGATTATGGCAGGAACCCATAAAACAATAAAGCCTAAGGAGCCAGCAGGGGACGCCTGGGTAAATTATGTCACCACCAGATGCTGGCTTACTGTGCAGTGACTAAAAATCATGTTTTCCAAATAAATAGAAAGTCATGTGTAATGGCATTCAACACACTCGTAACATAAAACGGGAATGGAGGATGGAAAATGGGGAAAGCTGGGAACAAACTTTCTCTCTGACTTATGACATGATTCATTGTCAAACACCAAATACAATTACATATGCGCCTCTGTGCATGAGAATACACACATTTAAAAGGCATGGCCATGAAACATGCCCAAATGTTTATCGTTGTCATCTCTAGGAGGTGCATTTAGAAGTCACTGTTACTATGTTTCTCACGAATCATCAGTTTCCACAATGAGCACAGAAATAAATGCCACTGCTGAAGTGTGGTAAATGCGGGCATGTCTGGAATTCTGGGAAGCTACAGCACTTCCAGTTGGAATGAGGAGGCCCAGGAGGCCCCCTGCAGCCTGGCTTTAGTTTTCCATTCTTAAAAAGACAAGAGGAGAGAGCACAATGAAGACACAGGGGGCGTCAGAAGCGGAGGAGCCCGGTGTGGTGAGAACCCCACAGTTACCTGCAGCCCCACTGGCCCAGGGGGTCCAGGAAAGCCTCTGGGACCTTCATCACCTTTCTGCCCGAAAAGGCCCTGCTGGCCCCGAGGCCCCGGCTCGCCGTCAGCTCCCTGCAGGGAAATAACCGGCCATGGGTGAGGATGCTGGCAATGCCAGCAGCTCTGGGGGGGCGTGGGGCTTTTCGAAGGTCATTGACCATGGATACTCACAGAGGGGCCTGGCTGTCCGATGGGGCCTTGAGGACCTGTAGGCCCAGGAGGACCCTGCGGGGAACAAGACAGAGACATAGGTAGCTTCTTGGATCGTGGATAAGGCTGAGGGAGGGGTGGACCGCATCCTGAGCCCGGGGACTGATGCATCCAACGTCGTCAGTTCAGTCTCCAAATGTGTCGTTCCTTGCACCACGATGCAAGCCTGCTGCAGGCTCTGGGAAGCAGATGAGGATCTTGGTTCCACCCTGAGCCCATTTCTGGATGGCAAAGAGCTGCCCCCAATGTCTCTCGAGACCACCGTGTGTCATCTCAGCTCCCATCATGCACCCACAACAGGGGCACGTGAGGCCCCCTTCAACAGTGAGGGTCCAGGATCACAAGCTCCTCTGGAGCCCTTGCGCCCAGCACCATGTCCCCTGCTGTGCCATCCTCAAGAGACCTCCCGCATGGGACCATGGGAAGGAGGCAAGCAAGGAGGGTACAGTGCCCTTGGCCCTGGTAGCCCAACCCACGGCTGGAAGAAGGACACAGCCTCTGTGGCAGGCCTCCCAGGAGCACGGATCCTGCTTGCCTAGGAATCAACATACTGGGGGAAAGGCCTGGCTGTACAGGATAAGAAGACATGTCACTCATCGGGAGGGAGCTGGTAGCAGAGTCATGGGGTTTTTGCAAGAACCCACTAGGATTTCTGAACAGATGAAAAAACCAAAAGGGGAAAAATGAACAGGCATTTGGTCAATGGTGCTGTCTCTGCCGGAGCATTCTGGTTCCCTCACCTCAGAGGGCAATGGGTGTGTCTGCAGAACCCAAGCCCTCTAGGACAGAAACACTCCATTTATTTAATTTCGCAAAACCGGTGGATGCTTCCTGTTCATTCTAACACAGAGAGACTCACTCCCAGATATGCACGCGTGTGCACACACACACGTTGTGGGAACACACATGCACGGGAGATTTTCACAGCATGTCCCGCTAGTCATCAGCAACGTTGGAAGAGAACGTGCATGGCACACGGCCTACAGCCTGCGACGAGGCCCCCCGGGACCTGGGGGCTGCCGCGCGCCCCCGTGCCAATACTTACCTGTTCTCCTTTGTCCCCCTTGCTTCCTTTCTGCCCCGGCTCCCCGATCTCTCCCTAGGGGAAGGTGTGGGGGATTCGGTTAGAAAGCTTGACAACCGTTTGGACCTTTTCTGTTCCCCGTAATGAATTTTTCTTGGAGATTAAGAACAGTGTCCTTTCCAGGTGGCCCTAAAACTTTCCTACGAATAAATGTTTCCATATATTAGCTTGATTTCCTTTTTAATACAAGGGCTAAAAGGGACGAGGTCTCGATCTGATGCTCGACAGGCTTTTAGTAGACTTGAAGATGTGGGAAAAGTCATATTGAAAATATTTACTCTGTTTTTCAAATTGGGCCACTACCATGACAACCTAACAACAGGCAACTCAATTACTATGTTGCCGAAGAAGTTATTAAAATCCTCTCTGTTGTTCCTGTCGGTGCAAGGCTGTCTCCCGCCCGGAGATGTAAGGCATTATCCATGCAGAGGTGACAAAGTCAGAAATGTCCCCAGAGAGGGGTCATCAATAGAAAGTTACAGCACAGCGAAATTTCACTGTCTGCGTTAAATGAAGGATAAAATGCAAGCTCCTGCAGCCATCGTTTTGGAATTATAAAGCACATTCTTAATGAACGGGAGCCTGGATAATTCAAGCGGAGACATTTAAAAATAGATACTGAGCAAAACCTCATTAAACCGGGCTCCGCAGTTTCGGAATTTGAAATTATTCGGGGGGACCGGGGAGCATTTTTCTCTGCTGTGGCTACTCACAGCAAATGTTGCAGGCAACCTCAAAATGACACAGGAGGGTGTGGTTTCTAAGTCCCTCGAGCGTGCCGGGGACGGCGTGTATTACCATTTACCAGTGGGCTGCTGTGAAATCATCCCCTAATGCCAGGACTGCGGGGTGGGTGTGGCATCACTCCGCTGGCTGAGCCGCTCTACCTGCCAGCATCCTGTCCTTTAAATTCACCACCCTCCCCCACACCCGTCTGCCCAGCCAGGCCCAGCCATGGGTCACTCTGGATTTGCCTTACCTTATCTCCGTCTTCTCCAGGGGGACCCACAGGGCCAGCTGGACCCGGGAGCCCCACAGGCCCCTGGAGACCGTCTCGGCCAGCTGGGCCTTGTGGGCCTTTCTCGCCCTAGAGAATACAGAAGATCTCAGGTCAAACGTGGCTCCAACCTGGGAACATCCCCCCACCAGCTCATTACCCAAGAGAGGGATCCGCTGGCAGGAAGTGGGAGTTGGTGAGGGTGACCGTCCCCACAGTCCTAATGGATTTCAGCCAGGGCCACTGAGGGCCGACTCTGAGCCCGCCCCTGGACCATGAACTTCTGGTGCATCGCTTCAATTAATCCACACTCATCCTAGGAAAGGCTGCTCTTTTACAGATGGGGAAACTGAGGCACAGTTAGTGAGCAGTAGAGACAGGATCCAAATCCAGCCGGCCAAATTCTTGAGCCTGTATGTGGATTGTCTAAGCTAGTGACCGGGAGCCAAGCCCAGTCACCAGGATAGCCTGAGCTCCAGCTTTCACCAGCTTTCTGATTCTTTACATTCTCTGCAGACACTCTCCCTGCACACACACACAAGGACATGCATGCTCACACATGAAGACATGTACGCACACACATGTGCATACATGCACACATGTGAACACGCCTATGTACACAGGTATGCATGCATGCACATGCATGTGCACAAAACAAGCATACTCGCATGTGCACACGTGTGAATATGCACCAACATGTGCACACGTGTGAATATGCACCAACATGTACACACAAGGACATATAAAGAAGCACACTGACATGTATGTGCATGCATACATGAGTATGCACGCACAGGTACACACACAGGACATGCTTGCAGGCATACGCACACACTATTTTTCCTGTCCTTGTAACTTTGATTCATTTTCCTCCTAACTGCCTGCTTGGTAATCTCAAATGATCCTTCTTAAGTTCTTGCTTTGCTCAGTTTGACCAGCCATCGCATCACTCTGTGAGCAGCCTATATTTTCTCACTGCAGACAGGGATCCCTATCTTCCGACAGATACACAGAAGGAGGGTGTGCACATTGGGAAGGGAAACATGGAATAGAGAATGTACATTCAATGTTCTGGTCTAAATGTAGCCGGGATTTAGTCATCCATCACTATTTCGTCTTACCATTCCTCCCTCCACAATTCATGTCCTGCTCCTCAAACTGAGCTCCTATTCATAGAAATGTCTACCCTACTTAAGCCAGAGAATGCAAAGACCACGTGTGGGGCTTTTGTGGAAGCTTCCTGTCCTACATTCCTGGTCAGGTCGGGAGTTCTCAGAGACGTCCAACCTTTGCTTGGCCTTTCCTTCCCTCTGGAGCTATTCTGGGAGGATGACGAGCTTCTGCCTGGATAGAGCAACTCTTGCAAGGTTTCTGCTCAAATATTTACTCTCTTGAAACTGTGAACCAAGCCATTTCCAGCTGACTTTGTGTGCACTCTATACACTGACTGCCCAGTTGGCTTCAGTTTTCTGGCACAGAATCCAGCTGGATCCATGTCCTGGGTGCCTCACTGGAAATGATTAGAAGACACCAAAATTGCCAATAATGTATTGAACAGATTCTCAATGGCCCAGATGTTTCCAATGTGGTTTCCAGGGAAGTTCCTGCCCAGGGAATGTAGGCTGTTCCTGCCACCCATGAGCCACTGAGAGTGAAACGTACAAGAAAATCACAGTTTCTGGCTGGGCGCAGTGGCTCACGCCTGTAATCCCAGCACCTTGGGAGGCTGAGGCGGGTAGATCACTTGAGGTCAGGAGTTCGAGACCAGCCTGGCCAACATGGCGAAACCCCATCTCTACTAAAAGTACAAAAGTAGCCGGGTGTGGTAGCACACATCTGTAATCCCAGCTACTGGGGAGGCTGAGGCAGGAGAATTGCTTGAACCCAGGAGGTGGAGGTCACAGTGAGCCGAGATTGCGCCACTGCACTCCAGCCTGGGTGACACAGCAAGACTCCATCTCAAAAAAAGAGAAAGAAAACAGCTTTCTAACAATCAGCACTCAGACCTAACTCAATTTGAGATGGTCTGCACCGATTATCTGCCAATTCCCCTGGAGAACTCAAGCTCATTCTGACCCTCTGTACTGGGAAGGAGAAGTTGAGATTAAATTGGTCTCCAGAGCTGATTGAATGCAGAGGTAGGGGACACTGCAAAATTGTGTGGCAGAAGCCAAATACGGGTCAGGGTGGACCACTTCTGGACGGTAAGTGGCATTTTGTGGGTTATTCACGAAAGCAGGCTAGCAGGAAGCATCTAGGCAAAAAGGGCGCTCGCTCATCTCCTTCTTGGAGACCAAGATCTGGGTGGCCTCAAGACATGCTCCTCCCCACTCCCGAGGCTTCACAAAGCCTGCAAAATTCGGGGCTTACCAGCAGGTGGGCTTTCCTGGACACAGAGGGAGGCGCCTTGTCTTTCCGTTATCCACCCATCCCCTGCCCCTTCTTTGCTGGACATCTGCTCTCTACACCTGCCCCCCAACCAAGAAACAGGACTCCCCGGTTCCAAACATCCTTTCCTAGGAAGAGCCCAGCCATGGGTCTGGGCCAGCAGCAGGGAACAGTTCACACAGTGGGCAGCTGTGGCCCGACCACACAGGTGGCACTGAGGCTGGACGGAGACCAAGTCCACAGCGCACTGACTGTCTTCGGCCCCTTCCTCTGTCCACGCATGTGGGGAACACCAGCATGCACGCGTGGACAGGCTGAGACCGGCCCAACATCATCCCACAGGGCTCCTCTGGCTCAGCTGATGGCGGAAAGAATGTGGCCGGCACCAGGACTCCTCCTGTGCTCCTCAGGCAGGTCACCAGGTTCCCATGGGACACACGCTCTGTCCTAGAGGGCCGCAGACCCCACCCCATCCCCAATCCCAAGGAAATACCCCTGGGGACATCACAGGGGGAGGGACAAGGCCAGACACGGAACGACCCCAGCATCTCTGAGGGAAGGGCTCCCCCAATCCAAGGCAGTACTTACAGGAGCCCCTTTCTCTCCTGCCGGCCCTGGGGGTCCCTGGGGCCCAGGTCTCCCTGGAATTCCGATGGGCCCAGCGGCTCCAGCTGGACCTCTCTCCCCTGGAGATCCCTGAGGTGGAGCAAGAAAACAGTCTGCTTCAAAGGCTCTCAGACTGCGTGGTCGTGACTTTGTAAAGCACCAGCTGATCACTCCACTTACCTGCTCACTCTAGAGCCCACAGTGGCTCCCTATGGCCCTTTGCAAGCACAGACTACCTGGTCTAGCGTTCGGGGCTCTGTGTCTTCCTGTAACTCCAAGCTCCCAGGTGCTCCTCCCCCTGGTGTCTGACAGTGTGCCCTGTGGTGTGCTTGCCTTCAATGGGCTCCCTCTTCTAGAAGCCTGGCACCCCCTCCCCTTGAGGGTCTGCCCACGGGGCACCCTCTCTCCTCCAGGGCCCACATGTCTGTGAGGCACCCCCTTCCCTCTAGAGCCCACGGGGCACCCCCTCTCCTCCAGGGCCCACATGCCTGCAGGGCAACCCCTCCCCTCCAGGGCCCCCATGCCCATGGGGCACCCACTCCCCTCTCTGCTGTGCTCCTCCATGGGGTGCGTTTTCTAGGGGATGCCTTGCCTGGGGGCTGGCATATGGATGGGTGGGTACCTGGCCTAATCGTGAGGGCCATCCTGCCCAGTGGGCCCCCGCCGTGGGCAGCCTGGCTTTAGCGTGCATCTTCAGAGTCCCTGCAGACCCGTGTCTGTTTCTTCCCCTGCTGGCCCAGCCCAGACCCACGATAGGTGTGTAGGCTTTCTCCTTGCTCCTCCAGGGAGCATGCTCCACAGGCAACACAGAGTGGCTCCTCCCGCCCTCCAGGCTGCCCAGCACTCTCCTTTCCTCGGTGTGCCCCTGGGACCCTTCGTCATCCTGGCTGCCAGCTTGGGATGCGCCGTCCGCATCTCCCTGAAGGCCATTTTCCCCCCTCCACATCCTCCCCAGGCTCCTCGGGGGTCTGGGGCAGCTGCATGCTCTGGGCTCTCGGGGACTGCCCCTTCTGACCTGGAGAGTAGGATTCAAGAAAGAGGATGGGACAAAGGCTTTGACTCACCGCAGGGCCTGGTGGGCCAGGGGGCCCTTCATTGCCTTTCAGTCCAAGAGCTCCCTGCAAAGCCATGAAAAGGTTGGTCAAGGGCACGTGGGGAGAGGCCTCCAGGGCTGCACCTGTCCCATTTCATTCCCCGCCTGGCCTCTCACTCACCACTGGACCAGGAAGCCCTCGGTCCCCAGGGAAACCACGTAATCCTGGAGGGCCATCTTTCCCAGGGAGGCCTGCAGGGCCTGGGTCACCCTGAAAACAGAGTCAGAGATGAGCTTTCCTGGAGCCAGTGACGCAGACCTCTCACCAGCCCCAGAGCGAAGCCAAGGGCTGGGGCCTTCTCTCTTGGAGCCAGCAACGCAGACCTCTCACCAGTCCCAGAGCGAGGCCAAGGGTTGGGGCCTTCTCTCCTGGAGCCAGCGACACAGACCTCTCACCAGCCCCGGAGCAAGGCCAAGGGTCGGGGCCTTCTCATCAGACACTCCTGGACTTGGGTTGGATTGGGCTTCTCCTGGCCACTTTTCAGAGTCGTGACTGGACTCAGCAGCCCACACGTGGGAGCACAGCCTGAGCCTCCACCTGGAAGCCACGCTCATCTGGCGGGCTCTGCGTGCAAATCTGACTCTACCCCTGCTCCACGGAGTTCCGGGGTCCTTCCTCCCAAGGCCCTTAAGGGCTACGATGGGCCATGTGGGAGCTGAGGGCACGTCTATCTTTTCCATAGATTTGGGGCTCCTTGTAAGACCGTGCTCAGACAAAGAAATCCATGGTCGAAATAGCATTAAAAGCATCGTCCTAAATGGACTTATCACTTAAGGAACTTCTTCAAGCCCGAAACCACATTTTCTGAAAAAAAGTCACCCCTTAGCCTCGACTTTCCCTGAGGTACAGTAAAGCTTTGATATCTTCCAAAATGTTCTCTGGGGTCCAACATGGAGCACAGTGCTGTTTTCAAACGAGCAGGTCAAATGCCCGTGGCCGCCTTTCCAAGCTCGGAGAGCTCTCTTTGTGTCTAGAATACACACACGTGTGCATGTACACATGTGTATTTATTCCTATATCTACATGCACACCCGGGTGTGTGATTTTTTTCAGTATTTCTTCATTTGCTTCACTTTATTATTTTTCAGGTTTACTCTTCTGTGGTCCTACAGGCTGGAGAGCTTGCCTTTGTTGCATTCCTTATTGAAGAGCTGAAAGGGAAGGGCTATTTTTGTGCTAACACAGCAAGTTATGGCCAGTGAACCTGGGGCGCCCAGGGGAGGAGATATGAAAAGGGGGCAGTTGGAGCTGGCACCAAGAGGTGGGATAAAAACACGTTTGCTTTTCACTTTTATAATTTCTCAGGCTCTTGGGGTGAGGGCTGTTTTTTTTTCTTTTTTTTGAGATGGAGTCTCGCTCTGTCGCCCAGGCTGGAGTGCAGTGGCGCGATCTCGGCTCACTGCAAGCTCCGCCCCCCGAGTTCACACCATTCTGCTGCCTCAGCCTCCCGAGTAGCTGGGACTACAGGCGCCCGCCACCACACCCAGCTAATTTTTTTGTATTTTTAGTAGAAACGGGGTTTCACTGTGTTTTTTGTTTTTTGTTTTTAAAAACAGAGTTTCATTTGTGTTAACCAGGCTGGAGTGCACTGGCACGATCTTGGCACACTGCAACCTCCGCCTCCCGGGTTCAAGCGATTCTCCTGCCTCAGCCTCCCAAGTAGGTGGGATTACAGGTGCGCACCACCACACCCAGCTAATTTCTGTATTTTTAGTACAGATGGGGTTTCGTCATGTTGGCCAGGCTGGTCTCAACTTCCTGACCTCAGGTGATCCACCTGCCTCAGCCTCCAAAAGTGCTGGGATTACAGGCGTGAGCCACTGCACCTGGCTGGGGTGAGGGGTTTTTAAAAGGACCACTTTCTGCTAAACGTGTTATGGACACATGAAGTCCCAGAGCTTTTTATCCATTTCTGGGAGCAGGGCTGGCAGCTGGGGAGAGAGCAGAGGGTGGAGGATGGTGGTGACCCCTGCGCTCCCCCTTCAAGCCCATCCCTGAGCAGGTCAGCGCGACTCCTGGAGTGAATCAAGGAAAAGTGAGCAAAACGTGCGGTCTGGGGAGTGAACCGGCATGAGAAGCGTCTGTTTGACGAATTACCCATTCATCAGAAAAGGGCAAGAAAAACACAAAGTCCCAAAATGATTCCTGAGGAAACGCCTGAGCTGACACAGAAGGCTCCAGAAACTCACCTTCGTCCCTTCTTTTCCAGCAAGGCCCGGAAGCCCCTGTTCACCGGGGGGTCCAGGGGGCCCAGGGTGGCCACGCTCACCCATTGGGCCCGTTTCTCCCGTGGGACCCTGTGGGGAAAATCAGTGTCAGCCACAGACGTTTCGAGTGACTTGCAAGGGAGTGAGAATCTCTTCCTAAATCTAAGGACAGCCCTGGTCATGGACGCAAAGGTCTGCTGCGGGCACACCAAACCTCCAAGTGCCTTTGCAAGCCTTCTCTTCCCGGCAAAAATCTAGAGGGTGGGTGTTGGTACGCTGCTCACTGCCTGGCATCTGCTGGGCCCCGCGTGGCCCTCTTCCCCCACCTGGCGCCTTCAGGAGGCACGGCCAAGCCTGCCTTCCTGGGATGTGCCCTGAGGGAGGCTGATTCAGCCACAGGACAGGCCAAGGATGGGAGAAAAGCCACACCAGGGGCAGAGCCCACATGCCCTTCAGTTCTGTGGCTGCAGCAGGTCTACGTCTTACTCACCGCTACATGAGGTGTGCGCTTTCTAGGACACAAGGTGACCCCTCCCCGTTCTGCAGCTCTAAGCCATCAATCCTGGCTCTAAGCTGCCCCTGACACTGATCTGCCACTGGTCTGCGGTTAGAATCGCAGGCCCGTGACACCCACAGGGACCAGTGGCAGGAGGACTCGGCTGCCTTGGACACCCACAGCAGGGATGAGCCCAGCTCCTGAGCTGGCCCAGGTCTGGCCCCAGCCACCCTGTGAGCCTTGGGCAGCCTTCCTTGCCCTGCGTGTTGGGTTTGTGTTGAGGGCAAACACATCTGTGCTTGCTCCTGCGTGGGGCGAGCCTCACGCTGACCAACATTCAGGACCTAAGATAACCTCTCAGCAGTACCTGCACCTCCGGAATCGTGGAGGGAACAGATGCCCGGGCTGGGACCCTCTTCCCTGTGGGCAAGTGACACCGAGTGACCCATGGAATCTGGGAAGGCTGGAGCTTACCTGAGGGCCGACCACGCCGGGGGGGCCTGGAGGGCCGGTCTTGCCTTGGAAACCCTGTGAAGAGAGAGTCACTGCACTGACGGTGCTGCAGTGGCCTGCGCCACCCTGCCCTGCACTGTTCTCAGCAGGACGCTTGCCCCCCACCTCCCTTCCCCCCAGAGTAGATGTTCCAGACTTTGTGTAAGAGGCCCATGTCTCTTGTTTCATTTTTTTTTTTTTCAGATGGAGAGTCTCGCTCTGTCGCCCAGGCTGGAGTGCAGTGGCTCGATCTTGGGTCACTGCAACCTCTGCCTCCCAGGTTCAAGTGATTCTCCTGCCTCACCCTCCTGGGTAGCTGGGATTACAGGCACACACCATCACACCTGGCAAATTTTTGTATTTTTAGTAGAGACAGGATTTCACCATGTTGGTCAGGCTGGCCTCGAACTCCTGACCTCGTGATCCACCTGCCTCAGCCTCCCAAAGTGCGGGGATTACAGGCGTGAGCCACCGTGCGTTTGCACTAATTTCACGAGGGTAACGAAGCCACACAAGCTCATCTCACTGGCTGCTCTCCTGCCTCTGCATCTTTAGGCCGACGCGATTCGCCTTTATCATGTCACCAAACGCTCCTTTTCTGAGTTGGCTTGGTGCCCTTTCTGGACCCGCGACTACCTCTGGCTGTTTCTCAGCAGTGGCTCTGTGACGACTGACCTGCTTTGGCGTGAACGCCTCTGATGCACGACGGGTGACTCTGCCCGCGTGCTCCTCAGCATGTATTTAAAACAGGCAAGAGCGAGGGCCAGCTGCTTTCATAACTCGGCAGCTTGGATGCGTTATTTTTAGCTTGATTCAGCGGGAATATCTCACGCCCGCTCTGCATGCTCACGCGTAGATAACGATCCTGGCTTGGCTGTGGGTGTCGCCACGACTTCTGTACTCTCCCTCAAAGGAGAAAGATGACCTTAAGGCAACATAAGCTTCTTTTCCAGGCACGTCTGCAGAGCATGACAGGTGCCAGCGAGAAGCCATCTGCAGGTGCCACATGACACTGGTGGAGACATGCACACCTTCTACCCGGAGGCCTCGAGGCAAACTCTAGACGCTGGAGGAGAAGGTGGCTGGCCCTGAGGCCAAGCTAGGGCTGGAGGGTGAGCGGCCTCAGGCCTGGGCTCACTGACTCACTGTCCAGCAGTCAGAGGCAAAACCTCACACCAAGCCACGGGGCCACATGAACCCACAGCAGACTAGCTTCTTTTTTTTTTTTTTTTTTTTTTTTGTTTGAGACAGAGTTTCACTCCTGTTGCCCAGGCTGGAGTGCAATGGCACGATCTCGGCTCACGGCAGCCTCCACCTCCCGGATTCAAGCGATTCTCCTGCCTCAGCCTCCTGAGTAGCTGGGATTACAGGTGCCTGCCACCATGCCTGGCTAATTTTTGTATTTTTAGTAGAGACGGGGTTTCACCATGTTGGCCGGGCTGGTCTCAAACTCCCGACCTCAGGTGATCCGCCCATCTCGGCCTCCCAAAGTGTTGGGATTGCAGGCGTGAGCCACTGTGCCCAGCCCAGACTTAGCTTCTTTGCAAACTCTAGGAGGGCTCGCCTCTTTAAGCCCAGCTCAGCTGTGGGCTAGAATGATCGTTTCTAATGTTCATTGCACTTATGGGGTCAGAAGTAAGGAACGGTGGATGGGTGTCAAGGGCATGCCCTGCTCAGTGGACCCGGGGAGAAGAGCTCAAGAGCCTGAAGGGAGATCGGAGCCTTGGTTAAGTTTTGCTAATGTCAAAGTTAACACGAAACAAAAAAGGCCTCCCCAGGGCCCTCGGCCACCCTGGCTGTTGAGGACAGAATATGACCTTAGCCCTTTGCTGAGAAATAAGTTTCTGGCTCACATTTAGGAGAAATAATGACCGTTGGTGTTTCATATTTTTAAAAAAGAAGGAAATCAACACTGCAGAGAAGCTCTTTCTGGAAGGCTTGTCTGGACTAGCCCATGGAGGAGATGCTATGTCCCAAGTGGCTCTCAGAGACACAGGCATCACTCCAGCGCCATGTGTCTAGAGAGGTGGCCGGGGTGGCAGAAGGCAGCCGGAAGTACATGTGCAACTTTCTGAGCAGAGACAAGCAGCTTAATTCTTTCACCAGCCTCCGTCCAGAATAAGTCAGAGGGAGAAAAGCACATAATATGTAAAACCTTCTATCTTGTCTCCTTGAAAAGGCATTAGAGAAAAATATGCAAAGCTCAGAAGAAATGTTTTAATTTTTCTCTATAAACAAAAGAGCAAAGCAATCTCCATTTATCAGGCAGCATGCGCCGTGCAGAACACCAGTGAAGGTATAATTAAAAGAGGTTTCATCACGATGAACCAAAGAGAGACAAAGGGGATTTTTTCAAAGCAGGCATGGAGAATATATTCAACAGGGCACTCAGAGACCCATTCCACGAGGGGACCTGCTTTTGCTGGGAGAGTCCTGTAGAGACCTTGATCCCTAGAAACCTGGCTGCAGGGACCCTTGCAGTGATCCTGGCATGCCCCTCACTCTCCTCTGTGGGAAATGTTTGCATCTGTGCAATTCATCCTTTAAGCTGGACAGAGTAGGTGGGCACTCGGAGAAGGAACACAGCGTGGTGACGAGGAAGTCACCCGACACTGCACGTCCCCAGATATTCAGAGCCTGGAGCCCCAAGCTTGTAGGTGTGGGCCAGGTTACAGGCGTGCCTGCACCCTTTCCTGAAACACACCTTTAGGGAGCTGGGCCAAATTTCGAAGGGCTGATGGGGCCAGGAAAATGATCCCATTTCTGATGAGGGCTTTTTCTCCCAACTGAAAACACTGGAGTCCTTTCTGGTCTGGATGAAGTAGCCTGTGATATGCATTTCTAAAGTGAAGGGCAAGGTCAAAGGGGAGTCTCTGACTACAAAGACCATGTGCCCAGCGGAGTGACTAGTTAGAGGCCACTTCCACCTGACTGGCGCTTGTTTTCTTTAGTGTAAAAAGGGACATTGCAGGCATCCTCCAGACCCCCTGGATTGGAGCTGGAAGGGCCCGGGTGAACGTGGGTGGGGTTGGTGCATGGCCCACAGCCGCCCTCTTGAAGTATTGCAGCATCGAATGACTGAATGACGCTGAGTAACATGTAGACCCTTTCCCAGCACTTTCTCAATTAAAAGACGTATCCCTCAAGCGGGGTAGCACTCAGCATTATTCTAGAGGGAAAATAAGGCTGGATGCATGAGGCTTCAGTCGGCCCAGGATAATCTGTGTGTGTCTTTAAATGTGGCCTCTCACCAAAGTTTCCAAAACCAGCCCAAAGCCAACACCTGCCTTCTGCCCACAGATGCCATAAGGCGCTGCCGGCCTGCATGACTGCTCTGCCCTGGCCCTGCCTCACAGCCTGGCTCTGAGTCAGCGGAAGCCGGCCCGGCCCTTGGGAGCCTTTCTGAGGCCAACCTGTCTCTCCCAGGCCAGGAGGGTCCTAGATGGCGCTGGGCAGCGAGGGCTGTGCCCACGTGCAGGGTGGTCAGAGAGCCAGCCAGCCACGTCCCCCAGCACCCTCGATACTCACAGTCTCGCCTCTCTGTCCAGGGTGTCCTGGGAGTCCATCCTTGCCTGGAGGGCCCTGAAGAAAAAACCAAAGGAAAGGAGGTTCATTCGTGTCTGAGAAGCAACCACCTTTGAGAATTAATGCCACGTGGAGTGACCGTTATTTCCATGGCTCCTGCCCCTGCACATCCTCTGAGAAAAGCAATCACCTGGCAGGCACGGGGACAGTGACAACAAATCTAAAGCTGTCCTTGGCTCCTGCCTGTCCTCGTACAAAATCCTCACAACTGCCCCATGGGACGTGCTGTTGTCACCCTCATCTACCAAGGGAGAAACCGAGGCATAAGAGGCCAGTTGGTATCCTGAGGTCCAGCCAGCAGGTGACACAGCCGGTGCCAGGACCCAAGTCTGTCCAGTTGCAAAGTCCAACCTCCTCCCACCAGCCCCGCCATGCCTGCTGGGTCATAATCCCACTGCTAGATGGTTGTCCATACTGGAGGAGATACATCACACCTGCCATAAGGCGACGTGTGTCCCCAAAAAGGACATGTGGAAGCTCTGACCCCCAGAACCTGTGCCTGTGACCTCACTTGGAAATGGGGTTTTTGCCAGTGTAACTGAATTAGGATGAAGCCAACCTAGATGGGTGTGGGCCCAGCCCAGTGACTGGTGTCCTTATAAAATGAAAGAGATGGCCGGGCGTGGGGGCTCCGGGCACGGTGGCTGTAATCCCAGCACTTTGGGAGGCCGAGGCAGGTGGATCACCTGAGGTCAGGAGTTCGAGACCATCCTGGCCAACACGGTGAAACCCCATCTCTACTAAAAATACAAAAATTAGCTGGGTGTGGTGGCGCATGCCTGTAATCCCAGCTACTCGGGAGGCTGAGGCAGGAGAATGGCTTGAACCCAGGAGGCAGAGTTTGCAGTGAGCCGAGATCGAGCCAATGCACTCCAGCCTGGGCGACAGAGCGAGACTCTGTCTCAAAAAACAAAAAAAGAAAGAGATTAGAAGACAGAGAGACACAGACGGAAGTCCACGTGAAGATGGGGGCAGTGGCCAGGGTGAGTGTGCACAGGCCACTGGGTGCCAAGGACTGGCAGCAGCTACCAGCCCCCGGGAGAGGCCTGGTACCCCATCTCCCCTAGAGCTTCCAGAAGGTGCCAGCTCTGACTGACCACACTTTGCTCTCCAACTTCTGGCCCCCAGGGCTGTGACAGAAGAGCCACACCCAGTTCTAAGCCAGTTCCTGGTCATTTGTGATGGCGGCCCCAGGGCACTAACACAGAACTCAGAGAAAATCACTTCAGTCTCAAGGAGAGAGGACCCCAGCGTGCAGCCCTCTCCAGTGCCAGCGGGCCCGGCAGTGGGACACAGCCACAGACTGCCCCACAGCCGCCTTGGCGGTGGGGGGGTCTCCCCCTCATCTGACCAGCCAGAATTTCACCTCGGGCCTCCCTCCACCCACCGGCCACTGTGAGGAGCTCCGAGCAGACCTCAGAGAAAACAGGCGGGTTTTGGAGGGGACAGGTGGGTTTTGGAGGGGACAGGCAGTGCTGGCCCAGCAAGGAAGCCATTACTTACAGGGGGGCCCTTTGGTCCAGGAAATCCTGTGGGTCCTTGGGGTCCATTGGGTCCCTGGGAACAGAGAAAGGCCAGTTTGAGGACAAGAGGTCTCTCCCGAGCAGCTCCTGCCGCTGACCTGCCTGTGCCGGTGGCTCTCTGAACGCAGGTGTCATTTCTTCCCACCCCCATGGCCTTTCCTCCATTATTCCAGCCCCTCCCTCACCCTGCCTCACCCTCGGGGGCAGGATGGGGCCCAGGACCCATTTCCTGTCATCTCGGCCACTCCCAAACCCCAAGACCAGGGCTGCGGTCGAGGCCCCTGACCTACGGAAGAGTTCACTCCCAGGGCGTGACCCACCCTTGGGATCTTAGGAAAACCCTACCCTTCAGCAGGGTCTGAGGCGTGCCTCCCTGGCCCCAGCCCACCCCAGGACAAAGTGCAGGGGGCATTCGAGGCAGGCTCTGCCCTTGGAGACACCCCCGAAGGCTCCAGCTGCTTACCCGTTCACCAGGAGGGCCAGCTGGGCCGTCACCTCCGGAGTTGCCCTTGAGAGGGAAGGAGAGGGGGGAAAAGCTTATGATTGTTATTATTTGGATGAAAAGACTCTGGCCCACAACGTCATCAAAACGTCTGAGTCAAATATTGCCTGTGTGCACCCCTGAAGGTGGCCCTGACCCTCAGTAAGGGGCAGAAGGCATTGGCGCTGATCTGTGGCTATCAAAGCCTGCCTGTCCCCGTGCCTCTGCATGCAGCTGACAGCCCAGTGTCTACAAGGCTGGACATTTCCAGAACAGTCTCCTGAGTGGGACAAAGGCTGTGCCCCAGCCTCGAGCACCTGGAAAAGTCATGCAAAGGCAGAACGCAGGGACCCGCTCTAGGGCCACCCCCATGTGACAGCTGCTGCTCTGAGTTCTCATAGGTGAGCCTCAGGTCAGGTCACGGGGCACACGAGAAGTGCCCCAGAGCTTGTCCTGGAGGAGTTCAGGGTGGCCTGTGGGTGCATTCCGGTCAGCCGAGGGACGGGCCAGCTCGGCCCCTCAGCCCTTGGAAGACTCATCCCAGCAGGAACCCGCTCTGGAGTGGCATCCTGGACAGGTAGGAGTAGCCTGCCTGCTGGGTCTGTGTCCAGATTCTCCACCCAAGGAGTGGCTTCAATGCCCCTCGGTGGGAAGAATGTGCATGAGGCCGGCCTGGGCCTTCCCCTGCCAGAAAGCACTTTCTGTAGGTTCTGGTAGAGGCCTCTGCAGCTCTCAAACCCCTTTCAAGAGAGGAAATGGGGCCTCCCGACCAGGGCGGGTGAGTCTGCGGTGGGCCTGGCCCCCTGCTGCCGTCTTTGGGGTCCCAGGTGTTGGGGCGAGGCCCTGTCCCTGCTCTGCTGGGGCCACTTCTCATGACCATCGTTCTCAGCCACTTAATTACATCTGATCTGAGGCATCCAGAGGCTGCTGGAGGGGACAAGCTTCTTAAACACACCTAAGAAAATGTCCTGCCTTTTTTTTTTTTTTTAATAAAAAAGGTCACAGACACCCTCAGACGCTCCACGTCTCTGTAGCCTTGCAACTTGGGTTCACGCCGCCCACCGCCCAGGAGGCCAAAAACATACCTTGGGGCCAGGCTTCCCAGTGATGCCCCGGGGGCCTCTTTCACCCCTCGGACCCTGGACAGATGGGAGAGAAGGAAGGTCAGCTCAAGTCCCGACACACAGACACTGCCTTCCCCCAGCCCCTGGCACGTGCTCCCTAAACCATGCTCCCGTTTCCCAAACATGCCCACAAGCTGAAAGGGTGGTTACCGTTGGGCCTCGCTGCCCCCGCGGTCCTGGCTTTCCAGGGGTCCCCTAGAATCAGAGAAGGGGCTGGTCAGTCACTCTCTAAATGCCCGGCCCTGCTCAGGTGGCAGCTGTCTCCCGGGTTATTGAGAGACTGTGAATTCAGAGCAGGATAGGAGGAACCTGGGCCTCCCCGCCACCCACCTTTTCCGTGTTTTAATAGGAGATTTATCAGGGCGAGAAGCTCACCGCACACCCGACACACACAGCTTTGCACTCCTGCACAAGTCCTGCTGAAATCCAATTTTCCTCCTGCAGTCTGATGGATGTTTATACTATTATCTGGTTTCTTTCCTCAGAGCACCGCTACATCCCTCCTCCTCCTTCCTCCCTCCTTCCCCTCCTCCTCATCTCTCTTTCTCTCTCTGTCCTCAGCAGGGAGGGAAATCATTATTGCAAGAAAAGAGAAGAAAGTCAACCCCTTTCATACATAATTTACTTTTGCTACAGTTAAGAATATTAGCCATTAAATTTTCAACAGGCTCTGCAGACGCGCAAACTTGGAATTTAATATATAAATCATATATCCAAGAGTCATCGGCTTCTCCTCTAATAGAATTTATACTCTTTTTTCTGTTGTTGTTTTGCATTTTCCAAACCACAGAAAACAAATGCAGTGCAAAGATGTCAGAGCTGGAAAATGTAGTTAAGCTACATTACACGGAAGCCACGGGCTGAACACGCAGGGGCCCCTACATCCCCCACCGTGTCCCAACTCAGCTTCCTGAACTTGACTGGTTTCTTTTTTGTTTCTTTTTTTTTTTTTTTAGACAGAGTCTTGCTCTGCCGCCAGGCTGGAATGAATGCAATGGTGTGATCTTGGCTGACTGCAACCTCCGCCTCCCAGGTTCAAGCGATTCTCCTGCCTCAGCCTCCTGAGTTGCTGGGACAGACTACAGGTGTGTGCCACCACGCCCAGCTAATTTTAGTAGAGACAGGGTTTCACCATGTTGGCAAGGATGGTCTCGATCTCTTGACCTCGTGATTCACCCGCCTCAGCCTCCCAAAGTGCTGGGATTACAAGCGTGAGCCACCGTGCCTGGCTGAACTTGACTGGTTTCTGATGCTCCGCCCAAGGTGGATCTGTATGGCTGGAGGCCATCAGATAAGTTTCCGCTCATCATCTTTCATTCATTTGCTGCCAGAGTCAAAACTGCTTCCTAGAGTCTCCCATTTTGAAATGCATTTATTAAAACCATTTATGATGATGAGTTAATTATGTAGCTTTTTAACAATGCGCTCCGGTTCCAGTTCTTCAATTACTATGGTGATATCCTCTGGCTTCAAATAAATATTTGCATATGAAAATTAACGAAACATCTGCTTTCTTCCAGTGATAGGCGTTCTACAGGCGAGGATGCCCACGGCCAACCTGATGACTCCTGGCATTTAGGTGCGAATGAGCCCGGGCTGCCAGATTTACTCATTCCCATCCTCCCCTAGAATGAAAACCCTCCACCCTAAAACAGTCCCACTATGACCTGGACCACAGGTTTAATCCTGCAACAAAAATGACTGCAACCCAAACTGACTGTGCCCGAGGCACAGGCGCTGGGGCCCTGGCAGTTAGCAAAATACCGGCTCGACCGCAACGCCATCTGGGGCTCCCAGCAGGCATCTTGCTCATCTGTTTTCTTTATAAACTAACTCAAGCCAAAGAATCTCGAGTCCCTGTGACTGGAGCTGTGGAACAGAATGCCCCCCCCAGCCTCCTTAGCCTTCCTTCTCCCTTGCAAATTGCTTGTGGGCACCTGTCTTCTTGCCCTTAGGAAGGAGTGGACAGTCCCAGCAATGGCCATGCTGGGAAGCCAAACGCAGCTTGAGAGGGGACCTTCTACTGGGGAAGTCAAACACAGCTAGGAGAGGCCTTCCACTTTCGGGCAGGTGCATCTGAAGAGCGGGTCTTTCCCCCTTCCCGGGAAGGGGCTCCTGGGATCCCTCCTTGGCCCGAGGCCCGAGGGGCAAAGCGACACTTTGCTCACACCCACTCCTCTTCCTTTGGCTTCAGCTGGCTTGACATAGCAGCTTATGTTCCTGCCATTTCCACGTCTGGCCCATAGTCAAGGTCCACAGAACCAACGCTAGCTCTGCAGAAGGTAGGACCAGGCAGACAGACAGCAGGCAGACAGCAGGCAGCCCTCATGTGGAAGGCAGACACACATACACATGCGCACACACACGCGCGTGCACACACGCGCGCACACACACGTGTGCACAAACGCGCGCACACACACGTGTGCGCACACACACATACACATGCATACACACACATGCACACACATGCACGCACACATGCACACACACATATGTACACACACGCACACACACACATGCACGCATGCATGCGGACACTCAGGCCTGGCATCCTAGCACCTAGAAGCATCCATCTGGCCGGAATATCTAAGATCTTCTAAAAGACCTCTCTGGGCCGGGCATGGTGGTTCACGCCTGTAATCCCAGCACTTTGGGAGGCTGAGGCGGGCAGATCACTTGAGGTCAGGAGTTCGAAACTGGCCCGGTCAACATGACGAAATCTTGTCTCTACTAAAAATACAAAAATTAGCCAGGCGATCTGTAATCTCAACTACTTAGGAGGCTGAGGCAGGAGAATTGCTTGAGCCTGGGAGGTGGAGGTTGCAGTGAGCTGAGATCGCACCACTGCATTCCAGCCTGGGTGACAGAGCGAGACTCTGTCTCTAAATAAATAAATAAATAAATAAAAGACCTCTCTGGATGAGCACAGACATCCCACTGGCTTTCCCTTCAACCCTTGGAATGGTCCCCTTCCCATTCCTGCCCCACACTGGGACCAGAGCTGTTTCAAACAATCTTCAGTGCCATTCCCCCTGGCTAAAACCTTCCGTAGGTCCCAGTGCCTCAGGATAAAGAGCTTCCCCCAAAGCAGCTGGCTGCCCCGGCAGGCTCTGCAGCCCACAGCCCACTCCCACGTCTCCCTTGCCGGGCTCGGCCCTGTGCCGGCCCCCGGCTCCTCACCTCCTGACCCCACAGCTCTGCCTGCTTTCCATACCTCACCTATCCACTTCTGTCCCTCCTGCAGGGCTCAGCAAAAATGTCACTGCTCCAGGAGGCCTCCCTGGACCTTCTGGGTCAGACCCTGGTGCCTATGACCTTTCCCTGACTCACCCTTGTCCTTCATCATCACAGCCACCACTCCTCTGAGTGCTGCTTACCAGGTGGTGTTCCACTCTGGATGCCAGAGGGATGTCTGCTTTGACCACCAGAGTCCTCAGAGCCTGGCAGAACACCCAGCACTGAGAAAGGACTCGCGATGCATGTGCTGTTTAAGTGAATGGACTGCACCCAAGACTACCAAGTCCAAAGCCCAAGGCAAAAGAAGGGCGGCCAAGGGCGAAACCTGGGAGGCAGCATCTGTTCACCGAGGCGCAGAAGGCAAGCCAGCGCCCAGAGGCTTCTGGGTAACCTAAGTGAGGCTTCTGCAGTCAACAAAAGAGGAAGGGTCCCTTTGCAAGGACAGCCCAGCCCTCAGCTTCCTGTGGACATTCGGGAAGCCCAACCTACTAGATCAGAGGGCACCCACACTCTCCGTCATTCCCCGAACTTGGTACAAAGCATCAACCCTGTCCAGAAAGCCAGGCAGTGCTGCAGGCTTCATTCTGCAGTGACGATGCCACTGAAGGCTCATGCGGGCAAAGGCTGTGCTCAGTGTCCTGAACGGGAGGCTCTGAAGAGCTGTGATGGCAAAGATGAAGGAGGCCAGGGCTCCATCTCACACACATGAACCACCACTACCATGGCTCAAGGGGAAGCACACGGCCTCGCCCTTTTGGCCTGAGGTCTGTGTTGTGGGTTGTGCCACCAGCCAGGTGCAGCAGTGAACGAAATGTCCTTGGGCAGGGCCAGACACCCAGAGGCTGCAGAAAGGCTGTGAGTAGCTCCTATGTGTGACTGGGGCATGTGGTGCCTGGCAGGTCTGGGCTTGAGTCAGGTTTGTGTTGTGTCCCGTGACCCACAGTGCTGATGCCCTGGACATCTGGAGCATCCATCTAAGCTCCTCGGCTCGCCGGTGGGGAGGCTGAGACGCATGAGGGGCAGAGCCCCAGTCAGGAGCATGGGAGTGAGCAAGGGCTCCAGTTGCTCCACGAGGTCCCTGGTCCCACACAGTCCTCCATGGAAAGGGCTTGCAGTCACAGCCCATGACCAGCTGCAGAAGGCCATATCCTCTCCCAGACACTCTCACTGCAGTGCAGTGTGAAAGGTCCCCCAGCACAGGAGCAGCCCACCGGGGTACCTCACATTCCCCATGTTTCTCACAGTGGTACCTAAGAGTATTTCAGAAGACAGTGTATTCCCAAAGGCACTACTCAGGGCTTCTCCAGAAGAAGAATGACAGCTGGATAGAGACAGATGGAGAGGTGGATGGGTTGGATAGATACTGACAGAGATAGACAGATAATAGAAGATGGATGGATGGATGGATGGATGGATGGATGGATGGATGGATGGGTGGGTGGATGGATAGATGGATGGATGGATGGATGGGTGGGTGGGTGGGTGGACGGATGAATGGATGGGTGGGTGGATGGATGGATGAATGGATGGGTGGGTGGGTGGGTGGGTGGATGGGTGGATGGGTGGGTGGGTGGCTGGATGGATGGGTGAGTGGGTGGATGGATGGATGGGTGGGTGGCTGGATGGCTGGGTGGCTGGGTGGGTGGGTGGGTGGGTGGATGGATGCATGGATGGATGGGTGGATGGGTTGGTGGGTGGGTGGATGGATGGATGGATGGGTGGGTGGATGGATGGATGGGTAAAAGGACAGAGACAGAGAGGGGTGGAGATGGAGATAATAGTCTCCTTGGGTCTGTGCTGCCAACTTACACTCAGAACAGACTTCTTTTTCCTATTTTGTGAATCTGGCAGAACACATTTGTTTGCTCATAAGGTTTTGGCCAGGAGGGACAGGCCCAAGAGGGAGCTGCAACCCTGTAGCTCTGTCTGCCCTGGGACAGCAGGATGGGGCATAGGAGGATGGGCTGGGCAGGGCTGCAGGATCATGGCTGGGGCTACAAGGCAGGTGTGAGCTCTGCCATCTTTCGGGGAGCATGTCCCCCAGGCCTGCTCTGCAGATGCTGTCCTGCATGTACACCACAGACTGGCCTTTCTCTGTCCCCGCCATATGCCCCGTGGACAAGGCCAGCTCAGAGTCCAAGGCCTGAGGACCATCTCTCTCCTGTTTTCCCAAGTGGCAATGCTCAGGCACTGTGATTTCACTAACAAGCATCCAGGACCGCTCCTGCAGGGAGGCCTGGGCCAGCGGGGGCTCCAGAAGGTGCAGGGAGAACACAGCTCCCTCAGCCCGGCCCCCTGTTCCTTCGCTGAGGGTGAGGACAAAGGGGACTCAAACCACACTGCAAGCTGGTGGGTGTTTATGACAATGGCAGCTTGCTAATCCCGTCCAAGTTAATGTTAATTTAAATGACTTTAAATTTGGACGACGGTTAAGTAGCAGGACATTTTTGAAGGGAAAAAACAATCTCCTTTTTCCCTTCCTTTTAAAATTAGCTTGGAGGAAAAGCCCACTTGGGTAGAGGAGAAGAATCTGATTTTCAGAATGACCTGAAAGAGCCTTCTGGATTGTGGTGCTAATTAGAAAGCTCCATTTTCTCAGCACACTTCCTTCCTGCCTCTGCCCCTTCCTATCACATACCTGCCCAGCCCAGCGTCTGGAGAGTGTCACCAACACGTGGTGCTGAAGTTCAAGAGCTTAAGGCCAGCCATTCAGGAGAGCAGTTTCAGAAGCAAGAGAGTGAGAAATAAACAGGCCGTCGGCTGGAGAACCAACTTGCTAGGCACCGAGGCAGCCGAACAAGCTGCCTGCCCAGGGGCCAGGCTATCCTTACCCTGCCGCCCTTCTCTCCATTGGCGCCAGGAAATCCAGGGAATCCAATAGAGCCCTGAAAGAGAGTTTAAGGAGGAGGCATCAGAGCTGGGCCAGGAATGAGTCATGCTGCATGGGCCGCCTGGGGGACCACCTGCATGCCAGTGCACAGCCTCTGCCCCAGACTCCACCTGCCCACCCACCCAACCACCCACCTACCTGTCTACCTACCTTCTCACCTATCCACCTACTCATCCATCTACCTGTCTACCCACCCACCCACTCATCCGCCTGTCTACCCACCTACCCATTCATCCGTCTACCTGTCTACCCACCCACCCACCCATTCATCTATCTGCCTGTCTACCTATCCTCCCACTCATCCATCTGCCTGTCTACCTATCCTCCCATGCCTCCATTCATCCACCTGTCTACCCACCCATCCACCATCCACCTGTCTACTCATCTGCCCACCCATCCATCCACTTGTTTACCCATCTGCCCACCTACCCATTCATACACCTGTTTACCCACTGGCCCACCTATCTGTCTATCCATCTATCTGTCTATCCATCTATCTGTCTATCCATCTATCTGTCTATCCATCTATCTCTCTATCCATCTATCTGTCTATCCACCTACCCACCCACCCACCTACCCATTCATTCCATCTGCCTACCTATCCACCCACCCCTCCATTCACCCAACTGTCTACCCACCTGCCCACCCATCCATTCACCCACCTATCCACCCACTGGCCTACCTATGTATACATCTACCTGCCTACCTACCCACCTAACCATTCATCCATTTGCCTGTCTACCTATCCACCTACCCCTCCATTCATCCACCTGTCTACTTACCTGCCCACCCATCCATTCATCCATCGATTTGCCTACCTATAAACCCACCCCTCCATTCATCGACCTGTCTACTTACCTGCCCACCCATCCATTCATCCACCTCTCTGCCAAGCAGCCCACCTATGTCTATCCATGTGTCTACCTACCCACCTACCCATTCATCGATTTGCCTACCTATAAACCCACCCCTCCATTCATCCACTTGTCTATTTACCTGCCCACTCATCCATCCATCTATGTATCTACCCCACCTGCCCACCCATCCATTCATCCACCTCTCTTCCCACCAACCCATCTATCTGTCTATCCATCTGCCTACACACCCACATACCTACCCATTCATCCATCTGCCTACCTATCCACACCCCTCCACTCACCCAGCCACCTATCTCTTTATCCATCCTCTCTACTCAATAAATATTTCCTAAGCATTTCACAGGCTTCAGCTCTAGAAAGCCAAATGGAGTTTCATCATGCTCCCTCCCCTGCCACCATCCCCCACGCGCCCATATCCATAGGAGGGTGGCTGGTGTTTGGGAGAAAGGGACACACACTGCTGAGCTGAACTGAGGTGAGACATGAACATTGCACTGTGACATTGTATTTTCTGTGCCTCGTGCACGTTGTGTTGGCGTCCCACAATCCCTTTAAATAAAGCACAGCAGCTTGCAGAGTTGGGAATGAATGCAAATTTATGCACTGACTGTAGCACCTACCAGCTCTTTAATTCTAGAAGTTTGCAAGGTGCACACAGACCAGAGATGGATTTAGGGACTCTGACCTGGTGAATATCCAAACACCCACACAGGAAGCAGCACCGCAGTGAGGTCGCTCAGCTGCCCACAGGGTTGGCGCTGGCCACTGTCTTTGGCAGGTCTCTATTTGTCTGGCTTAAAATCCTGTCCTGAATGCACACTTGTATCCATGAAGAGCTCACACATGTCCAAACCTTGTATTTCTCACAGGGGACTGAGTTCAGCCAAGCCACTCACACGCCCGCCTGCCAATCTAGGCAGGGGGCAGGACCCAGGAAACCTCAGTGCAGGTGACACAGAGCTCAGTTCAGAAACCGGGTCACTGTGCTGATGGCTACTTCTAGTCTCTGCCCAGGACACATGTACCATTCCTTTCCAAAAAGTTGCCTGGACTTGATTTAGACCACCCATCTTTCCCAAACTTCTCTTCTTTCCATCCCCAGAGGGATGTATATTAAGAGAGGAAAAGTGCCCATCAGCCCCTTTGACCACATTCAGTGACGATGCTGCGGTCAGCAGCTACATCACACCCACGTTCAACGAGCCACTGTTAGATCCTAAATGAAATTCCTGTTTCACAGCAAGCTACCTCTCCTGCATATGGGGTGTGCATCCACACACACGGAGCAGGGGGCTTCGCATTCCACAGGAAGGACGGACAGGAGCATTTCCTTAATGAGAATGGAAATACCTGGAGGGCAGCCTCAGCCCACCACGCCCGTCCTCCTGTTAACAAGACTGCTCCAGTGAGACCGAAAAGGTGCTGAGGCTAAAAGGAGATGCCTCGGGCAGAGGCAGATCTGAGAAAGACGGGACCCCGCTTCGGCTGTTAATTATGTCTCCAGTGCAGGCAGCTGGTTATTCTTTAAGGAAGAACCATGAATAATAAAATGTGAGATTTGAAAAAAAATAACATTTTCAATGATTTCCAAAGCCTCAAGGAGCTGTTTCACTTAAACCTGAACATGATTTCACATAAGAAAGGTTTCCTTTTTCTTTTATACTCCATTATGAGCAAATAGCCTTCAAATCGCCGGTGAGGTAGAGTTGAGAGGCGACCATCCCACGGATTCTGGGTATGGACAACCCAGGGGAAAAGGGCCACCAGCCAAGCAACAGGTGCAGAAGACTGCAGGGGACTCCAGGAGGATCCCAGAAGGACCCCAGGTGTCTGTGCCGACTGGGGCAGAAGACTCATTGCCCAAGAGCCTCCTTTCAACTCGGCAAATTAATGCAGAAGGCAGTGAACACGGTGGAGGCTGAGAGCCACAGTGTCACACACGCCCCCAAGGATGGGGAGTGGATGAACCTGTGCAGGGTGGAGACGGCCGGTGGAGCATCCCTCCACCTGTCCCGGGACACCTAACATAGCTGGATGCAAGGTGAGGAGGCCTGGCGGTACAACCCCCACGCCTGCACCAGGACACGTAACATGGCCAGAAGTTATCGGCAGAACATCCTTCCACCTGTGCCGGGACACCTAACACGGCCGGATGCAGGGTGGGGAGACCGGGCAGAACATCCCTCCGCCTGTCCCGGGACACCTAACACGGCCAGAAGTTACCTTTGGTCCTTGTCTTCCTGGATACCCTGGTAACCCTGGGACTCCGAGTTTTCCCTGGGGGAAGAAAGAGTTGCATTAATGGCCAGCACGGTATTGCTCCATCCGTTTCCCCGGAGCAGAGAGAAAGGACATGCGTTCTGGCAGGGGCCTGGAGGAGGGTGTGGTTTCCAGAGGCGGGGGCACACGTCATTATGCAGAAGCCCTGCCTGCCCTAGGTGGAGGGTGACTGCCAGCACCCATGAAATCCAGGGGGTACCCGATGGTCCCTGCACCGAGGAAGAAGCGAAGGCCCCTGGAGGAGAGGTCTTGCCACTGTGGAGCAAAGCGATTAGAGGCAAATGCCTCAACTCAGCGTGTTCATCCTGGGGCACCTCTGAGCCCTTTTGTATGGGTCCACGTAGCAGGATAGGGCAGGAAGTCTGGACCACTGCATGCACCATTCCTGCCTGAGCCCAGGGTGGAAACAGGGTGGAGCCAGGGTGTGTGGCTGGCCCAGGAGCCTCCCACAGCTGGAAACTGCAGGCCTATTGATGGCTGCATGCCCAGAGCCTGCTCCAAGGACCCCGGCCTTCCTTCCTGCCAGGCTGCCACACCTTCAGGCCATGGTGGGGACACCGTTATTACCCAGCTGTGGAGGCGGGAATGTGACAAGGACGGGGTCCTGGAATGTTGGGGCTCAGAACGCAGGCTTTGTAGCCACCGGGAGGAAGGAGCCTTCCAAGGCGATGGTGGAGGGCTGGGAAAGGGCGAACCCGGGACAAGGAAAGGGTCATCATTCAACCAACAGCTTCATAGGAACAGCAGAGAGAACCCAGGGTGGAGACAGGAGCCCGCTCAGGAATCACCCCCACCCCATGCCTAGGGCAGCCACAGCCAACGGGAGCCCGAGGCCATGGGGAAGGGCCTGTCAGATCCCTCCCAAGAAAGTGGCTGAACGTCCCACATCACAAACCTTCTCCCCAGGGGGTCCCAGAGGACCGGGGTCACCATTGGGACCTCCGCGACCCTTTGGGCCTTCAGGGCCATCTTCTCCCCTGGGACCGGGTGGGCCGATCTCCCCCTGCAAGCCAGAAAAGAGGAGGTGAGAAGACCACCCCCCGCACACACACTATTCTCCACCACCATTCTGAGAGCAAGGAGCAAGGGGACAGGTCACAGGCACCCTGTGGTCAGAGCTGCTCCACCAGCTCGGCCTCACTCAGACCACGGAGCTGCTCCCGGAGCCACTGACAAAGCGAGCGCATTGTACCGCGAATTCCCGGGCTCCCGGGCTCTGCGGAAGCTGGTCTCTGCACCGAGGTTGCCTGCTATTTATTTTCTCAAGGCTGCAGGCTCCTACTTCCCAATTACCTTCTCTAAATTGAGTGCCTCTTAGCTAAAATAACTTTGGTTAACAATAGTAGCTCTGAATTGCTGTTTCTCCAAATAGAGCAGAGTGACTGGGAGCTGCTGCTGCTTCTGAAACCCCAGGAGGTATGGAAGTGGACCCCAGCCCCGGATGGGGCAGTTACCTGGGCATAACGAGCACACGGGAGGGCCTCAGGAGGCGTCCCAGGAACAGACGGGCTTAAATTCCGCCTCGTCCAACTTCCTCAAGTTACAGATTGGGAGCTCGGGGCTCAGAAAGGGGAGAGGGCTCTGGAGCCTGCCCAGGCAATGGTAGCGCTACGGCAGAGTCTCTAAATGCCCTTCCCGGCACTCTTTGTCCAGCAATGGATGGATCCTCCTCTGATCATCTGTCTCTAAGAGCAGCTGTAAAGCAGTGGTGCAAGCCCACAACAGAAATGTGTATTGCTCAGATAGAGAAAAATGAATAACTTCCTAATTCTGAGGCTCTAATCTGTCATCGGGTCAGGAACTCTCTGTCCCTAAGAGGTGTTCCTCTCGTTCAACAAAATAACCCGGCACACATTTACAGAGCACCGAGAAGGTGCAAAGTGCCAGGCTGTGCTCTCTGAAGAGGTCCGCATATGGGGTCCTGTTCCCTGGGCTCAGGATGGGTCCCACCCCTGCATCCCACCCTCGTCCCATGGCAACGAGAGCTCCACTCTCGGAGCCCTGGCACGGGAACGTGTGTCATCTCTTCTGAAGCTGCACCCTCGTCACGTGGACGCCACATGTGTGAACAGAGGCATCAGAAAGGAGGAGAAAAGGACTTTCACCATCAAACCGAGAAGCCGCTGGGATGTGGGGATTCAGGAGCCTTCTACTAGGAAAGAAGTTCTAGAATGGGTGCCTTTAGCAGCAACTTAACTGGGACAACATTGCGCAAGAGATCCCCTCCTTCCTCCCCCTTCCTTCCCACAGAGGTGCAGATTGCCTCTGCCTTTTGCCTGCCAGGTTGGGACGAAGTGCCAAGTGTGTGGGGCTTTCCTGTTCTGGAAAGCCACCTGCGAGCCGGTGCTGCAGGGGGATGACTGCGGCAGCTGGGTGACAGCCCTGCTGCAGCCGACAGATGTCCGTCCCGGTGCGTGCACAGCTGTCACCACGGCTGTGCCCACCGGAGGCCGAGGCGTCTTCGGTTCCTTCTGCTGGGCTTCTGCTCGCTGAGAGGTTACTGGGGAAACCTCCAAGAGTCTTTTGGCCACCCTGGCTGCTCTAAGAGCTCCCTACCCTTCCTTCGTGCCCTTTGCGTCACCTTCTCTTTAATTACAGGAACGTGCAGCCCGTCACTTTCTGTGGTTGCCGGCAAGCCCCAGTCCCTCCCAGCACCCACCGGCTTTCTCTGGAGCCGAGCTAAATTATTCATTTAAAAATAAGCCAGGTCTCCTGAGCCAAAATCACAGACCACAGGACTGTGTGGGAGTCCCAGGGACCCTGAAGAACTGTCTGGGGACCAGGACGCTCCCCAGGCTCACAGGGATCCTAGACCCACGTCGCGTGCTGCCCTGTGGGCGCCGGCCGTGTGGCCTGGGCAGCAGCTGCGCTCCTTCGGTAGGCTGGGTCATTTCCGTAGCTGCTCTCTTTTCTCTTCCCAGGCACCGCTTATCCCTCTTGAGTCAGGTGAGTAACTCTGCAGTCCACAGGTGCAGTCAGAAGTGAACCCAGCCCCACTGACCCCCTGTGTGGGACACTGGGCGGAGGAGCTGGCGACCACAGGTTATTCCCAGTCCCCAAGGGGCAAACTGAGGAAGAGGAGGTGAAGAGGAGCTGGAGAGAGTCGGGCCCTGGGCTCCACGCCACTGTCCCCTTCCCACCAGGAATCTCTACCAAGAGTTTACCTCCATTCTGAGAAGCTGCCCTGTGGCGGCAAACATCCCCACCCCCTCCCACACGGCCAAGCCCACCCAGCTTTCCCCAGCCCAAATCCCAAACCTGAGATGCTCACCCGATCACCCTTGATGCCCATGTCTCCTTTAAACCCAGGAAAGCCGTCTTCACCCTGAATATGGGACAAGAGAGTGCCCTAGTCTAGGCAAGAGGACCCGCCTCCCTGGCGGTCCCTTCCCCGCTCCAAACAACCACACTCAGCACCAGGTCCCCCACGCTTGGGGGGCAGCACATGGCCCGGACGGGGTGGGCTTGGGGCCCATCCCTCGAGAATGGCTTTCCCATGAGCTCTGCGTTCCCAGCTGTAACGTTCTGAAGCTGGAGAGAGCTGCGTCCCTGCTTCTTGGGCAGGCCCAGTTTGAATCTGAATGTTCTGCATGGCGAGGCCTCAGCAAGCCCAGGCCCCTGAGCTCCCGGTATCATTTCTCAGTGCACTCTGTGGCGTCCCATCAGCACTGAAGCACTGAAGTGACGGGTAAAGGGGGTGACAATTGAGGACGGGGAGCTGGATGAAAATGCCCCTGCAAAGAATCCCTAACGCCTGCTCTTGCCGGCACTGCAGTAACAGGCAGTGCTTTCTGAAGGGTAGGGGTGTTGCCGGGGGTGGCGGGGGAAGTCAGCGGCCCGCGCACCCCTGGGTTACTGGTGAACCTGGGACCCAAGTGAGGCTGCCGCGCGTCAGTGCCCCCTGCTGTCCGTTTGAGTCCCTGGTCTAGACGTTCCCCATCCCGGAAACCGCAGGGCAAAAGCCCTCAGATCCTTCAGCAGAGGGCACGGGTGGCTCCCAGAGAGGGGACCCTTGGCTGGGCTTTTCCTGTCATTATTCAGGGGCTACATCTTGATCCAAAAAGAGTGAAAGGACAGGATCTGGGGACTCAGCCGGTCGTAAACATTCAAGGCCCGGCTGGGGGCACACGCAAGGGAGGCAGCTTTCTGTGCAGTGAGAATCCAGCCCTTTCCAGCCAGCGCCAGCTCCCGGGGCTCCCAGGGCCTCAAGGCACTTGTTCACAGTGTTCACATAGTGCTGGAAGCTGAGCAGCGGCCACAAATAATGCAGAAGTCCACAAAGACGGTCCCTTGGCACTGCCCCACTCCTTCCCCAGACCATGTCGGGCTGCCTGCGTGGCCCTCGGGAACAGTGCGGGAGCTCTCCTGGCAAGAAGGCATCCCCTGCACAGCCCAATCAGTATCATCTCAGGCAGCCCTGTCTCTGGCTAGGGACAAACGTGACAAGATCAAGCGGCAAAGCTGGACTCTGTGAAGCCACCTTGGAAAGGATGAAAGGTCCTCAGGTGAGGGAGCCTCCCGGGGACCAACGGGATGGAATTCTGGGATGGGGACCCTGTGTTCGTAAGGCCCTCGTGTTCCGAAGCCCCGACGGGCTCCACGTAGAAAGCAGTGCTCTTGGAGAGGCCAAACTGCTCAGCTTTCCCGGATGAGGACTTAGGATTCCGCTGTGCGGATGCCCTTGGGAAGGAGCCGAGATGGCACAGGCTCAGGCCTCCTGGCCGGTCCTCCCACAAGGGCAGACACTAAGAACAGAAACCAGGGACCAGCACGCTCAACAAACTCCGTGGAACAAGAGCGTTCCTGCTGCCACATCATTTCTGATCCAGTTGTGGCCACTCAATGCGTCCCCTCGGGAATGGCTTTAAGGCCGGCAGATTTCACAAGAAAGGATCCAAGCGACATCTTCGACAGGTAGCAAATAAGGAGTCTCGGCACGTGGACCATCACGCCAGCACCCGCACTCCAGCCCCGCAGGCCGCCGTGGCCAGGGGAGAGCCCAGAGTCTGCCCAGCAAAGGGGACCAACATGCCTTACGGAAAGCAAGTATTGCATGGCTACACGGCATGGCAGGGCGAACCCACAACAGAGCGTGAGGCCACGGTGGGGAGGGTGGCACGGTGAGGCCGCCCCTGAGGCCTAAATCTGTGTCATAACTGGGCCTTGGATTTGGCTCTGAGCTTCCTTCCACCACAGTGAGAAGAGAAAGGTGGCCGGCCACGCAGCTCCATGTGGCTCAGGCTGTCGCCGCTGCAGGCTGCACCCAAGCTTCTGACTCTGGCAGGCATGCATGGGGGTGTAGTTTAGCTTTGTCTTCACCACAGTGATCTGCTTAGGCCTGACCTGCCCCCACGGACCATGGCCAATGGCACGGCCTCTCTCCCTCCCTGCCTGGCTCTGCTGCACACTGTGAGTTTCTGCAGCTTGGGCTGCCCAGGGATGAACATCTAACAACTAAGTGGACCCTCGTGCCAGCGGCCATGCAAGGCGGCCCACCTGGGAGTGGGGAGGGTGACAGGTGTCCACTGGCCCCTGCAGGCACGTGGGGGGCCGTGTGTTGTCTCTGGGGCCAAGGCCTTCTCCTTGTGCAGAGACACAAACCCTGGACCCACTCAGCTCTGCTAGGAGATGTGCCCCTGGGGACCCGAGGGCCTATCCTCAACTTACTCTTCTTCCGTCTGCAAACAGAGACACTTTCCACAGAGTGGCATCCATCCCCCTCAGTACTCAGAGGCGACATCCACCTCAGCTGGTTTCATGGAAGAAGCATTGTGGGAGGGCCCCGCTGGCTGGAATTCGGCTCCGGACTAAGCAGGGGGCCCCGTGGCTGCAAGGAGAGACTTACCTTCTCGCCCTTTGTGCCCTTCAGACCACGGATGCCATCGGCCCCCTGTGCGGGTGGGAAAAGAAAAAGGAGTGAATGGTTACAAGTCTCAGCCTTTCTAGAGCTGTCGCAGGCGTGTCAAGACAGGCTGAGCTCGCTGAAGCTGACAGATGAGGCCAGCGCCCTGCCCTCAACACACTTCCTCCCATATGTCCCCCTGTGGCCTCAGGAGGCCCAGCGTGTCCACAATTCCTGGGCTGACTCCACTGACTCCTGTTCTTCATGCAAAGACCCAAACCCATCCCCCACCTTCCAGCCCAAGCTCTGGACCCGCCCTTCCAAGGGCCCACACCCGGCAGCCAACACACCCCTCCTGCTTCCCATTATAGCATCATCTTCTAGAAACACCCCCACCTTTCAGAGGTTTGGGGAGGAAGCAGGAGGTGAGGTCTAAGGCAGACTTGATTAGGTCCCAGCTCCCCCTCCATGGCCTCTGACAATGCCCCAGACTCCTGCGTGCCTCAGTTTCCTCATTTGGGAAGTGGAGAGGACGACAACCCTTACCTCGTTACCACTGTTGGGAGGGAAATGCCTGCTAAGCTCTCAGAACAGCACCTAGCACCCAGCACACAGCAGGTGTCAATAAACAGAAGCCCAGTGCCATGTATTTCAACTCCGTGTTAACATGAAGAGATGATACTGTGATATTACTAATGAATGATGATAACATATTTATTGCAGTTGTCATGAGTTCAGGACACACCATCCCACCTCCCTGCTGAACAGGAGTTTCTGGGACGGGGCCCAGGACTATTTCTCTGACACTCTCACTGTGCCAAGCGCCTGGGGCAGTGGAGGTAAATCTGTGGGGTGGAATTACGCAGCCACACCCTTGCTGTTAATGTCTTTGACTTCAGCCCTCCCAGCAGGGTGACTTTTAGCTAGAGAGACTACCTCGGGCTACCTCAGGCCACCTGCCCGTGGGACTTGAGAGAGAGAGAGAAGCCACACTGCCCCCGGCACCGGGATTCCAGGCTGAGGCTGAAGCCGGGGCCACAGAGCACTGGAGGACGCAGGGCCTGCCGGCTGCCCTCTGGTGGTCAGAACTTCCCACATACTTGGCAGTTCTGGCCTTTCCCCAGGTCCTGGAGAGGGAGGGGCTCTGGGAAGGGATGGAGACACGGAGGAGCTCCTTTCTGCAGAGGTGGCTGGCCTTGGGCTGCGTGCCCTGGCTCTGCCAAGGAGCTGCGGATGTAACTGCAGAAACGCCTTCCACTCCAGTGCCAGCTGCAAGGCACTTCCAGCCACGCAGACAGGGCAGCGGCGTGGTTGCCCTGAACCATAATCACTGGAGGATTTGGAGCACCGGAGACAAGCAAGAGTTCTGCCACTACACCTGCAGGCACCATTGCTGAAGTCATGTCTGCTTCACACCTGGCCGCCACCACTAGTGGAGAGGCCTGGGACACCTCCCTCTACGCCCAGCACAGGGCGGAGGCAGCCGGGAGGGCAAGGTGGGCTCGGAGCAGCTCTGGTTCGTCTGGCCTGGCACTTGGCACACTAATGTGGGCCAGCATGGAGCGCCTTGGGGGGACAGGGCACAGCTCAGAAACAGCACTGGCCCAAGCAGGGAGGCCGACTCCAAACAAGCCTCTCCTACGCTAGTCTCTACCCCAGCCTGAGATGGGACATGGACCTCAAGATGGAGAGGAAGCGCCGGACAAACACAGCTTGCGTATTCCAGGGCTGAGTGGGAACGACCAGCCAAGCCGCGAGGAGGCTCAGAACAGCCTGCTGCAGGCCACTGCCCCCACTGAGCACAGCACGCGCTTGGCAGCACCTGTGGGCCCGGGCAGCCCAGGAAGGTGAGAAGTGACTCAGCTGGGCCAGCTGCTGAGAGGCGAGTGGTTTCTAAGCACTTGGTGGTGTTTTTTTCCTAGCAGATGCCTTCTTCCAAAGCAATCCTGGCTGGAAGCCCCCAGAGTTTTGAAAAGAGAACAGGTAGGGCCACGCTGGCTGACACAGAGCTGGGGGCCCCAGAAAACCACCTGCCGTCTCACCACGGCGTGGCATCGCCTCAGAGACAACAGCCCCAGAACCCCACCAAGAAGGGCTTTTTAGGAGATGAGCTACTTTCTTTTCTTAGGGCAGTTTTGAGTCCTCACCATACTTGCAAAATAGAAGAGCAACTTTGGATTCTGCTTATTTCCTCTGAAACGCACAGGAAAATCGCAGGTGTGGCTGAGAATACAATCAGGGTTGAGCCTGCTCAGCAGCGTCTGATCCTGAATGCAAGGTGATGTCCAGCTGCCCCTCCCTGCCCTGAGTCCTGGGGGACTGGGTTTGTGTGGCTGGCATTATTTCCCAGGAGCACTAAACTCCCTGGCACAGCACCCGGGGGCATTGGCACCAGCTCTCCTCCCTCTGGCTGGGCAGGCTGGGGGACGCTGCTGCTCCCTCCCTGCCCATGCCCTGCTGAGAGCAGGCAGGTAGGACCGCAGCCTCCTGAGACCCCTCTCGGTCCTACAGTTCTACCGTTTGAGGATCCCCATCGGAGGAATGGGACCAACTAGACAGAACCAGCCGCAGCCTCCTGAGACCCCTCCCGGTCCTACAGTTCTACCGTTTCAGGATCCCCGTAGGAGGAATGGGACCAACTAGACAGAACCAGCACTTCCCAGGGCTTCTTGGCCACGGGGCTGTTGACATTGGGGCTGCTGTGTCCGTGGTGGGGTGAGCAGCACCTCCCATTAGAGGGCACTCCCCAGTCATGCAGGAAGTGGCCCTGGCTGGGAAGGGCTGGATTGGGGCATCCGTGACTCGGCCGGCCAGCCGCCCCGGGAAGGAGCACTCAGGAGCTGCAGCACGGCTGGGACCAGATGTGCGCACAGCCCAGAGAGGGACAGGCTTTCGCCCAAGGCCTGGATGTGAACTCATATTTGGGGCCTCCTGGCAACCCCCTAGCAGCTGGGGGCTAAACGAGGGGTGGATTTGACTCTGCTGACAGTCAAGCTTAAACAGGTGCCCCTTCAGACGTGCAAGGCAGAGGGAAGCCTGGAGGTGGGCTAAAGGTCAGTGAACTCAAAGGAACACGAGCCTGCTGTGGCCTGAATGTCTGTGTCCACCAAAAACTCATATGGTGAACCCCAATACCTGAGGCAATGGAACTAGGAGGTGGGGCTGTGGGGAGGTGACTGACTGGGTCACAGGGTGGAGCCCCTGTGATTAGGATTATGCCTTTACCAGAGGCCCCAGGGTGCTCGTCCCCCCTCTTCTGCTATGTGTGGACACAGTGAGACGGGACCATCAAGGAACTAGACAGCAGCCTTCCGCAGACACTGCATCTGCTGGTGCTGTGATCTTGGAATTCCCAGCCTCCAGGACTGTGAGAAATAATTCCCTGTTGTTTACAAGCCACCCATTTTAGGGTCTTTTGGTTATAGCAGCCCCACTGGACTAAGAACCTTTTCCTGGGAAGAAGGTAGGGCTTTGGTGGAAAATAACGGGCCCCCTCTCACCAAGGACTATTCACCTCAAATGGCGGCAGCTCGGCCCACGCAATCCCACGCCCTGCCACCATCACTGCCACCCGGGCCAAACTCGTGAGGCGCCGACACCACTCACATTTCCAAATGCACAGGAGTATGAGAAACTTTTTCCCCGATGAAAATAATTTTAAACCTCGGTTTTCCTTCCACCCTCTGCTTCCAAGTCTAACTGGATTGCTCATGTCATGAATGAATTTTAATCAGATAGGCAAGATAAGAGCATTCTCCATAAACATTTTAAAGCAAACACCTTTTTAGCTCACAGAAGCAGCGTTATGCAATTAGCCATGTATGGGAGTTGGCAGAGGCTTCTGCTATGCGACAGGAATTTGTAAAATAAACATGCTATAGAACTCACATAATCAGCATTTCTACTAAATTATCACCCTTATAAAATTCGCTAGGCATTTTGCTGGTAGAAGCTGGCTTTAGGGAAAAACCTGACTCGCCTAAGGCTCCCAACCGTTGGGAGGTCTCTCTTCAATACCTCGTGAACTTGGAAGGTCCTCATTCCTGGGAAATGGAAGTCGGGGCCTCCGGGGGACAAGGGTGGGGCACTTGATTTGGAACCTGGTTTGATTTCTGACAGCAGCCTCGATTTTAGTGTAATCTGGGGCATGTCACTGAAAACTGATGTCTTGGGCTCTCAGAGCAGGTGAGGGGTGACCAGCCAGAGTCAGGAGGGTTGATTCGGAGCAGACGACAGTTTCCAGTTGGCCTCCATGCCCCAGGGCGGCCACACACTTCTGATGTGCAACAATGTTTGAAAAGCATAAAGCCCTTCAGACCAGGGAGGTGAGGGGCAGGGGAGCTGGTGAGTCATTTCTACAAATCCCTCAAGCTTGACTAGTTGCTATATATACACACATATTCCTTCACATCCAGTTAAAAGCATCTTGAAGGAAAGAATCATCATGAGCCTTTAAGATACCGCAAGTCCCCATTCTCAGAGGAAGAGGAGAGCTGGTCCGCGTGCGCCTAGGGGTATGTCTGTCTACACAGAACGTGCCGTGTCCAGAGAGCAGCACAACTCGAGATTGCATTACCCAGCTCAGAGCAAACACAGTTAGCTGGGCTGTGACAGAGGGGACCTGTGTCTGGGATATTGCTCTGGAGCTGTGCGCCCCATGTAACGAGGTTGTCAGAGCCCGTCATGGCAGAAACACGAATGATTGTGAATAAATGGACAGCTCCCATGAACTCCGCCTTGCGACAGCGCTGGCCCACCCAGATGCTATCGGTGGAGACAGACTCTGTTTCTCACTCGGAATGTGCAAATGGCTGGGAAGAAATGTTTCCGAGCTTCCCCAGGAAAGAGGCCAGGCTCTTGGCTTCAGCCGGGATCTGCTGTCTGCGAGGAGAGTGACAGAAGCCTGACAAATGGCAACAATTAAAGAGGCAAGAAGCAAAAGGACGTGTCCCGTCCTGACAGATGGCCGCCAGCGCGCCCCTGGCGTCGTCACCAGACTGCAGACTGTCCTGTGCTCCATATCAGCCCTCCTGACTCTAGCTGGTCACACCCTCACCTGCTCAGGCCCGCTGTCCTGAGACCTAGCGTCCACACAAGTGACTGGGAGGACTGGGCTACTCCAGACTGAATAGCAGGGACATTAAACCACAGAGAATTCCCTAAAACCAGCCACGCCAAGGCCCACAGTCCCAACCCTGACCTCCAGGACGACCTGGAGTGGCGTGAGTCTCTCTCACCTTGACTCCTCGAGGACCTGGGTAGCCAATCGGACCCTGGGGGCCAGGTGGACCCTAAAACCAAACAGAAAAAGACCGTTAGCCCCATGCCAGTGTGGAGGTGCCTGGGGAACATCAGGAAACTCCAGAGTTCGGCATACCCCTCCTGCTGAGAGCAGGGCGAACATCCCAGCTCAGAGCCTCCAGAGAGGCCCCCCGTGGGAGACTCGCACAGGTGTTCACAGCCTGCACTGACAGTGGAGGTGTGGCTGTGTCTCATGCTGAGCGGGACACAGAGGTGAAGCAAACGCTGGCCCCACCCCGGCAGTCAGGGAAATAAGGGATAGGCTGGGGGAACAGTGAGACGGTGAAAGGTCAGCGTTGGAGCTCTGCAAGGAGTGTTGTCCCTAAAGAAATGCATTCCCAGCCTAAGGTCCTTGGAATAAATCAGGAGAGCTTCCGGCTGGGAGAAGGGACAAGGCTGCTAGACAGGGAAGAGACATCCTCCAGCAGCCAAGGGCCTCGCCGATGCTCAACTAGAGCTCATGGGGGTGGGCATCCAGCCCCCATGCCCCCAGCCCAAGACTCCAGCATGATGAACGGCTCCCACCGCCTCCCTCCCAGCCCCCTTTCCACATGGTGTCACGGCAGCGGCTGGAGCTCCCAGGCAGGATGGGCTTGGTGGCCTCCTCTGCAAGGCTGCAGCTCTGAGGCCCGGGCCCGGTCTGCCTTGCTCCCTGCTGTATCCCATCGCTAACAGGATGCCTGGCACATAGAGGAACTCAGGAAGTCCCAGGGAGTAAGTGAATGCCTCTCGTTCCAGTTGAAAAGCCAGCTCTCAGAACAGTGGGCCTGTGCTGTGGGCTCCAAGTGCCAACCACCTGTCAGCACCAGTTCCGGGCACTGTGCGAGCTCTGGTGGCCCCAGGTGCTGCCTCCACCTCTGATGATAAGAGGCTGTGCCCAGGGAGGAGGGCTGGTAAACTCCCCACTGGAGGCAGCGGGAACTGGGTCTCCCATGGTGAACGGAAGCCAAGGGCCGAGGGGAGGGTTCACCCCAGTGGCTGCTGCGACCTTCAAGAGAGGGAACGGGGCAGAAGTGGCGAATCTCAGACCGCTCTGGGTCTCAGAGGCAGCACGTTGGAGAAGTGCCACTGCCCAGCAGGCCTGGCACTGGAAATTGAACTCCCTGTGAGGACTGGCGCTAGCTCTGCTGCCCTGGAGGGTCAGTCCTGGCCTACCACACCCTTGGCAAGGGGAGCTGGGACCAGGCCCCAGACCCCATCTTGCCTGCACAGGCCCTGCTTCAAGAGATAAATGTTAATCAGGCCCGATTCCAGAGCCTGTGACAACTGGGGCCTCTGGAACCCTGGAGCAGGTGGGCCTCTGCCCTCAGCCCCAGGCTCCCGACGACCATGAGCTCGGTGTGCGGTTTCAACACACAAGAAAAGCAGTCTTGGGGTGAACGAAGGTTGGCGCACACCAGGACAGCAAGAGCAGTCCCCACTGGCTACTCCTCCCGTCTGGAGGCTCTTCCCACAGAGGTGCTTGCAGCCCAGCAGCTTTGTCATGAATCGCAGTGGAGAGAAGGCGCTGGTGGACGTGCTGCATGGGACCCTCGCAGCCCAGCAGGCCCCGCAGGAGGAACCACAAGCCGCTCACAGTGTCGGACACAGTCATCCATAGAAAGACTCCATCCCTGGCACCGGCGTGACCTGGTAGGTCTGTCCCCATTCATAATAGCATCTCCCCAAAACTCAAAGGCCACCCAGCTTGTGCAGAGTCAAGACCAGGGCTGAACACGGAGACACTGCCCTGCTGCCCACACCCCATCTGGTCATGGGCACCCGATCCGGTCATGGGCAGCAACTGGAGGGTGGGGTGAGGGGCACTGACCCAGAGAGGGGTGCCCCGCTTCTTGGGGAAAAGGCCTGTGTCCCCCCCAGGCTGGGTCCCTTGGCGGAGACACCTGAGGAAGGGCTGAGTGTCCCCGGCTCCTTCCTTTCCAAGCTGGATGTCCCTGAGCAGAGGCTGAGCCCAGAGCACCTGGACCCGCCCCACCTGGATGCTGAAGGGTAGGAGGGCGTGGCGAGCACCCACCTGACCTCCTTTCTCTCCTGGAGGGCCTTCTTTGCCAGGGTGTCCCTGTCACAAAAGAAGAAGCATTGATTAGTCAGTGCCACTCCAGAAAGCAGCCTCCCTCGCTTCCCCTCCCTGCGTAGCATCCATGATCATGGAGCCCATTTCCCTTCCTCCCCAGGAAAACTGAGAGCACCAGAAGTCGAAGGCAGCTGGCCAGGCAGCCAAGCACAGCCCGGCCTCCCCGAGCCGCCAGGCCCTGAACCTCGGCTGCTCCATCTGCAAAATGGGAACAATAAGCCTGACCCTGGCCCAACCCCGGCCAAGGCCAGAGACTTGCGGGGAGTATGCAGCAACCCCCAAGTGCACAGGTGACCTGCACGGTGGCTCCTGACCCGGCCAGAGCCAGCCCGCCCTCCAGTGCAGGTCCACAGACCAGTGACCCACGAGTGGGGACAGGGCCAACAAGGGCCTCTTCCCCAGGTCACCTGACAAGATGAATCTGCACAATAATGAGCTGGGACCAGGTTCCTGGCATCCCTGCTTCCCGGACTAGCAATTGCTGAGCTGTCTGCAAACCTTGGAATCTCTGATTGTTGGGGAACCAAAAGCAAAGCAAGGTTGGTGCGGGGTGGAGGGCTAAGGCGTGTTACTTGACTGAGGGGTCCCAGCACATCCGTGAGTCTTCAAACAGCTGCCTCGTTTGAGACCCACACCCTCGGGTCTCCACCTGGCCTCGGGGATGGAGGGGAGCTGAGCGAAGGTGAGGACCTATGCCCCATGTGACAGGTACCCAGCCGAGGCTCTAGGAAGGACCTGTGTCTCCTGCCTGCCTGGGCCTGTACTAATTCCATTCCTAGGAATGCAGGTTTCTCTGACTTTCCAACCCAGGCGGGTCACTCGGTTTAATGCCTGTGAGCTCAGGATCGGTGAGCCAAACTTCCAGGATAAAAGCAGAAAGATCATCAATGTTCACTGTGCAGAAATGCAGTTCCACCAACGAGGATTCCAGGAAAGAGGCTGGGCAGGGTGATGAGAAGGCTGGCAGGGTGGGTTCTACTCCTGGACACACTCAACCTGCTGTGTGAGCTTGGGCAGGTCACTTGCCCTCTCTGGGCCTCCCGCTTCCTCAGGTATAACACGAGAGGGTGGCAAGATGCTCTTCTACCTTGAGTGGCCTAACGTTGATCTGAGACTCTTTCTAGACACAGTAGCATTAAGAAGACCCAAGTCTCGTTGCCTCAATTAAATGGTTCGTGTGTGACTTTTAAGTTTTTATTAGCTGTCCAATTGGGTTTGATGCCTTTGCAGACAGCCTATCCTAGCAGACAGCCTATCCTAGCAGCAAGTGAGTGGGAGGGCGCAAAGTTCCCCTTGAGGGAGGCTTTGAGGAAGTCCAGGCACCTGCGGGACCTCACCCGCTGCTCCAGCTGGGAGGGGACGTGCTTGGCCACCACGCCGCCTTCCGGAAACAAGGCTCATGGCGCCAGCACCTCAGAGTGGCCGGGCTGGACCTGAACAGAGCCAACTAGAGGGTGTCCTGGTCCAGGGTGGCCAGGAGGGGTTCTTTGTGGCCCTTTATTACACTTTCTATCAGCCACAGACACCTTTCTGTGAAGGACCTAGTGGGTGGATCTGCAGGGGGGCCGAGAGCCCGGCTCTGGACCGGGCAGACCCAGCCCCGGCTGCTCGAGGAAGCCCCCAGGCCTCTCCACGTGGTCATTTCCTCAGTTCCAGGCTGGAGATAACAGCACATCTGCACACAGCGCCGCTGCGGAGACGCACAGAGCGTTTGCAAGGGGCTCAGAACTGCGCCCACCCAGGGAGCACCAAGCAGAGTTAGCGGCCGGCATCACGGCGGCCTCCATTCCCATCCAGGCCAAATTCCTTTAGGTATATTTTCAGTTACAGATAGAGAATGAGAGTAAAGCAGTGGGGGGAAGCACAAAGCTCCCTTACTAAAAAATGTTTGAACAGGAAAAGGCAGAAAGGAAACGTAACAAGATAACCACGACTGATTTTCCTGCAAAGCCGGGCAGGGCCGCTTTCCCCTTTCTTTCTACTTGTGTGTGTTTCCCAATATTCTATAATGAGCAGTGCTTCTGTAATGGGAAAATAATAAAGCTTACATTATTTGTATTTGATATTTTCTGATTAAAAAAGTAACGTATGTTCATCATAGACAATTAGGCAACTGGAAGAGGAATTAAAATCCTTCATCACCTCACCACTCGGAGTGGCTGTGGCTAATTGTATGATAGAATCATCTGTCGTCTCTGCAGATATGCATGCGCCCTTGGCATGGTAGATCTATTTTTAATTTAATATTACATTGTGAGCATTTTTCTCATGTCACGGAGTATTTGTCTAAATTCAATTCTTACTGGCTCTGTAATATTCCACTGAGCCATAATTCACTTAACCATTTCCCCAGCGTGTGATACCAGGAATATATTCCACTGAGCCATAATTCACTTAGCCATTTCCCCAGCGTGTGCTATCAGGATTTATTCAACAACATATTTCTAGGCACTGAGTCTGCTCTGAAGTGCCTCATACCTCTTGATGGATTTTAAGGCAATCTTCCTTTCTTTGAAACCAAAACCAAAACAAGAAAAAAAGAAAACTCTCTCTGTAGGGTTTACCCTCAATGTGCTGCCTTTGCAAAGGAGAATTTTTAAACATCTTTTCTTTCCTCCAGATTTTCGTGGGAGATGGCTGGGGCTGTCTTTGGGCCTACCCTTTGCTTCCTTTTGCTCGAAGCACCTTCATGTGAATGGGGTCCACCTACGCTCACATTTTAAGCTTTAAATTCGGGCTGGGGAAGGGACACCTTAAAGGCCTTTCCTTCCCCCAAAGAATATAAAAGGAAACTGCAGGCTCTTTAGGGACCCCAATTCTTTGGAGGTTTCAACATGGGGAGGGGAATTCCAGGGAGAACAAGTTAGGTCAGCTGAGGGCCGAGAGAATGATCTTGGCAGGAAGGTGGGGTGCAGCCCCCTTCACACCCAGGCCCCCTTCCTCCCCGCAGAAGGAAAGAGGGGTGCAGCCACCTTCACACCCAGGCCCCCTTCCTCCCCGCAGAAGGAAAGAGGGGTACAGCCCACTTCACACCCAGGCCCCCCTTCCTCGTGTGGCCTGCTTCACACCCAGGTCCCCTTCCTCCCCGCAGGGCTCTGGGCCCAGCCACTGTCCCCACAGATTGCGGCCCATACTCCATGGACACCACAGCCAGCAGCACGGGAACAGAAAACTAGCCTGGAAGGACACACGTCCACCCGCTGTCAATGGCTAAATCAGGAGATGAGATCAAAGGTGGCTATAATTTTACTGTAATTTTATTTATTTTCCTAATTTTCTATAACAAGATGTGCTGTTCTGATCATTAGAAAGGGCAATGAAATATAAATGTAAATTAAAGGACACAACACATTGGAAAAGATGAACCACTCAGTATGCAAACTCCCATGTGGCCAGGTGACCACGGGGCCCCACAGCTGCGCGCGTGGGGATGAGAAGGCTCCACTCTGCTTCTTCTGACCAAGAAAGGGCAGTTTGTGATGTGGGAGTCACTGGGCCAACTGACTCGGCCTGAGGGATGCTGTGTGGTGAGCAGTCACCGATAATCATCAACATATTTAACTTCCTTGTTTAGTTTTTAACAGTGTTATTAAAACCATAAAGCATACTGCATCTTCAATAATTAATTCTGCTAATCTCGTTTGTGAAACAGACTCAGCATTAACGGAATAATCAAAACCAAAACCACAGCAGGCACTTACAGAGGGTGTGGGTGCAAATCAGCTCACACTCATGTACACGCACGTGTGCACGCACGCACGCATTCTGAGTGTGTTCTACTTCCTCACACCTCCCCCCTCCACACAGCTTAGACACAGATTGGATTTGTCACCAACTCGCTATTTCCAGGCAGAATCTAATTTGGCTCCACAGCTGTGCGCGCACACACTGCAAACGCGTTTGCTCACCACCTCCCTTCTCAGTGTGTGAACACTAAAAATACACACCACGTACCCTGCCTCTTCGCTTCCAACCCTGGGGACGCAAGCGATGGCCTGGAGCCCGGCCCAGCCCTCCTCACGGCTCAGCACGCAGGCCTGACTTCCGGTAATTAATCAGCACAACCTAATAAATAGCTAATATTCCTACTCGCGCAATCGCCACTCGTTGATTAAAATCCATGATGTTAAGGGTGTCCAGAACCCAAGAATGACCGAGCAGTCCAACTGGAGACCAAACGGGTCTTCATCAACAGAGCCAGAATGAGTCAATGCCGTCCAACAACAACCCCAAAGAGCCTGGGCCTGCAGCCCTATCCGCAGGGTGGAGGTGGGGAGAGTATGGAGGGATGAGGTGGGCAGGGCTACTCACCGGGGGTCCGTCAGCACCGGGCATTCCTGGAAGGCCTGGTTTCCCCAAGGGACCCTAGAACAAACCAGAGACTCCATGAGGAGATGCCCTCCCTAGGCTCACCTGACCTCTCCGTCGGCCACCAAGGTTACTTTTCAACATTTCTGCCCACACAGCATTTGCTGAGAAGTGTGGTCAGAGGCACTGGGTCCCTGGCTGTGAGGCGTGCAGCCACGGTAGCGCCCAGGAGGAGGCGGCTCCACTGTTCTCAGCACCTTCAGGTTCTGCTGTAGGAACGGAATCAGTCCACCAAGTGCCCCCATTCTTCTCCACATCCACCTGCTGCATACTGGGGCCCGGGGGGGCATCATCTGGCCTCCTCTGCTCTTACAGTGCTGTGCCTTCTTCAAGTGCTCCCACCACCCTGTCCTCCCTGGTCTGTTCACATCAACACCCCAGGGCAGGGCAGGGCATCCTGCAGTGCAAGGCCCACAGCCTCAGTATCCCATAAACAGCAGCTCCTGGAAGGTCCCAGGCCTGGCAGCAGCCCAGCCCTCTGTGTTTCTCAGGCCCCCCGGGGATTCTCATGCACTCAGAACCAGCCCCTTGGAGGTGTTTTTGCTGATCGCAACCAAGGCACTTGGAGCTACCTGAACTATCTTGTGCCTGGTTAAGCGACAAGCTCTAGAAGGGCAAGCACTTCCAGCTCTCGTTCCAGGGCCTAGGACACAGTAGGCTCTGGAGATACAGTCAAGTTGCCAAATTTAGCAAAACTAGACTAAACCAAAATAAACAACAACAAAACAAGATGCCCGGTTAAATTTGAATTTCAGATACACAATAGTTCAAATTTAACTGCATGTCCTGTATTTTTGTTCCTTGCTAAATCCAGCAACCCCTATACATACTAGAGAATGAATGAATGAATAAACGTATGAATCAATGAGACACGGATCCAAAATCCTCCTCATGCTTCTGGCCCAGTTCTTGGCACTCTGAGCTTTGGCGTCTCTTGGGAGCACCAAGATATACATTGAGAGCTGGTGGATACCAGGGGTCCTCCCAGGGTGGGGCCAGGGAATCCACCTGCAGGCGGGCAGTGGCCTGCAACACAGCCCAGGCCCACCTACCTTTTCTCCTGGAGGACCAATTGCACCCTGGGGGCCTGGAAGACCCTAAGAGGGAGAAAGAGCCAGAAAGGGAAGGTGAGGGCGCTGATTGACTCAGAACCCTCCCCTGCCATCTGTCCATCTTCTCATTGATGTCTCCCTCATCCAGGCACCAACCCAGGTCCTAGTCTCCCTCCAGATAAGGGGAGGGGCTGCTACTTGGAGGGGACAGAGCTCCCCGCTTCCTCCCAGGGCTCCGGACTGGAGACGTGTGCCTCCCACGGCCGGATCCCTGCGAGCTGCCTCTCTCAGGCTCACTTACCTGGGCGCCTGGATTACCCTGCTGTCCTGGGGGGCCAGGCTCTCCCTGGGGACCCTACAGGAGACAAGAGCAAAGGCACTGAAGGGGGCTCTGGGAACTGTATCCCCTTCCTGGGTGTCGTGTGCCCCCTCACTGGCCTCCCATCCTTTCAAACTGCTCCCCACTGCCTAATGCCAGCGGGAAGGGAAAGGCGGCCGGGTCCCACCACAGAGAGCAGCCCCAGGACTCAGCGCCTCTGAGGCTGTGGAGGTTGACTCTGATGGAGTGAGCACTAACTCGTTTATGCAAATATGCCCAGACATCCGACCAGGAAGGAACACGTGAGAGGAACTGACCAGAAATGATTTATTGGGCAGAAAACTCCCAAGTCACCCCATCATGCTAAAGTCTCCAGGTGCCACTCACCACTGGAGGGTGGGCACCACAGCAGAGGGTCTGCAACCTGCCCTTCATGTTCCCAGCTGATGTGGACAGCGATGGACCTCCCTAGCCAGGCAAGGAGTGTGCCCAGGGAAAGTGCCCCTGAAGCCAGGCCACGGGACCCCAGGGACTTACCACATTTCCTTTTGGCCCCGGCTGGCCGTCCATACCCGTGACACCCTGTGTACGATTTTAAGAAGAAAAACATGTAACTGAATGCGAAAGAACTCACAGTGCTCAAGAGGAAAATCCCACTCAACTCAGCTCAGACGCCCATCCCACGACGAATCAGAGGACGGGATGCTCTCTGGGGAAGGGAAGGACCTGACTCCAAATCCCTTCCCAGAGGTCCACTGATCAGCCCCAGTAACCCTCAGCTAAAGGTTAACTGAACTGCCAGGCCCTAGCATTCCACGGGGCAGGCCTCAGGTTCTAGAAAACCAGGTCACGGGGCTGGGAAGGCTGAAGGGGGCAGGCCTGGCCCTGGGGGAGCTGCCCACCGGGACACAGCCCCACTGGAATCAAGGGCTTCAGCCTCCTTCCAGAATGTTCACAGAAGCTGCTGGAAGTTCTTTCTAGCAGGGAAGAAACGTGACATCCTGGGTTTCTGCTTATAACTGAAATAGCACATGCTGTCTGCCAGGAGGAAGTGCAGCCAGGGTGAAGCGGAGGCGTGAGGCCGGCAGCCTCGGGCCTCCACCTGCAAGGCCACACCTGCTGGGGCCGTGTCTACAGCGTCTGAACATCAGTGTCCCGCTCACGCCTCACACTGGCAGCAGGCAGGCGCCAGAGGGGCCAGCACGGACTTGCTGCCCCAGTGCCCAAGCGTCCACCGGCTGGGAGGCGGGGTCTCAAAGGCCGAGATGGGGGCAGACAAGCAGGGCGGTAATGGGACTTACGGGAGGTCCGGGAGGACCTGGGGGCCCCTTCGGCCCAAGCAGACCACGTGGCCCCTGTAAGAGGAAAGGGAAAATAGGATTTAAACTCGGGCAGAAATCCCAGCCCTCCTCTCTGTCCCCTATGCCCACTTGGCCCTGACTCCACCCAGAACCCCAGCTGGTGACTCAGGCCTCCTGGCCTCCCAGGAGTGAGGCCCAGACTCCCTCCCAGCCTGCTGCGCTGCCTCCCTCCACCCCACCCTGGTGTTGGGAACCAGGGGCAGGTGTCTGGAATTGGTGAGAACTCAGAGAGGACACCACAGGGCACCCTCAGGGAAAGGGGGGCTTTCAAGCTGACCGGCTCCTCTGACACTTGCTGGGGCAGGTGAGCAGACGCTCCCCCAGAGAATCACCACGCTATAACATTCCACTGCACGGAGCCCTTGTGCCCTATCCTCATTACCGGCTCGCTCCTGAATTCCCCTCCGCAGCGACATACGATTGTTTTTATGATATCACAGGGTCAGAGGGTGCGGGCAGGAGAGCACCAGGTGAAACTAGTCCCTGGTGGGAACCCCAAGACTGAATGTGCAGAAGGAGGCGTGGGGTACAGATCTTTTCCAGGACGCTACTCTGGGCAAGAGCTGGCACGCCCTCTCCGGTCGGCGAGGCTCGTGCAGAACCTCCCCTTTACCGCAGGTGGAGTGAGATTCCGGGAGAACTGCCTGCCACAGGGCACTCACACCCCCCACCCACGGAGAATTACAGAGGCTTCACCCCAGGTACGTGGACTTCAAGTGCCCTTAATTTTGACAGAACCTTTTCAGATTCTGTAGAAGAGAACTCCTTCCCCCACTTACTGCCTCTTAAATGTTTCCTTCGTTATTTTAATACCTAGTTATAGCAACATTTCTTGGAAGCTAACAGCCCAGAAGGTATTACTTGGACATGTGTTAAGGAGAGAGTGGAGTTCATGAATTCTCCTTAGAGGCTAATCAGACATCTGGGGTATAATTTAGTCCCAAATGAGTCTGCAGGCACCGACCCCTGCCTCCTCTATGCAGTGCCTGCTATATTTCTCATCAATTAGCACCACCTGACGCACGCAGCCGGGCTGACTTGGCTACGAGAAAAGAGATGCTTTAAAGCAACAGTAAATGAATAGTAATTAATGTCCTATCCATCAGGAAATTTGCTCTGGGCCTAAATATATGTCTGCTTAGGGAAGAGCTTTCCCATGCCCAGGGCTGGGGCAGAGTCTGCTGGAGGAATCTGCCTCTGGAAGGGTGGCCATTGAAACGGGCCCAAGCTCGGGCTGATTCAGGTGTGTGACCCCCCCCACAATGCCCCTGGATGCCACTGTGCTGCCCCGGGACCCCTCACAATGCACTCAGATCCCCCACAATGCCCTTGAACCCCCCATGCCGCCCCCTGACCCCCTATAATGACCTCAGACCTCCCATGCTTCTCCCTTGACCCCCCACAATGCCCTCGGACCCCCTATGGTGCCACTGAACCCTGCCATGTTGCCCCTAGACCCCCTACAATGCTCTCAGACCCCCCACAATGCCCTTGTACCCACCCATGCTGACCCTGGACCCTCCCAATGATGCCCCTGTACCCCCCACCCCCATGCCCTCGGACACCCCACACTGACCCCGGACCCCACCACGATGCCCTCAGACCCTCCACAATGCCCATGGACCCCACATACTGCCCCCGACTCCCCACAATGCCCCCAGACCCCACCACGCTGCCCCTGGACCCCCACAACAACCCTTGAGGGCCAGGCTTGCTCCTGTAGGCAGGCTCAGACTTCCTCCTGGAGTTGCCAGCCAGCCTCGCCTGTGCCTCCTCTCTTTGGCTTCCCTGGGAGATGCCCAGGTCCGTCTGTTCTCAGGTCGAGCTCTCTCTCTTCTAAGCTCCTGGCTGATCCCAGATCCTGCTCCAGCAGGAGCCTTGGACAAAGCCTTTCTCCACACTGAGCCCCCACCGTCCCACTCAGCTCACAGACTTACGGGCTCCCCAGGCAGCCCCCTGGGCCCAACTTCTCCGTCGTCACCCTGCAGAGGAGAAAAAAGGCAAGGTTAGAGAAATGAGCTGTTAGCCTGGACACCAGCTTCCCCTCAGTGGTGCACAAGGGTTCTCTGGCTTGGGGCTGCTTCACATACGCCAGGTTTACCAGCTCTGGTACCAGCCGGAAAGGCCTGGAATGTCCTCGCTCCCAGCAAGCTGCTAGGTGTGCAGACACTGCAGGTGAAGCCTGCAGGCTCTGAGATGCCGGCTCAGGAGCTCACATGCCACAGCTCTCCAGAGGAAAGGCTGGGCAGAAAGAGCATCTAATTGAAAGGATTTGGTGACCTTCTTGAATGACAGCCTCTGGGGCAGGACAGGGCATCAGGGGAGAGTCACAAGATCCCCTGGGCCACCCTCTGGGGAACCAGGTGTCCCTGCCGGGGTCCTAAACAGCCTGGAAAGTACAGCAAGAGGCTTCCTCCTGGCTGCAGAAGGGAATGCCTCCCTGGCTCACTGCTTCAACCCACGGGCTGTTTGCAAACACTGTCCCTCGCCAAAGCACCACTGCACCTTCCCGCCCGCCTCACACATGCAAGCATGTATGCTCACACACAGCCTGCCTACACATGCCTACACACACATGGACACACAGACCCTGTGCATGCACATGCATACACAGCCATGCTCACATGCTTGTGCACACACATACACCCTGTGCATGCACATGCATACACAGCCATACACACATGCTTGTCCACATACACACGCACACAGCCATGCGTGCATGCATGCACACAGATACGTGCACTCCCTGCACATACACATGCACACAGCCACACATATGCACGCATACACACACACACACACACACGTCCTCTCAATCAAGAAGCACTGACATCTAGAAGGGTCCCTCTCTCCTTCCTCATCTTACAGCAGACTGTGCTGAGGCCCACACAGGAGCAGGTGCCCCGTCCATGTCAGCCTGAAAGCTGGTGAGACAGAAATGCCCCTGGAGCTGCTCCTCTTTCTCACCCTCCAGAGCTCCTTAAAGCTTTCCCCCTAAACACCTCTCACATACAAAGAAGGCGTCTGAGTGACTGCGGTGCCTGCAGGGAAGAGCTTGGAAACCCACAGCCTCGTGCATCCCATGCCCCAATCCCACTGTGCTGTGGCCCAGAGATCCCACTTCGCCTCCACACATGAAGACGGCGTGGCAGATACCAGACCCCGGCCTGTGCGTCCATGCTGGAGAACAGCTCCCTCCTGTGCTCTGGCCCCATGGCCACAGCCACTCGCTCCCCTACCTCCAGGCCCACAGAGGGTTATTTCCAATCCCCCCACCCTCTTCTGCTCCTCCAAATCTCAGCTTTCTGCCACCCACATGCCTCCAGCTAACTCCTCATCTGGACGAGATAAGCAGAGACGCTGAGCTCAGTAAACGCTCTGGCCACCTTTCCTCCCAGTGGGGTTTGGGGCACCTGCATCCTGCAGTGAGAGCTGAGAGCTGGCCCCGAGCTCCATCCATCAGCAGGACCGATGGAGTAACTAAACGTTGCAGTCAGGGTCTCTCCAATGCCCCGCAGCCTCTTGGCATCTGATCAATCGCTTTGCCCACTGGAATCCCCATCTGCCTTCTCCCAGCTGGCCCTCCACATGCGGCAGGCCAATCCCACACCTGGGCCTCTCTTCTGTGGTTTTCCTGCCCAAATCACTGAGGAGTAGGGCAGGCAGGAGCAGTCGGAGGGACGGCAGAATACCTACCCTTTCTCCATCGTCTCCCGGAGGTCCTGGTGGGCCGGAAGGACCAGGGTCACCCTAGGAAGTGAAAGGGTCAACGTCAGCCTCTCCTGAGCAGGTCATGCAGGGCTTGTCCAAGGTCCCACTTTGTTTTTCTCTAATTCTGACAGTAAGATTCCCAAGCTCTCAAAAGACCCTTCCAGAATGGGGGAATTTTCCTTAGAAGATCACGTGTGCCTCAGCCGGGCTAATGCAGGCTGCAGACTCTCACCTGAGTCTCACCACGATGGCCTGAAGGTAGGAGGGTGCTGGACTGAGCACCCAGCAGCGCAAGGCAGGGCCACACATGTGGGCAGCCTCAGGACACTGAGCCGAGGTCTGAGCTATCCTCAGCCCAAGTGCTCCAGGTGAAGCAGCCTCACGCTCATACCCTCAGGGAGCCCCGCCTGCCTGCAGCCTCAGAGCTCGCACGCAGTGGGTGCTCAATATGTGCTCATCAGTCGTGCAAAAGGGCTGGAGCTGAGTCAGGGACAGCCTTCATGGCTGTGCTGTTTCCATGTGGTTGTTGGAGAACATACATGTAGCAGCTTTGGATAAATGGCAACAGCCAAGCCCCTTCTCAAGGCATCATGGAGGGCTGCAGGGCATGCTTACGGGAGCAATCAACAGAGCAGTGGGGTGTGGGTGGATGTGTGGGTGCGCCTGTGTGTTTGTGTGAGTGCATGTGTGTATGCGAGTGCACGTGTGTGGGTGGAGTGTGTGGGGGTATGTGGGGTGTGTGCATGTGTATGCCTGTGTGCATGTGGGGGGATGGGGGGTGCATATGTGTGTATAGGTGTGTATGCGTGTGCGTGGCGTGTATGCATGTGGGGGTATGAGTGTGCATGTGTGGGTTGTGTGCATGTGTGGGGTGTGTGCACGTGTGCATGTGTGTGCATGTGGGTGTGAGTGTGGGCATGTGTGGAGCCTGTGCACGTGTGTATGCGTGTGTGGCTGGTGTGCACGTGTATGTGTGTATCGGGGTGGTATACATGTGTGTATGTGTGTGGCGGGTGTGTATGCATGTGTGTGCATGTGTGTACGTGTGTGTGTGCATGTGTGTATGCGTGTGTGGGTATGTATGCGTCTGTGTGCATGTGTGGGTGGTGTGCATGTGTGTATGCATGTGTGCATGTGTGTATGCATGTGGGGGTGTGTCAGGGTGTATGCGTGTGTGTGCATGTGTAGGTGGTGTTCGTGTATGTGTGGGGTGTGTGTGCATGTGTGGTGTGTGTGCATGTGTGTATGGGTGTGTGGGTGTGTGTGTGCATGTATGAGTGTGGGGGGTGTGCATGTGTGGTGTGTGTGTGTGCATGAGTGTATGAGTGTGGGGGTGTGTGGGTGTGTGTGTGTGCATGTGTGGTGTGTGTGCATGTGTCTGAGTGTGGGGGTGTGTGGGTGTGTATGTGCGTGTGTGTGTGGGTGTATGAGTGTGGGGGTGTGTGGGTGTGTATGCGTGTGTGCATGTGTGGTGTGTGTGCATGTGTGTATGAATGTGGGGGTGTGTGGGTGTGTATGCATGTGTGTGCATGTGTGGTGTGTGTGCATGTGTGTATGAGTGTGGGGGTGTGGGGGTGTGTATGCATGTGTGGTGTGTGTGTATGTGTGGGGGTGTGTGGGGGTGTGTGTGCATGTGTGGTGTGTGCATGTGTGTATGTGTGGGGGGTGTGGGGGTGTGTGCGTGTGTGCATGTGTGTATCAGTGTGGGGTGTGTGGGTGTGTATGCGTGTGTGTGCATGTGGTGTGTGCATGTGTGTATGAGTGTGGGGGTGTGGGGGTGTATGTGTGTGTGCATGTATGTGTGTGCATGTGTGGTGTCTGCACATGTGAGTGTGGGGGTGTGTGGGCGTGTATGAGTGTGGGGGTGTGTGGGCGTGTATGCGTGTGTGCATGTATGAGTGTGGGGGTGTGTGGGTGTGTATGTGCGTGTGTGCGTGGGTGTGTGTGCATGTGTGTATGAGTGTGGGGTGTGTGGGTGTGCATGTGTGTGCATGTGTGCATGAGTGTGGGGGTGTGGGGGTATGTATGCGTGTGTGTGCATGTATGAGTGTGGGGGTGCATGGGTGTGTGTGTGCCTGTGTGGTGTGTGTGCATGTGTGAGTGTGGGGGTGTGGGGGTGTGCGTGAGTGGGGGGGTGTGGGTGTGTATGCGTGTGTGCATGTGTGGTGTGTGTGCATGTGTGTATGAGTGTGGGGGTGCGTGGGTGTGTGTGCATGTGTGGTGTGTGTGTATGAGTGTGGGGGTGGGGGGGTGTGTGCATGTGTGCATATGTGTATGAGTGTGGGGGTGTGGGGGTGTGCATGCGTATGTGTGCATGTGTGTATGAATATGGGTGTATGTGTGCATATGTGTGTGGGGGTGTGGGGGTGTATGCATGTGTGGGGGTGTGTGGTGTGTGCATGTGTGTATGAGTGTGTGTGCGCATGTGTGGTGTATGTGGTGTGTGTATGTGTGTGTGCATGTGTGTATGAGTGTGGGTGTGTGTGGGTGTGTGTGCGTGCATGTATGAGTGTGTGGGTGTGGGTGTGTGCATGTGTGTATGAGTGTGGGTGTGTGTGGGTGTGTATGCGTATGTGTGCATGTGTGGTGTGTGTGCATCTGTGTATGAATGTGGGTGTGTGTGTGTGCTTGTGTGCATGTGTGTATGAGTGTGGGGGTGTGTGGGTGTGTATGCGTGTGTGTGCATGTGTGTATGAGTGTGTGCGCGCACACATGTGTGGTGTATGTGGTGTATGTGTGGGTGTGTGTGTGCATGGGGGGTGTGCACTCACATACTCATGTGCCTGTATGTCCTCAGTGTGCTAAAATATAAAGGAGCCATCAGAGAAATCTGCTTCACAGAAAGCAGGTCAGAGAAGGAACACCCCACAAGCTGTGAAGAGCCCTCATGTCAGGCCCCCAAATGGGCTGAGAAAGCAGGGCAGGCGGCCAGGACGAGCCTTCCCCACCACACCTCCTCAACAGGGCAGGAGATTGTAGGCTTTCTATCACGTTGTTATTGAAAGAAGACCACAGTCTATTGAGACAGATTCAAGATTCGAGGGGCTTGGCTGTTGCCGTTTATCCAAAGCTGCCGCATCTGTGTTCTCCAACAACCACATAGAAACGGCGCAGCCAGGAAGACCCCCAGGTCACCGCACTAGCTCGGGACTCACGGGACACACTTTCAAATTCATCCACGCCCATTAACAGGGAACAGGGGGACACCTGGCATGTTTTCGTGACCTGGTCTCCACATGGCCACTTGAGATTGTCCCCACCCCCTTGGGACCACCACTTTAATATTGCAAAGTGTCCTTGGCCGCCCCTGAAATGGCAGCTGCTTGGATTTCCTGAAATGTTAAAGGACTCCATTAAACAGATCTCTAAAAGGAAGGGCTCCTTCCCTGCCCCCTTCACGCGCCTCAGGTGGGTAGGCCCATCTGGCTCACTTGTCACAAACTGTAGATAAGAGCTCCAATTCCTTTGGGCTGGCCACCCATCAACAAAGACATCATCTTGGGGCTCACTGCCATTGCTGACTCCCGTGAGGTTTGTATACTGACTGTTGGAATGGCGGAGACCTGACCCCACAGGAAATCTGAGGCTGCCTGGAAGGAGAAGGGCCTCCCGAGAGACACCTCTGCTGCCCATCGTCATGCCTGTGTCTCACAGAGGAAATACTCACCCTGTGGCCCTTCTCGCCTGGCAACCCAGCCAGGCCGTCGAAACCCCGGTCACCCTGCAAAAAGGACAGAAAGGCTGCCTCAGACGCCACCCTGCACACGTGGACACCCCGCCTTGGTGTCCACCAAGTGATGGCCGCCCCGCCTTGGACCACGTTTCACACAGCATCTATGCACCCTGAACCCCATCGGCCAGCCCTCTCCCCATAGGCCCCCACTTTGCATCTACAATCTCAGCCTCTTCCCCTGCAAACATGAACATGGGCTGCAAAGGGGGAGATGACTTTCATCCCCAAGTCCCAGGCCCCGACGGGTCCTTAGTCATGCGGTATTTCAGCGACCGCTGCAGTTTCCCGTGTGTGTGAGTGTCTGCTGCTGATCTCCCCCACCCCAGGGAGGCTCCAGGAGAGCAGGGTCCCGGTGTGTCCGCTCACAGCTGTATCCATGGTGCCGAGGGGCTGCCCGCGCTCAGGAGGTACGCGTACCCATTGGTGGACGGGCCAGCACTGGCTACCCTCAGGCATCCTGGCTCTCTGGCCGGCCCCTCTTCTGCATGCCCTGGAGCCCGGGAACAGGGCCCTGTCTCATGGGTGTGCACACCATCTGGGGTGATGTCGATGATGGGACATTTTAGGCTTTCAGCCATGTTGTTGAAAGAAGACCATGGTCTTCTGAGACAGAGTCAACAAGACTGCGTTTCCTCCTGTCACCCCAGGCCACCTCACTAGCTTGGGACTGACGGGATGCACTTCAGAGCTCATCCACGCCCGTTAAGAGGGAACAGGTGTAGTTGAGCCCTGGCATTTTTTTGGTGCCCGGTCTCCAATCTCCAAATCACAGCTGCTGTCCCCAGGTGCACTCTTCACGGAAGGTCAGTATCTCCCCTGCCCCCCGTGGCCTGGGACAAATGCTTCCAAGAGGCGAGGAGGAGGGGTGAGCCAAGACCGGGGCAATGCTCACAGCAGTGCTGGGGCAGAGGGGTGGATACACTGAGCACAGCAGCGGGCAGGCATGAGTGGCGACAGCAACAGCTGGTGCATGCCTGGTGCAGCCTCATTCATGCCACACACACAGCCCTGCCTTTAGCCACGGGCAACATCTACTCACCTCCACAACACCCAGGAGTCCCGACTGGACAAGACCCCCTGGCCCCCGCACTTGCCATATGCCCCGCCTCTGCCCTACATGCGCCTCGTCACCTGCACGGCCACGGATGGTTTTCATAGTCGGGATCCCACCCCCATCCCTGCTCGCCACTGCTGGAAGGGAGCAAATTTCTCCCTTATGAAAATGAACTGCAACTGTCACGCTTGCTGGCGAAATTCACCCACCAACCCTATCTTCACGTCAAATGCCAGTGACGGAGCCACCTGTCATCATAATCGTAGTCATCACATAACCAGCATTTTGGTTACATCATCAACATGACCCCAGGGATGACAGTGATGCCAGGGCACCAGGAGGGTGGTGGGTGACCTACCTTGGGGCCAGTTTGTCCAGGCATTCCTCTGGCTCCATCACTCCCAGCCCGACCCTGGAACAAAGGAGGCAAAACCGTCAATGCAAAAGAGCCCCGGTTCACTGAGACCCCCGGGCCATGGTTTTCCGTTAAACCAAGTTGAGCGTTCCACCAGAGCCGCGCCCACCCCCAAGGTCACAGCCCGAGTGGCCGGGCTGCTGCGAGGACCCAGATCCAGGAGCCCGGGCGGGGCTGTTCTGTGCCTCACACCAACGGATGGAACACACGGGGCTGGTCTTTCCGGACCACGTCATCCCAGACTGTCAAAGGGGGATCACGCCACTGCCCCTGGGCTTCGAGAAGACGCCACAATGTGGCAGAGGAGACCCGGCTGGAGGAGCTGCGTCAGTCTAGGGGACCGTGAATTTAGGACTCAGGCGAGTGCAGGCCACTGACATCACAGACAGCACAGCTCCTTTCCACCATTTGGAGGTCAGAGGAAAGAGAGAAAGGACACATCTGGTTTGTCCACTTGGCTAAGGAAGAGGCCCAGGCCCCAAGTGAGGCCCAGTCTCACTCAGACCACACAGCGACGGGAGGCAGCATCTGCACGGTGAGCAGATGCCCTGTTCCTGATGGCCAGCTATGGACACAGTCAAGGACAAGGTGCCCAACTGACTGGCCATGGGGCTGAAGAGGGGACCTAGACCTTCCGGGGCCCACTGTGCAGGCCCCACCTTCACCACAGGAGAGCCCTGCAAGGGAACAGGGTCTCTATGAAACTCAGCCAGACCTCCACGCCAATGAGGCACCCCAGCCAGCGAGAACAGAGGGCTGCCACCCTGCACAACGAGGCACCCCAGCCAGCGAGTATAGAGGGCTGCCACCCTGCACTTCCATTTTCCAGGGGCTCCTCCTCATATGAGGCCCTTGCCCCCAACCCACCACCAAGCAGAGAGAAGATCTGGAGGGTGGCAGCTTAGGGTCTCAAAGCACTGGAGACAGACAAGGTGGCACCCGAGAACAGCCGAGAAGCAAAAAGAGAGAAATCCAAACACACCCCAAGGAGACAGTCGGTGCTCCCGTTGCTCCCCAAAAAGACATCGCCCTGTTGGGCAAATGGAGGGGCCCATTGGGAGCCTCTTCTAGATTTCCAAACACTTTTAGAAACCAAGGGAAGATTGTCGGAAAACTTCACAGGATTTCACAGCACAACTCAGCCCCGCAAAGCACCCAGATGCTTCTACAATTCACAAGCGAGCGTTCCTTGCAGGAAATGCTAGCAAAGAATGGAAGAGGCTGCTCAGACCACTTTGGAATCGACCCCTCAGCTCCAAGCCCCTCTCTCACCACCATCTTTTCTTCTGCAGCAGATCTTCTGGGCATACTTAATGCCTTAAAACACACGCATATGCATGGCCCCGACACCATGCAACTCTGCAGCTGGCCATGTTAGACAGCATTTCCCGAGTCTCCTCTTGTTCCAGTTTTTAACCTCACTCTAGGAAACCAGTTCTAGTGAAACTGGGTGGGAAGGATTTACGGAGACACACAAAAACACCTTAAGGAAATAAAACATTTTTCAGAATCAGATCCAAATAAATGGCCCAATTGTCTACCAAGAGTCGATTCCAGAGCTGCTAATCCTCCTGGAATTATCCAGCCCAGGCCTCTGTTTCATGCCCAGATCCCTGCATAGACCCTCGGACCTGCCAAACTGCGGCTTATCGGGTCATTTCTACCCACTAACCACAGCTTGCTCCCCAAGTCAGGAGCATCCAGAACCACTAGGGAAGGACCCATTTTTGCCTTGTTGACTCAGACTATAGCAGTCAAGGGTAGCTTAGGTAGACAACATACTGGGAAGAGGTCCACACTGAAACAAATCCAACCCTGCACCGAAATTTCTCTCGTTCACCAGAAAGGTCTGCTGGTTGAAAAGGTCCACTTTTGAGAGCACAATCTGGGCTCCCAGGGCCTGCCCCAGCCTGTCTGGGTGGTGGTCAGCACTCGGGAAACGTGTGTCCTCTTTTAGAAGCCAGGGTCATGTGCAAACAAACCAGTTCCATCCAGGAGAACCATGCACCAGACAGAAAATTCCAGGAGGCAAGACAGCAGGTAAGGCGCAGGAAGGCCCGCCCATGCCCCCGAATCAGGCCATTTCTGGAGTCCCAGTGCTGCCCGAAATATATAAGGCCCGCTGATAGTTTTGTCTTCTTAACATTTGCTCCCAAAGGGCCTGGGAAGTTTCTTGAATTAGAAAGGTTTATTAAACTAAATGAATGTGCCCAGGGAAGAGGCCTGGTCCGCTGTGTCTGCGCCCAGGACACAGAGCGCCCCTCCCAGGCAGCTGGCTCAGAGGCAGCCTTGGGGATGGACGCACCCATCACAAGAAGGGGAGCCACCTGGCTTCATGTGGCCCAGCTGGCTGTTGGGGGTGCCCGCACCCCAGATTTGGGCTCCTCCAGCGCCCAAGCTGCTGTCACTAAACCACACACACTCGCACCACTCACCCGTCTTCCGGGCTTCCCGGCCGGACCAGGCGGGCCTTGCACACCTCGAGGACCCTGCCAGGGGTAAGAGACAAAGGGTCAGTGGCGAGTCCGCCTTTCTCAGGAGAAAGAGCAAAGCCTTGTCCCTGTGCTCATCGACCCTGCCCATGCCTGGCTGTCCAAGCCACAAACATGTGGGCACTTCGGGGACGGGACACGGATCTGCTGCCCAGAATGAAGGCCAGGGACAGAATACAGCCAGCTCATTTCTGCCGCAGGTGTCAGAGTTCATTGTGCTCCACCCTCAGCACTGCGTAAAGCAAGGACAATTCCCACGAATTTCCTTGAAAACATGCAGCAGTTGGGGTCCCTCCATGCTCGCCGTCGCTGCCGCCGGAGAACGGGAGGCGCCCACCAGACAGCGAAGGCAAGGATCCCACATACCTGAGGCCCCACGTCTCCCGGCTCGCCCTTCAAACCTCCGCTCCCAGGGGGACCCTAGGGAGACATGGTGTGTGTTAATGTCTGCTCGAGGTGGGGACTCGAGAACACAGGAAGGGCTGGGGGTGGCAGGGGAGGGGCAGGGGGAGGGGACAGGGCTTCGGCCACGGTGCTCAGCACACAAAGCGCGACCTGTCTGCCTCGAACAGAACCGGGGGGAAGAACGATGACTTTCCAGGAGCCGGGAAATGCAGTTGTTTGGATCTCTTCCTAATCAGGAATACAATTCTAGTTGTTGGGGCTCGCAAACACCACAAAGCTCCTGGAGATGTTTCTCTCTCCGGGGTGAACCTGACCGTGGTCCGTTACAGCCCAAAGCTTCGAGCAGCGTATGCACCTGCTACAGGCCCCTCAAGGCCAGATCCCCCAGATGTGGGAGGCCAGCCCTGAGTCAGGCCCTGTGTGGAGGCGACCGAGCCCAGACCCAGTGGCAGGTGGCAAAGCCAGGAGGGCCCCTGTGGTGTTGAACTCCTCTGTGTGCCTGCAAACCCACACTCCTCCCCAGAGGCCCCGGAACCCAGCCCCTGTGCCTGACACTGGCAGCCCAAGTCTCCCTGGGCACACACTGTATGTTTCTCATGCATCGAGGACCCCAGATGAGAGCTAAGTTGAGGCCACAGGGCAGGGGCGGGTGAGGCTGGAAATCCTGCGTTCTGCCCCACACTTAGTTATCTTCAACTCTGGAACAGGGCTGTAAAGATCAATGGAGGCCCCTGCTCCACAAGGCAGTCACAGCCTGTGCGAGGGACTTCCCCAGGCCCCTGGCTGCAGCAGGACCCCATCCCTCTAAGGAGCCACTCCTCTGGTGACAGCTCATAGCGTGTTCTCTGCAGGGGGAGCCTGGAACTCCAATGCAGGGGTGAGGAGGGGCCTCCTCCTCTGATTCCTGCCAGCTCCTTTCCATTCAGGATGGAGTTGGAGGCTGTTTCCCAGGATCGCTGATGTCAGCTCTACCCCGCTGAACTCCCTCAAGTGACTTCGAGGCACAGTCACCCATCCCCACCCCCCACCAACAAGGGGGCTGGAGCAGCACCGAGAGAGGCCCCTGGTCCCCCTGGCCACCCTCCTGGGAACAGGCACTGGACCAAGGGCCGCTCTGTGTCCACAGGACCCCAGGGCCACCTGCCACTGTCCGCCAACGACACAGGGAGTGGGCCAATCCCCACACCACGCCCAGCTCTCAGATTTGCCAATGACTTACCACAGGGCCAGGTCTCCCTGTGAGACCCATCGGGCCAGCTGGTCCCCTCAGTGCCAACTGCAAAGGAAAGTGAGACACGCTGAGACAGGGCCCCAGCAGCAGTGCTCCGGTTTGCTGGCGCCTGAGCCGTGAGATGTGGCAGGAGGGAACGGGCAGACTGGACAGAGGAGGGACAGGAGACTCTGGAAAAGGAGGTCTGATGACTCCCCAAGGGCCCCCCCCCCCCGACTTCGATGGGGCTCTCAGCATCCACGGGAGTGACGTGGGACATGCAGAGGTGCAAGCCAGTGGGCCCCCGTTTCCTCCCTTGGGGGATAGGCCCCATCCCTCCTTCCTGTCTCTCTAGCCCACACAGAGAGGGCCTGCTCCCAGCCCATCACCCTTGGCTAGGTCAGAAATAAGCCTCTTACTCTGGGCATAGGGAGTACATTTTACACCTGAGCTCAAGCTGAGTCATGACATATTTTATTTCACATGGGAGGCGCTTCAAGCACTCCCAGCCACTGGGGAAGTATTTTGGGAGGGTAGGAACCCACCTGCCCCCTCTGCATGTGGCCCCCACCTGCACCAGTGCAGGGCCCACCGCTTTCCCACAGAGCCGCTTCTGCAGCTGCCAAGTGACTCTGTTTCCCTGGCAGATGCCATCTGAATTTTAGAATATTTTGTTTTGCATTATAAAATCTTATAGCCTATCATCCATTTAGCTTCAATTAAAATACACAAGATAAAAGGCCAGCCAGGCAGGCCCAAGCCCATAAACCCAGTGGCAGGTAGTGGGGTTTGCTACACACCACCTTCCATCATTCAGGCAATTTGCTCCATGGTAACGACTCTGTGCTTACACTGTCCTGTAATTACCTAAGCACTCTGATCATTAACATCTACTCTGGCTGCTGTGGGAGCTGCATAAATATTTCTCAAACAAGGGATTACTTAGCAGCTTTCTTGCACTCCGCTGGAGGATTACCCACCCACCCACCCGCCCCACGGGGCAGTGTTTACACCTATCGTGGGCAATCAGCAATCCGGAGCCAAGTCTACAGAAAACACAGGCCACTAATGAGCTACTTCACAATAGGGAGGCAAGTGCTCCTCTGCGGACCCTGCTCCTTAGGACCCCCCAGGCTGAGAGTGAGGGGCTCTGGGGCCCAAGGGCTCTCTCCCAGAGGAGCCCAGCTCCAGCCCAGGCAGCCCCTTCCAGGAGCCACGTGGGTTTCCGGCTCCACTTCTGGATCCCAGCAGAGGGCCTAGCACAGAGGCAAAGGTCACCAACGGTGGAAGGTGGGCCTACTGGGTCAGAGGTGGAGGGGCCCAGAAGCCCCTTGTAAAGTTAGAACCCGGACCCTCAGCATGGACAAAGAACTGCTGAGAAACTCCCCAAACAGTCCCCATGATCTCGGGGTCCCTACTGGACAGTGACACGCTCTCGGGGTCCCTACTGGACAGTGACACGCTCTCGGGGTCCCTACTGGACAGTGACACGCTCTCGGGGTCCCTACTGGACAGTGACACGCTCTCGGGGCCCCTACTGGACACTGACATGCTCTCAGAGCCCCTACTGGACACTGACATGCTCTCGGGGTCCCTACTGGACACTGAGGACTGGACGCTCCCACAGCTCCTGACCCCAGCAAGCAGGCATTCTGGGATCAAGACAGCTGCTTCCCTCCAAGTTGGGCTCTGAGCCTGACTCACTCACTCCTGTTGGCCCCTGGGGCTGGGCTCTGTCCCCTTCAGGCCTCTTGGGACCCAGCAGTACTCACCCTGGCCTGCTGGAGAATGGCTTGCGCCTGGGACTCCTGGGCTGAGACCATGGGGCCTTTGGAGCCCGCATCGCCGCCACCTCCAAACCGGAACTGCAAGTGTAAGACAAGGGTCACTCTGGGAGCAGTGACGTGGCACCCAGGCAAGACCACAGACTGAGACGGGGCCCACAGGCCTCTCCAGTGACAGCGCAGCCTCAGAGGGTCTGGTTTGGATCCCACCTGCCCCAGCTGCCTCCCCACCTCCGACTGATAAGGGTACTCACGGGCAGCATGAGCATGGTTCCTGGAGGACCGGGCAGGCCATCGGCCCCAGGAAGGCCTGGGCGTCCAGGGGGGCCCTGAAGACAAGGGGCCAAGAGAGACAAGTCAGAGTGCAACCAGGCCAGGGCTGGGCTGCAGCGAGAATGAGGGCGTCGGAGAAGCGGCCCACCCGGGAAATGCACTGGACACGCACAGAAGCTGTGAGACCCCGTGGCAGGAATGTTTCAGAAACCCCCACCCGGAGAAGGGAGGGGCACGGCTGTGGGCTGAGGATCGGAAAGGCTTTGGAGGGAGGGATAAGAAGGGAGGGAGGTCTGAGCTGGATATAGAGAAATCCAGAGACCCAGCAGGCGTCCTCTGGGGCCTCAAGGCAGAGACAAGGAGCCCGAAGGTGAGGAGGCAGTGTCAGGCTCTTGTCGCTCCAGGAACGCCCCTTTTAGGTCTCCATACCCAACAGGAAACAAAGACTCCAGGCTCAAGGCCCAGTGCCTCCTGTGCCCAGTGGGCACTTGTCCTTAATGGGCTCCGAGCGAGCCGCCTGTGCCTGCTCAGATGGAAGACGGGATGGAGCAGCCACTTGCGTGGATGGACACGCAACACAGCAGAGCACACACTCAGCCACAGCAACTTCAAGAACCCACTTATATGTAAACGACACAGTGCCCTCCTCACGCCCAGCCAACCTGGCCACACAGACATACCTAGGACTGGATTCTCTAGACCAATTCCAGCCAGCTTCAGACCACTATACGCATGTAAAACCAGTAAGATGATTTATTTTCAAAATAATATTTGATCACAAAGCTATTTCACAAAAGCAAGCAGATTCTCAGCTGGCCTAAAGTAGATGAGGCTTGTCTTGCATAGAGACTGGAGCTTAACCCCCTCTCCCCAGTGAGAAAAGCCTCCACCAACTACACTCCAGTTACACTCCAGTGTAGCGGATGGGTGCTGGCTGCAGTCTTCCGAATCAGCAACAGCTACACTGAGCATGTGTGTTCACACCACCTGAGTGAGACGCTCCCTGCCAGGAAACCCATGATGGATTCCCAACTCCCAGACAGAAAGACCAAGAACCTGAGTGGTTTTTCTGGAACTATCCAGAAGGCTGTGGAGCCATCTGGGCCTGAACCTAAACTTGCCTGCCTTGTCTTTACTGGTTGCTTTTTGTTGCAGAAGTAACTCCATTTCTTGTGAAATGGCTTAAGGTACACATTTATACAGTGAAAGTGAAAGGTCCCTTTTCATCTCCGGATGTAACCAGTGCTCAAGTTCTGTAAGTGCAAAGGCAAAGATGAAGACGCACATGCTGGACACACTAACTAACACATTCATCACTATGAGGCTGTGTGGCTTCGGAGTTTTGTTTTTTTTGTTTTGTTTTGAGACAGAGTCTCACTCTGTTGCCCAGGCTGGAGTGCAGTGGCATGATCTCAGCTCACTGCAACCTCCGCCTCCCCGGTTCAAGCAATTCTCTGCCTCAGCCTCCCGAGTAGCTGGGATTACAGGTGTCCACACCAGCGTGGGCTAACTTTTGTATATTTAGTAGAGACGGGGTTTCACCACCTTGGCCAGGCTGGTCTTGAACTCCTGACCTCGTGATCCACCCGCCTCGGGCTCCGAAAATGCTGGGATTACAGGCATAAGCCACCGCGCCCAGTCTCTTTCTTTTTAATGATACTGTCCCTAAATATTCTGCAATTTGCTCTTGAAATCATGGCCTGTCTCTGTAGATATCCTTGGCAACATCTGTTGCATCTCCCAGGCACAATGGACTCCTTGTTTATTTAACCCGTCTTCTGCCGATGCACGTTGGATTGGTTCCAGTTTGCATTATGACAAACACTGCCCGACAGACGTGCTAACATATTCTACTAGGTAAGTCCCTCAAAGCAGTGCTGCTGGGTCAAAGAATGTATATATGTGTATATTTCTGAATTGCTAATGGATACTGCCCAATTGCTCCCAACTGCCATTTTGGAAAACACTCTCAGAAGACAAAAATCGTGTTTAAAAAATAAAGATCCAAAACATGTTTGCCGCCCAGGTTTTGTCATTGACATACAATCCTCATAGCCACTTACAGCTGAGATTCCTGTGTCGGAATCAATTCCAAACCAAACCTTGCATTTAAGATTTGGGGTCAGTGTCTCCCAAGGACAAGCTGCTGTCTGTGCAGTGCATGTGTGTAAGTGTGTGTGCATGTATGTGTGGATGTAAGTGTATGTGTGTGCATGTGTGAATGTAAGTGTATGTATGTGCATGTGTGTGAATGTGTGAATGCATGTGTGTGCATGTATGTGACTATCAATGCATGTGTGTGTGCATGTGCATATATGTGTAAAGGCATGTGTGTGCATGTGTAAATGCATGTGTGCATGTGTGTGGGTGTGCATATGAATGCATGGGGTGTGTGCATGTGTGTGAATGTATGCATGAATGCATGTGTGTGCACGTGTGGAATGTGTGAATGCATGTGTATGCATGTGTGGATGCATGTCTGTGTATGCATGTGTGGATGCATGTCTGTGCATGCATGTTTGTGGGTGTGTGCATGTGTGAATGCATGTGTGCATGTGTCTGCATGTGTATGAATGCATGTGTGTGAATGCATGTGTATGTGTGTGTGAATGCATGTGTGTGTGAATGCATGTGTGCATGTGTCTGCATGTGTATGAATGCATGTGTGTATGAATGCATGTGTGCATGTGTCTGCATGTGTGTATGAATGCATGTGTGCATGTGTCTGCATGTGTGTATGAATGCATGTGTGCATGTGTCTGCATGTGTATGAACGCATGTGTGCATGTGTCTGCATGTGTGTATGAATGCATGTGTGCATGTGTCTGCATGTATGAATGCATGTGTGCATGTGTTTGCATGTGTGCATGTGTCTGCATGTGTGTATGAATGCATGTGTGCATGTGTTTGCATGTGTGTATGAATACATGTGTGCATGTGTCTGCATGTGTATGAATGCATGTGTGCATGTATCTGCATGTGTGTGAATGTGCGTGTGAATGCATGTGTGTATGAATGCATGTGTGTGAATACATGTATGCATGCATATGCAGGTGTGTGTGGATGTGTGAACGTCCATATGAATGTGTACGTGTGTGCATGTGTGTGAATGCATGTGTGTATGCATGTGTACGTTTGTGTGGGAATGCATGTGTGTGCATGTGTGTCTGTGCATGCATGCTCCTGCTCACATGGTGTTGCTGTAGGAAGCCAGGAAGTCTCCTCAAGGCCACTCCTTGTCCACTGCTGTCCATTTCCAAAGACCCTCTTTTCAGCATCCTTCCTGCCTGTTCTAAGCCACGGTGGTGAAAATCCAATCCCCAGGCTGTGAAAGCAACTTCCCTCTGATGCCGCTTCTCACCGACACCCGGAACAATTCCAAAGAATGGGAACGTAGATGAACAAGGATAACGTGAAGTCCTAGAAGAAGGAGACAGTGTGGAGAAGAAAGGAAAGAATGTCGCCACCCCCATGAACCCTTCCGAAGTGTTCAAATTTGACACAAGTCCTCAGGGCCACCAACATGAACCTGCATTTGCTATCACTTAGAAACATTGTCAGCAAGCCTTTGCCAAGCCCTGTGGTCTCTAACGTAAAGACTTTGACCCCTGGGCTGAAAGACACGGCTACACCTCAAAGTCACATTTCCAATTTTCATGACACAAAGCACGGGCCAGCGATGTGGCTGTTGTCTGCGACAAGGCAGGTGTCAGACACCAAGGGAACGCTCCAGCAGGCCCACACACAGGTCATGCGGATGCTGCTTGGCTCCAGCCACAGGCAAAATATGGCAAAATAAGAAATCCCACCTTGCCTTTGCTATTTGCATGTATTTTCCTGTTACTCCATTAGCTGGCCCCCAAATCAGTGCCCTAACTTGGTCAAACAGCAATGTTCTGAAGGCCCTGGCACAGGAGGGCTCTCAGTGTCATACCTATACCAGGTGAAGAAATCAGGTGCCTACTTCCAAATGAAGGCACCACTGGTATCTAACAGGGTTTCTTTCCTGAGGACGTCCAGACGTCCTTTGCACAGAGACGATGTGGCTGGGTGACCAGATGCCTCACAAAGTGGCTCCCTCTGCCACTGCAGATTCAGCACGTGAAACTGTCCCCACGAGACCCTCGGCTCAACCTCAGGGGAGAGGCACAAGGCCTCTTTCCAGGCCGGGATTTGGGTCAAAGCAGTGAGCAGAGAACTCTGAGCCTTTTCTCTTCATGGTGGTGGCAGGTTTGGGAGGAGCTGTAGGCCTGCAGGAGGCTTTGTGTTGAAAAGCTCCCTTCCACTCTCGGAAAGAGCTGGAGCAGGAGGGCAGTGTGCAGGCGTCTCTCCAGAACCTTTGTGTGCATGTGGTTCTGTCCAGGCCCGACCCTGGGCAGGCCCAGCTCGGGAGTGGCTGGGAGAAGCTCTCAGTGGTCACTTCCTGCTGGACATCTCCTGGCTGTGCAGAACACGTACGTGCATGACCACGCGCGGTGGGCTGAAGGGTCTCTCATCAAAGGTACATCCAGGTCCTGAAACACGTGACTGTGCCCTTACTTGGGGTCTTTGAGGATGGGAGTGAGGATCTTGAGATGAGATCTTGGGTCCTAAATCCAATGATGAGTCCTTGTAAGGGAAGAGGAGGGGAGGCAGTGACAGAGACACAGGGGAGGGCTGGGTGAAGACAGAGGCAGAGACTGCAGAGATGCGCCGGCAAGCTACAAGGGCAGAGGACGGCCAGTGGCCACCAGGAGCCAGAAGAGGTGAGGAAGACCCTCACCTGGAGCCTCCAGAGGGGGTGCGGCCCTGCCTACACCTTGATTTCAGATTTCTGGCCTCCAGAACTAAGAGAGAAGACATTCCTGTTGCTTTAAACCCCAAGTTGGTCATCAATTGTCCGAGGATCCCAAAGAAATGAACCCACCATTCGTTCGTTCATTGAGAGGGTTCCTACTGAGCCCCTTCCAAGAGCTAGACAGACACTCTTCCAGGAGCCCTAGGGCCCATCTAAAAGACTGGAAGCGGGGCCCTATCAAGAAGCCTGATGCCTCAGACCGCACCCCTCAACCAGAACTAACAACCAGAAAATCCACAGGAGGGGCTCTTTATCCATAGGCCACCAATAATCGGGGCTCTGGGTAAGACCTGCGGCCTTAAGGGGCCCACGTGAGAAAGACTCCTGGACTCACCCAGCCATTGCCACTAACTGACCGTGATGAACACCCTGGCAGACCCTGCATGGGGTCCTACAGCATAGTGCACTTGGCGCCATTCATGCAGCTCCTGCCAGCTGTCCCTTCACTCTAGAAATGTCCCGAGGCCTTTGCTCCCTTCACCTCTCTCTCCACAAACTGTACTTGATTTTCTTTTCCATATGATAATGTATACCCTCCAATGAATCTTCAACACTGAGCTCGCTTTGGGAGACACACACTGCCTCCAGGGCTACAGCAGAGAAACCCACAGTTCCCACTGATCTCCTGGTATGGCACCTGAGGCTTGGACAGATTCCTATCAGTGGCCTCAGGGGACTAAGCTTTGAAGATAAATGTGACTCGAAATGGCCAGAAGTCATTCACGACCAGGCTGCTGGGGATTCGGGCACACAAGCCTGCAGACCAGCCTCCATGGAAGGGCCGTGTGGAGGTGAACCCAGACAGCGCACGCGTGCATGTAGATGTGTGTGCACGTGCACGCCTGGGTGTGTGCATATGTGCATGAGTGTGTGTGCAGGTGTGTGAGTGCATGTGTGTAAATGTGTGTGCATGTGTATGGATGAGTGTGCATGCATGCATGAGTGTGCGAATGTGTGTACATGTGTGGGTGTATGTGTGTGCATGTATGAGTGAGCATGTGCATGAATGTGTGTGCAGGTGTGTGAGTGCATGTGTGTGTAACTGTGTGAGAGCATGTATGGGTGTGTGCATGCATGTGTGAATGTGTGTGCATGTGTGTGAGCGTACCTGTGTGCATGTCTGGGTGAGTGTGTGCATGAGTGTGTGTGCAGGTGTGGGTGAGTGTGCATGTGTAAGTGTGTGTGCATGCATGTATATGTGGATGTGTGTGCATGTGTGGGTGTGAGTGTGCATGTATGGGGGTGTGCATGAGTGTGTGCAGGTGTGGGTGACTGTGCATGCATACGTGTATGTATAGGTGAGTGTGTGCGTGTACACATGAGTGTGTGCGTGTGTGGGTGTGTACATGTGTGCATATACGGTTGAGTGTGTGCATGTATGCATGTGTGGGCATGTATGCATGAGTGCGTGCACGTAGGCATGAGTGTGTGTGCATGAGTGCATGTGAATGTGAGTGCATGTGTGGGTGAGTGTGCAAGCGTGTGTGCTTGAGTGTGTGTGTGAACCTCTCTGAGCAGCTCTGCCAAGATGTCCTGAACACTTCTAAAGACAAGGAGAGACTGGATTGGCGTGTCCCATCCACAGGAGCCTGGGAGCCAGGAAAGCAAATGAATCCCATGCTGCTTGCTTCTTCCCCACAGCTTTTCTCGAAGCTAACTCCTTCGGAGTCAGACAGCAGCTGCGTGCTCGTGAGTGGACTTGCTCACTCTGTCAAGTTGCCAGTGATCTAGCCTGTGTCCTCTCCCACCCTGGGTGTAGCACCAGCAGGCCATGGGGAGGGGATGGCATAGCAGGGCATCACCCCAAGGCTGGTCCTGGGGAGACCACACCAGAACCTGTTAGGTAGAGGTGAGCCACACTTTCTGGCTGGGAGGTAGTGACTGCTGTTTTTCAGGGCATGGCTTACATACGAAACTTTTCAAGGCACAGAAAATGCACTCACGCAAAATCCCATGGGGAAGGCTAATCCTGGACACATAAAAAAGAGGGGGAGAAGGTTTGAGCCCCTGCTGAGTGACAGGAGGGGCTGATAAGACAGCGCCGGGCAGCATCATTATTGCCAGGCTGCTTCTGCACATAATGGGGTCATTGAAGGGTGGGGGCCTCCTCCCAAGGCATCAAATGCATCCCACTGTGCAGGGAGCGAGGTGCCCCTGTGTGGCAATTTGGAGAAAGCTTGGGAAACTGCCTCCACTCTGACCCTGAGGCGGCTGGGAAAGAAACCTGCATACTGAATCCCTGGGGCTTCCCAGAGGAGGATCCAGGCCCCCCAGCAGGTGGGACCTGCCCACAGACCCAGAAGCAGATCGCTACTTTACCCAAAAGTAATAAATATGCTGTAGGTGGAAAGATCTGTGTGAAGTCTCTCTTAAGAGCAATAGATGAGTGGCTGGTCAACACCAGCTGGCGCTCTCGGGAGTCAATTAGACGGTAAGCAAGCTTATTTCTAGATGAAAACGTTAAACTCTCCAGTGGACTGCGGAGATTCAGGAGGAGTTTGGCCACAGCATCCTGAAAAATGCAATCAAATCCACAGTAACACTGGACGGTATTCAGGAGCTGCCTTAAAACACAGGAGTGCCTGGGGTGCAAGGCTTTTGGAGAGGCACACGGGGAAGGGAAAGGAAGGGACTCGCCTCAAAGACGCTCTGATCACAGGGAACATTTCTTAGGCACAAATATCCGTGGACACCAGCTCTGGGGCACACACGCGAATGGATGTAGGGGGCGCTCACAAGCAGCACAGAGGTGGCGCCTGCCTTCCGGGTGTTTCTATCGAGGCTAGCAGGTGTGGGCCCTGGAAGTCCATGGAAGGCGGGACTCACTGGGGCCTGAATCTTTACTGATGGTCCCCAGCCCTCTCCTTCCCCCACCTGCCCGAGGAGCCCAGGGAAGGGCTTCGCTGGGCAAACACTGCTCAGCGACCCACAGGGGCACGGCACTGCCACCATGGCATCATAGGGAACCTTCACAAATGCACAGCCTCATGATTTCAGACCCACTGATATCTCACTATATTCCCGGATGCGCAAAAGAGTCAGCCCCTACAGAAACGCACTGGCAGGTGGCACAGAAGCCAGACCCACAAGAAACCCAGGCCAGAGAGGGGCTGAGTAACGGCCACCTGGCCTGCAGCTCACTTGGGGACTCCCAGCTCTCTTGGGTTTCCTCTGAACCTCAAAGTAAGAGTGGCCACCTTCCTTCTGCCACAGGAGATCTGAGTTCAACCCCAGGTCTACCTCTATCTCCCTGCGGGCACATTGCCCCAGCTGTGCACCTGCTCACCAGTCACCTGAGGGAAACTGGATGGGATGATGGTTCGAGCCCCTTCTCCACCCGGACACAGCCGCTCCAGACCTCCCATCTCGGGATTCCCAGCTCTTCCTCCAATGCCTTTACTAATTAATTCTTGCTGTCTAACCGTGCCTGGTCTGTGCCTTTTCTTCCTCACTGGACGGTGAGTTTCTTAAGGCAGGCCCCACTTCTGTGCCTCTCCTTGCACTCTGCTCCCTGCGGGCAGCCGTGGGCACAAGAGCAAGAAAGGATTTGAGGTGCTAGAAGGCAGATGCAGCATGGAAGGTCATCCAAGGGGAGCAGCGGGAGAGTGTGCAGGGCTCACCAGAGTGTGTGAAGGAAGCAACACCCAGGGCCAGCCAGTGGAGGCACAGGGTGTGGGCTTCAGCAGCTGGTCAGGGCTGCATGATACCCAGTGGGATGCCACGGCACAGGTGCACAGACGGCTCCCAGCCAATTGCCACGGCTGCCCACGGCTGCCCACAGGGAGCAGGGTGTGAGGAAGGGCACAGAAGTGAGGCCTGTCTTGAGGAACTCACCATCCAGTGAGGAAGAAAAGGCACAAACCGGTCACGGCCAGACGGCCCTTGGGGAAGGGAGGAAGGGCTGGGGAAGCCCAAGGCGGGAGGTTGGGAGTGGCAGGGAGAAGAGGGCTCTTCCAGACCCCAGGGAAAAGGCCCTCCCAGACAGAGGCACAGGAGGCCAAGCAGACGGAGGGGACAGAGCACGCCACTCCCCTGCAGAACGACTATTTTCTGCTGAAGCCAAGTAAGAATCGACGGACGCAAGAAGAGTTCTCTTACCTCCCCTCTTCTGCCTAAAAGCAGGGCATTACCCCCTCCTCCCACCCCACCCTCCTGCCTCTGCTTCTGTACCAGGATTTGGAGAGCGCCCCTTATCACCTGAGAGGGAGGCCAGCCCCCAGTGAATCTGCATCAACAGACTTTGCCAAGATAACCTTAATCTTCCATTCGTTCCTCCATGGAGTTCCTAGTCACTTGCCCACCATCTGTCACCCCGCGAAGCCCAAACCCCCTTTTCCTTGGTCTAGCCACTTCTCCACATCCTATTGCTGCTTGTTAAAATGGTATATATGCTCCCGAACCCAAGCACTTTTTTTGGTTTTTACTTCTTGTCTGCGAAGCCCCCGTGCATAGAAGATTAAAAGTGTTAAAATCGTATGCCTCTTCTCTTGTTAATCTGTCTTTTGGAGGCCCCAGATGCTCAACCTCCGAGGGCAGAGACAATGTTGTTTCTCCGCCGCACAGGCACCTGAGCCCGGCCCACCGCAGGCTGCACTGCAGGGCCTCACCCCATAGCCAGTGATCTTTCACAGCTGATTAGCGGGCATCGAGCAAGATCTGGACATCAAGAGGGCGCTGAGCGGTGAGCAGGGATGGCTTCCTGAACAAGGCTGGCCGGAGCTGGACCCAGAGGGGTGGTCAGCTCTCAGCTCCTGGAACCAGCACCCCTCTCACTGGAAGGGCCCTGGGGAGGCCGGTGGGCTCCAGGTCTCTCCTCTGACTCCACGGATGGCAGACCCTGGAGGAGTTGGCTCCTCTGCCAACCCCAACCTCAGTCCTCATGCTCCTGGACCCTGATGTGAGTTTGAGGAGGACCAGCTCCTAAACCAACGATATTCTCCAGTCAGGGCCCTTGGCTCCTCCACGGCAGCTGGGTAGGTCACGGTGTCACAAGGCACTGGCAGGGCCACCCACCAGTGACTCCCAAGCCAGGATCAGCCCAAAGGCAGGGACCGCATGGTGAGGTGTGAACCAGCACCCCTCTGGTTCACACCATTGAGATCCCCAGGCTAGAGCAGTGCCCAGCCCTGCAGGCACTCAGTACAAATCTGTACGCTGGATGGATAGAAGGAGGACGGAGCCGTGGAACACCACTGAGGCAGTGTCAGTCAGCATCTGGGTGCCCTGTGTGTCAACCGGCATTTGTGCCCTGTGGGTACCACCCTGTCCTACATCTGGGAGAGAAAACAGCTCCCAGTGCCATGCAATGCACTCTCCTTTGCATACGAACCCAGCCACACCTGTGGACCCATCCGCAGGCAGCTCTGCGGAGGAGGAGCTTGGCCGTTGCCCCATCTCACGCGAATCTGGGGGAAGGGGTCTCCAGAGCGAGCTGGGGTGGCTGCAGCCCCCAGCACAGAGCTCCAGCCATGCCGGTCCTGGCTGGGTAAGAGCAGCGGCCACTCGCTGTTGCCTGTCTGGAGTTTTGGCCGGTGCTGGCTGGGCAAGAGCAGCGGCCACTCGCTGTTGCCTGTCTGGAGTTTTGGAAATGTGGCTGCCAGGCCGGGGATGCTGTGAAAGCTTTGTGCTCCAGAGGCCAGCCAAGCCCCCACCCCACTCTGTTTCCCGCCACGGCCCTTGCCATGGAGCAAGACCCGCCTCTTCTGGACCTCCAAATCCCTGACCGTGAAAAGCAACGTGGCAGAGAATCTTACTGTGTGGCCCAATCTGATGCGTACTGCCCTCAGAGGTCACCCAGCCACACAGAACGATAACAACCTCCTCCCGCATAGCTGACCTGAATCCTTCTCCTCCAAAGGCCGGCCTCAGTGCTCCCATCTCCTCCCCAAGCAAGCATCCCCACTGGCTCGGCTCTTGCTCCCAAGAAGGCTGCCGCCGCCTGCCCCTGCATCCTGCTGCCTGACCTCACCTGTCCTGCCCCTCCCCAGCTTTCCAGGGGTACTGAGCACCTGTAAGAACCTCCAGGTCCAAGGCCAGGACTTACTGTCCTGCGCCCTGGCCCGCCTTTCCTGAGCACTGCTGCAAAGCCACCAGGCACTGCACAAGACACTCCCCAAACGCCTCCCCGTGCAGTAACCTGGGAAGCATCCCTAGCCACTGCGCTCTGACATCACGAACCACCTTCTCACACGACCAGACCCTGCCCTGCATCCACCCACCACAACACCCACAGGGTCCTCACTCTGCCCCGGACAGCAGGCAGGGCCCTGGCGTGAACACCCGCGAACACCCGCACGCAGCCCTTGTTTCTCCCACCCACAAGCCAGCTGTCCAGGAATCAGTTCTTAGTCCTTCTGCACTCAAATCCACATTCATTCCAACAGCAGGAAGAGAAAACTCCCGCCCCGCCGGACACCAGGAGGCCGCAGTACTTGGAGCGCCCACCAGGTGTCAGAAGGAAATCGCGGCAGCCAGGGAGCAGCTCTCCCTCCATCTCCTCCCGCGGCGAGGGACACCCGAGGATGCCTCTGAGCCTGTGAGCCAGGTGCAACCCAGACCAAGGAAGTTCCCAAACCCAGCAAGGGGGGTGGCCAATTCCACGTGGTGTGGCTGCCCAGGGGCGAGGAGTGGGAAAGGCCCCGGAGCCATCTGCTGTGGTTACTGCTGCTGCGGCCGTTTGCTGGGCAACTGCAGGGTCCTGAGGCCACCGTCTGGGCTGAGCACTGGCAGGCTCCCTGGGCCCCGAGGGGCCCCACTCTCCCCATAGCCACAGTTCAGCCCCAGAAACATCTGAACGGGGCTGGTGTGAGGAGTGCCTGGGTGAGGGGGGATTTGAAGACACAAGCCTCTGGGTCACCTCCACAGGCAGGGACAGCTCGGGTCACAGTGTGGAGAGGAGGCGTGGGCAGCCCCACACCTTGTGTGATCTCAGGAAACACAGTCAACCTCTTACCCTTTCTCCAGGGTCCCCGACTTGGCCAGTGGGACCCATGGTTCCTGGAGGTCCGGGAAGACCCTAGAATTAAAAATAAAGTTGGGGCAGTTAGAAGATGGGGCCGCAGGGCAAGGTCCAAGTTCCAACTGGCCAACCAAGGCAGAGGTGGGGGTGGGATAGCGCCGGCTCCCAGGGGATCTGCAAAAGCGGAGAGCCCCCCTCTTTTCCATCCAGGAGACATAAGGGGTGTCACCAACCCCACCCCACCAAGAGCACCTTCTGCAAGTCACAGGATAAAGCCGGATACTCACCGCGGGGCCTTCTGGGCCAGGCGGGCCCTCGATGAGCATGCCCTGGGGAGACAGAGAGAGGGCGTCTGAGACCGCAGCCCATCCCTCCCGACACCCCAGACCCCAGTGGTGTGGACGGCCTTCAGCTGCATGCACAAGAGGCCCTGGCTCAGCTCCTGCTGTCCTGGGGAGTCACGAGCACAGACTGCAAAGGGGGCCTGTGGTGGGGCCTCAGTGGCTGTCCTCCTGGCACTCGCTGGCAGAAGAGCAACCCGGGCCAGCGGCCAGTGACAGACACAGGCTCCCGCAAGACCAGCGCCACGAGAAGCACCTGAAGACGCCGAGATGAGGAAAAGGAGCCGAGACCGCCAGGCTCCCTGCATCACCCCAAAGGGGAGTGCCAGGCAGGTCCGCCAGGCCAAAGCCACTCGAGGGAGGAGGTGGATGCCAGGACAAGGGGACTCGGGTGGATTTGGGAAGGATAAGGGAAAAATAGGTGCCCCAGCTCCAGGCTGAACTTCTGTCCCCAGCCAGGACCACCGTCAGGCCCCAGGGCTGCAACCTCCAGACCCCGCCTCCCTCCAGGTAAGAGGTGCATCCTCCCATGCACGCAGCAGCCCAGAACCCATGGGAAACCCTGCCATGTCCACCTGCCCACTCAGCCCTCCTCCTCTGGCCCTCACCTCACCACAGGGCCCATCTGCCTCAAGCACACCCAGGCCTCACTCTAACCCCAATGGGGACAGGGCCTCCTGGCTCTTGGGTCAGCCTGAGCCCTGGGAAAGGCAATGTGGACAGCTGTGAAGGCAGCAGTGGGAGCGGCTCCCTGCAGGACGGGGCTCCCTGCCCTGAGACCCCCACTTCCGACCCCTTCCCCAGGGCGGGATTCCTCTCTCCACTTCTGACCTGGCAACGCCAGGGTCAGGCACCCCCAATGCCCCAAGAGTCCTCCGTGTTCCATGACGACTTCAGGGCGACTGTTCCTCAAGGGACTTGCTCTGACAGATGGGAACCAGGTGCTACTCAACAAGACAATGGAGAATGACCCCGAGGCAGCCAGAGATCTTTGAGGCAAGCTAGGACCTGGGGGACCACATTTTCAAAGAGGTACCCAGGAACTCAGCATTCCCTGCCCTGCACCCCTCAAGTGTCTGCTCCCCACGTTGCGACACAGCACCCGTCAGCCGCCCAGCCAAGGCTCCAGCAGGCCCAGGGGCAGCTCTGGCTCAGCTCTGGAGGGTGTGGGTGTGGCCTCGGCGACACCCATGGGTACTGATTATCCTGCAGCTGCAGGGAAGGAAGGCAGGAACTGCGGCCATGGCGCCCTCCACGTAGAGGTCAAAGTGTGGCATGGACAGCCTGGGGTCCCGTGCAGAAACCAGCCACAGGGGCAGAGGCTCTGCAGAGAGTTCCCTGGGATGACGCCTGGTGGATCTATGGAAGTGGAGGCACCATTGAGACCCCAGGACTGTAGCGTCACCAGCATACAGCGCCAGCCTGGGAGGGCAGCAAGGACGAGGCTCCAACTCCTGAGACCTGCTGTGCAAAGCTGTATGAGCAGTGCTGCCTGAGGCCCTGGGGCCGCCTCCCTCCAGTGTGCCCAGGAGGTGGCACACCAAGTGAAAGATTATTCTAGAAAGGTTCGTCCTGTGGGGTTTTGAACTTCCTCGGGGCTGCTACCCCTTTCTTCATGCTTCTCTTTTGGAATGGGAACCTGTCCCCCTCCCCATCACCATGTAGTTTGGAAGCATGAGGCTTGTTTCATTCCCCAAGCTCACAGCTGGACAGGGATTTGCTTCAAGATAGATAATTTGAGCCTAAGTCTCATCAGTACCTGATTTGGGTGAGACTCTGGACTTCGAACTTTTGAGATGATGTGGGTACCGGATGGAGTGAATGTAAACTGTATGTGAGAAGGACATGAATTTGGGGGCTGGGACAGAATGTGCTAGGGTTTGAATGTGTCTCCCCAAAAGTCATGTGTTGGAAACTGAATCCTCAATGCAACCGTGTTGAGAGGTGGGATCTTCAGGAGGTGATTAGGTCACCAGGCTCTGCCTTCCTGGATGGGTGAATGCAGCTACGATGGGAGCGGGCTCGTTAGGGTGGGAGTGGGCTCTTGATGACAGGATGGCAGCAGTCACCTTCTCTCCCGCTCCTTCTCACCATGCGATGCCTTCCGCTATGTGAGGACACAGCAAGAAGGCCCTCGCCAGATGTGGTCCCTCTATATGTGACTTCCTGACCTCCAGAACTGTGGGCCAATGAAGTCCTGTTCATTCTAAATCACCCTGACTGTGGTGTGCTGTAACAGCAGCTCACAATGAACTAAGCTCACTTCTGACAAGTCAAAGGTTGTGTCCAGCCAGGCCACAGGCCACAGGCCACCGGAGGCTGCTGCCAGAGGTGCTGGGTACCAGGCTGGTGAGGGGACTCCCGGCCAGGGGGCTGCAGATGTCCAGCCAGTTCACAGGCCACCGGAGGCTGTCACCAGAGGTGCTAGGTGCCAGGCTGGCAAGGGGACTCCCGGCTGGGGGGGCCGCAGATGTCCAGCCAGGCCACAGGCCACCAGAGGCTGTCACCAGAGGTGCTGGGTACCAGGCTGATGAGGGGACTCCCGGTTGGGGGGAACACCGATCTCCCCACCCCTCCCATCCTGCCCCAGCTGGGGAGCTCTGCACTGTGTTTACACAGATGCACACTCAGAGAGACACCCGTGTGTGTGCTGTACACAGAGAGCTCATCCAAGCAGCCTCCAAGATGCCAGTTTTCCAATTTCCGTCTCTGACAAAGGCAGCTGAGAAAGCCCAGGGCTGAGCTGGGATTAAGGGAGAAACCACTGGCCATCAAGGGGCCAGGGACAGCAGCTGCCTTCCCAGACACGCAAATTGCTTTTCTCAGGGAACTGGGGCAACGCGGGCGGGGACCTTGCAGGGAAGCCAACACCAGATCATCCCAGGTCAGCGTCTGAAGGAAGCTGGGAACAGCTGGATGAATGCGCCTGAGGGTGGGGATGCCTGAACCTTCCCAGGCAAGCTGTGGCCCCGCTCCCGCCCCGGCCCACCCAACCACGGACGCCACTCTCAAAATTGACCCAGCGAAAGAGGAACGAGAGGAAAACGCCTCGATATAGTTAATGATATTGCACTGTAGATGTCATTTGCCAAAAGAGTACACTTTAGGCACTTTTACCATAAAGAAGAAAAAGAGGCAGCTATGGGGTGGTGGTGGTGGGTGCAGGATCACTTCACTGTGTCTGTCTGTGCCTGGGTAACTCTATCAAACATGCTGCACACCTTCAATGCACACAATTTTTTTTTTTTTTTTGAGATGGAGTCTCACGCTGTCCAGGCTGGAGTGCAGTGGCGCAATCTTGGCTCACTGCAACCTCCGCCTCCTGGGTTCAACTGATTCTCCTGCCTCAGCCTCCAGAGTAGCTGAGATTACAAGTGCCCACCACCACACCTGGTTAATTTTTTTGTAGTTTTAGTAAAGACAGGGTTTTGCCATGGTGGTCAGGATGGTCTCGAACTCCTGACTTCAGGTGATCTGCCTGCCTCAGCCTCCCAAAGTGCTGGGATTACAGGTGTGAGCCACCGCACCCGGCCGAATGCATACAATTTTAACAAAAGAAATAAAAGACCTCAGACCTGGCAGAACTCAAGACAATCTCAATGGAGGGTCCACCCATCTGGTAAACAGCACATATTTTAAAAACAAAAAACAGTGTCAAGTGGAGATGGTGATTTGGATGCCCCTAATGGATGTGGCCCAGGTAAAATCAGCCACTGAGTCTGGGGGCTTCCTGCCTGGAAGCACAAGGATAAGGATGAACCTGTCTCCTCTCGGTTCCGTGGATTCCTGTCCTTTTAGGGAGCCTCTGGTCTGGCTGACAATGAGAGGGAGCGGGACTGAGTGGGAAAGACCTGGGCATGCCCCTGGAACAGATGCATCTCCCAAGAGGGAGCTCAGGTGGGGCAGACAACAGACACCCCCTTCCACAGGCCGGGACGCCCGCAGGGCCCCAGGACCTGGCCATCTGTTTATGTGCAGCTTGGACCCAAGGATATCTGGCAACGTTCCAGGTTGAGAAATTCCAACTGTTTATGTGATCTCTGCAGGGGGCCTGGCCAAAGGCCCCAGGACACTTGGAGCAGGCTGGGGCCCGGGGGAGGGAATCCTTCCTAACTGCACCCAGACGGCTGCTGCTTTTCCCAACAAAGGTGAACTGGACTTTCCAGAGCCATGATGTTCCTGTACGGCTGCTGCTTTTCCCAACAAAGGTGAACTGGACTTTCCAGAGCCATGATGTTCCTGTGGGGCCACCTCGACTCTCGGCCCTCTCCTTGGCCCACCCTTGCCCACTGCTGCCTTCCCGGGTGCCTGGCAGTGGAAAACCTGTGCCCACCCCACACTCCCAACCCCCTCCTGGAGCCCAGACACCACGTCTACACTCACAGAGCCAGCTTACTCGGGAACATGAGCCAACACGAAGCTCATTCAAAGGTTTCAGTCCGGCCCTCCCAGAGCGGGGAGGGGAAACCGAACTGGGATCCTGCAGAGCCAGGGGCACCTGCCCACCCTGAGATCCCATCTTCCTCCCCGAGCAAGGACCCCCTTTCACTGAAGCAATGGGGACAGCACAAAAGAAGCCCAAGGCCAACCTCAAGTCTACCTGGGGGCCAAGTCTGGGGAAATGCAACCGGATGTCCCACCTCTCAATAACAAGTGTAGCTTGGGGCTGGGACCTTGGATGTAGCCTCTGCTGTTGTTCACCTTCTGGCAAACACCCTTGGGCAGAGCAGAACAGGCCCGCAGCCCCCTGCTTCTGGGTGAGTCCGCCCAGGCGGACGGCAGTCACTCTCCCCCACAGCTGCTCTGGTCCCTGAGCCCAGGCCTGGCTCTGAGGTTTTCCACAATGCTGAGCAGGGGGATCCTGGCCTCAGAGTCTCCTTTCATGCCTCTGCACCCCTTTGCCCTGCAGCCCATGACCCTTCTGCCTCAGACAAGCTCTGTCTTCCCTGGACCCCCAGAGAGCACTGGAAAGGGGGTCCGAGAAAAGGATGTGTCTGTAGGCACCGGCAGGTCCCACCCCTGGGTTGGGCCTGGAGCAAGGGCATAGAGCCCCACAAGAGCCATCCAGACGCTTCCATAGGCCAGGAAGGGGTGAAGCCCTGGACCCTGGGAATTCCACCCCAGAGATGGGACACATCCCGTCTGCCCTGGCCACGGGCTTCAAAGAGATTCCAGGGGTATAAAGGCCTGCTAAGTGCCATCCGTCAAGGTTCCAAGAGAATGTCCCCAGCTCTACAGTAGGGTGGCGGGTCACTGTGACTGCACATTCTGGGAACTGCAAGGTCAGGGGGCTTCTGGGAGACCCAAGGTGTATCCTGAGCTCAGCCCTCAGGAACTGAGTCCTGGCGGCAGAACAAACAGCTGCCCCCAGCCTCATGACTGGCCGTGGTGCAGGACGCACACCTCCTCCTGTGGGCACTTGGACAACATGGCAGGGTGGGCCTTGGTGCTGGCTCCTCCCTGCTCTCCGGTCGTGCCCACCACATGCAGCGGCAGGACTCCCTGCCCAGCTGATCACAGGGCATCCTGCCTGCCGGCGGCGGGGCGGGGCATCAAGACCTTAGTGGCTCTGAGACCCCAGGGAGAACTGGAGGCCTCCCAGCCAGGCCATGGCCCCCTATGGGACAAGGACACCCCAGTATGGGGCAGGGCCCCCACCAAACGCGCCAACCAGGAGGGGCATCTAGAACGTCCTCGCTACAGTCCCACGCTTGAGGGCATTATCAACAGTAACTTTTTGAACTCACCCGTGATCTCATTACCTAACATAGTTGGGTTTTACTCAGCTGGAATTTCAGCACAGTGCTGTTTTATTTCATTCCCTTGATAAAGTTTCATAAACAGTATTCCATGTTTCAACAGCTTCTGTAAACTTACTCCAAACGGTTGCATAACAGACGCAGAGAGGTACGACCACGTGTTAACTATTCCCTACCACTGCCGCGCGCATCTTTTACACGGAATGGGCCATTTACATCCTCTCCTCCACCCCTCAAAGGGGACTCCGCCTCCGCCTCGATAGCTCTGAGCTGCTTTTCATCCCAGGTGAAACTGACCAGCACTGAGATGCCCAGAGCTTGGGTGCAGGACCGGCTTTGATCAGCACCTATCCCGCCCCCTCCATCACAGTCCAGAACATCCCCTACCCAAGGGGATTCTTCACAAGTCCTGGGGACAAGTGGTGCGTGGACTCCACGAGACCAGGTGGTTGCTCGAAGTGACCCAGTGCGCGCAGGTGCAGGGGCCCACGGACCTGTTCACACCCTACACACCCCGCTGTGACCCCGAGCAGCGGACACCCCGGCGCAGGGAGGGAATGAGAAAATGTCCTCACCGGCTCGATAATCGCTGGTTCTCCCTTTTGGCCTTTCTCGCCCCGAGGTCCTCCAATCTGGGGGTGATAAAAGGCAGATGGAAAGAGAATCAGAGAGAAAAGTGAGAAAGAAAGTCCAGATTACACAAAATCTGCCCGATTTCGCAAGGCCGAGGGCACTATCGTAGCTGGGCATCTCCCCAGGCCCAGGAGGATGGCAGGAGCGTGACAGAGGCCAGGCCCACGGGAGCCCATGTGACTACTAACGAAGAAACAGGCCCAGAGGAGAGTATGCTCCGATACACACGTTATTCAGAGCAAATTCGAGGCACCGAGGTCTCTTTAAAAATAAAGTTTTGGGAATAGGGTGTAACACTTGAGCTGCCCGTAGAGGCCCACCCCTGAGGAGGCTCTTGGGCAGGAGCCCCCATGATGCCCCACCAGCCCCCCAACCCCACCCGGAACGGGGGCCTGCACCCTCTCACCCCTTCATAGATGGTATCCTGGTTCGCCGGCATTCCCGGCCCGATCTCCGACGGGGAGCTGGTGGGGTCGTAGTAGGGGTCGTAGTAGTTCTCGTCAAGGTTCCGGATCGTTTCCTCAGTGAACTCCCCCTCCAAGTCATCCGCACCTTCCCCTGGAGGCGGAGCTGGCTGCAGAGGGAGAGGAAGGCGCAGGGTTGCCTCGCAAACGCACCAGGCACTGCCTCTCCATCAGGCCCTGGGCGGGCACTGTGGCTATCCGGTCAACTGGGCAGAGATCCCAGATCCATCAGGCCCTGTGCTGGCACCATGGCTACCCGGTCAACTGGGCAGAGACCCCCCTCTGGGAGAGACCTCCTCTGAGGGCTCCAGGTCTGACAACTCGGAGCTGGCACACCATGGAGCTGGCACACCCGTGCACCCGCTCAGGCAGGGGCTGCACCCCACAGCCCCAGGGTCTTGCGATAATGCATCCCAGGGCGGTGCTGCAGACGCAGGGGTCTGGACCTGCTGGAACGAGGTGTCCTCTCTGGCAGTGGAGATTCTGCATCACACAGTGGCTATGTTAAGCATCGGCCATGTGCTACACACTACGCAAGGCTCCTCCTGAATCTGAAAACTTCACAGCCCCCAGAGACAGGAACTGTCAGTGCCATGTTGGAAAGGAGAACCGCGAGGTCCAGAGACGCAGACTAACTTTCCAAGGTCTCGGGCAGAGCTTTCAGGCCTGTCTGCTGACAGTCAGCCCCCGTCCCAGCCAGGGCGGCCCCAGCTCCTGCTTCGCTGTATTTGTCTGGATCCTGGCTCCCAGCCCCATCCTGCCTGGCCACACCCAGGCCACAGGCAGGGACTCTGTCCACAAGCCACCCCCCTCCTCATCCAATTTCCACCTGAATCCTCAAAGACCGGAAGGGCTAGGGTCATTCTACCCATTTTCCAGGCAAAAAATTGACAACATTGAGATGAACTCAGCAAACCAGGGATTCCAAACTTGTTCAGCAATGGCCTCCCCTGGGAAGTATTACGCCACCCAGCTGCAAAGGGCCCAGGGCCAGGGTGTGGTGGAACACAGGGGCCACCCGAGGACACCAAGGTGAGAACTGGAGTAAGAAGGGAGCTCAGCATTGTGGCCCCAGCCCTGGCCCTTGGCCCACTGCCCCAGACCAAACCAATGGGAAGGAAAGAAATTACATTGGAGGAGTTGGAGGTGTCGGCGGTGCTGGTGGGAATTTCGGCCCCAGCGCCTGGGTCTGTGGGCTGGTCGGGGTTCTCCTCCCCCTCGCCATAGGTGAGGTCATCATACGGTGAGGGCGTGTAGTAGTCCTCACTGGGCACGTAGTCATAGTCCCCGATGCCGACGTCCTCTTCCTTCCCAGCCCCTTCACTGGTTTCAGGCATGGGAGCAGCTTCCGTGGGGGTCGGGGTCAGCTCCTGGGAGCCAAGGACAGAGACAGCTGGAGTCAGGGCGGAGGCCGGCAGTGGTGCCAGGTCTGGGACTTGCCGCATGTCCGGGTGCAGGCATCTCAGTGGCAACGCCTGGAGCCCAGGCCTGTCAAGAGGCCCAGAGACCTCTTGGGTGCAGGGGCCGCCCCCATCCATGGGGCTTGGGGGCAGAGCAAGTGGGAAGAAGGCAGCCCAGCTGCAAGCCCCCAGTTACTAAGCGTGCTCAGAATGGACTCAAACCCACCCAGTTACACACCAGAAAAGGGTGAATCATATCTCAGTATTTAAAAAACAAAAGTAGCAAAACACTCCAGGCTCTCAGAGCAATGTGAGATGACCAGGTCACCTTTCCCTGGAAGGATACACACACGCTCACACACACAGGCTCATGCACACCCGTGCCCGCATGCACACACGCTCACACACGCTCACACACACAGGCTCATGCACACCCGTGCCCGCATGCACACACGCTCACACACGCTCACACACACAGGCTCATGCACACCCGTGCCCGCATGCACACACGCTCACACACGCTCACACACACAGGCTCATGCACACCCGTGCCCGCATGCACACACGCTCACACACGCTCACACACACAGGCTCATGCACACCCGTGCCCGCATGCACACACGCTCACACACGCTCACACACACAGGCTCATGCACACCCGTGCCCGCATGCACACACGCTCACACACACTCTCACACACACGCAGGCTCAAGCACACCCGTGCCTGCATGCCACATGCTCACACACACTCGTTCATGCACACACACACACCGCCCATGCTCACACCCCACCCTCTTTACCTCTGACAATGGCTCTGAGGCTGGACAGCCTCCTCCCCAGGAGGACACCCACCCATACACACTCCTGCACGGGGCCCGGGCCCTGCTAGGTGTGACCCTCCGGCTCTCACTGCCGCTCACGCACCCTCACAACCCTCCCCAATTTCAGAGGTGAGGGGATGACAGCCCAGAGCGGGGAGGACCCGAGGCCGACCTCAGACTGCGTCACCCCCCGGGGGAGCCCCTGAGCTCTCCTCTCTCCTCTCCCACCACAGCTGCACCCACACTTAAGGAACCCGAGAACCAAACTCATCCTGGGCCTGCTAGAGCCCTGTGCCTCGTACAGGGTGGGGACCGGGGCCAGGGCCCAGAGATGCTGGCAGATGCTCCCCTGTATACTTGGCATCTCCCAACGTCCTCCTCACTGCGGAAAGCCCGATACGCCCCGTGACAGCAAAGCTCGGATGGCAACAGCCGGCTCCCTCACTGAGCTGCCCCCGCAACCTTCACCAGACAGCCCCCAACCCTCTACCCTGACACAACCTCTCCTGGCCTCGCCCTCCCCTGCACCATGGCCTCGAGGGGCCCAGCCCAACCCAGTCCCCCGCTCAGCCCAGACCTCGGGGACCTCTGTGGTTTCTTTGGCAGCTTCCACGGGCTTCTTGCTGGGGGTGGGCTCCTTCCCTAGGTCTTCGGGGTCTTCGTAGTAGGGGTATTCGTAGTAATAGGTCTCACCCTCGCCGTCTCCTTCCGTGTACTGAAAGCGAATTGCGGCCCCGTGAGGAAGCAGCGGAGCCCGCAGAGCGACCAGCCTGCTGTCCTTCCTTCCGCAACCTCCAGATCTGCACGCCACGACGCCCCGTCCAGCCCCAGGCGTGAACCTCCCTGTGGGTCCCCGGATGGGGTTCCTCCCTCTCCAGCTCCTTGGAAAGCTGACGCAGCCTCATCAGAAGCACAAGAGAGAAAGCAGGGGGAACACCAGGTCCCCTCGAGCAGTCAGAGAAAGATGAGCCCTCAAAGGTGAAGGCTTCTGGCCCTTTGGAACCCAGGCCAGAACAACCAACAGAATGGCAGTCTGTGCAGCCGTCACCATGTCTCCAGCAGGCTCCCGGGCCTTCAGCCCCAAGCCTCAAAGCCCAGGGACCCCACGGGTAGGGCTTCAGTGGGACAGAGTAGGCCTTGTCCTGAGCCCATTCCCACACCAGGAGCTGGGAGGAGCCTGGCAGGAGGCCGGGGCAGCAGGGACTCGGCTGGGAGCTCTGTCCTGCCCCTCCTGGGGTTTGTAAGATGTGGCCTGGGCCACGGGGTCCCACAGCTTCCTGAAAGCTACCCTTCCTTCTTTCCTGACTGGTGGTGAAAGAAGGAAGACCCAAGGAGAAATAAACAGGATTTAATATTACGGATGAGAAATGAGAGGCAGTGGGCCCAGGGAGTGGGAGAGCATTTTCATGCAGAGGTGATAGGAAGAACTGCAAATAAGAAAAACTGCAGTGCCGCGAGGGTGTGCAGCGGGAGGGGGAGGACAGCTGACCCATGGACATGGCGGGTCCCAGGAAGAGGGACAAAGGTGTCAGGCACGGCTGCCACTCTACAGTACACTTTACACTCAAGGGATCCGAGGGCTGGCCATTCTACAGTAGACAAGCCCAGGCTCCGTCCTCTTTGGCGAGCTGCACATGGCCCCTCCAGTGGATCGAGTCCATGGGGGACACCTGTGGCATCTGTGCTCACAAATACCCCATCAAGGTCAAGCCCAAGCGTGAGAGAGCACTGGGCATTCACCATCAAGGAGCTTGTTCAAAAGGTTAAAGGAGAGGGTTATTGATGACAAACTCTGTGACCCTATCATTCTGGGCAGTGCTATTTAGTAAAGTGAGTCAGATATCCCAATGTTTACCTCCTAGGTCCCTCCAAATTCTCACCCAGTGGATTTATTTAAAATAAGGGTCCCATGGCTTATGTGTCTCTTCACCAACCATCCCAAGTAGTCTGCTCATGCTCCCCAAGATCCCAGCCAGAGTTAACTCACATATTCATCTGGATTGGGGTCCTGCGACTGTGGGGTGTCAGGTACTGCGGTGTCACAGTCAGGGCTGTAGTGCTCACAGTAATCATAAGCTGCCCGGTGGTCCGAGACAAAGAGCAGCTGCTGGATGTCACCCTGGAAAAGAAGAGACGCTCATGAAAAAGCAGCTCACAGAGCACTCGCATGGGGACCTGGGAGACACAGCCCCATGCCTTGAAGCAGGGGAAAGTCCAGACCAAGCCACAAGACGAGCTTGTCCTCAGAGCCAAACATTCTCCCTAGAAGCTGCCACTCACAAAAGACACTCAAGCTAGGCTGGCCCATCCATCCATCCATCCATCCATCCATCCATCCGTTCACTCATCCATCTACCCATCCATCCATCCATCCATCCATCCACTCATTCGTTCATCCATTCACCCATCTATCCACCTATCCATCTACATCTACCAGTCCTTCCATCCATTCACCCACCCATTCACCCATCCACCCATCCATCCATCTATCCATCCATTCACCCATTCACCTATCCATCCATCCATAAACCATCTATCCATCCTTCCATCTGTCCACTCATTCACTCATCCATCAATCCATCTGCATATATACATGCTTCCATCCATCTACCCATCCATCCATCCATCCATCCACTCTTTCATTCATCCATTCACCCATCTGTCCACCTATCCATCTACATCTACCAGTCCTTCCATCCATTCACCCATCCATCCATTCTCCCATCCACCCATCCATCCATCTACCCATCCATTCACCCATTCATCTGTCCATCCATCCATTAAACCCTCTATCCATCCACTCCTCCATCCGTCTGTCCACTCATTCACTTATCCATCCATGCATCCATCCATCTGCACATACACATCCTTCTATCCATCTATCCATCTATCCACTCATCCTTCAACCCATTCACCCATCCATCCACTCATCCATTCATCCATCTACCTATCCACCTGTCCATCCATCCACCCAGCCATCTATCTGCTCATTAATTCATCCATCTATCTATCCATCCAGATACATACATCCTTCCATCCATCTCTCCGTCCCTCTACTCATCCTTCCACCCATCCACCCATCCATTCATCTGTCTATCCACCCATCTACCCACCCACCCATCAATCCACCACCCATTCACTCATCCATTTACCAGACACCTGTTGAGCACCTGCCAGATGCCAGTGCAGTGCTGGCAGCTTTTGCCTGTTGTGAGAAACAGCCTGCACTCTCACCCGCCCTAGACCCCGAGGGCTTGGAGGTACCCTGCCTCCTTTGCCATTACCCCTCAACCACTGGGGAAGAGAGTATTTTTAAAGAGGTGATGTCTGGTTTCTCAAAAAGTTAAAACTAGAATTACCATATGACCAGTAATTCCAATCTCCGGAACTGAAACAGATGCATAAACAATTCACCCAAATCAGTTCACCCTCCAAACAAAACAGGGACTCAAACAAATAAATGTATACAAGTGTTCATAGTAGCATTAGTCACAATGGCCAAAAGATAAATGCAACCCACATGTCTACCGACAGCTAAATGGATAAACAGAGTGTGGTATATGCATAGAATGGAATATCATTCAACCACAAAAGGGAAGGAAGTACTGCCCCACACTACAAGGCGGATGAACCCACACTGCTAACAACTGAACTTTCGGATTCATTGTGAGCAGCCTACACTCTAACTGTGTCAGCCGGGAAAAGCATGCAAGCACTTATTCCTTCTTCCTCTAACCATGATGTGTAAACAATTTATTCCATTATTCTCTCACCACAATGTGTACACAGGAGAAATAAAAGGGCTGCTAGTAGGAATAAGAAATGCAGGTCTCATAAACGCTATCTGCAGAGATGAAGATGACAGGCACGCTAGGAGTCACCCTGGCAGCACCCTGGGTGTTCCAAAGCAGAGGATCTTTTGACCATAATCAGATGCATAGAAGCCGACCAATATAGTAATGATTATAGTAATGACAGTGATGACGAATTAGATCATGTTTACCACAGATCAAGTACAAGGTAAAGAGCCTGCACCTGGTCTCTCTGTGCCCTCAAGAACCCTATGAATTGTGTCCGACTAATCCCCACTCTACAACAGAGGAAACCGAGGACCTGTGAGGTCACCTGTCCAGGGTCCCCCAGCAGCTGGGGCAGGATCAGCCCAAGGCAGCCTGCAAGATGCCAACCACTACACGCCCCACCACACTCAAGGGAGGGAAAAGAACTTGGAGGACCATGTCCAGGTGCTCCGGTCCTGGAGACGGTGGCGTCTCCGGTCCCGCCACCAGAGACGGTGCCGCAGGCAAGGGGACTTGGGGCAGGGCCAGGTGCTGAGTGCTCTGGGTCTGGAGCTCATCTTGCCACCCTGCATCACATCTGCACACTTTTCCAGAGCCACAGTAGCCAGCGGGCTGCAGGGTCAGGGTGCCCAACCCCATCTGGAGGATGGCAAGTTCTCCACGGTTCATCCGAGCCTGGTTCACCCGAGCCTGGTTCACCCGAGCCTGGTTCACCTGAGCCTGGTTCATCGGAACCTTCACTCCATCCAAGCAGAGGCACCACCTCCCCCGCCGAGGCCCCTCTCTGGGCCAGGAGGAGTCTAGTGACAGCTTTGTCTCCGCCTTGAAGACTCTGGCCTGCAGCCGCGGTGGCTGTGACGTGGCTTTGCGCTGTGTACTTCTGACCCTGGCGAGTCACCCTCACTCCCAGGGTGCCAGTGTTCTGGGAAGGGCTGGGAGACATTCACAGCTGTGAGCTCTGTGCGCACACCCATCATTGTTCCGAGGGCTGCTCTCTTCCACGAAGACTTTTGGTGCGAGGGTCTGGCCACAGCAAGACAGGCACTGAGACTTGGATGGAGCGGGTGGGAGCATCACAACCACTGCGCACACGGGCGGGGCGGAGGGAATCCCAGCCCGCAGGCACACTTGGAAAAGCAGTAAGCTCTGTGCTGCCGGACAGGCCCGGCCCACATGCCAGCTCCAGCCGTTGCCTGGCTGTGTGGCCTGGGATGAGCCTGTTCACACACACCTCTCTGCTCCCTGCTTTCTCTCTGAAAAAATTAGCATAAAACGGCAGCATTGACCTCACAGAGCTGTAGAGTCCTCCAGGCAAAACTCCTTGTATGCAGAAGGCACTCAATAAGTAATGCAAAAGATTTTGAGGTCAATGGGGGAAGGCATGTGCTCAGGAAAAGCCCTCAGCAGGCAGTAGGTTTGGAGGAACTGGGGGTCAGCAGGGGGCTGATGCAGGACACAGGGTGGGGGCCCAACAGCAGGTGTGAGAGGGTGGCAGGGAAGAGGCCACAGCAGCCAGGACAGTGCTCCTGAGAGGGGAGGGAGTGGTGCGAGGCAGGGGCCGAGGGGAGGACCTCGGGGCTCAACAGGAAACGGCTCTCAGCACCAAAAAGGGGAAGAGAGTGGGGTATGTGTCTGTGGTTATCGTGGGTGACCCCAACTTGTGTTTAAAAACCTCAAATGATGAGCGAGGAGCTCAGAACCCTCCCCAAGCCCACCCAACATTCCAGGCAGCAGCTCTGCCAGGTGGTAAGTTCCTGCTCCTGACTTCAGCCACACATCCACATCCATACCTGCCTCTGGGTCAGAGGCAGACGGACCCACCTTTCTCGGCACTACTGTGCCATAGCCTGGCCACAGCCCTTCTGCCCACCTGCCCCTGCCTCGCCCCATCCAGAAGGGTGCAGCCAGGGTTCAGGGGTCCGTCCGGTGCCTGGGTGCACGCCAGCACCCGTTCCCTTGCAGGACTCAGGACTCACAAGGGAAATTTCTGTCACCTCCATTTAACAGATAGAAGAGGCTGGGACAGGAGACATCACTGGTCCCAACTGCAGAGCCACAGAAGCAGTGGCCAGGACCTGGAGCCTATGTGTGCAGCGGGGCCCCTGACACTAGCTGACCCAGCCCTGCCTCCCCTGTCTCCACATCTCAGAACAGATGGAGCAGCACAGAGACGGGTGCTCTCCCTGCAGGCATCAGGCCCAGAGCATGGGGCGTCCCTGGCCGCCACGTACCTACTGCCTCATCTGAAGTTTCAGGGACTGAACCCCCCGCATCACCCCACATCATGGACAGCACCGCCGAGCCCCCTCCAACCCGGGTCCTTCCTCTCCGCAGGGTGCCTCAGGACAGTGGTGCCTCAGGACAGCGGTGCAGGAAGCAGCTGAGGGTTGGCGGTCGTCGGGAGCTGAGCTTGCACCTGTTCCCTGGGCTGGGGCATCTGCTGGGCTGAGGAGGGCACTGGGTGACAGGTTCCTCTCCTTCCAGACTTCACCTCGGGGGCTGTGACCCACAAAGGGACAGAGCACGGGGACGGGGAGTGACCGAGGACAGCTACCTGCTGCTGCCCCCTGCCCCTGAGACCCCATCACAGTAAACTGGGGGCATTTTGAGGAGGAAGCAAGAGTGGGGCCCTGATTAGCGCAGCCCTCAGCATTTCACACCTTCCCTCCCCGACACCAACCCTCAAACGGGATGCCCCACTCTCCACCCGCTGAGGCCAGCAGAGCTGCCCACCTGCCTCACCTCCCTCTCCCTCTTTCTCCTTCTCTCTCTCCCCCATCTTTGGATGTCAGAGGCTCCTGGCCCATGTTTCAAATTCTCCAGCAGACAAGGAGGAACAGTGAATCAAAACCACACACTTTTATTAAGCAACATGACTTCTGGATCACATTTCATCCAATTCAAATAAAATATGTTCTCCTTTCAACTGGCAATTTGACATCTGAATATATGTTCTCCAAAGGCACTTCAAAGAAGGAAGAGAAGCCTCAGGGGCCTTCAGGGGCAGCTGTGGTCCTGGGCCCTGATGCACCCCTGGATCCAGCTCTGCTTCCCCGGAAGCCCCAAGCTCCTTGGATCATGGGCGTGTCCGGCACAACCCCGTACCCCAGGGTGTCCAGCACAGCGGCCATACCTTGCAGGCCCTGCATAAGGTGCTGGCACTGGTCTCAGTGCTTGTGGGCACACAGCACCCAGGCACACCTGCACGACCATCAGGGCCCAAGGCTAGGTAACGAACACCCACGAAGCGGGACAAAGCCTGAGGTGTCCCCAGGTGCCCGGCGCTCTGATCCCAGGCTGACCTGGCCCTCAGCCAGCCCTGCTTTGTGGCCTGCCCACCACACCCCCAGACTGCAGCAGTGAACAGACAATAGTAGGACTGGGCATGAGGTCCCTTCACTTCGAGAACCCCCTCCTCTGCAAATGCACGTGCTTCGTTCGAATCATTTCCCCACCAAATCCTCAGGTGGATTTTCACACTAGAAAGAGCCGGTGTGTTCTGCGGGCACCACTGCCAAAGGGCAAGGGTCTGCCAGGCCCTACACCACCCCCGTGGAGAAGGAGAAACCGAGGCGCAGGTGCTAAGGCTCAGGCTCAGAGTGCTGCAGAAGCAGGGTCGCTCTAGACCTGGATCCTGGCCCAGGGCTCTTTCCAGCCCACCCACTGCTTCTTCCCTACACATGCAGGTGAGGGAGGGGACCCTGAACACCTGGGTGCCCAGCAAGGCTGTTGAGGAGGAGCTTCTCTGCAGGACCCCAGGCAGATGGGGCCGTAGTGAGGGATCTGCTCCAGGCTCCAAGACAGAGCGGATGCCTCCCCTGAAGCCCAGCAACCTCCCACGGGCCAGCCCCATGGCTGCACGAGCTAGCGCTCCTTCTGTGCCACCTTCCAGGCAGGGCTGAGAAGAGGGCTCTGTGATGTCTGCACCCCCACAAGGACTGGGCGGAGGAGGAGCTGAAGCAGAGGGAAAGGCTGTAACCCACCCCGCAGGACTCCAGTGAGACACCTGCCTCTGCCCTGGGCCACCCCTGGGGCCACCTGATTCCTGCGAGTCCAGAGGCCCAGGTGCATGGGACTTCCAGCTCTGCCCTCGGGGCTGTGGGTTGGTGGCTAGTCCAGTGTTCAGAGCAGAGACGAGATAGTGATGGGATCCAAACACAGTCATGGGGTGCCATGGGGTGACGAGAGGCACAGAACAGCCCTAACGGGGTCATGGGGGGTCCTGGGCAGCCCTGTATGGGTACTATGGGGAGGTTACAGGGTGGTCCTAGATGGGGTACTATGGGGGAGCCTGGGCAGCCCTGGATGGGGGTCCCATGGGGGGGACATCTGACAGCCCTGGATGGGGACAGTTGAGGGGGCTCTAGAGGGTTATCATGGGGGGTCCTGGATGGAGACAGTGAGGGCCACACTGAAGTCCTCCTGCATCCCTGAGACCTGTGTCCATCACTAGACTGATGAAAGATGTGATGGGTCCAGGGTGAGAGAGGCATCTTCCCTGACTCACGCGCAGCCACACACTGTGTCCTACCCAGCAGGTGACACCCGCGGAACCCTGGGATCCCCAGAGACTCCATGTGGTGGGTCTGGCGGGGACTGGGATTCAGGAGCCATAACTGCTCATGAGATTCTAAGATGCAGCCAGGCCTGGAGCCGCCCCTCACAGACCTTGAAGGCAGCTGTGGATGCGGGGACGCCCCTCCTTCTGTCAGTGGTACCCTGGCAGTTCCTGAGCCTGCACTCCTCCTTCTGGAACATTCACTCAGAGTCGGCTCCTCTCTGGAAGCCAGGTCAGCATGTGGAGACGTCCAGCCCAGCCACCTACCAGCCAGGCAACCAGCCCCTGGGAGCCACAGTCTCCCCATTTCATCACAGGAAATCTCAGCCTCCCCTGACCCCCTCCAGGCTGTGTGGACCAAACACACAGCTCTGCCCGAAGCTCACGAAAGCCCTAGGCAGAACTCTGCCCTGGTGCCCTCAGAATCCTTCTCAACCCAGGGCTTCCGGCAGCCACTCCCCAGTGTGCTGGAGAGGACATGCCCAGCCCGACCGCCATAATCTGGCGCACACTGTCTTTCAAATACAAAGCTAGGATCACGACTTCATGTTGTATGCTGAGAGCATTTTCACAGTGCATCCTGTGATATGAAACCAAGCTCCAAACTACAGACCAGGAAAATTGGTCGATGAAGCCTCCTCTCCTGGTGGAGCCTTGCCCGGCACTGGCCGGCGGGAGGTGCTGGCGGCCTGGAAACAAAGGGCCAGGGGCTGGTGGGCAGCCCCTGCTTGGGCTTGGGTGAGCTCGTGGCTTTTCAGGGGATGGGGACAGGAAGCTGGAGCTTGGGGCTGGGTCACAACGCGCACGCACAGCCAAAGAAACCCCAGAGAGACCTCAGCCTGCAGCCTTCCAGGACCCAACCCTGGGTCTCTAAGAGGCCGGCTGTAGGTCAGAATTGCCCAGTGGGCCGTGCCCTGACCCTTCCTGAGGCACTGAGGCACCCCAGGAATTTCTTAGCTGCAGCTGCCCTCTCAGACGGGTGGACTTTGACCCCAAGAACCTCCAAGCAGCCTGACCACGACCTCAGAAAGGCCCATGGTCCCCACAGTCCCCCTCCCAGGTGCTATCAGAGCCCCTGGCACACAAGCGCAAGGAACCAACCTGATGCCCTGCCCAGCAGTGGCCTGTGGCTCTCCTCTGATGTCACATCTAACTGCCAGGTTTCATGGCACACATCCAATCCCTGAGCAGGGCAATAGGTGTCACCTCCGACCTTCTTCAGACACGCCCCTTCTCCACCCTTCATTGCTTTCTCCCCATCCTCCGTCCTCTTACCAACGATGGCAGCCGCCTACTTCCTGAGCCGCCCCCTTGCCCTGGAAAGGCAGAGGCCGATCACCACCCAGGATATGGAGCATGATGTGCCGCCCTGCCCCTGTCCTGCCCTGGCCATGAGATGAGTGTGTGAAGTGCTGGGTCTCCCTTGCTGCTGTCCTCTTCGTGCTGTTTTCCAGCCCTCCTGCAGGGCCAAACACCCACTGGACGCAGGGAAGCCCAGCCAGCAACCCCACACTTGTAGGCCCATGGCCCGCTTGCAGGCCAAGCGCCAGGATCTGGGGTTGGCTGGTGTGTTGTGTCACTGTGTGTGTGCATACATACGTGTGCGTGCATGTGTCCGGTACCGTGTTGATGCAGGTGTGCACATGGGTGCAGGAGGCCATATGTGTACTGTGCACATATGTTTTGCATTCACATGTGCGGTGTGTGTGCGTGACATACATGCCTACGTCGTGTGCACAGTATACATGCATGTGTATGTGTGACATGGGTGCATGCACACACTTTTATGCATATGTATATGGTATGGCATGCCTTGTGTGCATATGTGAACAGGTATGCATGTGTGTGGCACACATGGGTCCTGGCACAGCACTGGAGATGGCCCCGAGGTGCCTGGGACTCAGTCCCCTCCCTCAACAACAGCCCACAGTTCTTTGAGGCTGCTTGTCCTAAGCCCACCCCACTTCCCCGCTCCAACGTGACAGGTTGTGTTGACATGTCAGATATCCTCAGCGTGCACCGCCTGTGCCCGGCATGCTTCGGGAAAGACCCTGGTGTTTCACACTGACCCAATTCCCAGCCCTACCTCACGCCTCGGCAAAAGAGACTTTCCTTACAGGTCTGGCCCTACTCCCATTCTTGCAGCCCCCCCAGGAGGAAGGCAAGGTCTCCTTTCCACTCTCCCATCCCCATTTCACAGATGCAGCAATGGAGGGTCTGAGAGGCAGCGCCACTCTCGCAGGCCATATGGGAGGAGGGCTGACTGGGGCTCCTGAGTCTCTGCCTGCAGCCCCCACAGTCCCCACCCCAGAGCTGCCCACCTTGGAGTCAAGGACATCGTGCCAAGTCACACATCCTGCACACAGAACGGCCGTGGGCTCCCAGTTCCCAAAACTTTGTCCCATCACCCACACAGCCCTAGGAGCAGGGGCAGGCACCTGCCCAATTCGCCTGGCAGATTCAGGCTTCTCCTGTTCCACGTCTTGGCTTCCCGGGCTGAGCCCCTGAACCACTCTGCTCAACTTTAAAAGCCAAGACCCAGCACCAGCGGCTCCAGACAGCTGGCCCTGTGGCTGCCCAAAGAAGCAGGTGGCAGCTGTTTTCATGCCATCCCTCGCTCTGATAACTGACCATTTTCCCCCTTTACATTCCTGGATTCTGCCCCCTGCCAGGTCATTAAAGTGCCCTGGAAGTTTCCGCCACCAGGCCAGGGTCATTACGGCCATTCCGCTCTGCTGCAGAGCCCCTGCCCACGGCACAGTTGGCGGCCACGTTCGACGGAAGATGGGTCGGCGGCCACGGCGGGAGCATGTTGTCCTTGGCTCTGGCAGAGATGGGAGCATTTTGCTGAGAGAATCAGTTCTGCCTTTTCTGCTAATGAGACCGTATCCAGGCTGCGTCTCTGTTGTGAGCTGAGGAAACTGCAAAGTTTTCATTGGAGAGCCCCATAAGCCTGGAGCCATGGAGACGGGAAACATGGACCTCACCAAATTAGAGGCTCCCGTGGCCGCGGCCCCCCAGCCCAGGCTGCTTCTCATGCTGCTGCTCCCTCTAATCGCATGCTCAGTGCCTCCTCTGCCATTTAATCATGCACTCCTCCTTTCAACCCCATCCCCCATCCCTGGGTTGAGCCAGCCCCCCCATGACTGCCTGGCACCCAGGCCCCCTCCTCGTCCAACCGAAACAGGGTCCACAGGAATCCCAGCTGAGCACTCTGCTTGTCCCACAGACTTTATCATCTAATTTTAGCCAGAGCACTTCGTGCTGGTAAACAGAGAGACACAAATAACTATTTAAGACAAACCCTTCTTGTTCGAGGCTGTGGGAGAAGCGGTCGGCAAGCATGTTGTCCATGAGAGATTGTTCTGCCACTGCCAGGCCCTGCCACAAACCTCCCCTGTCCTGGCAGGCGGGCACGTTGTCCAACCTCCCATACAAAACGCAGCCCAGCTGAGTTAACACGCTGACTGGGAGGGACGGAGGCCGGGAGAGCCACGGGCAGCGCTAGGGTCTGGAGCTGGGTTCACCTGGGCCCACATCTGAATCCTGCCCCTTGCTGGCTGAGTGATCTCAGGTGTGTTCGCAAACCACGTTAAACCATTCTTTCCCCTTCTGAAGCTGGGGATGGAACAACGCTGGCCCCAGAGGCTGCTGGGAGGGTGGAGTCTGGCCCTGGGCTCTGCAAACAGGAGCTAAGAACACGACTGCGTTCCCCGCAAGTACAGTGCCATCATCAGCAGTCTCTTGCACGGGGCTTCCCTCCCGCTGGGCCCGGCGGATTCTGACAGACACTGCCAGAGCAGCCTGGCCGGACGCCACCGGTGCCCCTTCTCCACGAGGCACTTCCTTGACGTCCTTAGCGCTGCGCACGTAGGAGACCACCAGATCCCCCCATTCCAGCTGCCAGGGGCCAGACCAGTCACATTTACAATCTCGCTTTGATGTTCTTCATCCGTGAGTCATACAAAATGGAAAAACAAAATGCCCCCAAGCCAGTGAGGTCTAAATAATTTTTTCCATGGTTTTCACAGCACCTGTGAGAACGAGTTTCACACTATTAACGAGAGTGTCAGAGAAATATTTTCATGTCGTCGGAAATTGCTTTCTGCTGTCCCCGCCATGTCCTCGCTCGCTGCCTCCAGTCCCAGTCCAATTCTCACCTGCAGCCACCAGCCCAAGACGTGTAGGGTCAAGTCTACTCACAACAGCTCTGGGTGCAAGGCTGCAAAATGACACATCTGTGTCTCCAACATGGGGGTGGGCCGCATGGGTGCAGAGAAGGGGCATGATCAGGTCACAGCCTCATGCACACCCTGAAGCTGGCCACAGGGACTGAAGGGTCAGCTCAGCAAACTCGGAGAGGGGGCCTCATCTCTAGACCAAGGGACGAAATGGCAGCACCAATGGCAGGGGCTGGGGGGCAGGTCCACCTCCTCAAAGACTTGCTCTCTCCAAAGGGTGGGGGTTCACCTCCTCAAAGACTCGCCACCCAAAGGGTGGTGACCTCACAAAGGCCTGCACTTGTGGCTTGGGCAGTGCACGCTTGAGCTGCTCCTTCTCCACATCTTGACTTTCGGAGCAGCGGGCCTGCAGACACTGTTTTATGGCACACGGGGCATCGCTGAGCACAGGGGATGTTCACTCGGTCCAGGCTCCCCAGAAGGAAGCCACCTGACCCTTGGCAGCACTGCCCGAGAAGAATGGCACAGGGAAGGCACTGACCACAGGAGGCCTGGGCACCGGGTCCCTCCCTTGTCATCTGTGAGGATGTCAGCGTATGACTAATTACTCCAGGCCTCCATCTGTTGATAAAAGAGGATAATAAGATCTACCTCATAGAGCAGAGGACTAAATGGGATTGCACCAGAACACTCCCCAGAGCAATCAGCATCCACTAGCACAGCCTCCACAGCCACCACCAGCACCAAAACCACAGAACCACCACACTGCTAGCATCATGACCACCACCAGCAGTGCTACCAGCACCAAAACCATAGAACCAACACACTACTAACATCATCACCACCACCACCACCACCACCACCACCAGCATCACCATCATCTTCATCACTACCATCACCAGCATCACCACCACCACTATCATCACCTCCATCACCACCTTCACCAGAATTGTGGGGAAAAGAAAGAGAGATCAGACTGTTGCTGTGTCTATGTAGAAAGAAGTAGACATAAGAGACTCCACTTTGTTCTGTACTAAGAAAAATTCTTCTGACTTGAGATGCTGTTAATCTGTAACCTTACCTCTAACCCTGTGGTCGCAGAGACATGTGCTGTGTCGACTCAAGGTTTAATGGATTTAGGGCTATGCAGGATGTGCTTTGTTAAACAAATGCTTGAAGGCAGCATCATGCTTGTTAAAAGTCATCACCACTCCTTAATCTCAAGTACCTAGGGACACAAAACACTGCAGAAGGCCGCGGGGACCTCTGCCTAGGAAGGCCAGGTATTGTCCAAAGTTCCTCCCCGTGTGATAGTCTGAAATATGGCCTCATAGGAAGGGAAAGACTTGACCATCCCCCAGACTGACACCCATGAAGGGTCTGTGCTGAGGAGGATTAGTAAAAGAGGAAGGCCTCTTTGCAGTTGAGATAAGAGGAAGGCATCTGTCTCCTGCTCGTCCCTGGGCAATAGAATGTCTTGGTGTAAAACCGGATTGTATATCCCATCTACTGAGATAGAGGAAAACCGCCTTAGGGCTGGAGGTGAGACATGCTGGCGGCATACTGCTCTTTAATGCACCAGATACGTTTATGTATGTGCACATCAAAGCACAGCACCTTTTCTAAACTTATGATACAGAGACATTTGTTCACGTTTTCCTGCTGACCCTCTCCCCACTATTACCCTATTGTCCTGCCACATCCCCCTCTCTGAGATGGTAGAGATAATGATCAATAAATACTGAGGGAACTCAGAGACTGGTGCTGGCAGGGGTCCTCCGTATGCTGAGCGCTGGTCCCCTGGGCCCATTTTTCTTTCTCTATACTTTGTCTCTGTGTCTCTTTCTTTTCTCAGTCTCTCGTCCCACCCAACGAGAAACACCCACAGGTGTGGTGGGGCAGGCCACCCTTCAAGAATCACCATCACCACCACAATCACCTCCACCACCACCTTCACCAGCATCACCACCACTACCATCACCTCCACTACCACCTTCACCAGCATCACCACCACCACCATCATCGCCTCCACCACCACCACCACCACCACAATCACCTCCACCACCACCTTCACCAGCATCACACCATCACAATCACCTCCATCACCACCTCCACCAGCATCACCACCACTACCATCACCTCCACTACCACCTTCACCAGCATCACCACCACCACCACTATCATCGCCTCCACCACCACCACCACCATCACCTCCACCACCACCTTCATCAGCATCACACCATCACAATCACCTCCACCACCACCTTCACCAAAATCACTATCACCACCACATCACCTCCACCACCACCTTCATCAGCATCACCACCTTCACCACCTTAACCTCCACCACCACCTTCACCAGCATCACACCATCACAACCACCATCACCATCATCAGCATATCCACCACCATAAACATCACCATCACCTTCACCACCACCACTACCACCACCACCATCACTACCATCATGACCATTACCACCACACCACTGTTATCATCATCATCATACTCACCATTAATATCACCACCATCAGCATCATTATGACCATCATCACTACCACCACCTCCTCCGCCACCACCACCACCATCATCAACAGTCCTGGATCCCTGAGAAAGGCTCACCAGCCTTTCCCGAACATGCCTCTGTAGCATGAAGGCCTGCAGGAAGGCAACCAGCTCTGATTGTTCATTCTTTTGTTCATTCAACCAGTATTTTTTGCATCTCTCTGATAAGTCTTAGGGACATAAAGATGAAAAAAATCTGGGTCTCTGACTGTAAGTCTCAAGGGAGAAGACTTGGGAGGCAGCACAGAAGCAACAGACTTTGCCTGGGAGGTCAAGGAGAGCGTCACGGAGAAGGTTGCTCAGAGCTGGGCCTGGAGGAGGAGAAGGTGGCTGCTACAAGGTTCACATCCCATCACTGGTCTCAGTCTGCTGTGGTCTCATCCCCTCTCCTCTGGACAAGACCCCACACTGGGGCCACCCACTCTCCACTCCACCCACCTTCTCTGTCCCGGGTTCAGACCCCAGTTCTTTCTATTCAGCTTCTGTTCAGCACAGTTTCCAGACCTGAGATCACCCTGCCCTCTGTCCCTAACGCCACCTGTGACAGCGTGCATTCCTGTGGCCGCCACACCACACTGATGATCGTTAATGGGTTTGACACCCACAAACCCCTAAGTTTTTTTCATATAAAACACTTCACTGCCGCTTCTCCTGGCCCTGCGCTTGTACAATTGATTGTTTTGAACCCAAGTGCAGAAGCTCACGTTTATCCTGATTGAATTTCATTTTCTCAGTTCGAGAACATAGTCCCAGCTTGAAAGATCTTCTGAGTCTTCATTCTGTCAACCAATAGAGTAAGGTGGCTTTACCTGTGATGGGACAGTGACAGATGCAACTCCCGGGTGTCTCTGCAAATCAACCATCGTCAGGAAGACCCTCACTTCTCTGTGGAGCGCACACAGCCCTGCTGTGGCTGCAGACTGGGAGGGAGGAGCGCTCTGGGGTTATGTTAGGAGCCAGGCTGCTCCACATGCTCCCCACCATCACACCCTGCAGTGAGTAAATGGGCCTGTGACCCAGCCTCCCTGACAGCATGAAGCCAGTGGGGTAGGGCTCAGGCATCCTGCTAAGAAGACCACGTGGCGTGGCTCAAACTGCCTCTAGGGTAAAACTCACTATCGGACAGGAGAAGGGCAGGGTGAGGCCACGTGGCTAGCTCGCAGGAAAACCTGCACTTCTCAGCTCCAAAAAGTATTTCCAAACACACAGCCTCCCAGAGGCATGGACGGCAGGCAGCCAGGGCTCTGGAGAGAGGCCGTGGAGCACAGCGGGAATCACGCCTGGTTTGGAGAGTCCAGGGCTCCAGGAGTGCTGGGAGTCCCCGGCTGCAGCCTGGTCACCCACAGGCCCTTCTGGAGGACAGGTTTGCGGACAGAGCCAGGATGGGTATGGGCTGGGGGCACCTGGAAAAAGGCGTCCAGGGGAGACCTGGTCCCCGTGGTCAAGGAAACCCCAGCAGAGAACAGGGTGGGGCCATTTGAACAAAAAGCAGCAACTCAGGGTTGAACATGAGAAGCACCAGGGTCTAGGGCCAGAAAGGGGCAGGAAAGATGGGGGCAAGAAGAAAGGGAAGCAGAAAAGCCAGGGGCAGGATGGAGGAGGGCAGAAGGAAGGGGTAAGGAAGGAGGGGGAACAGGAAGGAGGGGGAACAGGAAGGAAGGGGGAGGGGAGGAGGGGCAACAGGAAGAAGTGAGGCAGAAAGGAGGGGGGACAGAAAGGGGGCTCAGGAAGGACGGGGGACAAGAAGGAGAGGAGCAGGAAGAAAGGGGGACAGGAAGGAGGAGGGAAGGCAGGAGGGGAAATAGGAAGGAGGGGGACAAGAAGGAGGGAGAATAAGAAGGAGGGGGAACAGGAAGGAGTAGGGAAGGAAGGAACAGGGACAGGGATAACGAGAGACAGGAAGGAGGGAAGAAGGAAGGAGGGGACAGGAAGAAGAGGGGCAGGAGGGAGGGGGACAGGAAGGAGGGGGGACAGGAAGAAGGGGGAAGGAGGGGAACAGGAAGAAGAGAGTCAGGAAGGAGGGGGGAGGAAGGAAGAAGGGGGATAAGAAGAAGGGGGCAGGAAGGAGGGGGGAAAGGAAGAAGGGGGCAGGAAGGAGGGGGGAAAGGAAGAAGATGGGCAGGAAGGAGGAGGACAGGAAAGAGGGGGAACAGGAAGGAGGGGGAAGGAAGGAAGGGGGATAGGAAGAAGGAAGGCAGGAAGGAGGGGTACAGGAAGGAGGGAGGAAGGAAGAAGGGGGCAGGAAGAAGGGGGGAAGGAAGGAGGGGGACAGGAAGGAGGGGGAAGGAGTGGGGACAGGAAGGGGGCCAGGGTAAAGGGGGTTCACTTCCTGTCAGGCACTCACAGACAGGCCCAGGAGTCCAGGGTGTGAGACTCAGGCCCAGCGCCATCCACTTGCGGGGAGGGCCAGGCAGTGGCTCTATGGGGCTGGAGAACGAGACGCTGAAAGGGGACACAGGAGATGTGACTGAAGAGCGGGGATTTGGATCAGGAGATGCAAGAAGGGGTCATGAGAATAAGGAGACAGGACCCAGGCAGAAGCCTCCTATCCGGGACCCCAAGCCGTGCCCCTCTTCACCTAAGTATGGGAACTCTTAACCCAGAAAGATCCAGGCCTGGGCTGAAGTCCTGCCCTGACTGTTCCCAGCTGTGTGACTGTGGGCAGGTGGCTTTACCTCTCTGGCTTTACCTCCATCTCGGAGCCTTGGGTTTTCTGAACAAGCGGTGGCCACTGCACCAGCCCCCAGTGCCCCATCCAGCCTAGTGCTTGGGCACCATGGGGTGCAGTGGTAGAACAGAGCAGCCCTTCCCAACTGCTGGATCTTCAAACAGACTGGAGGGTGCTGGCAGAAAAGTGATTCTGAGACAGATTTTCCATGTGCTCTGGGATCAAGACTCACTCATTAGCACACCTGGCTGGCAAGACACAGCCCCACACCCCAGGCGCACGGTCTATACGACAGCACCCAGGCCCTGCAAGTGGGGTGTCACCGGCCTGACCACCTGGACCGTCTGCTTGGGTCTGGGGAAGAGCCAGGCAGCCTCCCTTAGACGGGGGAGAAACAGAGCCAACCTGGCCTCCGAGCTGACTCTGCAGGCCCACAGGGGCTTCTTCCAGGCACCAAACCACCGACCGAACAATTCATGCCCAGAGGCGGAGGCCAGCTGTGGAAGACAGAGACCAGCTGTGGGAGCTCCCTTCCCGGCTTCCCATGTGGCTGCCCCCCCAAGTGGTCCCCTCCCCCACCACTGCACCCAACAAACGGGCCTCTCCACCACTGCACCCAACAAACGGGGCCCCTCCCCCACCACTGCACCCAACAGACGGGGCCCCTCCCCCACCACTGCACCCAACAGACGGGGCCCCTCCCCCACCACTGCACCCAACAAATAGGGCTCCTCCCCCACCACTGCACTAAATGGGGCCCCTCCCCCACCACTGCACCCAACAGATGGGGTCCCCTCCCCCACCACTGCACCCAACAGACGGGGCCCCTCCCCCACCACTGCACCCCACAGATGGGGCCCCTCCCCCACCACTGCACCCAACAAATAGGGCTCCTCCCCCACCACTGCACTAAATGGGGCCCCTTCCCCACCACTGCACCCAACAGACGGGGGCTCCTCCCCCACCACTGCACCCAACAAATGGGGCCCCTCCCCCACCACTGCACCCAACAAATGGGCCCCCCCACCACTGCACCCAACAAATGGGGCCCCCCCACCACTGCACCCAACAAATGGGGCCCCTGCCCCACCACTGCACCCAACAAATGGGGCTCCTCCCCCACCACTGCACTAAACGGGGCCCCTCCCCCACCACTGCACCCAACAGACGGGGCGTCTCGATGGGGAGCAGGCTTAGGTCCTGGCTCCCCTACCTGCCCACTGAGCTTGTAGACCCTTCACACCCCTTTCAATGAGACAGGGTTAACGGCACTGACGGCGATGCTATGAAAATACTGCACAATCACTATGACTACCATCATCATCATCACAACAGCCACCGTCTCGCGCGGGCAGGAGAGCCTGCCAGCACACAGCGGCGCACCTGCCACCACGCTGAGTGAGCACGGGGCGGGCCGCACCGGCTTTGCCTCCTTTCATCCGCACCACAAGCCTAACATCCCCACTTTCCAGCTGAGGAAACTGAGGTTCAGGCTGGCTCAAAGCCATGGGAAGGATGGGCGGAGGGCTGGGGCTTGACTGCGGCTCCCTCAGATGCCCCCTTGGCCACGGTGCTAAAGAAGGACATCACGTTCGTGGGCCCCCTCGCCCGTCAGCCGTGTGAGGGCAGCTCCTCCGCTCAGGTGGGCGGCTCCCCCAGCCACTGGACCCTCCCACAGGGGACGCCCTGCCCCTTTGCTCCCCCTCCACCGCAGCCCTGCCTGCCCTGGGCACTCCCCTCCAGAGACCCTCCAGCATCATGCGTCCCTTCCCAGAGACCCTCAGTGCCATCTTCTGGGAACTGTGGATCAGAACATCCGCCGTCAGCCCAGCAAGATATCTTTGGATAAGGCCGGCTCCCAAGATGACATCATTCCTGTCTGGGCTGGGAGATGGGTCTGTGGCTCACATTTTCCATGGAACAAACCTGAAGCCCAAACCTCGGGCCAGGCAGCAGGAGGGGCCAGGCCCCACAGCACATGGGAAGAGGCAGGCCCTGCCCAACCCTGTGGGGTCTCTGGACCCCTCCTTGCTGGGTGCCACACAGATCACCAGCAGGGTCACTGGCACCTACCAGGCGGGTCACCAGCCACCTGCAGCAGGAAGGAGTCCAGGCCTCACTCGCTCACCACTCAGGCCTCCCTAGACCAGAACTGCAAATGAGAATGCACCCCGATACCAAACTGCACCCCAATGCCACACTGCACACTGGCTCCAGCCAGCCAGGCAGCTGCCTACTGCACCAGGGAGATGCCCACGGGGCTTGGCCAACCGCCTGCTAGCCAGGAGTAGCCCCCCCACCCCTCCTCAGCCAGGCACAGCTCAGCAGCCCACCCCGAAGCCTCAGCTAGAGGCCCCAAATATGCATGCCCAGAGGCTCACTTTTAAGCACACGTGCTCTGTGGCAATTTAAGAGACGAAAAACCCCTTTTCCACGCTGGTGTAGGGAAGTGGCTGAATCATGGCCCCGAGGGATGGGTCCAGGTCGGAACTCCCAGAATCTAGATCCACAGGTGACCTTGTCCAGAAATAAGATCACTGCAGATGGAATGAAGGATCTGGAAATGGGAACATCCTAGATTAGGATGGGCCCTAAATCCAACGACAAATGTCCTTGTGGGTCACACAGAGAGACACAGGGGGAAGAGAGAGGCTGTGTAAAGACGGAGGCAGAAGCTGGGGCGACGTGGCCACAAGCCAAGGAGTGTCTGGGGCCACCCGGGGCTGGAAGCGGCAGGCAGAGTCCCCCGCTGGAAGCTTCAGAGGGAGCACGGCCCCGCCCACACCTCGATCTTGGAATTCTGGCCCAGAGCTGGGAGAGGATAAATCTCTGCTGTTTGCCACCGGGCTGTGACAGTTGGTTGCAGCAGTCCCAGGAGATCATGCAGAGTGCAATGTCCTTGTCCCTTCCAGGGGCAAGAGGAGGTCTCAGCAAAGCAGGCAGAGCTGAAGACACGACAAGGGGCCTCTGCCCTTCACCTGCTGGTGTTCCGCTGCCAGGGGCTGCCTCAGCACTGCCAGGGTGGGGTCTGGGCTGCCACACAGGTGGCCTGAGACAGCGGAGGTGGATCCTACAGAAAGCACCAGTGGATGCTAAGGAGACAGCAGGGCTGGGTAGATGCGGGTCTTGGACCGAGGACCTAGAAGGGTGACAGTGTCCTGTGTCAGTGCAGGTGCACCAGAGCCCCCACCCCGGGAGTTGCTCTGAGCCGCAATGGCAGGCGCACTGGCCAGGCAGCAGCAGGGACTTGGGCCAGGACTCGGGAGGGGCAGGCACACACTGCCTCCGAGAAGCCCTGGCAGAGGGACACCTGGCCTATCCATGCTGCCTGGCCAGTGATGGAGGCACAGAGACGACATAGCAGGGTGCCTGGGGCTGCCCGAGGCGGTGGAGTGCCCTGCCCTGCCCAGGTGCACACATCACATCCATCTCATGTCCGAAGTCAGAGTTGGCCCAGCCAGCCCCCCAAATGTGCCCCTCTGGGCAGCTTCCAAGGCGGGGAAAGCCCTCCCTCCCCGGACACCTCCCCAGTCCTCTCACAGGGGAACGCAGCTCATCCAGCAGAGGCTGAGCAGCAGGGCCCAGGGAAGGTCTGGCGAGGTGGGTTTTCCCAGCTCCGCAGCCCTCCCCCGACCAGGAGGAAAGGTCCTCAGCAGAATCCCCTCACGTCCCGGAGCCGCCAGCCGCACACAGCTCAGCACCCAGTCTCGCCCGCCTGTGTGCCGGGAAGTCTGCTCATCTTCACGGTTGCGCTTCCCTCCCCTGGGGCTTCCCCGGCTGCCCAGTGATGGGCTGCGGGCTCCAGAGCTGCCCTAGACCCAAGCCTGAGTCCTACCTGCTGTGTCCCACAGGCAGCCCAGGCAGCCGTCAGCAAGCCAGTGAGCAACAAGGTAGTTCTGGAAGGATCCAGAGGCTCCAAAGGCCCCAGCCTGGGAAGTTACAGCAAACGTGGACCTGGGCCTCTAACAAAGCCCTTGCTCTCCCCTTCGAGGCCCTAACACTGAAGGGCCTGACGCCCTGGGGGACGTTCCCACTCACAGGAATCCCAGGGCTCCTCTGTTCCCACTCACAGGAATCCCAGGGTGCCTCCGTGGATGGCTGAGAAAGGCCCACTCAGCACAGGCCCCACTCCTGCCCCGGGGAGAGTGAAATTCCAGAAAGAACATGTCAGTGGAAAAGCCAGGCCCCTGGAAAAAGGGAATCAGGGATTAGGTAAACCGCTCGGTGTTTTTCAAAGGCTGAAATGAAGGCAGACAGATGGAGGACCGTTAGAGCTTGGAGCCGACGCCATCACTTTCCCGCCAGCACCCAGGGGTTTTGCAGGGAGAGCTGGAGTTTATAGTCTGTTTGGTCTTGTTGCCCCTTGAAACCTTCAACAGCTTAAAAGCACATTTGGCTCCTGGCCCAGAACTCGCTGGCCGGCTGTCCCCCGGGGCAGTTCTCATCCCCTCCACGGCCCCCCTCCTGGTCATAGCTCACCCACAGAGGAGGGGCCTTCCACGGCAGGCCTCAAGGCAGAGGCACCCCAGGCCCCCTCTTAGTCCCGCCTCCCAGCCTCCCTGACGTGGCTCACTGGGCCAGCTCAGGGCCCATAGATGAGGTGAGACTCTAGAGAGGTGCATGGAGCCCTCCGGATCAGCAGCCAGGTAGCCCCGTGCTGCCCGCCACAGGCTGGGGAAGGTGCTGGGACAGGGGCTAGGCGGGTCCAGGTCACCTGTCACACACGGGAGGGACACTCTTGGGCCCTCTGCCCTTGCTAACAGCTTATGCTGGCTCTTCCTGGAAGGTTCCAGAGTTTCACAGACCCCATGGGCCAGGGGACTCCAGGGTCCTCAGGGCCTGTGCGGGGAGGGCTAGGAGAACAGAATGCCAGGCGGGGGCCCACAGTGCTGTCAGGCCAGCCTGAGTCCAGTCTCCTGCCACTGGTCCCCGGGATCCCTTCCAGGCTGGGGACAGTTGTGTCATGATTTCCGAGGTCCCAATCTGCTGTCATGTTGCTGAGTGACCTTAGGCAAGTGACTCAACCTCCCTGGTGCTGGCTTCCCAAGCTATGAAGTGGCAGCAAGACTCTCTTCTTCCAGGGCACAGTGGGGGTGGGCCCTGGCTGCTCTCCCATCCGCCTTCTCCTTGCCTGTGAAGATAACTCACACATCCCCACCTTCTGCAGGATGCCCCATGCTCACCCTGGCCACTGAGGCCATGTTTCTGAAAACACAAAGCTCGTTCCTGACTATGCCCTGGATAAAAAGACCTTCCTGCACTGGGGGGAGCCCAGCCCCTCTGCCTTCCCCTTCCTGCACGGTGGTCCTGGGCCTGCCCAGCACCTCTGGAAACCTGGGGCTTAGGGAGCAATGCCCTGAGTCCTCCTCTGACACCAGTGCTGGCCCCAGGGCACCGGCACATCCAGAAGGGACAAGACTTGGGATGAGAACTTCCCAGGACAATGTCCCAGGCAGCTCCGGCATACTCGCCCTGGGAACAGGCAGCATGAGAGGGCTTGGCCATCCCACCCCATCCTAGGAGACACAGCCCATGCCAGGGGGATCTCCTGCCAGCTCCACAGGGGCACTCTGCCAGGGGAGGAGGACAGGGGCCTGCGAACCCAAACCTTGCTGAGGGGCTGCTGTGATGGCAGGTGCAGGTACGGGCAGGAGGCGCCCCGGAGCACTCGCCCTAGCTGGGGCTGGCGGGACCCTCAGCCAGTTCTTTCCCCATGGACCTCTCAGCGGCTCCATCCTCCTGAAGGCCCAGGGGTCTCATCTTTATGGCAGGACTCACAGCATCTAATTCATAAGGGGAGTCCAGAAAAGCTGAGAAAAGGGACAGCTCATGACAGTGCCACTGTGGACGATGGGCCACCTCTGGCCCATTGTCACTGGCAGATGACCACTGACAATGGGCCAGAGAGCAGCTCTCACCGCCAAAGACCCAGGACAAGGTGGTTCCCTGCGGCCCTTGGAGGTACTCACATCTAACACAGATTTGATCTCACCAACCCAAAATCCGACAGCGTTGGCCCTATCGCCCCATTTTACAGATGAGGACACGGGGCTCCAAGTCACCAGCAGGGAAGGAAGTCCAAGGCTGGGGGGACCTGCCGGCAGAATGCCCTCCATGCCCATCACTTCCTCCGTACGTGGCTCTGTGAGGGACAGCAGTGTCCCACCTCCCCTGCATGGCAAGGCTGCCCCACTAGAACCAGACTCAGGGGCTGGGAGGCAGTGAGGGCCTGGTCTGCAGGCGCAGGGGGCTGCTGACACGGCCAAAGCCACACACTCAGGCTCCGCGTCTATACCCAGGGAGGCTGCGGGCACAGCACCAGCCGTTAGCCCTGGCCTTGCACTGCAGGAGACACATGTGTCTTGGCCCTGAGAGTCTCTATCTCCCTCTGTCCCTCAAGGGCGCATCACTTTGGACAAAGGGGGCCTCTGTGGGGCCACAGACACCCCAGGAAAAACCCCCAGTCCCTGTTTAAACGAACTCTCTTAGAGTTTGGTGAATCCTTGTTCAGTATAACTCTAAACACAGAACAGATTGGCTTTGAATGAGCGGAAGTTGTCCTTCCAGGGGAAGATTGGGGCTGCTGGAGGAATATGTCTCAACAGTGCCAGCCCCTCATTTTTAGAGCCTTCTAGAGCAGCCAAGCGACTGAGATGGGAGGTGTCGTTATGCAGAGCCCGCTGGAAAGCAGAGATAAATCACTTTTACTTCAAAAGAAATAGAAATTCTCTTCCACTTGCAATGAGACAAAAGGTGGCTGGGACTCTGAGGCCAACTCACCGAACTTCCTCCTCACACTGTTAAGGGAAAAAAAAAAAAGAAAAGATGCTTGGGGCAGCTGAAGGCATCGCTGATCCTGCTGGACTTCATTAAGAAAGACAGGTCCAATTTTCCAACGTGAGCACAGCTAACAGCCAGGAAACTCTGGGGCTAGGAAAACACCTCCTCCAGACCATTAACAACTTGTGGTCAATAAAAACCTCTCGTTCCTGGCAGCCACTCTGGCTCAAATCGAATTCCACGACAGGAAAAAATGGCTCACCAGGAACACAGAATTCGGAACCTATCTGTGACTTACCGTTCGACCAGAAGCCTGCCAGGCGCCAGCTGCAGAGTGAGACCTGCACGGTTCCCTGGAAGAACAAGCCAGGGTAGGAAAACAGCCTCCTCCATTCAAGAGCCATTTCCTTTTGAAAACCACACGTTACCTTCATCCTTTGCTGATAAAGGAGGTAAACTCTGGCATGTTTGCTGTCGGCCACTCATAGGCATTTTTCATGGATTAATTCTCACGGTGCCTCCCACACACACAAAACTGCGGCGGGTACTATTATTGTCATTTTACAGATGGGGAAACTGAGTCTCGGAGCGGTCAGACAACTCACCGAAGATCTCACCCCTGGGAAACAGTGGAGCCAGGATGCAAACCCAGCCCTGAACACGGATTTCTAGTGCTTCCCTGGGGTAAGGGACTCTTCACATACATCTGCTTTTGGGAAAACAGCTTTTCCTGCTCAGTTAGAATATCAATGAAGCACTATTTGTTTTAGGATCCTAATTTTTTAAAGATAAAATAAAGCTTTTTCCTGAATCTTTACAACAGAACACACTAGAAATTACAAAGATTTGACACAGCACAAAAAAGAGACTGCATGACAAACATTAAAACCCTGAGGCCGGGCGCGGTGGCTCACGCCTGCAATCCCAGCACTGTGGGAGGCCGAGGCGGGCGGATCACAAGGTCAGGAGATCGAGACCATCCTGGCTAACACAGTGAAACCCCATCTCTACTAAAAATACAAAAAAAATTAGCTGGGTGTGGTGGCGGGCGCCTGTAGTCCCAGCTACTCGAGAGGCTGAGGCAGGAGAATGGCGTGAACCCGGGAGGCAGAGCTTGCAGTGAGCCGAGATCGTGCCACTGCACTCCAGCCTGGGCGACGGAGCGAGACTCCGTCTCAAAAAAAAAAAAAAAAAAAAAAAAAAAACCCGAGGCCACCGCGTGGCCTCCCATCCAGAGGCAGGGCCTCGACCCACAGAACAACAGGCAGCGGTGGGGGTGACTCTGGCAGGTGCCCAGGCCAAGCCCAGAACCTCCCCTGCAGCTGTGCAGGTAGCCTTACTGTGACCAATGTTTTACAAATGAGTCTCAAAGCTCATCAATGTCACCTGCTTTGCCTAGATCCTCCCACCAGCAAGAGGCAAAACCAGCACTTGATCCCAGTCTGTGTGACTCCAAGGCAGCTTTTAACCCCAGCTCCCCAGAATAGCCCAGAAGCTGCCTCCTGCCTGGCTGAGGACGGCTCCTGTGCCCGCAGTTCCTTCCAGGCGCCTAGGCAGGTCTGTTCAGAAGTGTGCCCGGAGGGTGTGTCTCAATAGCTTGCAAAATCTGGCTGTGCCAGCAGGATCCAAGCACCCGCCCTGCTCTACCGAAGCCCCAGGCTACAGCTTCCTGGAAACTGACCCAGAGCCAACTGCACGTTCAGCAGAATCTCCACCACCTTCACACCTACTCCCTGCCTTCTTCTAACAGGCCCATCTCATTCCACAGAGCGTGGCTGCTCTGATCATTCCTCTGCGGTCTGCACTGGGCCGCGGGGCTGTGTCCTGCCTTTCTGTCTGCCTTGACACTGTATTAATATCCAGAACAACTGAATTTGACATTAAGCCGGGGCTTCCTATAAGGGAGACAGTGCGCTGCTGTGTCACTGCATTCAACCTCATGGAACCTTTGCCACAGCTCATGAAGCAGCCACATCTGTGATCCCATTTTACAGACGGAGACCCTAAGACAGAGAAATAGCAGAGCAGCTTGCCCGAGGCCCAAATCCAACAATCGACAGAGCCCAGGTGGGCTTGCCCTGAGGCCAGCACTCTGCTGAATGTCCAGTTCACAGTGACACTACGTGGTCCCCAGTATGATTTCCTAGAAAGGTGAGACTTTCAGAATTGCCCTCTTCTCACACGCTCAAAGCCCCAGGGTCAGTTCAACCGTGCCCGTCCCCACGAGCAGACATCGATATCTTTAACACAGAAATGAACTAGTACGTGTGATGTCTCCTTCGCGTGCCCTTGGCAGAACACCAAGATTGAGTCAACACGGTGTCTGGTTTGGTGACCCCGAGTCACCGAGAAGAAACATGGCCCTGGGGACCCCACCTCAGCCATGAAACGGGGGCAGCCGGATGCAGAACCGATGTGTAGACACAGCCAGGAGCTCACGGCAGCGCTCGGGGATTTAGGGAGGAGACACTGCCCTAACTTGTCCCATCTCTGCAGCCCTGGAGGAGGAAATCCCAGAGCCAGGATGGCCCTCGGAGGCCATTTAAGCCAGTGGCTTTCGAACAGGTTTTAGCCACAGAGACCCGGGTGCAAAACCAAATCTTCTGCAAAACCCAACTTACATAAACGACAAGGAAGCCCAGTGGAGGGGTCCTGGCTGCCGCCTAACCCAAGCCGCGGAGGCAACGGTCACTGCAGTGCCCTTGGGAAGGGCAGAGTCCAGGACCCTGTGCAGGCTGTCGCCCCAGCACCCCAGGAGGCAGGGCCCTGGAACCCCTACAGGCTCCTGGTGACTCCAACGCCCCCACCCGGGGCAGCTGGGGATCACTGGTCACCTGCAGAAGCTCTCAACCTGTTTCTTGGCAGTGGGACGGGGCATTCTCCTGCTCTCTCACGCAGAACCCCAACCTATGAAGGGCTCCATGGGCTGAAGTGAGGGTCCCAGAGCCCACTCAGCTCAGGCCCCGACTCCCAAGCCTCTGAGGCATTCCCCGGGAAAGCAAGGCCCCTGGCTGGACACAGCTAGACTGGAGTGAGGCCAGCCCGAGTTGGGTCGGCACAGGTCTCCCTGGTGCGTCCACACGGTGGCCCAGCTCTGCCCTTCAAGCTCACCCAGAGGACAGCTGCCCCTGTCCCAGGATGGCCTCGGATACAGACGGCAGGAGTGTGCAGGTTTCCAGGAGCCTCAGCACGAGGCTGGACAAAGGCCCTGTCCTTTCCGAGCCAGCACCCAGGAGACTCACGTACTGGGCCCTTGGGACAAGGGCGGCCACTGCCATCCCCACGCGGCCTACAGGCGGCAGCAGCTCTGGCCCCTCCATTTCCGAAAGCCACAAACATCTCTTAGGATGGCAGCAGAGGCTTCTGACCAACAGAGACGGTGACCACAGTGGACCGCCAGCCGGTCCCGGCCCGAGGAGCCTCCTCCAACAGCAGTCACAGTGGCTCCACAGGAGGAGTGCCCTGGTGGGCACAGGGGTTGGTCTGCCCTCCTGCTCACCTCAAACACCTCCTCATCCAGGATCCGGGTGCCAAACACGATGATGCCATTGATGTCGATCATGGGGTGGTCGCTGCGGTCGAGGAATTTGGTGGTCTTCTTTTTACAGTCGAGGATCAAGGTGACATTTTTCTTGTGGACGCTGAGAGCAATTCTGTGCCACCTGCAAAGAAACAGATGGTGAAGACAGGGCTTGGATCACAGATGCCAGCTCAAGCAATTTTGCTGCAAATTCCTCGAGACACAGGAAGAAGGCCCACTTCCTGCACGATCGTGGTGGGGCGGAGCAGATCAAGGCCCAGCCTCTGGAATCAGACAAGTTAGGGCAACACCCCGTGCCATGAGATCTACTCATTCCCCAGAACCCTCGTCCCTCAGACAAGGATGGCTGTCTGAACCCTGGAAGCCCAGCCGGGAGCCCAAGTGAAAGGGGGAAGGGGGAGCACACAGCACTCGGCACTGGCTCGGGACCCAGGAGTGTGGTCCCTGGGAGCGTGGTCCCTGCGGTGCGGTCACAGCCATCGGGAGAATGGCAGGGCGGCGGCCGTTGTATTTTGCTGTGTGCATGCGAGCACTTGTCACGTGCCCTCTGAACCCCGATGGCAAACTGCAGGCAGCCAGAGAAGACCGGGTGTGGACGGGAAATGGTGGAAGGAGTGGATCTGTCTGAAAGTCTTGGCGAAGAATTCAGAAATCATGTATTGAAGACGTTCGGAGATTATCAGGGCATGACCTCACACGTGCTGACCACGAAAGAGGAGACTGACAACCCCTGGTGTTGAGGTCTGCACCCAACAGAGCGTGCTGGCACGACCCGCTTTTTCTCATGCTCACTCCCACTCCTAACACACCTGTGTCCTTGAAGGATACCTGAAATCCTTTCTGGAAAAGGTTGGGTATAACCTCACAATTTCCTGTGTCCCTTCTGACACAAACAGGCGGGAATTTGATGTGCTTTAGTGCACTTTACAAAGGGATAATGGAGGGCCAGGGAGGAGAAGTGACTCCCCAGAGCCACAGAGGATGAATCAAGACCATAACCCAGGTTTCAGGACTCCAAGCCCAGCACCCTCTCCTCTGCTGCGGCGTCTGTGGGAGTCTCAGTACCGGCTGCTGCACGTCCTCTACTGTGCCCCACATCTGGTCAGTGGTATGAGCTGGCCTGATCCCCCCTCCAGCAGGGGGACAGTTGCCCAGAAGTGCCCACTTACTTGCCATCTGACAGGTTGATGCCCCGGAAGAGGGGGTAGTCTTCCGGGCCAGGCTTCCCCGTGTGGTCCTCGTAGAGGAAGACGGGAGAGCGGCCCAGCTCCAGCCCAATCTGCTGGATACCCTGCTCGTTGTAGATGGAGACCAGGAAGGCCTGGCTGCCTTTCTTGGCTTTCACAGTTGTTAGGATGGAGAAGTCCTCGGGAAATGCAGACGCTGGAACAGAGCACAGAGGTGAGAAGGCAGTCGGGGAGCCCCTGCAACCACACCCAGCCATGGCTCTCTGCAAACAAGCCAGCCCGGGACCCTGGGAAGCTGTGCTGCCCGTCGTGGGGCACTGCCATCTGCTGCACATCTGCCCCTTGATCAAACTGCTCCTGCAGCCCTTCCCTGCTCCCACTTGGCCAAACCTGCCCCCTTCAAGACTCAGTGCAAATGCAAACTCCTCCATGAAACACAACTGGTCCTTCCAGCTGGGAGCCCTCAACACCCTGCCCTCAGCTCCTGCGCCTAACACATCTGTGTGTTGACCCTCAGGAGAACCTCTCAGGCTGTGAGCTGCCTCTGGATGGAGGCTGCTTCTGAGGTGTCTTAGTACGCTCCATGAGGTCACACCACTCAGCATGCAAGGAAGGGAGGGAGGGAGGGGGAGGGAGGGAGAGAGACGGAGGGAGGAAGCAGAGAGAGGAAGGGAGAAGGGAAGCAACAGCCTCGAACCGCCACTAGAATTGTACTTTGTGACATTTCCTGGTTGATACGCAAAACAGAGAAAAAGTGGAAATTCATCAAAAGAATTTAATCCAAATTTAAAATTAGAAAAAAATATATCCCTAGTATGTTAACGGGAGGAATTACCTCTTACAACACATGCCAGGAGCAATTTGAGGTCATTAAAAGGCAGACCCAGGCTGGCCCGGCCACAAGCACCTAAGCCCACTCCACATATCTGCCCCTCATCCGTGGGCATGACCGGGAGCCCCAGCCCCTCCTGTCCATCGATCCTGGTGGCAAAGGCAGCGATGCTCTCACCCTGGGCCACCTGCAGTTCTGCCAAGAGCCTGGGGCTGATGGAGGGCCTGTGGCTAGTTGATGCCGGTGGGCCAGCCAAAAGTGCTGGGCCTAAGGCTGTGGGCTGCTCAGAACGGGCCAGAAGGAGCGGTGTCCCAGGAGGGTGTCAACAGGGACATGCCAAGGAAGGGGGGCCCAGGACCTGCTGCTGGAGCCGCCCCACAAGCAGCACCACTACGGAGGGCTGGGATCTGGTGGGTGGGCTTGAGCCATCGTGAATCCATTACCAGACCCACCCCTTCTTTAGAAGTGGGAACAAAGGCTAACCAGGTGGCCCAGAGGCCCCTGACCCCATGGGGCAGCAGAGTCTGGATCTGCGGCAGCAGCGCCTGCAAGGCGGCTATCCATGAGCACCCTCTGCTGGCGAAATTGTGGCAAGGCGGGCAGCAGCGTCACCACCTCTGCCCCTGGTCACTCCAGCACAGCTGCAGGTACAACACTGGGAGGAAGGGGACGCTGAAGGCCCCCTCGTCCCACAGCATCCTGAGGCTTCCAAGGGGGAGGAGAATGCTGCCTGTCACAGCCTCTGCATCCTCTGTAAGGTGCTGCAGGGAGATCTCCTGAGGTTCTGCAAAATGAGGGGCCACTACTCCAGGCAAACCCTCCAAGGCCCCCACAGGCCAACCCAGAGCCTGCGTGAGCGCTGGAAGCTGCCACAGCAGCAGGCTCATCCTGCAGTCACGAATCTCTCACTAAGGCACTGACAGGGAACAGGGCTGCCCAGCTGTGGCCGGGCACCCTGTGTTGACCAGCTCCAAGCCATGACTCAGCTGTTCCCACAGGAGACTGGGCCCCAGGTGGGCCTGGCCAAGGCACCTGCCCCCAAAGCTGGGGACAGCCCCAGGTGGGGGTGATGACAGTCAGTGTGGCCATCTGGGAAAGGCAGGTTTCACGGAGGAACTGGCTCAGGACTCCCATGTCTAGACACAAGCCATCAGCTTTGTTTTTTTGGGTTTTTTTGTGGGGTTTTTTTGAGATAGAGTCTCGTTCTGTCGCCCAGGTTGGAGTGCAGTGGTGAGATCTCGGCTCACTGCAACCTCCACCTCCCAGGTTCAAGTAATTCTCTTGCCTCAGCCTCCCAAGTAGCTGGGACTACAGGTCCACACCACCACGCCTGATTAATTTTTGTATTTTTGGTAGAGACGGGGTTTCACCATGTTGGTCAGGCTGGTCTCGAACTCCTGACCTCAGGTGATCCACCCGCCTTGGCCTCCCAAACTGCTGCGATTATGGCTTTGCATCATCCTTCCACATGAGGGGATGTGGGCGGGGGACTCTGGAGATGACAGCCTTAGCTGGTCCCACCTATGGCAAGGGAGTGGGACCTGCCATGCCCACCCACCGTAGGGACCCCATATGGCAAGGCTGCCAGCAGGACCATGGCAGCCCCACGTGATCCCTGGGAGTGCATGGGGCACTGAGGGCCAGGTGGGGTCTCACCTGAAGCACTCAGGTCCCCGTCCACACCCAGGGCAGATGGCACAGTCACCATCTGAGTCCACTCCCTCACTCTCATTGCAAAGGGCCACCTGGCTCCCGTCCCCACCCCACCGCCACCCTGAGTGCCAGAGTCATTCTTCCGTCTTAAAAGATCAAAGAACGAGTTGCGCACACTCATGTCTCCGGCACAAGGCACCGCTAGGCCCACGAACCCCCATCTCCGCAGCTCATTAAAATGCCGTTTCTCAAGTTTTGAAATCTCTATGGTAACAAATTTTCTCAGCTCAGATAAAACCCGAAAGGATAAATTATGTTTAACATTAATCTCTCTCCTGGCAAAATAACAATGGATTTATTGTCACTGTGAGATGGCCCATTCGAGTCATGACATGAGCTGGGACGCTGATACTTTATAATCTACGCTGTCCGGGCACTCTGGGAGGAGGGAATCGGCTGTCGAACACTTCATGTTTCATTTCTCCAAGAAAAGTCACAGTTGAGGGGTGGGCTCCGGACTCCCTCAGAGCTTTTCATTTTTTTTTTTTTAAGACAGAGTCTCACTCTGTTGCCCAGGCTGGAGTGCAGTGGCGTGATCTCAGCTCACTGCAAGCTCCGCCTCCCGGGTTCACGCCATTCTCCTGCCTCAGCCTCCCGAGTAGCTGGGACTACAGGCACCCGCCACCAAGCCTGGCTAATTTTTTTGTATTTTTAGTAGGGATGGGGTTTCACCGTGTTAGCCAGGATGGTCTCGATCTCCTGACCTCGTGATCCGCCTGCCTTGGCCTCCCAAAGTGCTGGGATTACAGGTGTGAGCCACCCCGCCCGGCCAGAGCTTTTCACTTTTACTTCTGCTGAAGTCCAAAGGCACTAGAGCATTTTAGGTATGCAGTAGGAGTACAATAAATGCATTTGTGTTGAAACTAAATCATACTGAGCCGACAGTTACTAAGCATACCGATTGCTCACTACAGTGGATCACGTGATCAATAAACAGTGACTGATCCCCTAATAAACAGTGATTGGTGCCAGGCGCTGGGGTGACACAGTCAAAGGACAGATATGGTCCCTGACCTCAGAAAGTGATACTCCCACGATACAAACAGAAATCATCAAACCAAACCAGTTAGTTAAATAATTGCAGGCTGGGCGAGGTGGTTCATGCCTGTAATCCCAGCACTTTGGGAGGCCAAGGCAGGAGGATCACTTGAGGTCAGGAGTTCCACACCAGCCTGGCCAACATGGTGAATCCCTGTCTCTGCCAAAAATATAAAAAAAATTAGCCGGGTGTGGTGGCACACACCTGTAATCCCAACTACTCGGGGGGCTGAGGCAGGAGAATCGCTTGAACCTGGGAGGCAGAGGTTGCCGTGAGCCAAGATTACACCACTGCACTCCAGCCTGGGCGACAGAGTGAGACTCTGTCTCAATAATAATAATAATAATAATTGCAAATAATGCAGGGGGCAGTGGGGCAGGGTGGCAGAAAGAGGTCAGAGGATAGGAAATGAATGCGGGGTGTGGCTAACTTTGGACAGGGGGCCAGGAACCTGGGGGGCGGCTGAGGTTTCAGCTGGACCCTGGCAGCCCAGGAGGGGCCGGGCTAAGGGGAGCATGGCAGGCCCAGGGCAGAGGCCCAGGATCCAGGGGCACCGAGGCAGCCCTGCAGAAGGAATTTCACCAGCCATCTTCAGTCCCGACCAGAAGGGCTCTCAGTCCCACATTGGGGTGGGACAGGTGAGGGGCTCCAGAGAGGAAGCTGCCATCTGGCAGCCCCTGCAGGGATAACTTGGTTCTGGAACCTTCTGGCCTGGACCCAAACTTACTGCATTTGTCATGGCCAGAAGTGAAGTTTACATTCCCTGGGCTGGACTAACCCATGGGGTCGAAGATAGAGTGAGGAAGAGACGGTCTCCAGTCTCACCAGGTAGATTCCCAGGTGGGAACCCCGCATCTTATTTCATGGGACCCCCCTCCTCTCAGCCATCAGGGAACCCCTATCCTGCTCTATGGGGGTACAGGGGAGTGGGGAGCATCTGCTCAGTGAGTAGAGGGTCTGCAAAGCCCCCAGGCTGAGGACACTACCCTCCCACCGCTGCCTCCATCTTCCCCTCACGTCAGCCTGCCCCTGCAGCTGGCACCCTGTTCGGCCGTCCCTGCCACCCTCGTCCAGCACTCAGCGCAATCCTGTGGAGGGTCCCAGGGCCCAGCGCAACTGGCTGCTCCCTTGCTCTCTGGCAGGAAGGTACTGGCGGGGGCAGCGAGGGGCAGCAGGACATTCTGCCTAAGGGAGGCTGATTCTGGAGCCCAGGCCCCAGGGTGCAGGAGAGCCACAGGCGAAGACAGGGTGTTGGCCAAGGGGCAGGGGGGTGTGGGCAGAGCCGTGGCCTCCACCCAACCCTGGGTGTCCTGAGTAGGAGGCAAATCTCAGAGGCCTGGTCTGAAGAGGGGTACGGAGGAAAAGGCACCTACAGAGGACAAAATAGAGAGGACCCCACCCACAGCACCAGAGCCGAGGAGGAGGATGCGTGCTGATCCAGGAAGTGGGCTCAGGTGGGGCTGGTCCCCAAGTCAGGTGACCAGGGGGGACACTGCCTCGCCTGGTCATCCTCAGAGGGGACAGCTCAGATCTGGGTCATTACAAACAAGCAGTGCTGGGTCAACAAGGCAGGGAGCACACCATCCCGGGCCCCCAGTGGGGACGTGGATCCCAGAGCTCGGGCCGCCTGGTGAGGAAGCCAGGCCCGCTGCCTTCAGGGTCTCAGGCCACCTCACCGTGAGGCGATGTCTGCACTGCAGACACAGGGGACCGAGGCCTGGGACCCCACTGGGAAGGAAGTCCCAACCCTCCCCGCTTCACTGGCAGCCCCTGTGTCACAGTCCTGGGCTTCAGTCCCTGCAGCCTCATCTCCCTGGTGCCAGGACAACCCAGCACCCATGATCGGTCAGCAACCGTGGCTCAGGGTTGAGCTCCCTGGTCGGACAGATCCCAGAACCCAGACTGCTGGGTCTCAGCAAGACTAGAAAACCCTCTTCGAATGAGGGGGGAAATTCTAGCCTCTGTCCTGCCCCCAAGTGCAGAAAATGGGAACAGGATTCTTCCCCTGTACAGAAGGGAGGGCGGTGCCCCTGAGGAGGGTGGCCTAGGGAACCTCGCTCTCCCAGGCCAGAGGAGGCCGGGCTCCATCTGTTCTATTCATGGCTGTGTCTCCCTGGCACCCAGATCACTCTGCCAGTTCGTGCCCAGTGGGGGATACAGGACCAGGTGGTGCCAGTGTGGGTGGAGGGCAGAGGTCAACGCCTGTGCGGCCTGGGCGGGGACGGGCACTGCACCCAGGTGGAGGCTCCCAGTCACCTGCTCAGCTCAGTCTCCAAACCCCCACCCCCGTGATCCAGGGCCACTTGGCTGCTGATTTGCCGAGGGGTGTGTGAGCTCTTCGGGGAGTCTGGGGAGCCTGCTCAGGGATTTTGTCAGGGGATCGGATGCCGGGGAAACAGCTGCCTGGATGCGGGCTTCCCCTCTCGCCAAGAGATACTTACAGATACTGTTTTTGCTCCACTCAGTTCCCCACAGCCCAGGCCTTGCCGTGGCCACCTGGGCTGCACCCTCTCTTCTACCTCTACAACTGCCAGGCAGGTACGGGTCTCTAGAATCCCGCAGATGCTGCTGCTCCCCGAGACAGGGCATGGTGCAGCTCCAGCTCCCCTAGCGCTTAGGCTGACCCACACGAGTGGCTGGCGCGAGACCGTGTCGGTCCCAAGCAAACAGCCCTTTCCTGTGTGTGGCCCCTACACACTGAGCACTTCTCAAACAGAAAACCTGAAGTGAGCTTCTGAGTCCCTCCACTGAGGGGCCCACAAGCCAAGTGGGGTGGACAGAGTCCGAGCAACAGAGGACAGGTGGCGAGTTTGCTCGGAGGGCCGGGCGGAAGGGGCGAGGCGGGGTATGGCGTCAATTCAAAGGCAAATGATGTCCTATGACACTGGTCTCCAACAGTGTCCCTTGGGACCTCTGCAGGTCCCAACCCAACACTTTGGGACCTGCAGAAGGGACTCCGTAGACAGCCCTGCTTCAATACTTCCCAAGCAACCTCCAGCTTCATCTGCCATGAATGGGGCAATTGGCTTATGTGGACCCACTCTACTCTGTAAGCTAATTCACAGAAGGCTCTGGAAGAGCAAGTGAAGCACTTTGGAAAACTTAAAAAAACATGGACTTAAAAAAAAATCCCGCAGACTATTCAGAAATTTACCCTAGATTATGTGTTGGTTTTTTTGTTTGTTTTGTTTTGTTTGAGACAGTCTCACTCACTCCGTTGCCCAGGCTGGAGTGCAATGGCGCGATCTCGGCTCACTGCTTCACTGTGTCACGGTAACCTCGCTCACCTAGCATCTGGTTAAAAGCCGGAAACAGACATGGAAACCAACTGATCTGTAGATAAGAGCCCTGCTCAGGGATGGGGTCCCTGCTGAGAGAGGCACAGAGAGCCTGCTATGCAGAAACTGCTGGAAGGCCAAGCCATTTCTTTCTTTTCCTTTTTTTTTGTTTTTGACATATTCTCACTCTCACCCAGGCTGGAGTGCAGTGGTGCGATCTCAGCTCACTGCAACCTCCGCCTCCCAGGTTCAAGTGATTCTCCTGCCTCAGCCTCCCGAATAGCTGGGATTACAGGCGCGCACCACCACGTCCAGCTAATTTTTGTATTTTTGGTAGAGATGGAGTTTCACTATGTTGGCCAGGCTGGTCTCAAACTCCTGACCTTAAGTGATCCGCCTGCCTCAGCCTCCCAAAGTGCTGGGATTACAGGGTGAGCCACCGCGCCCAGCTGATCCTAGATTATTTATCCAATAATTAGCCCGTATTCCTGAGATACTGTAATATTTCTGGCCACAAGATAATCCAGCAGAGAAGGACAAAGTCCAGTGAGTGTGTGGTGCCCACACCCCAGAATTGGGTGACACAGAGAAGATTAAACAAAGTGGCTGAAGATCCCCTTGGAAAGCAGGAGCGCTTACTTCCCAGGGTGCCCCTCAGCGTGTCACACACCCAGAGTCCATGTGGTCCTCGGCAATCAGCTCTCTAAGCCCTTCCCTGGACCAGCCCTCCCAGGATCTCTAGGTCACGAATTCTAAACCGGGGGTCATGGGGCAGAAAAGGGTGCAATTTCTGGGCCAAGGTCCAAGTGAGGATTCCATGGCTAATTCCAAAAGAGATGCTCTCCCAGAAGCTTATGAACGCTCCTCCAGAGGCCTGGAGAAACGAAACCGCTGCAGTCCTTTGCGGGGACAGGCTGTCTGAGCCGATGAGTTCCACACGCTTGAGGCTGGGGATCCACAGCCCAGGGCCACTCTGGTACCCAGAGGTGGGCTGTTTAAGAGAATATGGGCTGCCAGGGGTCCCAGGCCACTTCACCTCACCTCCACCAAGCTGCAAGGCAGAGACTCGGTGCCTCGAAGGTGTTTCTTGAAATAACTCGTTCTCAAAAACATTCTTGAAAAGAACTGCCCAGATTCTCTCAGAGACAAACTCTTCAAGGTCACATGGATGTAAAGGAGGGCTGGGCAATGGCTGGGGATGAGTGTACAGAGAGCACGTCTGTGGAAGCAGAAACAGCCCCTCAAAAGAGGGTGTCCTTCAGGGGCCCCGTGGGGACACGATCATCAGAAACACCACGGAGCATTCAAAGACTGCCCTGATCGTGGGTTCAATGCCGGGGTCACCTCCAGGTCCACCAAAAAGATGCTGCGCTGTCTTCTAATAATTACAGAGCATCTCATAAAGTGAACTCACCTGCCCTACATCCCCCGTCCCTTTCTCATCTGAATCAGAAAGAGGAGCTCATTTTAGTCCAGGCCATGAGCAAGTGGCTGGGTCAAGGCGATGAGGTTCTCCATCAACAGCTCGTTAATCACGTCCAGATAAGCCCAGAGGGTTTAATTAACTGTGGCAGGTGCCGCCCCACGACTGGGTGACAGGGACAACTTGGATGCTGTATCTTAGAGCTAATGCTGCTTCCCGCTCCGGGCATGTAATTAAAAGCAGAGACCCGGCATTTAGCAGTTGACTCTCATTAAAAGCCTCCCATGCTCTTGCTAGGAGTCACGACGTTTGATTCATCGTCTCTTAATGTCACTGCCCCTGGTTAAGCTTCTGTCTGGAAGTGCTTCCTTTCCCACGACCCCGAGGTTTCTCTCAACCTCATCCCTCAGGACCCATCCGACTCTTTCTGCCCTTGGAGTCCTGGCGGCCCAGCTACCACCAGAGACACAGCTGATAGAAGGTCAAGGGCACTGGGCCACACCCACCCACCCACATCCAGCAGAGAAGGACAGTGACAAAGCCCAGTCCCGTCCAGAAGGACAAAATCCCACTGTTGCAACTGCCTTTTCACTACAGTGAAACGAAGCCGGGCTCGTGAGAGGGGCTTCCTGGAAAGCTGAGCCCGCTTCTGCCACCACGCAGGCTTGAGCGCTGCTCCTGGCTGGAGGCCAGAGGGCCAACGGGACCCACCGCCCCAAACAGAAGGGTGCGGCACTTACCAGGGTACAGCTGCTTGGTGGGTGCGCTGAGCTGCGCGTCTTTGGTGACTCTGTAAGCGACATCCGGGCCTTTGGAAGATCGCCGCGTGGCGCAAAAGCCTGTTGTCTTTGTTATTCCATCAGGCAAGTTGTGAAAATCTAGAACCTTCAGGAGATCTGCTGGCTGAGCTGAAATGACAGAGGAGGAGCAGAGTTAGCCACGGAGAGGAAAGGAGCACCTGGGAACACCCGGAAGCTGGGATGACAGGAAGCACCCCCACCCCCACCACTGTGAATCCTGGGCACTCAGAAGAGCCCCAGGACCAGCTTAGAGCCGCGTGCTGGGCGAGGCAGGGCACCACGCTGCGGAGGAGGGTCCCATCCTTGTCCCCACCAGCAGCCACATACCGGGGGCAGACCCAGGCTAGCCCAGAGGGTCCCATCCCTGTCCCCACCAGCGGCCACACACCAGGGGCAGACCCGGGCTAGCCCAGCTCTGACGACGCCCTCCTTCCTCACTGCGCTCTCGTGGCTCCTGAGGCTGGCAGGGGCCACACACCCAGCCTCCCAGACACCTCTTCTCATTGGCCACGTAAGGAGAGCAGCCCAGGCAGATGCTGGAAGGCCACAGAAGGCCCACTGCGGAGCTGACCGCCTTATGGTGTGCTGTGCAATGACACAGGAGAACCGGTGGGTCACAACATCTGCCCTGCAGCCCTGAGAACCTTCACCCCACCTGAGGCCCCTCCAGAGGTCACGGGGATGTCACTGGCCTAGTTTATCCCCCCGTCATTATCCACCTGGACTGTCTGTCGCCTTCCCATGACCGTTTACAGCGGGTGTGCAGTTTCCATTGCCCTGGAAGACCCCTGCCCACATCGCCAGACCATGCAGAGCCAAGAACAAGGGAGGGGCAGCCCCCGCATCCCTTCCAGAAGGTTCCTGACCCTCTATCCAGGGGCTCTCAGGGAAGGGCAAGGGGATAAGCTGACCTCTGGCCACTGAAGCCGTGATCATTACCAGGGAGCTCAATGGTCACCCTCCAACACAAAAGACGGCCCCATCTGCCAGAGCCTCCTTCCCCCACACCACGAGGACCCCAGACCTGCATCCACCACAAGGCGCGAATCCAGGAACCTGCCCTGAACAAGGTCAGTTTTATGGGAAAAGCACTGCTCCTGTGCCCACGAGCAAGAGGCTCCCTGGGAGTCCCGGCAGAGAAAATAAACTCGAAGTTGGCATCACAGCGACAGAATGGTGTGTGTTGGGGCGGCCTGGGAGTTGGAGGAACCCAGCAGCCGGCAACTGCCCTGCCCAGTAGATGTGGACGGGGTTGGCCGTGCCCCCTCTGCTGGCCAATCAGAGCATGACACCGCCCTGTCCCAGACGGTCAGCTCAGGGATGGACGTGAGACCAGCCAGGATAAGGAAGCTCCGTCCTGGGGCTTTTTTCCTTTGAGAAAGAGGAATCCTCCCTGCTCTGCTGGCTCCAAACACAGAACAGGAACCTGGAGCTGCTGGCAACTGTCTCCTGAGCAGGTGGAGAGTGCTTGCCTGAGGATGCAGAGAGACAGACTGGCCACACTGTTTGAGTAGCTGGATCAAGCTGTGCCTGACAGAAACCGGTGTATCCCTCTTTATGCTAATGCCAATTGGAGTTAGATCCCAACATCTGCTACTAAACAGTGCCCATCTCTGGGTGCAGTGGTGTGGGCCTCCTCAGCTATCAGTTCCCCGCTCTCTGGCCTGGCCCTCCTCCCCAGGGAGGAATGGTGATCAGCCTGCGACGGGCTCAAGAGGAAAGTCCCACCTTTTTCCCAAGGGCAGAAGGTTTGGAGGTGAGATGGGATGGCCACGCAGGTTTCCTCTCTGCTGGTTTTCAAGGACTCCTGCAGCCAGGGGCACCTGCAGCCTCGGCACTGCCACGGGAGGAGGTGGCTGCCAGAGACAATGGCGCAGTGTCACTGCTTGTCCCAGCAGGCCCTCAGCAAGAGGAGCACCCAGACGGAGGACTCTGTCTCCCCAGCACTCCCTGTCCCTCCAGGGGACTCAGCGCGGGCACTGTGCTTGGTGCGCAGGCCACAAGGAGGTACAGACAGGAACCTGTGCCACCCCCACCCCCGCCATGACCAGCTGACAGTGCAGGGAAGACAGCAGCCTGGGCAGGGCTCTGAAGGAGACCAGGGTGGAGGGAAATCGAAGCCGCATTTCTCATTCATGAAGCCCCTCCCCATCCACAGTTCTCTGGAAGGCTCCACAGTACCCAGGTCCCAGGGTTCTGAAGTCCCTGCCTCTGACGGTGTCATTTCTACAGCTTGGCTTTGCTGCAGTCCTCTGCCAATTAAATCAAGAAGCCAGAAACATGGAGAAGCTGAGGATTTCCCACTGCGGCGTGGGAACAGTGACAAAGGGGAGGGGCGGCACAGGGACCCAGAACACCCCACGTCCAGGCCTCTCATGGCCTCTCTGTTTTCCTGGGTGGCTTTCGGCTGCCAAGCAGGGCACAGCCCACCCAGCTCTGTCACCCCCTCGGGCATGTATGGCACCTCCCACCTGGCCCCAGCAAAGAAGGCTTTGGTGGGCTTTTGCCTTTGACTTGAGAAGAAACGCTGAGTGCCAGTGCCTGGTGAGGCTGCACCGCGCAGCCCTGGGCCTGGATGCAGCCCGTGGAAAGAGAGGATGCGCCAGCTGCCGGTCCACCTGCTGAAGATGACACAGTGCCGAGCCCTGGGTCATCCCTAAGACTCAATTCCAGCACTGGCAGCGGCCGGGGCAGGGGAGCAAGGATCCCGGCCGGGGCTTCCTGGACTCACACCATAACAAGCCCGTGATGCTCTTCCCAGACTCAGGCTCGCAAGCCTGTTTTCTCCATTGCTGAAGGCAAGAGCTGTTTTCCAGCAGGCTTGGTGGACATGTTCGCAGATCTCTGTTGCAACAAGTTTAAGAGGCCACCAGACCTTTCCCAGGCCTAGTGCCACCCCTCCTGCTGGCCAGGGGCTTCCTGTGCCAGAGCAGAGGAAAACATTAAGTACTTTTTGAAAAAGAAAAGGTTGGGGAGAGCCCAGGAGGAGCCTGGCGCACAGCCTTTCAGGAGCTTTTCTTCCAGCCTCCATCAGGATGAAAACTCCACTTGGACACAGCACAAGCTTTGGGGACAGGTGGACATGGGTTTGAAGCCAGTGGCACCCCCCACCAGAGGGTGGATCCCAGTGGGTCAAGGCCAGTGAGAGAAGCTGCAGAATCAACAGTGGCCACCGCACACTGGCCCGTGCACTTCCCGGCTCAACAAACAAGAGCCCCTCTCTTTTGCCCTTTTCTCCTAGACAGCCAGGCAGGGGCCCATCACCAGCAGTTCCCAGAGGACCCACCGAGCAGCCCAGGTGCTCAGTGAAGACGAGATGGCATCACGCGTGTGGTCTCCACACCCAGCCCGGTGCCTACTCTTTAGTGAAGGACCATGCAGCTGTGCCCAGAGGTTCCTGAGACCGACCATCTGATGCACAGAAGGCCAGCTCCGAAAGCTTCATGAAACAAAAACTTTGTTGATTCCATGGAACCCTCGCCATGACCGGATCACCTATGGGGTCAGTCCATCACATGGTGGATGGATGGATGGATGGATGGATGAATGGATGGATGGATGATGGATGGATGGATGGATGGATGGATGGATGGATGGATGGATGAAGTCCCAGAGAATAGCAGGTGTCCTGCTGTGCCTTGGCCACCCAAGCTCCAGCCCTGTCTCCTCTAGGCACCATCCTGCTCTGCAGTCTGGGGAGCTAAAAACTACACTTCCCAGGTGCCTTTGCATAAGGATGCAGGGTGCAAATTAGAATCTGCCAATCAGAGAGACTCATGGAGCTGGACAGTGAGAGGGAGGTGGCAGCCTCCTCCGCCCTGGCACAGCCAGCAGGGCCATATCCCCAGACACAGCATATGGAGGTGATCCTCATGTCCAGACCCCCACGCATGCCACGGCCTGGGACCAGCTTCAGGGCACCAGGCGGCATTGGCAGCAGCAACTTCCTGCAGTCTGGGTGGCAGCCTCGCTATGGTGGTGCAACCCCAAATGGGATAGTGGAGTGGGGCCTCCTGACCCCACCACGCCGGGTCTCCCGGAGACTGTATCCACCTGACTCCCTGCATTCAATCCCTTTCCCCATCGTGGCTTGCTCCCATCAGCTGTGTGCACTGAAACCAGGAGCCTCCCTGGAACCACCTATGGGACATGGGCCCAGCACAAGGCCACGGGCATCAGAATCTTTAAACTACAAGAAGTGTTTACCCCCAGCACCTAGGGGTCAGGCATCCTGCACAGCCTCGCTTGCCCAGGGAATACCTCTTGTCCATCCCCGAGTTGATCAGAGTTAGAGAAGTTGGCCCCTGCATCCCCTGCACTGTTACAAGTAGAAGTATTTGTCACTGGCATCCCAGAGGCCCATTTTCATGAGGATATAACCAGGCATCAGGTCCCCAGACCTATAAAGGAATGGACGCCAGCAAGGTCAGTTTTAAGGAAGAAGGGAGGTGACTGAAAAGAATTTGATGGCCAGGCGCGGTGGCTCAGGACTGGAATCCCAGCACTTTGGGAGGCCGAGGCAGGCAGATGGCTTGAGCTCGGGAGTTGGAGATCAACCTGGGCAACATGGTAAAACCCCGTCTCTACATAAATACAAAAATTAGCTGGGCTTGGTGGCATGCACCTGTGATCCCAGCTACTGAGGGGCTGAGGTGTGAGGCTCGTTTGACCCTGGGTGGTGGAGGTTGCAGTAAGCCAGGATCGTGTCACTGCACTCCAGCTTGGGTGACAGAGCATAACCTGGTCTCGAAAAAAAGGAAGAGAAAGAAGAAGAAAAAGGAGAAGGAGAAGGAGGAAGGAAGAAGGAGAATAATTTGGAAATGAAAGTTTGAGTTCTGCGTGGGTGTCATGCACCACAAAAGGCAGCACAAAGACCCTGATAAGAAATACAAGCAAGACTGCAGCACTGGCACATAGGAGGAGCTCAACACAGACATGCAGGATGGACGGATGAATGGATGGATAGTGGATAAATGAATGGTGGATAGATGGATGAATGGATGGATGGATGAATGGATGGATGGGTGGGTGGATGGATGGCTAATGGATGGATGGATGAGTGGATGGATGGATGGATGGTGGATGGATGGGTGGATGGATGAATGGATGGATGGATGGTGGCTGGATGGGTGGGTGGATGGATGGATGATGGACGATGGATGGATGATGATGGATGGATGGTGGATGGATGGATGGATGGATGAATGGATGGATAGATGGATGATGGACAATGGATGGATGATGGTGGATGGATGGTGGATGGATGGTGGATGGATGGATGGATGGATGAATGGATGGATAGATGGATGATGGACAATGGATGGATGATGGTGGATGGATGGTGGATGGATGGTGGATGGATGAATGGATGCATGGATGGATGGTGGATGGATGGATGGTGGATGGATGGATGATGGATGGATGGATGGATGGAGGATGGATGGATGGATGAATAGATGGATGGATGGATGCTGGATGGATGGATGGTGGATGGATGGATGGATGGATGGTGATGGATGGATGGATGGATGGACGGATGGATGGATGGATGAATGGATGGATGGATGGATGATGGACAATGGATGGATGGATGGATGGATGGATGAATTAATGGATGGATGGTGGATGGATGGATGAATGGATGGGTGAATGGATGGTGGATGGACGGATGGATGGATGGATGGACAGATGGATGGATGAATGGATGGATGGTGGATGGATGGATGGTGGATGGATGGATGGATGGATGACTTAATGGATGGATGGTGGATGGATGGATGAATGGATGGATGGGTGAATGGATGGTGGATGGATGGATGGATGGACAGATGGAAGGATGAATGAATGGATGGATGGTGGATGGATGGATGAATGGGAGGATGATGGATGGATGGATGGATGGATGAATGGATGGATGGTGGATGGATGGATGGTGGGTGGATGGATGGATGGATGGATGGATGGTGGATGGATGGTGGATGGATGAATGGATGGATGGATGGATGGATCAATTAATGGATGGATGGTGGATGGATGGATGAATTAATGGATGGATGGTGGATGGATGGATGAATGGATGGTGGATGGATGGATGAATGGATGGATGGGTGAATGGATAGATGGTGGATGGATGGATGAGTGGATGGATCAATCAGTGAACAGATGAGCAAGTGAATGGTGAAAATCAGGAGGTATAGGGCAATTTTACAATTGCTGCACTAAGTTGTCAGCCTTTCCACCAGCCAATAACAATGCCTCCACTAACCATGCTAGGATAACTTTCTCTGTCCCCAACAGGCATTTCCACGATCCCCATGGAGGTCAGCTTCTCTGCTCCTCCAGAGCTGACCCAGAATAACCGCATTCCATGTCACTCTAGGGCTTGCCACCCTCTCATCACACAGCTGCAGGACATGAGATGCTGAAACTTCATGCAAGGACTACAGTGCTCAGCGCACCCAGGTGCTCCTGGCCTGGACCAGCAGTGGACTAATGTGGCCCAGCACAAAGAACCAGAGATGAGGGCTTGAAACTGAGCTGGTGAGGCATGAGGATGGAGCCCTGGGCTCCCCTTAAGGCCTGAGGCTCACAGACCTGCTGAGAAGGATGAATGCTGGCAGCCAGGTGGCTGAAGACATGGCAGGGCAGCATCACAGCACCCAGCCCAGCAACGCTCTGTTTCCCCCCGAGACCTGGGGGGCTGCTGGACATCTGTACAGGGCTCCGGCACCTACAGGAGCTGATGGAATGAGATGGCTGCTTTTAGCGGGAACTTAAATCAGTTCCTGGTCGTCCACTGGTGCCCGAGCACTCCTCCGAGGGCTCAGAAGCAAGGAAGAGGCAACTTCGGCCCGGTCACAGCCTGCCCTGCTGGAGAGCATCTCTCAGGCTCAGCAGCCCCTCCCCTTGGAAGTGGGGCCCCTCATGAAAGAACGCTTCTCCACCAACAACAGAAACGCTGCAGAAGTCCGCTGCTTTCGGGAAGGAGAGTGGAGGTCTGGGGCCACCCTCTTGAGTGACGCAGATGTGTCCTCAGAATGGAATCCGGAACCTGAGCCTGGACGCTCCATAGCACCACCATCCTGCCAGCCTCGAGGAAGGGAGACGCTTGGGGGCACCCTGCCAAGTGCTGACCTCAGAGCCTCATCTCCCCAGTGGGGAACGGGTCTTCAGAACAAAAGACAATCAGCCAGAAAAGCCCACCGGGTGCCGGCGCCCCAGGAAAGGGGGTGCAATGAGCTGCTCCCAGGGCACAAGCACCCACTCTCAGGTGGGGTGGGCCCTGATGGAGAGGGAGTATCAAAGGGCGGCAGGAACAGAGCCCTTGCATGCAGGGCAGGACCGGGGCCTGCACAGGAGCCCACACACACTGGGCACTCAGCCGTGTTTGCTGAACGACTGAGCAACCCACAGCTTCTACACACAACAGCCTGGGAGAGGGTGTAAGAGGATGCAGAGAGACAGACTGGCCACACAGTTTGAGTAGCTGGATCAAGCTGTGCCTGAACATCTACAGAAACTGGTGTATCCACCTTTATGCTAACGCCAAGTAGAGTTAGATCCCAACATCTGCTACTAAACAGTGCCCATCTCTGGGTGCAGTGGTGTGGGCCTCCTCAGCTATCAGTTCCCCGCTCCCTGGCCTGGCCCTCCTCCCCAGGGAGGAATGGTGATCAGCCCGCGACGGGCTCAAGAGGAAAGTCCCACTTTTTTCCCAAGGGCAGAAGGTTTGGAGGTGAGACGGGATGGCCACACAGGTTTCCTCTCTGCCGGTGTTCGAGGACTCCTGCAGCCAGGGGACCTGTAGCCTCAGCACTGCCACGGGAGGAGGTGACCCCTGACCACCTTACAGCCGTTCTACTTTTCTAAATAAAAGCCCACTTCAGCCTGGCGTGCCACTCTGCTGTCACCGTCTCATGGCGGCCCTCACAGAGCAAGAGCAAGCTGTGAACAGAGGGGAGGGTGCCTCCCCTGCCCAGGAAGGAAGCCGGGTCTGAGGCCGTGGGATCGCACGCTCCTACGAGGCCTGCTGGGGTCTGCATTGGATCTTTTTCTCTAATTCCTTTTTTTCCCCTAAACAAGTTCAATATCTTTAAGCACTGGCTATGGGTCGGCTGCCTTTGAAGCCCAGGCTGTCTGTCCCCACCGGATGATGTGCTGGCCGCAGTCCCCGCTCCCAAAGGCTGGGCATTTGCGATCCATCAGAGCCTGCTCCTTTTTGCCAACAAATGCACAGGGATGCTCCCCTGGCCCCAGAACCACAACACACCAGCAGATTCCACCTGGTCACTCGTGGTCACTTGGGGGTGACTTTTCCTCAGCTCCCCCGTCCCGGTGCCCCCCTGAGCCGGAGCAGTGCCCACTGTTACTTTCCAGTCAAGGAGTGCCCCTCAGTTCTGACTCGCCCACCTGCCTGACCTCCGGGATTCCTGCGCCCTTCCTGGGCAGCAGGCTCTCCCCCACCCCACCAGGCAGTGTGGTAGGATTCTAGTATCATCTTTATCTCCTTATCTCATTAGAAGGTTATTTCCAACTCTGTCCCTGGCACTGGGCTGGCTCCGTCGGTCCTGGGGTCAGGGTCTCTGGGGAAGTGTGCTGGCCCAGCCCGATCTCTCTGCCCCATGTTCACCCGCACAGTCCCCTCCCCATGCCCGCTGTGGTGGCTAAAGGAAGCCGCAGCTCTTGGGTGACACAGGTACAGAGTGCTCCGCTCAGGACCCGGCCTCCAGGCAGCATGGCTGGGGGAAGGCGAGGCACTAGGCTGGGTCCCTGGCACCCAGCCGAATAGTGCTGTCGGCTCTGGGGACACCCAGTCCAGCCCCCAGCCCGAACAGGGCAGCATTTCTGCCTGGCCCTTAAAGCTCCCCGGCCCGTCCTCCAGAGGTCACCGCCAAACACTCAGCACCACGGTCCCAGACACTGAGCCCAGGCCACGTCCTGCCAAATGTCTGTGGCCTGCACAGCCAAGGGACCAGGGTGGACTTGATAGAATGAGCTGGGGATCAGGGGTTCGGGGAAGGCAGCTGTGGGGACAGACAGAGAGCAAGAGAGAGAGAGAGGGAGGGAGAGATGGGGAGAGAGAGGGAGAGAGAGAGAGCTACACAGACAGAAAGAGAGAGGGAGAGACAGAGAGAGAAAGAGAGGAAGAGCGAGGAAGAGAGGGGAGGTTTCTGCAGGCCCCAAAGTCAATATCCTTAACTTCAAGAAAAACTTGAGAGTCTCTAAATAACCCCAAGCTTGAGGTCTTCACAATTCTCGGGCTAGAACTCTAATTTTAGAGCCAGGAGTCATAAATAGCATCTGGGCTAAGAGCCTTCATTGGGAAAGAGGAATCGAGGTACAGGGCAGGTGAGCATGGTCACTCGCAGGCTGGTGCCATGCTGGGGCTGCAAGGGAGTCACCCTCAGTGCCCAGTCCACCCCAGTCCCAAGCGCTATTCCACTCTGGAGCCAGTGACAGGCTCCCGAAACCACAGGCACACGCTGGCCTCTCCAGACACAGCTGGCAGCCTCCATTCCGGTCCCACCCGTGGCCCCATCACTGGAACCATATCCCTGCTATGTGTGTTCCATGGGCAGCGTGTGTCTCCTCCACGGGCTGTGAACTGCAGGAGGGCAGGGGCCCCGCACAGCCCGGCACCCGCAGATGCTCGCAGAAATTGTTCACGAAGCCATCAATTTGCTCTGTTTGTAAAGGGCCCTGCAGAGCCGGGGAAGGGCGGCTGTCCCTCCTAGTTCCCTTCCTGTATTTCCTGGAAGCCAGAGAGCCACAGTTCTTGAAGGGCCGGGCTGAGGGCCGAGCCATCGAGCCACCAGGGAGGGTCTGGCCCAGGGCTGAGGCCCCCCCACCCCAGCCCTCCCTGCAAGGCAGGCGGCCTCATCAGTGAGGTCAACCCAGCAGGTCGAAAAACAGAGGCGCTCTGGAGGCTGCGACTGAAATTCTTCCTCAATGACTAAACCAGGGAGCAAAGCAAAGGGGCAGGGGGTGGGAAATGCACAGAGGGCCTGGGGCTGCAGCACAGGCCGAGGACACCATCCTGGGAGGATGGCAGATGGCCCGGCCTCTCCCGCTGCCCCCCGAGGCTGCAGTGCCAGGCGGAGACCTGGAGACCTGAGCCCAAACTCCCAGCCTGTCCCTGCGCTCACTGCCACTTCGCCAAAGCAGGTTCCATGCACCCACCTAAAAGCTCCCATCAACGTCCAACTCCTCTGCCTGATGTCAAAGTCCCGGCCCTCACCCGTCCTTCTGCCCCTGTGGAATTTTCCCGGGAGGCCCTGGCTGTCACAGGTCCATCTCCTCACCAGTGTCACCGTCCTGCAAGACCCCATCATGGTGCATTAGAACAGCGCTCCCTGGGGTTGTGCAGTGCACAGCATGGCCACCCTCCCCAAGCCCCTGGGGCCCCACCTCAAGGCCTTTTGCACTTCAGGACCTCACCGGACATGGTACAGCAGAGAGCAGCAGTTTGGAACTGACCAGGGCTAGTCAGGATGCCAGCTCCGCCCTCCACAGCGGGGACCAGGTTGGTGTCCTCAGCCATGGGTCATGGAGGAACAGGTACAGGTGTGCCGGGCAGGGAGCTCGCACCTGGAAGGGGCCTGCTGTCCCCACCCCTCCATGCCACCAACCTTTGTAAAAATGACTCTGCCCACCTGCCCAGCTTGTCTGTCAACAGAGCCTTCAGGACTGAGCTAAGTCCACATCCAGACACCTGTGCACCGACCCGCAGTGTTTCACAGGGTGAGAAAATGGCCTGTAGCCGGGCCTGGAGGCTCTATGTTAACCTTCGCCTGGATGGCTGCCCTGAGTGGGCTCTGAGGTACCCAGAGGCACTGCGCTTGTTCATGGCTCCCAGCTCATCATTCCTTGCTGAAGAATGAAGGGCCCGTCCAAAGGGCCTCCGGGGTAGTCCTTCCTGAAGATGACAGTGTCACTGCTCTCACTGCATTGCTTATTATGAGATTCTCTGTGCAAAGGATCTATGGCTCATCTGTGTCTGACACTAGACCACCCTCCCCACAGGCACAGGCCCACCTGACCCGGCACCACCCCACTCCCGGGGTGGACTGACTTGGATCCTAAACCCCCCATGTACAAGCCCCATGGTCCTGGGCAAAGTGGGTCCCATCCCAGAGGCTGCCTGTCATTATCTGTAAGAGGGACATATTGGCAGTGGGGCCTCGCGAGGGGACTGGCTGGCAGGAGCCTGAGATCTGACCACCGGAGAGCACCGGGGCACCTCCGCAGTGCCCCCAACCAGCCCCACAGTGCCCCTTAAGAAGCCCCACAGTGCCCCGTAACCAGCTCTGCAGTGCCCCCTAACCAGCCCCGCAGTGCCCCAAGAAGCCCCGCAGTGCCCCCAACCAGCCCCGCAGTGCCCCCTAAGAAGCCCCGCAGTGCCCCCAACCAGCCCCGCAGTGCCCAACCAGCCCCACAGTGCCCCTAGCCAGCCCCACAGTGCCCCCTAAGAAGCCCCGCAGTGCCCCCAACCAGCCCTGCAGTGCCCCCAACCAGCCCCACAGTGCCCCTAACCAGCCCCACAGTGCCCCCTAAGAAGCCCCGCAGTGCCCCCAACCAGCCCCACAGTGCCCCCAACCAGCCCCACAGTGCCCCCTAAGAAGCCCCACAGTGCCCCCTAACCAGCCCCGCAGTGCCCCCAACTAGCTCTGCAGTGCCCCCTAATAAGCCCTGCAGTGCCCCCTAGCCAGCCCCACAGTACCCCCAACCAGCCCGGCAGTGCCCCCTAACCAGCCCGGCAGTGCCCCCTAGCCAGCCCCACAGTGCAGGGGACAGATCGGGGAGGGACTGCGGGGTGGTAGGTTAGGGCCTCGGAGACTGCTCTTTCCACACAAGACACAAGACAAGGAGGCCCAGAGAGCGAAAGGAAGAAAAGGATGATCAGTTTCCCAGCGCTGATGGCAGGGTATCACTTTAAGGGTGTCAAGTAGTGAAGAGGAGGCTCCAAATGAACTGAGAATTGATGAGAACTGAAGGCCTGAAAGGCATCTCGGATAACAGAGGGCAGATACCACGTGACCCCAACACAGAGCCACTGAATGGGACTGACCCAGCAAGCCTCGGAGCCTCACCCTGCACAGATCTAACGCCTGCCCCCCAGCAGGGGGTAACACCAACCAGCCTGATCCCTGCTCCCTCTTCCCAGGCTCTGCCTTGGCAAAAAGCAGACACTTCAGGGGCCACCCAGTTCCAACGGCATTTAGCTCCAGCCCCTTCACCCAGGGCCCGGCCCACCCGTTCCTCCAGCGAGGGCCAGTTTCATTTTGTCTGCACTGCGAGAGTCCTGGTGGATCACTTGGGCTGTCATCCTGGGTGGTCCAGCTGCCCAGCCACAGGGAAGGAAATGGGGGTCTCTGTCGCTCACTGCAGGAGTGCACATCAGCTCAGGAATGACAGCAGCCAGGATAAAAACAGGCTCTGAAGAGACCATGGAGGAGCAGCAGGTGGTGAGAAGCAGGTGCTTGCCCTGCAGGGATGCAGACAGCTTCCCGGGGCTGGCACCAGCCAACACACCTGCCGATGGGACCCCTGAGTCAGGGACACACACCGGGGCGGCAGGCCACTGCAATGAGCCTGTTGTTGGGGGACTGGACCCTGGGCACCATCCATGCACCCGAGCACCATGGGGGAGGGGCAGCTGAGGACTGTGCACCTGTTATGTGCTCTGCGCCCAGCTGCCACACTTCCCTTATTCATCAACTTGGCCCACAGTGTCGGCCCCTTCACTGGTACATGAGGAAACTCAGCGTGAGAGAGGTAGAGCAAGCTGCCCATGGCTTCAGAGCCACAGACCACCAGAGATACAGACCACCTGAGTTTCAGACAGCATCCATTTGGGTCCAAAATCTTTCCTCTGCACCATGGGGCTGCAAGCTGGGAGAATGCCTCCAAGACCCCTGCAGATACCCTGCTGCGGAGGGAGTGACGCTGGGGAGAGCACTGGGGCCATGATGAGGGCAGAGCGAGGCTCAATCCGAGGAAGAGCGGAATTGTTCTTCACAGGATGTTCAGGACCATAGGAGGCCTTGCATGGAGAGGAGGCCCTCCATACCCAAGCTATGGGGCGACAGAGAATCTTGAGACCCCCAGCGGTGGAACAAGGGCCAGGCAGAAGATGCCCCTCCCGTGGAACCATGCCATGGGGCGTTCCAGGCAGCTGTGGAGAAAGCAGCCTATTCACAGTCCTCCCGCATCCACTGTCTCAACCACACACTGCAGCTGGGCACTCACTCAAGGACAGACACACAGACACGTGAAGAGATGAAGGAGGAACAGGGAGTAAGATGGCCGGACTGAGAAAGGATGGAGGGATGGATATAGACAGATGGCTCACTACAGGATGGAAAAGGGCGCTTGAAGAATGGCCCCAGGGACGGCTGGATGAAGGGTGGCTGTGCCAAGGAGTGATGGGGGAAGGAATGTCATCACCCCGAAGATCCCGCTGATAAACCTCACCCTCCTATCATTTCAGCATCAGGGGCAAGAGCCTGGCTCCACGAACCTGAGCATTTGCACATGGCCTCTCTCTACTGGATGCACTGGATTCCTGCCTGTGTGGGCAGATTCGGGATTTAGAAGGCAGTGAGAAACCTCTCCTGCTGTCCTGAAATGCTCAGTGGAACCCAGCACAAGGATGTACCTGAGAACCAAGGGCAGCTCCACCACCCTGAGCCTTTTCCCCTGCAGGAAAGGAGGTGTAATACCAGGGCCTGCCTTCCCCGAGAAGCCATGACTGGTAGCTGAGATCTGGATAAAAAGGCTGGACTTTCAGGCTTCCCACTCTCAAGTAAGTTATTCTGAATATTCAAGGTAGCATCCAGCAGAGACACTGTTCCTTCATGAAGCTCAAGGAAGATGAGAGGCCCTGCCACCAATCACGAGGGGATGGACCGCCGCTTCCTGGTGTCCCTGCCTCTTCTGTGTCTCCCCAGCAAACCACAACCAGAGCACTCCATGGCCTCCCCAAGCCCAGGACTGGCAGCAGGTGCTCCAAGGGACTTGCTATTTCCCAGACCGTGAGCTCCTTTAGGGAAGGGACAAGTCTTGCCCTTAATCCACAGCAGAGAAGAGAGCTTAGCTCAGAGCAGATGCTTGGTACAGCGCTCAAAGGAAGGAAGAAGGAGGAAGCCAGCCAATGAGCAAACAAAGGAAAAAATAACCAAAGGAACCAATCAACAGATGATCAAACCAACCAGTGAACAAATGCAGGAATGACCCAACCAAAGAGCAAATGAAGGAACAAATGAACAAACCAACTAAGGGACAATAAGTGAACAATGAAGCACCACCCCCACCAGCAAATAAAGGAGGGACTAAATGAACAAATCAACCAATGAACAAACAAAGGAACTGTGCATTCGTGGCTCCAAGACGAATGCCAGTGGAAGAAGGAGCCTTTCGGGAGCAGCAATTTTGCAGGATCTCAATGCAGATGTACACATGCATTGACCTGCCATGCCCCCCTTTAGGGCTGAATCCTACAGAAAGGCTTGCTCTGTGCCAGGACATCCAAGGCTTGCTCACAGCAGCAAAGAACTGAAAACAAAGCACATGCCCATCAATCGGGAACTGGTTAAATCAACAAAGCTGCATTTGCCAAATATGCTGCAGAGGCCAGACAGGAAGGGGTTCATGCAGACGGCCTGAGATGGAGAGATGGCCCAACATGTCCTTAAGCCATGGAAATCCTTATAAAGCACAATCCCTTTCATCTTAAAATAAGTAAAAGATGGCAATGTCATCTGATAAAACACCATGCAAATACACACACCAGTAAGTCCAGAACAATACCGATCAGAGAGTTGAGGGGTTACTTCTGGAAAGGGGCTGAGGTTTGGTGGAGCAGTGAAGGGGAAGGTCTGCTTATCATTCTCTATATCCCTCCACTTCATAAAAATTGTGTAAATACTTAGCCACATACAACTGGCATAATTTTGTTAACAAAAAAAAAATGCCAAAACAAAATTTTTAAAGTGTGGAAGTTTCAAAATGGCCACAAAGTATCTAACATAACAGCCCATCAAGGGGTGGGGTCTATGTCCCCTCCCTTAAATCAAGGTGGGCTTTGTGGCCACCTGACTGATAGATCGTGATGGAAGCAACACTGCTGGCTCACAAGTCTAGGCTTTAAGAAACTGGGAGACTCTACTCCCATGTCTCTTGGAATGCTCCTTCTTAGGACCAAGACACCATGCTGTGGGGAAGCTCAAGCAGCCCCTTGGAGGGCTCCATGTGAAGAGAACCCCAGGCCCTCAGCCAACAGCCAGGATCAACACCACACATGTGGAAAAGCCATCTAGAAATGGATCCCCCAGCCCCAAACAAGCCACTCAACCTGAAGTCATGTGGAGCACACAAAGGGTCCCCAACAAACCGTGCTCAAAACGCAGATTCACACACAAAATAAGAGGATGCTATTAAGCCACCAGGTATTGAAGTGATTGTTCCGCAGCAATAGAGAACCACAACAACAACAAAAAAGAACAGGCAATAAACAACAAGATGTGTACAACAGAAATACACAGGAGATGTTCTTGCAACTAGAAAAAGGGGGGAACAAATAAATAACATTCGATGTTACTAGTAGCTAAATACAAATTAAATCAAGAGGACTTTGTCTCCCATCAAACTGGCACAAATTTTTTTTTAAGTGACCAATTTTTGGCAAGGATGCAAATTCTCATTCAGTACCCACAGGAGTCTAAATTGACACCTCTCAGGAAACAGTTTGACACTTAGTACTGAAAGTCTGAGGGACATTCATTCTCTTTATGCTCCTATGGGAGTTTAACACTGAATTTGAGATGAATACAAATGCTTAATCAAAACGCTCACCCAACAATTACATGCAATACTGAAAAAACATAGAAAGAAAGCAGATGTCCCAACTGGAGAGGACTGCACATATCACAGTACACTCTGTACAACCAACAGAATACCATAGCCACTCATCTGTGCCTTAATGTTACATTAATATTACCATTTATTTCATTTATTAATAATTATTAGTATTAATAAGGGAATATTGAAACGTGAGGAAATGCTCAAGGCATTTGTGGCTTAAGTCAGGTTCATGGAGGTATAATTTATATGCAGTAAAATTCATTCTTTTTCTTTTTTTTGAGATGGAGTCTCATTCTGTTACCCAGGCTGGGGTGCAGTGGCGCCATCTCAGCTCACTGCAACCTCCACCTCCCAGGTTCAAGCGATTCTCCTGCCTCAGCTTCCCAAATAGCTGGATTACATGCGCCACTATACCCAGCTAACTTTTGTATTTTTCGTAGAGACAGGGTTTTGCCACGTTGGCTAGGCTGGTCTCGAACTCCTGACCTCAGGTGATCCACCCACCTCGGCCTCCCAAAGTGCTGGGATTACAGGCGTGAGTCATCGCACCAGCCAAATTCATTCTTTGTAAGTGTGCAGTTGAATGAGTTTGGACAAATGGATAGTGCTGTACCCTCCACACCCTCATCCAACACACACACACACTATCAAGATACACAACATGTCCATCACCCCCAGGAGTTCCCTTATGTCTCTCTCCTCACTCATCTTTTTTCTGTCCCTGCAGTTCTGCCTTTTCTCAAATGTCATATAAATGGAACCGTGTCCCCTGCGTCTTTCGTGTCTGCTTCTCTCGCTTAGCACAGTGCTTTCGTGCCACCCTGTTCGGGCACTCATGCCTTCTGTTGCCAAGCAGTATTCCCGCTTGTTTGTCCCCGTACCAGGTGGGCACTTGGGCTGCTCCCTGCTTGAGGCTATTGCAATAACACAGCACATGAGTGCTCACATACATGTCTCTGTATGGACGCATGTTTCATTTCTCTTGGATGAATGCCTATACATGGAATTACTTTGTCCTGTGGTAAAGGAAGGGCTAATCTTATAAAACACAGCCAAACTGTTTTCCAAAGTGGTTGCACCCCTTTGCATCCCCACCAAGAATGGGTGATAGTTTTTCCACATCCTCACTCACACTTTTGCAGTATGTCCTTATGGTTTTAAGTTGTATTTCTCCAATGACTAACCCTGACAAACATCTTTTCAGATGCATGTTGGCACGCCTCTGTCTTCTTTTCTGGAACATTTGTCTGAATCTTCTGCCCAGTTTTAAGTGGGGTCATTTGCCTCCATGCTGTGGAGTTGTGACCATGTTTTATGCATTTTAGACATAAGTTCTTTATCAGATATGTGTTTTATAAACATTTTCTTCCAATCTTATTACCTTTCCATTTTCCAACAGTGTCTTTTGAAAAGTATAAGGTGTTGTTTTAATAAAGTCTGATTTATCAGCTTTTTAATCTTTTAATGGCTCATAGTTTTGTTTCCTATCTAAGAAATCTTTGCCTAACTCAAGGTAAAAAAACTCAAGATTTTCTCTTTTGTCTTATGCTTTATAAAAGTTTTAAATCTTACCTTTAAATACATGACCCATCTTAATTTTTGTATATTATTTGAGGTAAGGGTCATGGCTTATTCTATTGCAAATAGATATCCAGTTGTTTCAGCACCATTGTATCTTAGCATTTTTTTTTTTTTTTTTGAGATGGAGTCTCGCCATATTGCCCAGGCTGGAGTGCAGTGGCGTGATCTCGGCTCACTGCAGCATCTTAGCACTTTTATGGAAAACCAAAAGATTATTTACATGTGAGTCTATTTCTGGACTTGATTCTATTCCATTGGTCTATATGTCTTTCTGTCAACACTACACTGTCTTCATCACTATAGCTTTAGAGCAAGTCTCAAAATCACAAAGCATAAGCCCTCCGATGTTCTTCTTTTTCAAAATTGTTTTGGTTATATTAGGTCCTTTGCATCCCCACATAAATTTCAGAATCATCTTATCAATCTCTATTTTTAAAAAGCCTGCTGGGATTTTAATTGACATTGAATTGAATCTATAGATCAAGTCGAGGTGGAATAATATCTTAACAATATTGAGTCTTCTGGTCCATGAGAATGGTATATCTTTGCATTTAAATCTTAAGATCTTCGTTGATTTATCTATGCAATATTTTGTAATCATCAGTGAATAAGTCATGCATATTTTCATTAGATATATCTCTAAGTATTTTATATTTTTAATATTGTTGTAACAGCTTTTTAAATTCCTGTTTCTAACTGTTCATTGCTAGTATCTAGAAATACAATGAATTTTTGTAAATTGACTTTGTATTCTGTCGCCATGCTAAACTTTTTAGTTCTAGAAGTTATTTTGTAGATTCCTTAGAATTTTTTTCACATAGTCACTAATGTGATCTGCAAATAAAGACAGTTTTACTTCATCCTTTCCAATCAATATGCCTCTTATTTTATTTTCTTACCTTATTTCACCAGCTAGGATCTCCATACAATGTTAATAGGTGTGATACGAGCAGACGTTCCTGCCTTGTTCCTGATCTTAGGGTGAAAGCATTTAGTATGTGGATTTTACATGAATGTCCTTTATCAAATTGAGGGGCTTCTCTTTTATTCCTAATTTATTGAGATTTGCTCATCATGTTTTAAGTTTAAAACTACTACAAAGTAGTATGTAATCCCAATTTTGCAAATACAGGCATGGAACAAATAGTAGAAAGTAAATACATCAAAATGTTCCTTTAGTAATGTGTTTGGTTATACTTAATAGAAACCAACATCATTAACATCATCATAATCATCACCATCACCATCATAATGGTTTAAACAAATAAGACATTATGACTCATTTTCATCTTCTTTTTTATACTTTTTGGTAGCTTTTAACACTTCTATCATGGACACATATTGCTTTTATAACAAATGAATGGAATAATAAATGCCAATTGGCATCTAGCAGGAAATTGCATTACATAATTAAGTACATAGATATTTAACATCTCTCCATATCTAACTGAAGCTGCAAGACAGTCATGGATCTTTGGCCTTTGCCTTGATAATGGGCAATTTTTAACTGGCCTTTATAAAACAAAACTGCATTTGCACTTCTCAGGAATGTCTCCACTTCCCAGGAGTGTGACATTTGAAGTGGGCCCCCCCACACCAAGTGTCCTCACAGGGCCCTTGGTCAGGCCCAAGTGCAGCTTGCACTTGCCCTTTCAGACAAAACTGTGGAATGTGGACAAAAGACAAACGCGCCTGTTGGCTCATTGTTCTTCCCCAGCCCTGGCATCGGACAGCACTTGCCTTTACGGTTTCATTACAACGGGCAGATTTAGAAATACAAGGAAATTGGCCCCGGGAGATGGTTTAGCACCTATTAAATGCTGCAAAACAGACAACGTGATAGAGGAAGCTAAAAGGAATACACTTCCAGTTACAAATGAAAGCCCCTCTCTGTCCACTCAACCCTTCACGCACTCGTCCAGATGTGTGGTTCCTCACACCCATCCGAGGGGAGCCACTTTAGAGCTGCGGGTGAGCCCAGTGGGGTTCCTCTCTGGCTCTGCTGACTCAGCTCTGAAATTATTTTATTCAGTTCTTTGATGCAAGTAAAGGAACATTGTGGTGGGTCACTGTGACCTTTGGGAGGAATATTTTACATTACTTCCCCGGGACCAGAGGCATTTTTCAATTACGAGAGCTTTGCAAGTTTTCAAAACACTAGAAATGGACTCAAAACCAGCTACATGGGCCCTGAATGAACACATAACTGTACTGTGCGAGATCCCAGAGACGCAACAAAGGATGCACCACACATTGGTGCACTGGGGGCAGGACTTGGAGCTGACGTTCCCCTGTGAGTCTGCACACCCAGTGGGTTAATGGAGCCAAGCTTCAAGGTCCCCTCCGCGGTGGGCAGCTGGGGGCTCTCCAGGTGTCTCATGCGCAGGAGCTGTCTGAACAGCTCCGTCTGCCCTCCCAGAAGTGGGTGAAGCACAAGTGTGTGGGGCCACATGGAGCTCATTTTCACACTGAAAAAATCCATCTGCAAGAATCCAACCTGCTGCCCCAGACGACTGAGTCAGGCTGCGGCCCCAAAGCTGCAGCAGGCCCCGACTTCACGTCTCCTCACAGCAGCCCAGGCCCACCTCTCTACCAGCCACCTCCAGACATCAGCTCCCTCCCGGCCTTGTGGTATTTCAGTGTGGAAGGCAGGCCCAGGCACATGCGTTTAGTGCAGCCACCAGGTGGGGAGAAGACCCGCAAGTCAGCAGAACCCCCACACAGACAGAGCTGTCCACTCCATCACCGCAGTGGGGACTCAGCACACAGATGGCCAGAGAAAGGGAGGGAAGGAGGGGAAAGTAATGAGCATCTAGTGAATGTCTGCTGGGTTCTAGAAGATTCCCTTACATTTTCTGACTCAATGGGAGGAGAGGTCTAAAGCTCTACATGCATGTGAGTTTCCACTCTTAAGAGTAATTCAGCTTCTCGGGACAGCCTGTGGAGCAGGAAGTGCTGCTCCATCCTCCAGACAACGACCCGGGGGCTTGCCTAAAAGGGTCTCCAAGACGTGCCACAGGCCCAGGAAACAATCACACCAGGGCCCAAGCATTAAATCACAGCTCCCCACTGCCTCTCTAGGAGCAGAGAGGGGGAAGTAACTGGCTTAGCATGGGTGAGCAGCCCCAGTTCTCGGACATGGGGTCCACCTGGGTTTAACACCTAAGGATAACACTGCCTGGGGCACAGTTGCTCAGGTGACAACTGCCTGTTGGTTGGAATGTAATTCTGCAATAAAAAGGCTTTAAAATGTCCCTATGCTTGGATGCAGTGAGTCAATGTCTAAGAATCCGCCCTAAGGAAATAATCAGAGAGACAGAAAGGATTTATCAGAAAGATGTTCATCCAAGTGTCATTTATAACAGCAAACGATTGGAAACAACCCAAACCCAACATGAGAGGAACAGTTAAGAAAACTATGATACAAACATGCGGTGGAATGTTCAGCAGCCGTTGAGATATTTACAAAGAGCTGATAATGACATCAGAAAATCTCTGTGTCTAAGTGCAGGGCACAACACCGTTTCTGCACATGAGTTCAACCATGCAAAGAAAAAATGTGAGGAAAGGAAAATAAAGTCATTTTGATATTTCCCAAATGTACTATAATGAGTATGCGTTCCTTTTAGAGTCAAGAAAAGTTAACAAAGTTATTTGGAGAATGAGTTGCGTCTCTGAATCTATAAGCCAATATCCAGGAACATGTGGACTTTAAATTCCCAGTTCTCAGTTCCCACCATGGAGTTGTCTTATGTCTTACTGTCAACAGGAATGCTCTCCTCACTTCTCCCCTCCCATCCACACCCCACCTCTGCGGAGAGCCAGGGTTACTTCCACATCCCCACTTCCTCCGGCGTGGTAGGCTGCCTCCTCTCATAACTCTTAAAAAGCACTCAGCACCTCATGATGATTCTGACTGTACCGTCGGCTGCTGCTGCAACTGGATTTCTCTTGTCTCTCAGTTCAAGCCAACAAAACAGCTTGAGAATCTAGTTGTATCTGGTACCATTCAAAGCACTGCAGAAACTAGTAAGTTAGCCACTCCTGGCCGCCTAGTGTAGACAGTGGAAGTCTGAGATGGTCGTAAACCACCCTAACACAAAAATGCCAATCGCTATGGTAGAGGAGGCAGCCCAGTGCTATGACAAAATCATGGACAGATGAATGGATGGGTGGATAAGTGGATGGATGGATGAATGGATGTGTAGATGAATGGATGGAAGAAGGGATGGAAAGAAGGAAGGAAGGAAGGAAGGAGAAGGGAAGGGGAGGGGAGGGGAGGGGAGGGAAGGGAAGGGAAGGGAAGGGAAGGGAAGGGAAGGGAAGGGAAGGGAAGGGAAGGAAAGGGAAGGGAAGGGAAGGGAAAAGGAAAGGGAAAGGGAAAGGAAAAGTGAAAGGGAAAAGGAGGGAGGGAAGGAAGGAAGAGTAGGTGGAAGGGAGGGTGGATGGGTGGGTGATTGAATAGATATATGGTCTGGATCAATGGGTGAAAGGATGGGTGGATGGATGGATGGAAGGATGAGTAGATGAATGGATAGGTGAGTAAATGGATAAATGGGATGGATGGTTGGGTGAGTGGGTGGGTGGGTGGATGGATGGATGGATGGATGGATGGATGGATGGGTGGGTGGGTGGAAGGATGGATGATTGGATGGGCAGAAGGATGGATGGATGGATTGATGGATGAATGGGTAGATGGATGGATGAATGGATACATAGATGGAAGGACAGTTGGATGGTTGGTTGAATGAATAGGTGGGTGGACAGGTGGATGAACAGTGAATGGGTACATGAGTATATGGACACATGGAGTATGGACAAATGGGTGGACAGATGGATGGGTAGATTAATGATATGGATGCACAGGTGAACGGATGGAAGAACAGTTGGATGGATGGGTGAGTGGGTGTCTGATTGGATGGATTTATAGTTTAGATGGATGGGTTGGTATATACATGGATATATGGGTAGATTAATGGTATGGATGGACAAGTAGATAGATGGATGGATGGATGCATTGATGGATGAATGGGTGGGTAAAGACACCAATACACCTTTGCTGATTTAAACTAAATTTAAGGCACCCAATTTCTTGCTGTTCTCTCCTGCTACCCTACCTGGTGTTGAGTGATAGCCAAGCTAAATGCCTCACGCAAAGACCAAGATCACACAGTGATCAGGCGTTTGCACATTCTGTTCCTCAGACCTGGAATCCTCCTCTTCCCCCGACTCCCACTCTTGGTGAATTCCTATTCATCTCCTAGACCTCATCTTAGACATTGCTACCTCTGAAAGGGCTCCTTAAGCCTCATGCTGGATCAGTGGCCATCCTATGTGTTTATTCTTATAGCATTAGATTGAACCATGTGAAATGGCCAATGTTTGATCATTCTGGCCTACAGGATAGCAATTCCACATGGATCACAAGATCTTCTGATTGTCCAATCCCAGCAGGACACAGGACTCGAGAGCAGGGACCACACTTCACCTTTTTGCTTCTGACATTTGGGGCTATGACTGACCCAAAGTGCCTGGTACATCCACAACACTGTCAGCTGAAAAGGTGGATGAGCAGGTCTCAACTCCTTCCCACCCCTCACAGCTCTGTGTTCCAACACAACAGACCAGCTCAGCCTACCTGGTAGGAAGAGCAGAGGCTGAAGTTTGGGGGAAATGTCATGTTCCAGCAGGGACTGCATAGAAACAAGACACAAAACGCCCTAGGAAGTGAGGGATTTCAGCTCCTTTTCTAGGATGAACGGATCCCTATTGCTCCACAGAGCCCCCTGTCCTAGAGTCAGGCACTTGTCACCCCCTCCCATGACTGTCTGTGCCTGAGGACTTCCAGGTGAAGGACCTTCAAATCTTGTGTCTGGGCTGGCTTCCTGGGAGGTGGGGCACCTCTAAGCAGAGAATCAGCCAGAAAGGAAGACTGCAAGGATACCTGTGATGTGGAAAGAGATAAGCCTAGCGACAGCAGGTGGCCCTGCTGCTGGACACCAAGGTGAGGCCCTAGTGGGGCAGTGCATGGAGATGGTGCAGTTATGAGTGACAAGTGAGCACCAGGGTGTGGGGTGGTGCTGGCAGGGCTGGAGGTCACCGGCCACACCACTTCCAAGCCATCAACTGCTGAGCACCAGTGACCAAACAGAGCCCATCCCACTGCAAATGCTGTCACATCCTTTGTCCCTCTGACTCCCTGAAGAAGGCCCTGGTGGTCAGCGTTCCACAGCCACTGATCCTGAGAGGGCCTGGAGGCATTTCCAAACCTCCAGTGCCCACCAGATAGGCTAGGGACAGGTGCCATGCATGGCCAGGATGCTGCCAATTGTGAATAAGGTACAATGTGTGTGCATCCATTCCACGGGTGAACATCAAATAACAGGACAGGCACTGAGCCCACAGAAGTTCTGTGCTGGGAAAGTCACCATAAGCAGCTAGATCCAAGGTCCCAGCTCTCAGTCGTATGGTTCCTGGCAATTTCCTTCATGTTCCTCTTTTCTAAAACAAGCTCGTCATTATGCCCGATGACTGAAACATAATGTCTAGAGATCAATGCCAGACCCACAGGAAGTAATCAAAAAATGGTTATGTGTCATCACCCTGTCATCAGCACTGGGGTCATGTCATCCCCATCCTCGAGGAGATGTGAGTTATTTTGCAAAGGCAGCTCAACATGTATACCGTGAAAGAAGAAAATAGTGAATTTAATGAAGGACCAAAATGTTTTACCCTATCGCACAGGTGAAGAAACTGAGTCCCAAAGAGTCTACTCCCCCAAATCTCACAGACTCAGTGCTGAATCAAGGCCAGCCCAGGTTTGTGTCCCCATACCCGCTGGCAGAAGAAAAGGGTCACGATGGGCTAGCCACACTCCATCCTCCAGGCACCCCCAGTGAGGGAGCCCCCTGGTAGAGAAAGGACAAACTAGCTTACCCCACCCTGAGGCCAAACAAGAGAGGCAAAGGCCTTGACCTTCACGAGCTCTCAGTCATCCAGGAGAGAGAAGAGGAAGACGCATGCCAGGCTGGGACTGTCCCTGGCCAGCCCAACCTGTGTGCCTTTGAGAACGAGTCCCCTGAAGCCTGCTCATGCCCACTGACACCCAAGGCCCAGAGCCTCCCCAAGAAGAGAATTCTCCTTTCTGGACAGACTCGCCTGAGGCCAAAAGCCACTCTCCAGAGAAGAAGGCCATGGGCCTGAGCAGAATGGCCCCAGGAGCCTGTGCTGAGCCCAGGGACCCCGTGCCAGTTTCTCTGCCCCCAGTTTACTAAGTGACACCAGGAGAGGTAGGTACCAGCCTCAGGTTCCCCACCTGTAAAATGAGTGGATGAAGGATGGCAACGACAGTTTCAGTTCTGAGCATCTACAGGGGCACACTCCTATTTTCGGAGCATTACTGAGTGATCATATATAGTCAATCCAGCCTCTGCCTGGGTTGATCTTGTTTCCTGTCTTTGTCCTTTTTTTATTTTTATTTTATTTTATTTCGAGATGGAGTCTCGCTCTGTCACCCAGGCTGGAGTGCAGTGGCGCGATCTCGGCTCACTGCAACCTCCGCCTCCCGGGTTCAAGCGATTCTCCTGTCTCAGCCTCCCAAGTAGCTGGGACCACAGGCATGTGCCACCACACCAGCTAGTTTTTGTATTTTTAGTAGAGACGGGGTTTCACTATATTGGTCAGGCTGGTCTTGAACTCCTGACCTCAGGTGATCCACCTGCCTTGGCCTCCCAAAGTGCTGGGATTAGAGGCGTGAACCACCATGCCTGGCCTTTTTATTTTTTAAGACCACAAGTTGTTTTAATTGACTAAGTCATTTCAGCCAAAGGCCAGCTGCTTGCTTGCTGGAAAGGTTCTCAGCTCCCAGAGCCGCCAGCCCCACGTCCCTGTCCCTGCTCTGTGTTGTGCACACACAACTGTCCACCTTCCAAAGACCCACCTGCTGAACAACAACGCATTCAACCCCTTTCAAAAGATTCAGGAGAGACCTGCAGCCTGTGCACCCAGCCGTCCACTCTACAGAAACTACACACGAGTCCCAATTTGTATGCATCCCTTTTCAATAATCATAGACAAGCCTAGATTTGTGTGTCTTTTCTTTGAGTAGAGATGGATCCATTACGACGAACATTCTTCATTCTGCTTTGCTTTACTTAACATATCTTGGAGATTGGTGTACCTCAGCAAATGAAAACTTCATCTTCTTAGCTGCTGTGCTTGTTTTGTTCTGCATGGTAACCCACCTAAACGGCTCTCGCCCTTCCAGACAGTGCTGCACAGCGGTTCTCCACACACACGTATATCTGCAGGAAACATTCTGGGAACTGGAGATGCTGGTCAAAGAGTATGTGTGTTTTTGTTTGCTTGTTTGTTTGTTTTGAGACGGAGTCTCTCTCTGTCGCCCAGGCTGGAGTGCAGTGGCATGATCTCGGCTCACTGCAACCTCCGTCTCCAGGGTTCACGTGATTCTCCTGCCTCAGCCTCCTGAGCAGCTGGGATTACAGACGCCCGCCACCACACCTGGCTAATTTTTGTATTTTCAGCAGAGACAGGGTTCCACCATGTTGGCCAGGCTGGTCTCGAACTCCTGACCTCAAGTGATCTGTCTGCCTCAGCCTCCCAAAGTGCTGGAATTACAGGCGTGAGCCACCGTGCCCAGCTCTAGTTTTTGTATTTTTAGTAGAGATGGAGTTTCATCATGTTGGCCAGGCTGGTCTCGAACTCCTGGGCTCAGTTGATCCACCCTCCTCAGCCTCCCAAAGTGCTGGAAATATAGGCATGAGCCACCATGCCCGGCCAAGTACATGTGTTTTAATGCTTGGATAGATATTGCCAAATGCCTTTCAGAGAAGGCACCATGGGAACACCCACTGCCCCTCACAGGAGCCAGTGTCACAGACTCTCAGCTTCTGTTCTCTGTCCATCTGGCCGAGGGAGCAGTGCCTCTCCCTGGGGATTCACCTCCATTCTCTCCTTGTGAGTAAAGTCTAACATCTTCTCACATGTTTAAAAGTCACCTGTATTTTCCTTCCTGAGAACTTGCCATGTGTGTCGGCCATCTTGGTGTTTGTTTGCTGGACTTTTCTGACTGATCAGTGGGAGTTCCTTGCAGGTCGACCCCCTTTCCGTCAGATAGGTGTAGATTCTCTTCTTACGGTGACCAGTTGTTTTTTTGCTTTTCTTTTGGCCAGATAGAAAATCTTGACTTTTATGGGGTCAAACTGTTTTCTTTTATAACTGCAGGGGCTTACGTCATACTCGGAAAAGCTTCCCATCCCAAGACTGTAAAACCTGGCCTCCCATGTTTTCTTCTAGTAGTTTTATGGTTTCATTTTTAAAGTTCGCATCTCAGATCCATCTGGAATGCATTTTGGTAGAAGAGTAGGGCAGGATCCAATCTTTTTTTCCCAGACGGATTCTGCAACACTCTAGCCCAGTTCAATGATGAATCCTGTCTTTCCCAGCCAACATGACAGGCTGTCTTTACCAAACCCTACATTTCTGCCAGTGCCCTGGCTTTAAAGGGCAAAAGCTCTGCCTTCCCACCAGCTGACTGATTCCCGAGGGTGGGCAGGGGGTCTGCTGCTTGCCCAGCACCCCCAAGATGTTCCCTTCCCCCTGGAGAGCCCAAGAAGGCCTCTAGCACCCTCCGGTGGTGGCAGCTCTGGTGACCCGCCACAGCAAGCTTCCTCAACACCCCTGCCCTTGCAGTATCAAAAAGGGGGAGCCACCCCAATATCCAATAGGCGACACTTTAAATTAGACTTTTGACAGCTGTCGTGAATGAAAGAGAATGCCTGCACTCTAATGTGGCATGACAAAGTCCAAGTCCAAGTCCTCAGGGCAGAGGCCTAGGGATGGTCTAGGCGTTCCCCATCCGCCACCACAACGCATTTCCCTCTGTACTTTCTTCTCTGTATTCATAATCTGGGTTTGGGAGAATCTGGGTTTACAGTCATTTTTATTTTCTTCTTTATACTTTTTGGTGTTTTCCAAAATGACTATAATGAAATGTATTATTTTCATTAAAAATAGATATTAAAGAAGGAACTGGAGGAGGAGGAAAATGCTCAAGTGACATTTATCCTCCCCCCTCAAGTGCCCATGGCCTCCCAGCCCTGCCAGGTTGGCCAGGGCGGCCTCCTTGCACCTCCCCAGCAGACTCCCGAGGCCTCTGAACACCTGGGCCACACTCCCTCCCCCAGCCCCAGCCCTTCACCCTCTTAGGCTATCAGGACAGTATGGGGACAGCAGAGAGGAGAAGTGTGCTACGTTCTGGGACAGGCCCCCGGCCACCACACACTGACTCCAGGATGAGGAGCCCAGGTGTTCAAAGCCTCAGGGCCAGCCCAGGTCAGGCCAGGCATCCTCTCTTCTTTCTTGGCCCACACGGCCCTCCTTCCAGATAGGGGCTGCGTCCGATGGATGCACCCAGCACAGCAACGTGCAGAGAACAGTTGTTCAGGAAACGTCGAACTTCATTTTGAGAACATGGTCTCTTCAACCACCCCCTCAGCAAAGCCACCCACAGGGCCTTTGACATCGTACATGCTCACAGAAATGTGTGGCGAGTTGAATGCAAAGGCAGTATTTTTAGTAAATTTCCAAACATGGAGGCTCACAGAGCAGGCAGTAGCTGTGCAGCAAACACTCATCGGTCTCTGCTAACGAGGCAGATGAGGTTCTACTATAGCTAACAGCCCCAGGTTTAGAGTGACCAACTCTGGTGCAGAACTTGCGGCCCGAGGAAGATGTAATTAACAACAGATTCAGAGCATCGCTTTGCAGCCCAGAGGGTTTCATGCGAGTTAGCCCGTCCCCATCCAAGCTGGCAGCCGTCCATGTCCCCACCTCACTCTAGAGCTGTGAAAGCTGAGGCCGGGAGAGAGATCAGAGGAGAGATATGGGCTGCAGAGCATGAGGGTGGAGAACAACCCCCAGAGGCCCTTCCATCTGGGCTGCTCTCTTAAATCAACCCTCACTTCTACCCTCAGCCTCCCATCACCCAAGGAGCGCGGAATGTCCCCACTGGAGAGATTCAAAGTCCTTGGCAGGCAGCACTGGGCATCTACGTAGGGGTCAGGAAGGGTGCTGGGGAGGCCTAGGCCAGCTCCACTGGCACCGGCAGGCCTGAAAACACAGGCTTCAGAGCTTCCCAGGCTGTTAGGAAAGTCAAAGTGGAAAAGAAGGAGGCAGCCGGACTGGGCTGGAAACCAGCTGAGTTGTCAGAGAAGAATGTGCGAAGCCCTCAGCTTGACATATCCCAGGGAGGGTAGCTGCCCTGAGCGGCCTGGAAGTCAGGGCCCTGCCTGGGGGCAGTTATGTGCTGGCCGCGTACACGACTGCAGAGATCAGATCAGGAAATATTTTCACAAGTGACTAGAAAGAGACCAGACTACCCTCCTTCAGAGGAATTTTTTTTTTTTTTTTTTTTTGGCCAAGATATTGACCAGGCATCACATTTTATGGAGAAAGGCACATACTTAGAGCCCAGTAATTTCATTTGGGCTTAAACTCAGCACAGGGAGGGCTGGATTACGGAAGCCAACAGACAGGCACAGAGTCAGGTTCCCGCCTCTGCGTGAGTAACCGCCCCAGAGAAGGCGGCTTTCAGCATGGAGCACTCACAACACTGGCATCCGTGTCCAGTTGAATGCCATCCTGGGACTCGCCTTAGCATCCTAGAGAACAGAAGCCGCTGGAGGGAAGGGCTGGAAAGGGAAGAAGCGGTCGGAGGAACAGCGAGGTTGGCACTGCTTAAGGAATTCTGGAGCACAGCTGGAAGAGCTCCTGGGAGTCATTTATAGGGTGAGATGATTGATCCCAGAATTAAAGACATTTAGGTTGAAAGGGCCTGGAGAGATTACAGCTAAGAAGGTGCTGGGTGACATCTGGGAAAACTCTCAGGAAGATGCAGTGGGCTGGGCAGGGTTGCATGGGGAGGGGGGTATGGGTGCAGCACAGAGGGGACACTGGCGTCTAAGAGAGCCACCAAGTCTCAGCTCTGCTCCCTATTGGCCAAGTCAACTGGGCACGTCCTCACAGAGTCAGGAGAACCGTACTGACCTCACAGGACTGGTGGGTGGAGTGAAAGTCACCGACAGAAAGCAGTTGGTGCTGGGAGCCATCAGCCCATCCGTCAGCATCTGCCCACAGGACTGGAGGCTCCTGTACCTCACACACACGCCCTGCTGCAAACTGGTCATCTGCTTGGGGACCCCTTGAAAGATCTGGGGTGGTGCAAACAGCTGTGTGAAGCTCAGCAACACATGGCTGAGCCCAGATTAATGTCAGATGTGGGACAATTAGTGAATCCCTGATCCCAAAGATCCCAATCCAAGGAAGGCTGATGGGCAGCTTCCCTGGATGCAGCACCGAGAATAGTGTCCCCGACACTTCCCCAACCAAACTCCCCAGGCCACCCTAGGCAACTCTCGGCTTCCTCTCCCACCCAGCCTCTTTGGGGTCAGCAAACCCAGCATACCCCACCTCTGCCAGCCAGTGGTGGGTGTGGTAAGCTGAGATCACTCTTCTGGTACCTTCCATCCTCCCCTAAAAGAACCCAGGTGCATGGTTCACAGCTTCTAACATCTGCTCTCCACCCCACTTCAGAGAGCTACTTCAAAACATAGCAATTCTCTGGGCTGGTCAGCACCCTCTGAGTTTACAAAGCACTCACAATTCAACCCAGTGACCATTCACTGAGCACCTCACAGTGGCAGGCACTCTGAGATGCAAGAAGAACTCAAAGAGACCTTGCCTGTTTCTATAGAGATCTAAACTGTGCCTCCTTAGATGCTCACCACAAATCTATGAGGTAGAGAGACATCATCAGCTCCATTTTACACATGAAGAAACTGAGGCACAGAAGAAAGTTATGGTTTTGAGGTCGCACCATGAGTACTCTAGTACAACCCAGGCCAAGCCTAGGTTTTCACAATGTCTAGTAGAGCTGGGATGCAATACCCTCCTTAACCTCCAGGGGCACCACTCCCACCACTGGTCTCTAGCTAGACACTGAAGTTTGAGGCTTTGATGTCATGAGCATGAACTAGGGCTTTGGGTTACCACTGTTTACAGTGAATTCTGGCTACTGAGGTGACCTGAAACTAGAAATGCCTAAGACCACATATGCAGCAGCATCTCTATTCCACTGGTTTCTAATAAATTGAAACTTCCTAACTTTTCCTAATAGAATCTGTCTGGGGCATACAGTAGGCGTAGGTGAGTTACCCAGGTAGCGAATCTTCAGAGGACTTTGACAATTCTTTAGGACTCATGGTCCATTTTAAGTGAAAACCAAGAGTAAAACTCTTTTGAGCCTGGTCCTTGGCAAACCTGAGGACTCTCATGGCACATAGAACACATCGTTCTGCTAATAGGATAAAGGGTGGACTTGGAAATCAGGCCTGGGGCACTGCTTCTCTCAGAGTTTGCATTTTTCTTTTCTGAAATGCTGATGGTTTAAAGATGTGGATCGTGGCCCAGGTCCCTGACCCAGGAGGGGTTTTGTGATGCTATTCCAGCTCAGTTCCTGAAACATCTGGTCCATTTCTACCCCTGGCCCGCCTGCGCCTTATCTGCTATAGCATCTGGCTTGCTGGGCCCCATTTCTCCTTGGCCGTGTGTCGGCTGAAACTAAACAGGCAGCACCTACCTGGCGATAATCCTCCCCTATCACTCTTTCCTTCCCGCTAAAATGGAAAAACTGACTCAGACCAGGGCAGCTCACCCCCTTAAGCAAACAGTGCACACACAGCTGGGCACAGGCTCCAGATCTAATCCGCAGATCTCATCGAGGACGGTACTCGGGGCGCCTGTGGAGCCCACGGCTCTGTGGGCTTTGGAAGAGGCTGCTGAGTGACAGGATCCAAAAGGCCCCGCTCCCTCCTGAGACCCGCCACCAGGGCCATGGTGATGCAGGAGGGCAGGGAGGACAGAGGGTTGTTGGTGGGGTCACCGGACTTCACATTCCTCCTGCTCCTCTCTCTCAGTGCCTACTGCAGGGATGAAGACCCCAAAGAAAAAAAGTGCAACCGTCCTTCAGATAGGGACCAAAACCCCACCTTCCTTGGCTACTTGGCACTCTCGGAAGGCCTGGACTCATATCAGGCATGTTCCCAAGCAGCTGGACAGAATCAAATGCCCACAACTCAAAGGCTTTTTTATGATTATGATTATTATTATTGTTTTGAGATGGAGTCTCTGTCGCTCAGGCTAGAGTGCAATGGCGCCATCTCGGCTCACTGCAACCTCTGCCGCCCAGGTTCAAGCAATTCTCCTGCCTCAGCCTCCCAAGTAGCTGGGATTACAGGCATGCACCATCACGCCCGGCTAAGTTTTTTGTATTTTTAGTAGAGACAGGGTTTCACCATATTGGCCAGTCTCAAATTCCTGACCTTGTGATCCACCCGCTTCAGCCTCCCAAAGTGCTGGGATTACAGGCCTGAGCCACCACACCCGGCCTCAAAGGCTATTTTAAAGGCCTAACTCTGCCACTTCCTAGCTGCAGGGCCTCTGAGCCTGCTTCTCACCTGTAAAATGGGATGACACCTCCTGCCTTACACAGAGGCCATCGGGATAAAACACAGTGTGAAGGCACTTGGGGTCAGGTCAGAAGAAGACAAGTCCCAGAGAGTCCTACTCTTCACCTGCAGAGAAAAGTCTCAGCGAACCCCTCCCTCGTATGTCTCATGTGAATTTCTACCTTAACTGACATTTCAGTTTCCGGGCTCCGGAGAGACCTTGAAGAGGGCCAGGACCCCAGAGCCCACCTGGAGCCCAGCAGCCCCTCCCCTCCAGGCCTGGAGCCAGAGCCTCCCAGCTGCTCTCCGCACAACCACAGGGTGCCTGCCCCACCCCCCGCCACCCTCCAGGGGACAGAAGCCGGGCAGGGTACAAGAGGGGCGTCGGCTTCCATTAAGACCCCCGACATGCCTTTAGGCCCACACTGCCCTCGGACTATAGCCCCTCTCCGGGGCCTGCAAATCCTGCTTGAGGGCTAGGCAGCTGTTTGTAATCGGCCAGGCCCTAGCTGCAGGAAGGGGAGGTGGGAGCGTATGCATGTGAAGGGGCCCAGGGCGTGCAAGGACAGGCCCAGCAGGGGCGGGGGGACGTGCAGGGGCGGGGGCACATGCAGGCTTGGCTTGGGCTGCCCCTCCCAGGGCTGTCCCAGCAGAACTGGAGACCCGGGCAGCCAGAAAAGGAAAGAAAGAGGGAGCGGGTGTCTGCACTTCGGAGCTGCTTTCCTTTATCACTGGTGAGCAAGGAGATTTTCAGGGTAATGGTGAAACCTATGGGCTGCGGAGGCCGGGGTCCAGAACCTCCCAGCGTGGGTGCTGCCTGCTCACAGAGGGGCGAGCTGCCCACCACCACGGTTGTAGGGTGAACATTGGTCCTCAGAGCCTGCCCTGGGCAGAAAGCCCCTGCATTAGAAAGCCTGGGACCCCTCCAGCCCACTGAGGCTGAGAAAAGACCCAGTTTTGAACACCGTCCCCTGACGGTGGCAAGAGACGGGCAGGGTTGCTTTCCCCAGCGACAGGACTCCGAGTGCAGTCCGCCATAGCCAGCAGCATCTCCGTGCCCGGCCCATCCCTCGTCAGTGAAGCCCACCCGACAGGCCAGGACTCCCAGGCCTGGTCTCCCCACTCCTCACCAGCCTGTGACACCAGGAACCCACACCTTCTAAGTCTGAGCTTATTCATCTGCCAAACGGCCCCCAGGCCATAAGCCAGGCCACTGACTCTGTGCCCCCTCCCCAGAAGACATCAGAGTCCTCTCCAGGAGTCCAGGCAGGTCCTGTCCCACCCCCTGCCCTTCCCCGTCAGGCCTGGCACCCCCGGGCAAAGGAAACTCATCTGGAGAAGCTCCTGGGAACTGAATACAGAGGAAGGTTCCACAGCCCTCACCCCCCATATTATCTATAAACTGCACCCCCTACCCCACCCCCCATATTATCTATAAACTACACCCCCAACCCACCCTCCATATTATCTATAAACTACACCCCCTACACCACCCCCATATTATCTATAAACTACACCCCCACCCCACCCCCATATTATCTATAAACTACACTCCCACCCCACCCCCATATTATCTATAAACTACACCTACACCCCACCCCCATATTATCTATAAACTACACCCCCACCCCACCCCCATATTATCTATAAACTACACCCCCACCCCACCCCCATATTATCTATAAACTTCACCCCCTACCCCAGCCCCCATATTATCTATAAACTACACCTACACCCCACCCCCATATTATCTATAAACTGCACCCCTCTACCCCACCCCTGTATTATCTATAAATTGCACCCCCTGCCCCGACCCCTATATTATCTATAAACTACACCCCCTACCCTGCCCCCATATTATCTATAAACTGCACCCCCTGCCCCAACCCCCATATTATCTATAAACTACACCCCCTACCCTGCCCCCATATTATCTATAAACTGCACCCCCGCCCTGACCCCCATATTATCTATTAACTACACCCCCTGCCCCACCCCCCATATTATCTATAAACTGCACCCCCTGTCTCACCCCCCCATATTATCTATAAAGTGCACCCCCTGCCCCGTCCCCCATATTATCTATAAACTGCACCCCCTGTCTCACCCCCCCATATTATCTATAAAGTGCACCCCCTGCCCCGTCCCCCATATTATCTATAATGTACACCCCTTGCCCTGCCAATTGGAACCTCTGGCCCTTTTGTGCCAACCATTTAGCATCCTCTGAGGTCCCTGGCTGGGCCTGAAGCTGCAAACAGCAGCTTTAGTCCTTCTTTCACACTTTATAAAAGTTACAATTACTGCCTCCCAACCTCCGTATTAACAGCCATGTAAAATAACAGCCATCTCTAATAAGAATTATATGATACCATCTGCGACCATCCCAATAAAAGCAGCAGGCATCGTTATCAATACCACGAGTGCACCTGGTGCTTGCACTGCACGGGACGATGTCCTGCACACCGGGCACACCTAGGGCTTTGCATCCACACCAGTATTGCTTCCTTAGATCCTCACAGCTGCCAGTCCAGGTAGGTGGTGCTATTGCCTCTGATATGCAGATAAGCTGCCTCAGATCAGAGAGGTTAAGTAACATGTTGGAGATCCCACAGCCAGGAGTTCAAACCTGCTCTCTCGGCCTCCGAAGCTCCCGGTGTCCCTGAGAATCACTGCTTCCCTCCTCATCCCCTGAGCTCTCTTTGCAAAAGTCCAAGAGGTGACTGTGAGCTGGTGATAGGGACAGGCTCTGCAGAAGGACAGAGGGCTGGAGGGAGGCACAGGCCCCCACCCTCCTCTGCTCAGAGTTTCCCAAAGTACCCTCAACTGGTCACTGCCGCTGCACTGGGCGGGCAGGACGAGGAGCCGCAGGCCCCAGGCTCCACCTCAGACCCTCAATCTGAAGCTGCAAGGTGGGGCCCCGGGGCTCCTGCACCTGTCCACTGTGAGGGTCCCAGGCTCCAAGCTCCGGCATCCTCTGGCATCCGGTGGTGAGCCCTGCAAAGCCCCACCCTGCAGGAAGCTGGACCTGCCCACCCTCCTTTGCTTCCAGTCAATCCCAGAAAACACCAGGCAACTCCGGGCCAGGGTTACAGACCCAGAGAACTCCAACCCTCTGCAAAATGGCAGTGCAGCTGCTGTCTTGGTACCAGCCCTCTGTGCCAGGACATTCAAGGAGGGCAGGACAGGGGAGCCCTGCTGCAGGTGCCAGAGGCTCTGACAAGCCCACGTGCCATAGGACAGCCTGGTGGGCACAGCACCCATGGCACCCTCTGGGTCCTCACCCACAGCCTTCGGGCTGAGTCCAGCCTGGTCACACATTCCTGTCTCCTGTGGCACTTTCACAAGCCCAGCTCAATTCCATGGGCTCAGCAGACTCCTGCAAGTCACCTCATGGGGGCCACCTGTGACCTCTGAACCAATGGCATGCCTGGGACACACAGTAATAGTAATGACCATAGCCAGCTGTGGTGGTCCTAGCAGTTTACACATGTGAATCCTGAGTCCTCTCAGCATGCCTGTGAGACAGGTATTATTCTCATGCCCACTTGACAGATGGGGAAACTGAGGCACAGGAAGGTGCTACGAACTGCCTTAGCAGCACTGAGCTCAGGCTCATGAGGACGCTGCACAGCCCAGCTGAGAGGCTAAAGGTATGGGACACAGCCGCCCTCCACCCTCCCGGCTGGGGGCCTCCCGGGGCTCTGTGCTTCTCTGAGCTCCACCTCCGCCTCCCTCGGGTGGGGACTCACCCTGCCTCCCACATCGATGCACAAAACAGAAAAGTGCAGGCCCTAAAGCCCAAGGCCACCCAGTGCATTCGGATAAACCAGCCCTACAGACGCCCGGCCCAACACAACCCCAGCCCTACAAACCCCTGCCTTATACACACACCAGCCCTACACACCTCCAGCCCTACACACACCAGCCCTACACACCCCCAGCCCTACACACACCAGCCCTACACACCCCTAGCCCTACACACCTCCAGCCCTACACACACCAGCCCTACACACCCCCAGCCCTACACACACCAGCTCTACACACCCCCAGCCCTACACACCTCCAGCCCTACACACACCAGCCCTACCCTCCCCCAGCTCTACACACCCCCAGCCCTACACACCCCCAGCCCTACAAACACCAGCCCTACACACCCCCAGCCCTACACACCCCCAGCCCTAGACACTTCCAGCCCTACACACACGAGCCCCACACACCACCAGCACTACAAACCCCGCCCTAAACACACACGAGGTCTACACACCCCAGCCCTAGACACCACAAGCCCTACACACACCAGCCCTACACACACCCCAGCCCTACACATCTACAGCCCTACACACCTACAGCCCTACACACACCAGCTCTACACACCTACAGCCCTACACACACCAGCCCTACACACCTCCAGCCCTACACACCCCCAGCCCTACACACCCTCAGCCCTACACACTCCCAGCCCTACACACCCCCAGCCCTACACACACCCAGCCCTACACACACCCAGCCCTACACACACCCAGCCCTGCACACCTCCAGCCCTACACACACCAGCTCTACACAACTCCAGCCCTACACACCTCCAGCCCTACACACACCAGCCCTACACACCTCCAGCCCTACACACCTCCAGCCCTACACACACCAGCCCTACACACTCTCAGCACTATACACCCCAGCCCTACACACTCCCAGCCCTACACACCCCCAGCCCTACACACACCCCAGCCCTACACTCCTCCAGCCCTATACACACCAGCTCTACACACCTCCAGCCCTACACACCTACAGCCCAAAACACCCCCAGCCCTACACACCTCCAGCCCTACACACACCAGCTCTACAAACCTCCAGCCCTACACACCTCCAGCCCTATACACCTCCAGCCCTACATACCCCCAGCCCTACACACCCCCAGCACTACACACCCTAAGCCCTACACACTCCCAGTCCTACACACCCCCAGCCCTACACACACCCAGCCCTGCACACCTCCAGCCCTACACACACCAGCTCTACACAACTCCAGCCCTACACACCTCCAGCCCTACACACACCAGCCCTATACACTTCCAGCCCTACACACCCTCAGCCCTACACACCTCCAGCCCTACATACACCAGCCCTACACACCCCCAGCCCTACACACCCTCAGCCATACAGACACCAGCCCTACAGATGCCTGGCCCTACAGACTCCCAGCCCTACAGACACCCGGCCCTGCACACCCCCAGCCCTACAGATCCCCAGCTTGAGAGACCCCTGACCCTGCAGACACCCCCAGCCCTGCAGAGTCCCCAGCCCTATAGCCCCCTGCCTGAAAGACCCCCAGCCCTGCAGACCACCATCCCTATAGAACCCTGGCCCTACAGATCCCCAGCCCTATAAACCTGCAGTCCTACAGATCCCTGGCTCTGCAGAGCCTGGTCCTGTGGACCGAGCACAGTACGGATGGAGGGGAGGTCTGGGTGAGGGGGGCGCCCTTGGGAGACGCACAGACGGCACACGGCCAGCAAGCTGAGGTGAGTTTGGAGTAGGGGTCCTCCTCTTTCGGAGACCGAAATAGTTACCGAAGAACGCAGCTGATGTCAGGGACTGGCTTCAAAATCACCGGGTGCGGGGGCGTGGGCTGGCCTCTGGCTGGAACGGGGTTGGCTGTGGGCTGGTCCCTGTGGCCCCAGGCAGAACACGACCTTTGCTGCGCTGTGTCTGAGCCTTCCCATAATAAGAACATCAACAACAGCAGAATCTCATGGCCAAACCCATGGGAAACCCCTTCTCTGGAAGCTCACCCCCACCCCCAGGGTCTCCCTGCTCCCTAAGACCTGCCGGATAGTGGGGTCTTTGCTTTGGAGATGAGTGAGTGCCGCTGCCAGGTGTGCAGGGGAACAGCACCATGGGTGCTTTGTGAAGCGGGGACCACCATAAAGAAAGCGGGAGGTTCCTGAGATGGGTGGAGGAACAGCCACACCCTCCTCTCTTCTCTCCAGCGCTTCTCCCCTGGCAGGTGCCCTCCCCACCCCACGACCACCATTAATGCTGAAATCCAAGACCCTGGGCTCGAGGACGCAGAACGACTCGTGGTTTGCAAAGTGTGGCACCCCCAGACGCTCCAGCATCCGCGTGGTCTGGGAACTGACTTCGTTAGAAATGCAGTTTCCTGGGCCCACCCAAGGCCTCCTGAGTCAGAAACAATCTGTGCCTTAAGAGAGGCCTCGGGGGGATTCTGGGGCCTGGTAAAGTTTGGGAACTGCTGGTCTACACCATGAGGAGAAACGCTGGACCCGGCCTAAGAAGAGGCCCTCCCTCCTGTCTGACAATGAGCCATGAGAAGACCATGGGGTGAGGCCACGGAATCTCACCTTTGCTTCCTCTATCCCACGATTCCTGCAGCCTCCGGGCTGGGTCAGTCTTTTTGGTGGGGGCTGTCCCGTGCACTGTGGGGTGCAGAGCAGCATCCTCGGACTCCCCCAACTACAGGCCGATAGCCCTGCCCCCACCCCAGGTGCGACAATCAGAAAACATCTCCAGACATTGCCACATGTCCCCAAATGGCCTGGGCTGAGAAGCCATGATGTCCACCTGTTTCAGGGGCAGGAGGATGACACTGGCATCCCTGGCAGGACAGTCGCTCCCCTGCCCTCCCACCCCCTCTCCCTCTCCCGATGGCTCCACCTGGGGCATCTCCTTGCCCCACCCAGCAGAGCCGTGTTACACTGGGTCTGCCTGCTGTCACCAGCTCACTGTTACCGCCACACCGGCCCAAGGACGCCCTGTGTGTTCTCAACCTTCAGCTGAGTATCTCCACTGCTCAAGCAGTACTTTTTGACCTAGTCGACCATTACTGAGACCTATGACCCTAAATAGCATGAATAATAATTACCTAGAAAGCTCTTACAATCGCAGTCAGAAATCGTTCCCTACCCTTCCCTCGAGAACGCCCTTCACCCCACCTCGACCGCGGGAACACTCTGTAGCCAAAGGCTCTGAGAAGAGTCAGTGTCACTTTCTCCTTTCCTTAATACCTCTGGGAGTCACCATCCCTCCTTAGAAAGAAGGAAGGGGAACGTCCACAGGAACGTGGACACGGGACACTTTCTCCTCACTCTCCTTTCCCCAGGGGAAGAGCAGAGAAATAGCACAGGAAGAGGATTTCAGATCATCCCCAAAGAAAGAAAACAAAACAAAAAATCAAGGGAAGACAACCAGCAGCAAAGACAGATCCTGGGAATGTCCCTGATGGACACAGTGGTGGGAAGGCAGAGGACCCGAGAAAAGTCCCCCCAGGGGCCCCTCTGTCCCGCGCCTGTCATCGCACCTGCACCCACCCACTGTGCAGAGCCCATGGGCAACGGGCCGGCTCTCCCCACACCCAGGCTTGCCTGTCACCCCCACAACAGGCCCCAGTGACTGACCTAATTGTGTGCTGAGGATGCAGATGGCTGGGCCTCTGTCCTCCAGAAGAAAGACGAAACTACAGCTGGAAAAGCTGAGACCACCGTGCTCTCTGGTGTACATTTTTATTTTTATTTTCATTTTTTTTTAGACAGGGTCTCACTCTGTCACCCAGGCTACAGTGCAGTGGCACAAACACAGCTCACTGCAGCCTCAGCCTCCCTGGCTCAAGTGATCCTCCCACCTCAGCCTCTCAAGTAGCTGGGACCACAAGCACGAACCACCACACCTGGCTAATTGTTTCTGAAATTTCTGTAGAGGTGGTGCCCAGTAATGGTATTGTTGGGTCAAATGGTGTTTCTGGTTCTAGATCCTGGAGGAATCGCCACACTGTTTTTATGTCATTTTATGGCATTTATTTAAAAAATAAAGAGGCCACCAGATGGTGCCCAGGCTTGATGTGCATTTTTATGCATCTGAAAGGAAGAAGAAGAAACCGAGGCAGAGGCTTCAGGTACGCACTGTTGCCTGGGGCCATGGCTCCCCTTCTGAAGCACTGGGACCCAGCTGCCATGGAGGCTGGCGCCAGCAAACAAACAGGAGGGAGCGGAGCCACGCCGCCCTCACCTGGCCTTGAGAATGGACAGAGGCTGCTTGCGTCCATGCATGTGACTGTACGGACCTGCACCAACATGCAGGCCGTGTGACCACTGGGACGTGGAGGGTGGTTTTCATCCCCTTGTGCCAGCTGGACTCAAGGAGCTAGACTGGCACATCTGCAGAATGGGCCGATCCCACCTGGCACGAAGGGCGGGTTTGAGGATCACAGGTGCTGACGGGAGCACCCTCAGAGCAGGGTCCAGTGTAAATATGAAAATATGAACAAGAGCCAGAGGAAGAACATGCACGGGAACGTGCCCTCTGCATCCACCAATGGGAGCCTGCCTTCAGGCGCATGCATCCCAAAGGGCTGGCCCTGGAGAAGCAGGCTGGTCTCTGACTGGCCACCGCCCCATGGGGCTGGCAGGTGCCTCCCTAGACTGGCCTTGGCCACACCCTACTCCCACTTCTACTGCACCTCACTGGGTAAAACCACCTGTTCAGATGGCTGACTCCCCCGCCGCAGCGGAAGACCCAGTAGGGCACAGACGGCTCGCCTATCGCTCACCTGTGCCCCCCGCACAGGTCCGTCTCATGTTAGGGGTCCATAAATGCTGCCAAGCAAACCTGCTGACACACCCAATGTCTTTGCATATGGACCCCATCTGTTCCCTCTGTACCCACACACGGGAAAGAGTGCTGGTCCCCCAGGCCACCCGCCAGCAGAATGGAAGACGGTCGCTTCCAATGGAAGACGGTTACGATGCTCATGTGTTCTCACTGGGAGATCACTGTTTCCCAATGCAAGGGTCAGAGTTTTTCAACTTAAGTCACTCCTGCTACATACACACATTTAAAAAAATTTTTTTTATTATACTTTAAGTTCTGGGATACATGTACAGAACGCACAGGTTTGTTACACAGGTATACACATGCCATGGTGGTTTGCTGCACCCATTAACCTGTCATCTACATTAGGTATTTCTCCTAATGCTCTCCCTCCCCTAGCCCCCCACCCCCCAACAGGCCCTGGTGCATGATGTTCCCCTCCCTGTGTCCGTGTGTTCTCATTGTTCAACTCCCACTTATGAGTGAGAACATGTGGTGTTTGTGGTTTTCTGTTCTTGTGTTAGTTTGCTGAGAATGATGATTTCCAGCTTCATCCATGTCCCTGCAAAGGACATGAACTATCCTTTTTTTATGGCTGCATAGTATTCCATGATGTATATGTGCCATATTTTCTTTATCCAATCTATCATTGATGGGCATTTGGGTTGGTTGCAAGTCTTTGCTATTGTGAACAGTGCCGCAATAAACATACGTGTGCATTTCTCTTTATAGTAGGATGATTTATAATCCTTTGGGTATATACCCAGTAATGGGATCACCAGGTCAAATGGTATTTCTGGTTCTAGATCCTTGAGGAATCACCACACTGTTTTTATGTCATTTTGTGGCATTTATTTACAGAAAAAAAAGAGGCCACCAGAAACCCTATTGCCGAGGTCCTGGCAAGGAAGAAAAGGACAGAAGAGCTAATTTCCCTACAAGAACACGGGTCTAGGAAACAGAAAATAAAGGAAGCTTCCATTTCATGGGCAGAGACATCTCGGCAAATAGGCTGAGCCCATGTCCCCAGAGCTCTGAGTAATTAAATTTTGAGAAAAGTGGGTCAGGCTGTGGTTCCATTTCTTAGGTCTGAGTCATCAAAGGATGGTGACATTTACTGCTAATATGAGGTTATTACCTAGTTTGAGATTCCTCCAGAAAAACTCCTCTGCTGATAGGAAGCTGAGGGTGTGACGGCTCGGACTATCTGACATGGATAACTCAAAGTGACCCGCACCCCTCCACTGAGCATCCAGCCACCAATTCATTCATTCCACGGTCTTCTCTCCAGTGGCCTGGGGCTGGGCTGGCACAAAAACAACATCTGAGATGGCAAAGCCCCCCCCACACCCCGCCCGCACCAACTTCACCCACCCCTGCCTGGAACACCTCCTTTCAGTGATCAGCCACCACTCACCGCCATCACATCACAGAGACAGAACAGAGGCCTGCAGCTGGGAGGTGCACAGGTCCATCCACCTCCTGGACCTCCGTTCCTTGTAAAGAGCAAGTGGCCAGAGGAGGCAGGGGAGGGCCACTCTGCGGGCTGAACTTGGCCTGGCCCGCGACTGCCCAAGGATGCACCTTCCTGGCTCAGGCTCAGAGCCTCAGAGGCAGCGAGCAGCGAGCGATCCGCTGAACTGACCACTGGTGCTTACTGCCTTACCTTTTCTCCTGCGTACCCAGTGAGGGAAGCAGCAGTGTGACACCACACAGGATGGCAAGGGAGCACGCACAGGCCAGCGAGTAGAGGGCCCCAAACCACCTCACAGCCTCCTGCTGCACTGGGGCCCCTGGTGGCAAGGGCAGTAATGGGGTCTTACTCTGTGCTTTATATGAGTAATACATTAGACATCACTAAAACCCTACTGTAGTTACAGTCACCACCCCCTTCTTACAGATGGGGAAAGTGAGGCACAGGGTGGGAAAATGCACTGCTGGTAGACACTGGAGCCAGGATAGGAATCCAGGAGTCTTGCCGGCTGCCTGTCCTTTGCCAGCAGGCCACCCTGGTCCCTATGCCATGTCCTGGTGGCTGCAGTCCTGCAGTCCTGCCTATGAGCAGAGCTGTATTAGTCAGGGTTCCCTTAGAGGGACAGAACTAATAGGAATAGAAATAATAGAAATATATATATATATATTATATATATATATATAGGAGTTTATTAAGTACTGACTTACACAATCACAAGGTCCCACCACAATAGGCTGTCTGCAAGCTGAGCAGCAAGGAGAGCAAGTCCGAGTCCCAAACCTGAAGAACTTGGAGTCCGATGTTCGAGGGCAGGAAGCGTCCAGCACAGGAGAAAGATGTAGGCTGGGAGGCTGGGCCAGTCTCGTCTCTTCATGTTTTTCTGCCTGCTCTACACCTGCTAGCGGCTGATTAGATTGTGCCCTCCCGATTAACGGTGGGTCTGCCTTCCCCAGCCCACTGATTCAAATGTTAATCTCCTTTGGCAACACTCTCATAGACACACGCAGGATTAATACTTGTATCCTTCAATCCAATCAAATTGACACTCAGTAGTAACCACCACAAGGGCCGCTGTGGGCTCCGCCTGCAGGATCGAGGCACATCCACCAGCCAGGCCAGAAACTTTAAAACCGACACTTGGCAAAGCACTGAGAGAGAGCAGACGAGTCAATTATATGGGAGAATGTAAATAGAGGAGAAGCGGGAGCCATAATGTAACATCGCCCTCCCGGGAGTTTAAAAAGACATGAAATTGTCGGATCCAGCTGGACCCGGCTTGCCCTGCGGCAGAACCCACAGCCTCACGCTCAACCGGCAGGTTCCACGTGCCATCTCCTCCTCTCCCGTCCAGCTGGGGCCGGGTCACGGTAAGGAGAGAAACGTCGCCCTGCCACGAGCTCCTCAAACACACCAGGCCCTGCACGTGGAGTCAGCCAGGGACACCCATGTGAACGCAGGTACATGTGCAAGGATGCGCATGCGTGCACACTCAAACACACATGTATACCCACAAACACATGTGTGCAGGCAGATCGCGGGGAGATATACACATTGTCCACACGTGCACACGGCCTGACACACACACACACACACGCACACATGACACACATACACACAAACGCACACATGAGTGCAAACCCTGGAATTGGCTTCTAAAGCTTTTCACATGCATCACACCCCACGGCCTGGACAATGACCCCATGAGGTTCCGTGGGAAAGCAAAGAACCGAGGCCAAGGAAGGCAAAGGGGCAGCAGAGACCGGCTAAGCGGGCAACAGCAGAGCCCCAGGGGTCTCAGCAGGGCCAGGCCCCACACAGGCACACCTCCCTCGCCTGTGCTTCTGGGAGCTAAAGAGGGCTGTGGGAACACTGCTCTTTCCTCCTGCAAAACCACCACTGAAGATGGGGGCGATGGTAACGTCCCCACACAGCCAGTGCCGAGTACAGGTCAGGCAGCCTGCAAAGCTTCTCACAGGTGTGGCCTCAATCGATCTTCACAACCATGCCTCAAAGCAAGAAATGTGGTTCTCCCCATGTTCACGAGGGGAAGCTGAGGTGCAGTGACTTGTCCTCGCCCAGCCCATCCGACAGCCCCTCAGAGGCAGGGAAACTCAGCTCCAGCCTCACACCGACCTTGCTGGCCTGGAGTTCAGTAATCTGATTGCCAAGGAATGTCCCCTCCCACATCCGACCACCTGTCACCCAGCACAGGTACCCAAAATCACCCCCAGAGGCCCCCACATCCTAATCCACAGCTGTGGAGCTGTCTGCAGAGCTGTGCAGACTGGGCTCACTGTGCCAGGCCAGCAGGGCTCGTCAAAGGGAAACAGGAGGAACGGGGGCAGAGAAAGGGTTAAGGAAGCTGCCAGGATCTGCCACTTCCCTTAGGGGCACTTGTATTCTCCTGGCAAACAGATACTGGGAGCACCTGCCAAGCCCGTGAATGAGGGGCTTTCCAGCCAAGGGAGCCGCCCAGGAGAGCTCTGGGACACGGTGTGGAATGTCCTGTCAGAAGGAGGGAAGAGAGCAAGATTAAAGCCAGAGGTGGAGGAGGACCCCACGAAGGAGGGTCATTTCTGCAATAAAAGGAAGGAGAAGAGAAGGAGGGAAGGCCAGTTTCACATCACCTCCTCCAGGAAGCTCCCCAGCTCTCCCCAGTGCAATTAACCCTCCCAGACTGTCGGATGCAAGACCCAGCACATCCCATGGAGGGCCCTGAGTAAAATTCACAATGGTCTGCCTGTCAGACTGTGAGCTCCTGGAAGGAAACGAGGGGTCCCATCCCATTTGCCTCGGTCTCCCCAAGATAGGCCCGACCCAGGTGAAAAGGCAAAAGCCTTCAGGGTCCAGGCAGGTTATGCTGATGTGCAGAGAGGCCTGGGAAGTGGTGGAGACTGTGGCTGCTGCATCCCTCTTGAAGGCACTGGAGTAAAAAGAGAAGGGATGGAGGGACAAAGGGAAGGAAGGAAGGGGATGGGAGAGAGGGAGGGAGGAAGAGAGGGAGGAAAGAAGGAAGGAGGGAAGGATGGAGGGGGAAGGAGAAAGAAAGGAACTTAAAAGCTGTGTTGGCCAAATGGAATGGCTCTGCTCCCAGGACCCTGTTTGGACTGGGCCCCCAGGCCAGGACTATAGCTCAGGGCCCTGGCCTTCTCCCCGGGGAGAGCTGATAAACCGATGGGAAGTGAGAAGAGGGAACTGTGACAAGTCAAAGAGTGACCATGCCAGGCGAAGGGCCGTTGCTGGCTTAGGGCCCCACAGCAGGAATGGAAGACATCTGCCTGGCATCCCTGCCCCCTGACTCCTAGGCTCTGTCCCTTCTCAGGCCCGGGTGAGGGTGCAGTGAGATGGTGCAGCTGATGCTCACCACAGGCCAGGCAAGTGCCAGCCCCTCCATTCCCATGTGTGATTGTCTCCCAAGGCCATTCCCAGAGCCACGTCACGTGACCGAGCAGGGACAGGTCCTGCACTGTTCCAGATGCAGCTTGGCTCAGGCTCCTATGTGGGTGCCCTCGGGAAGTGTTGGGGACTCATCCTCGCCCTCCAGCGGGGCAGCTCACTGCTCTGCACAGCCCCTACTCCACCTATCAAGGTCTATCTCCCAGGAGGTGGGATGGGGCGGTCCAGGGAGGAGGCAGGGCAGGCAGACAGGCCAGGCAGCGAGAAGGCAGGGCGGGACGGGCAGCACCAGCTGTGTTCGGCTGAGGCGTGGCGGTGGGGAGTCCAGAAATATCTGCAGGGCGGGGTGAAGAGCAGGCTCTGGCCAGCCCCGCAGGAGCAGCCCAGGAGTAACATCACTGGAGAAACCACTGTGAGCCTGGCACTGGGAGCACGCCCCTGCCTGGGGCTGCCGCACTGCTGGGTGGGCACAGCCCTGGGTAGCAACCAAAACTCCAACCCCTCCGGCAAATCTGGACCACAGCAGGGAGAGGGCTTGGGGAATTCTTGGGGCTTCTGAGCTCCTCCCACTCACTGCTCTTTTATGGGGAGAGGGAGGGAGGGGGCAGAGGATGGAAAAGGATGTCTTTCCAGCCAACTTGATTGAGTCAGAGGAAATTTAACCATTTGATACCTGTCAAGTCTCACAAAACTTGGCCGACTCTCCCCACAAATTATTGCAAAAAGCAATCACGTGACTGGAGTCAACCAATGGCGTGTAGAGGAGATGACCTCAATTTCCAAATATTGGGGTCATGTTTCATTTCCCATACTCTCCTTCCCCGTTACACTGTTCAGCAGCCCCAAATGCAATCTTACTTTTCATTCCTTCACACACTTGGCCAAAAGAAAGCAGGCAAAAGAACTGTGTTCAGAAAACCCTCAGAAAACATCTGGCAGATCCGAAGATGGAGAAGACAGCAGGCACTTGCTGGTGGCTCCCCCCCGCGCCTGCCTCTCCAGTGGACAGCCGCCCCCTCCCCGCCACGCCTGCATTTCCAGTGGACAGCCGCCCCCTCCCCCCAGCGCCTGCATCTCCAGTGGACAGCCGCCCCCTCCCCGCCACGCCTGCATCTCCAGTGGACAGCCGCCCCCTCCCCCCAGCGCCTGCATCTCCAGTGGACAGCCGCCCCCTCCCCCCAGCGCCTGCATCTCCAGTGGACAGCCGCCCCCTCCCCCCAGCGCCTGCATCTCCAGTGGACAGCCGCCCCCTTCCCCCAGTGCCTGCATCTCCAGTGGACAGCCGCCCCCTCCCCCCAGCGCCTGCATCTCCAGTGGACAGCCGCCCCCTCCCCGCCACGCCTGCATCTCCAGTGGACAGCCGCCCCCTCCCCCCAGCGCCTGCATCTCCAGTGGACAGCCGCCCCCTCTGGCCATGCTCGAAGGATGACTTCCAAATAGGTCCCACCCTGGGAGGTGGAGAGACGTTGGCAAAACTCACTAAGAAAAGTGGTCTCTCCACATGCTTCTAAAAGTCTGTTCTGACAAAAGCAAAATGTCCAACTCCATAGCCTGCTGCTCTGGGCCATCCTCACTCCCACTTCCAACGAGCCGCACTTCGATTAGCGAGGGCAACCAGAGAGGGAAAAAGACAGTGTGGAGGTGGGGAGATGGGCAGGGAGGGAAATGGAACCCCAAGCCCAGTCCGGTGCATGGTCCCCAGGCAGTGCCCTGCCCCAGCTGTCTAGGGTGACGATTCCCCTGAAGGACTCCCTCCTGAGTTTCTGGGGAAAAGTCCCCAGAGGCGCTGAGACAGGGCCTAGTCCCCCGGCAATGGCACAGTCCCTGACCACACCTTCCTTCTCCTCTCCACTTTTCTGGGGACCTCTGTTGTCCCCCACCTTCAGCTAACCCCTGGAGAAACACAAGCCCAGTTAGCCCAGGGTCAGGAGAGAGTTGGTGGCGGCCCAGGGATGAGATCCCAGGTCCTGGGAGCCAGGCCAGGCTCCTGGCTCCTCCCCCAGAGCCCCAGGGCAGCCCCCACACCCAGACTCCAGCTCATCCAGTTAGCCCAACAAGCACTGATCGTGCCAGGGAAAAAGGAAAAGAGTGTTTTAATTGACAAGCGGAACACGGACAATGATTCTTCCCACTTGTCTTCCAATCGTGAAGCAGAGAGAAGCATTCTTGCTGGCAGGCGGCGGGCTGGTCCAGACGTTCGCTGAGCCCACCGTCCCATCGCTCTGCCCGCCACTTCTCCTGACCTGGCAGCACACAGCTCTGAGCCTCCATCTCCCCGCCTGTCAATAAGGATTCGGGGGACCTTCCAGGGCTGGGGGCTCTGATGTTCGAGAGTCTGTGAAAACCCACCCCGCCACTAACTACCAAGAGCGATGCCTAGAAAAACTCCCCCGTCAGGAAGCTGCGCCAGGGAGAGTTGAACCCTCGAGAACCCAGGCAGGGACGCAGACAGTCCCCGCCTTGAAGCGCCCTCCCCGGGAAGCAAGCCTCCTTCTAAGGGCTGACCCTTGGCAGAAGGAATCCCACATCTGCATATCATCCCAACCACTCACAGCCCCGCCTGCAAGCCCATCTCTGGCTTTGCTCCACGCATCCCATCTCTCAGCAGCGAATCCAGGAAAAGCTGCCTTCCAGGGATCAAGAAGTTTGGGGGTGGGATTAGGAGCAGGGCTGTCTACCACCCTGCAGGGGTCCCCAGTGCCCCCGAACACTTAGGTGACCAAGGCTGCAGGAAACGCTGTCCCTGGGGAAAGCAGGGCGCCAGCTCAGCCTAGAGTGACAGTGCCTGGGGGAAGTTCAGTGCTGGGGGCCCAGGCTTCTGGGATTCCCCCCATCCCCAGGAGTCCCGGGATTTGAAGGGCTGTAACTCTAGGGGGCGGCCCTGCCCGGTTTGGAGCAGAGGAAGTTCTGCTGTAGGGCTGTGAGGGCCCAAGCTGGGCGCCTGTGATGTGGGACAGAGAAGGAAGGTTTTTGGGACAAAAGTTTGCCCGCCTCGTGGACAACCCCTCCTGCTGATCCAGCCCTCGGTCCTTCCTCGGCTCGCGCGACAGCCCCACCCGACCCGCCCGTCTGGGGAGGGGGCGGCGGCGCGCCCGCGGGCATTGTGTCTGCGTGTCGTCATCTCGGGGGGGCCCCCAGCAAATGGCATTCGTGGTCTTGGCCCGTGCATTCCACAGGCCAAGGAAGAAAAGTTCTGCGGGCGAAGGCGCCCGGGGATGACAGCGGCGCCCGGGCTGCGCGCGCCCCATCCCGCAGCCCCGCGCCCCGGGGCGCCCTTACCTGCGCGGCTCGGAGGCGGCGCCCACAGCAGCAGCAGCAGCAGCGGGGGCAGCAGCGGGGCGCCCGGGCGGAGCGCGCTGCGCGCTTTCCAGCGGGTATGGACGTCCATGCCGGCGGGGCGCGGGCCGGGGCGCACAGGGGCGCTCGGAGGCGCGCGGGGACGCACAGGGGCGCGGGTCACGGCCCGGGCAGCGCACTCAGCAGGGACCGCACCACTTTAGGAGGTCATGGGGACCTCGGCACCCCCCGTTCTTCTTTGTGGCGGCGGCTGTTCTGGAAGGGGCGGCTGGCGCGCTCGCCCACGGGCGGGAGGGCTCGACTTTGGCCCGCGGGGCGGCCGGGACCCCGCTGGGCTAGCTCGCCCTCGCCTCCTCCTCCTCCTCCTCCAACTCCTTCTCGCCTCCTCCTCGCCGCCGCCGCCCCGCGACCCGCTCCCCGTGGGCGCTCCGCTCGAGTGAGGTCCTGCGCCAGCCGCGGGGACGGAGAGTGCGGACCTCGCCTTCGGCGCGGAGCACTTTTTTCCCCCTTTTCCTCCCTCCCTCTCTCCTGGAAGGCAGCCGCGGAGGCTGTCGATCCCCAACGCCCGCAGCAAATCAGAGCCCGGCGCTGGGCTCGGCGAGGCCAGCCCCCGCCTCCCACTGGGCGCCGCGGGCGAGGGGGTGGGGACAGCGGGCGAGTCGCAGCGAGGAAGGGGCTGGCCCGGGGCGGAGCGGACGTGGGGCGGGCGCGGCCCCCTGTTCTTTCTCTGAGAGCCGGTAGGCGGGCGGGCCTGGGGCGGCCTCGGAGCCCAGGGGCCCACCCTGGTCCCCCCACTGTTCCCACCCCAGGTGCCCGCACCTGGCCATGCTCCAAGAACCAGTGCAGAGGGGCCCCGAGGTTTGATCACTTCGGGTTAAAAAGAAAGTTGCAGTTTACCCCGCCTAACTTTTTCTTTAACGTGGAGGAGTTCAGAGCTCCTCTTCTGGGTGGAGACTAAACTTCCCATCCAGCCAGATCAGGGCGCCCAAGACTGTGGCCTACGTGTCAACCCGGACCGAGGACCTGCCTCCTAACTGCAGATTGGCACGGGACCGAGCTGGGGTCTGACTTCCCAAGAGCTCCCGGGACCTCCATGTGCTTGGACGGGAACATCTGGGTTATTAATCAGGCGAAGTTTGGCTCTGCGGCCCCCAGGCTCTCACCCCTCACTCCTGCCCACTCCCTGGTGGCCCCTCTGCAATAAAAAGGAAACCAAAGAAGGCATCCCCTTGGGAGTGACAGCTGGCGCAGGGAGAAGGCATTCCTGATCGGCTGCTCTCGGAGAAGAGCTGGGGCCCTGATTCTCCTGCCTGGCTTCTTTAAGCCCCTCGGGGTCTCCTCCAGCAGGAGGCCCGCCAGTCTCTGGGTGGTAGGTGGGCGTCTCTCCCTCCAGCTTCCCCAGGCCTGGCCTCCCTGCACAGCCTCCTGAAGCCTGACCCACACCCCTTCCCCAAGGGCTGCAGGGCTAGTTTTTTAAAAGGAGGGAATCAGAATGAATTAAGAACGATTTGCAAACCCTGGGCCATCCCCATTCCCTTTGAACAAACAATTTAGCCAGAGATGCCAGACAGGGCTGGGACTCCCCTCTCCAGTTACATCTCCAGACTGGGCGTGAAATTCCCCAAATGCTCTTTAATTCTCACCATTCTGGAAACAGGAGGTGAGAGAGGCGTCCGAGGTTAGGTTTGCCAGGATAGCCATGGCAGGCTCCGGAGCTGGGTGATAGGTCGCTGTTGCTAACTTGGTGATGAGGCTTTTAGTCTCCATATCTGCCACATGCGCTTGCATAGATATCAAATATTTCGCAGGAAAAGAATGAGAAGCTCTTCACACACAGACGTGGGGAGGTGCTTGAGATACATTCAGTAAAGCAAATGTTAGTTCTGACCTGTTTCCTTGTTGATTTTATTTTGTTTTACAACTTGTATAAGGCATATGTGATCAGGCAAAAATGTGTGTGAGTTGTGTGCATGTGTGTGTTTGTGTGTGTGCCTGTGTGCGTGTCTGTGCGTTGGTTAACCTGCAGCCACTGGCCCTTTACTTTCCCTGTGGACTTCAATGAGTGAGAAATTCCATCAAACCCCAGACTCCGCGCCAGCCCCAGCTGTGCTTGGTCCTTGGAGTGCCCCCGCCCCTACCAGCAAGGCCAGCTTCACCCCTGAAGACTAGGGGTGCTGACACAGGCCATGGCCTGGTTATCAGAAGAGAGTGGAGGCTTTCTGGTTCCAGCTTCTTTTTCCCCAAGCACAAGTGGAGTTCCTTTCTGACAGTCCCATGTGCACATCCGTGCCAGTCAGCAAGCCCTCCTGTAACTCACAGCCAGCATCTAAACTTTGCCCTGAATTAACACAACTGGCGCCTTAAGAGCTGACACTCAAGTGACCACCCCAAGGTCCCCCAAAAGTTGACTTCTCAGCAATGGTAAGATGGCTCAGTCTTGCAGCTCAAGCAGCCATGACAGATGCACTTTATCCTCTCTTGGAGAGCAAGTGGTGCGGTGGCTTGGAAAGCTGTCAAATGTGAGTTTCCACCCTCATCTGAGCCTTGAGTTGGGTGGAGAGATGAGTTTCTATCCCACCAGGAAACTCAGAGAGAAGTCCCCAAACTTGGCGGCCTGATGTGTCAGCCAGGGACTATGGCAGAATGGCCCGGCAGTACCAATCAGGATTCGAACTGTGTTGCCAAGCTAAGAATATCAGCCACATCTTAAGGCTTTTGCCTCACACTCTTCACCCACACGTGCATCAGTTCTCATGCACCGGTAGGGAATACTGGCATCTCTCCCATCCACAGATGAGGAAATCAGGGGCCACAGAGGGTAGGGGACTTACCCAGTTCATCCGTGACAGGGTCCGGATTTGGACCCAGGTCTCCATGCTTGGAGCCCAGTGTGCACTGCCTGCCTCCCCATGGCATCCGGACCACACGCCTGCCGCCAGGACCACCCTGCCCAGATTCAGACAACAGCAACTGGTGCAGATTGTCCCAAACTCACCATGTTCCATGCCCTCCCACAACTGAGCAAAACCAGAGTCCTTGGAAAACTGCTTATTGCGCGCATACTCCTTGCCAACACCGCTCTAGGCTTTAGGGAGTATGTGGTGAGCAAGGTGCCTGGGTCCCTTCCACATTGACCTGCAATGCAGCAGTGACTCCCACGCCCATGCAGAGGTGGCCCCTTTTTTGCATGTGTGTCTTCCTTGTCTTCTGCTATCCATCGTTTCCCATCTAGCCCTCCCCGGCTGCCTGCTCCTGTTCATGGCACTCACCGCAGAAGGCTAACCAGGTCCTGTACCCTGTGTACTCCTGGGCCACCGGGAGCGCCACCACCCATCACTGCGTGTTTCCCACAGTGCCTAGCAGAGAGTGGAGCAGGCCAGGTGCCCTGCACCTTACACGTGGAGTCCGATGGCCCAACTTCTCCTTCCAAGGCTGTGTTTCCTCTCATTTATTTTTCGAGCGGCAGAGCTGTGGTCCGGACAGAGCGGCCATGGCAACCATCAGGTGTTGCTCTCATGTGGACCTGATGGTTCACCACCAGTCCTGAGGGGTCACACCAGCCTCCCAGAGTCACGTCTGGCTGGAAAATGGCCAGCTGCTTCCCAAGACAAAGGCCTTGAGGGGCAGCCAGATTGTCCCTTCTTCTTCTCCTAGACCCATGGAGGAGGTGGAGGAACAAGGTCTTCTTGGAGTGCCTGGAGGCAGATATCTGCTTGCCCTCTAAGCATTTATGGTCCAGAGACTGCTGAAGTGGGCCCAGGAGGGCCTGGGTGAGCCACGGCCTGGCAGAGGGGCTGGAAGCTGCCCCACTCTGTCCCATGCAGGGGAGGAGTTCCCTCTAGCTGCGCAAGGAGAATGCTCTGAACCTGCATCCGGCACCTGGGGCTGCAGCTGTGTCCTTCAGCTGATGTCCTGGGACCAGGCCAACTCCAGAGTCACACAGACTTCCGTTAGAATCCCAGCAGCACCAGCCACTAGCCACATGACCTTGGGCAAGAGGATTCTGTCTCTGAGCCTCAGTTTGTTATCTGTGAATGGGCGGTGAAGAAACTGACCGCTGGGGGGTCCCTGTGAAGCTCAGATGAGAAGGTAGGTGAGGGAGGCCTGGCCACAGTCCCCTCCCTCCCTGCTCCCTGCCGCTGGGCACTCATCCTCTTCTGCCTCCTCCAAGCCCCCTGCCGCCTTCCAGGGCTTCACCTGCTTACCTGCATCATCTCATTCAATGGAGCAACAACCCTTTGAGGCAGGAGGAAGCTGAGGCTCGGAGAGGTGAAACTATTTGCTGGAGGCTGAACAGCAAGGGTGTGGCTAAACCCAGTAGCCCGGAACGCAGCCCTTAACCACCGTGCAGCCTGCACACCAGCAGCAGAGCAAACCAAGGAGGCGCCGGGTCCGAGGGCCGGCCCGCGGCTGACCGCATGTCCTGCCGGTTCCAGGGGCCCAGACCCCCACTGGCCCTAGTTTACCTTCTGACCCATTGGCCTTGACCACTGCTCCATGTGAGCTGTGGCTTCTCAGCAGACCAGAGGCCACCGCTGTGCCCACAGAGCCAGCAGGACTCTCCCTACGTACTGGAGCGGGGCAGATGGGAGGGAGCCCCTTTCAAGCCAGCACTCTCTTTGAAAAATTACTTGGGGAAGGCCGCCACTTTAAAGCCCTTGGACAAAGCATGTCCTTCATTGCCTTGTTTTTGCAGCCTTCTTCAGCCTGTGTCTGCCAAGTGGAGAGTAGAGGAGAGGGTGAGAGAGGGGCCGGGGCCATGCCCCAGGTCACCAGGCTTCCCGGGTGTGTGAGTCAGCTCGGCGGCCACAGCAGAGTGCCACAGATGGGGCAGCTTAGACAGCAGGGATTTATTCCCTCACAGTCCTGGATGCTGGAAGTCCGAGGTTGAGGTGACGGCAGCACTGGTTTCAGCCAAGGCCTCCCTCCTCGGCCTGCAGTCGGCACCATCCCCCCATGCCCTCACACGGTCATTTCTCTGTGTGTGTCTGCGTCCTCATCTCCTCTTCTTTCGGGAACCCCAGTCAGTTGGATGAGAGCCCACCCTAATGATCCCACTTAAACTTAATTATCTTGTTAAAAGCCCCATCTCCAATCACAGCCACATTCTGAGAGGCAAAGCTTCAATGTACGAATTTTAGGGGGACACAATTCATCCCCCTAAAACTGGATTCCTGCAAAACAGTCCCAGTCCGTGGGCCTTTAGCAGAAATCTGAGGATTGAGGGGCTCTGTTTTCTGGCACAGTAGAGACTTTTACCCACCTAGGTGCTCTCTTATTGTGGATTCTCACACCCCAAGGCGGGGGCAGGGGTGAGGGGTGCAGACTCTGGCCAGTGGCAGGGGACCCTGGCCAGTGGGAGGGGACTCTGGCCAGTGAGAGGGGACCCTGGCCAGTGAGAGGGGACTCTGGCCAGTGGGAGGGAATTCTGGCCAGTGGGAGGGGACTCTGGCCAGTGAGAGGGGACCCTGGCCAGTGGGAGGGGACTCTGGCCAGTGAGAGGGGACCCTGGCCAGTGAGAGGGGACCCTGGCTTCTGATGAATGTGTACCACCCTGTCTCCTTGTCCCTCTAGCACATAGGCTGAACCTCTCCTCGGTGGCACTGTCCACCATGGGTGTGAGAGTGGGGCCAGCTGGAGGGCCCAGAACACCAGTGCAGATGCAGCATCTCCTCCAAAAGGCTCCAAGCCCACTCCAGAGTCTCCTCTCTTTGCTTCCCTCCCCACAGCAAATTGCCCTCCCCTTTCTGTGAGTGAGGTGCCCCTGCCCATGCTGCCTGTTAGGAGCACATTCTGTTCTGGATATGAAGGTGTGCATGTGAATAAGTCAGTCTTTGGGACAGATGTGTCTGGGAGCAGGTGTGCATGGGAGCAGTGGTGCACAGGGGCAGGTGTGTATTGGAGCAGGTGTGCATGGGGCAGGTGTGCACTGGAGCAGGTGGGCACAGAAGCAGGTGTGGCTTGGGGCACACAGTCAAGCATGGTAGGTGGGGGCACAGGCCTTGGGACACTGTGTAGTCACATCTGTGTATACCTCTGCTTCCGGAGAAGCAGCCGTGGGTCTGACCCCAGTCTCCCCAGTCCAAGCCTGCAGCCTGTGCTCCATCTAGATGTGGGTGAGAGGGGGTGGGAGGGGGTGAGAGAGGGTGAGAGGGGGTAGGAGTGGGTGGGAGGGGGTGAGAGGGGGTGAGAGGAGTGAGCTGGGAAGAACCCAGGCAGGCTGTGGTCCAGTGAACTCCAGGCCCCATGATTCCATTGAAAATGCAATCCGCTGACTCAGTGGTTTACTTGAAGCCCTTCCCCCGCACCTGAACTTCTACCACTTTGTGAAGCTGAAGCCTCTTCCTCTTCCCCAACCCTCAGCCTTCCCCAACCCAGAGTCCAGCAGAGGAGCTGTTCTCCTCCCAGAGCTCCCATCCCGGGACACCACGGTGCCAGGACCCCCAGCCCAATTTATCAAGCCACACAAGCAGGACCAGACACAGCTGGCCCTGGCATCTGATCAAACATATACACGCAGCTGGAGGTTGGAGGCGCTTTTCATCATGGCGGCTTCTCAAGCATGGCGGCTCATGCTCTTTATCATGGTCTGATGGAGGGCCAGGAAGCAGGGCTCTCAGCAGCTGAGGGGCTGCCCCTCCTTCAAGCCCAGGGACAGAGCAGCATAAATCACCAAGGGATGGAGCCGTGACATCGATGGCTGAAACAGCCTGGCTGTCCCTTGGCTGCGCCTGGCCCTCCCATCTCACTGGCCCTCCCATCTCACTGGCCCCGCTCCGCTGTGCGGCACAGCTCTGTTTCCATGTCATGTCCACGAAGGCCTGGTTTTACTGGACCTGGATATCCCATCAGGTGCCAAGTAAACCCTGCAAAATAATGGAATTTCCAGGCGAGAGAGCCCATGACGAACACCAAACAGACTTTAGATATATAGAGTGAGTTCGCAATTAATTCGGGCCACAGTGTGCCAAGGCACATTTCCAAACTGGGCCTGGATTGGCGTGTCATCCTCCAGGAGAATATATTAGAGATAAAGGTTGAGTTTACAGCCCAAAAGAAATGTCAGTTGGAAAGGTCCCCGCTATTAAATCTTTTAAAGAACCATCTGCATAGGTGGAAAGAGATGCCTCCCACTCAATGGGCTGTTCCCCGGGAGTCAACAAGATCACCCTGGTGAAACAGCTTTTGAGGGTGTCTGTGACGATTCCCCACCTAGGGATCTCACTGAAGCTTTCCCACCATCCGACGAAGGTGAGGGCAGGCATGACCTCAGAATCTGGAGCAAGCGGCGTCCTGGATATGAGTCTGCCTCAGCAAGGGGCCTGAGGCTGCAGCCTCCCCACGCTGGCTCAGGTTCTCCTCTGGAAAGTGGGGACCGCAGTGCACCCCTGCATAGGATGCTGTGGAGGTTATCCGAGATAACACACAGACTGTGCCGGGCACAGAGCACAGGCTCAGAAAAGGCTCCATCCGTCCTGCTTCCGGCAGCTTCATGATCGACTGGGGAAACAGAGTCTCAGAGGGTGAAACCACTTAACTCGGAGGTGTAGGAATTGGAGACAGCCCCACCCCATCTGGGCACAGAGCTCTTTCCATGACCAACTGCCCCAGCGACGCTCCAGGACGCCACGAGCATAAGGCAGTGGTACCAGCAGAAATGCCTGTTAGCTGAAGGCTTTCTCAAAAAGTCAGGAGCCAGTGCTCCACACTGTGGAGGGGGGTTGGCCCAGACCCCCTCAGGGCCCAGACTCCCCTGGCCTCTGTCAAGAGCATGGTTTGCTGACAGCCAACAGCTGAGTTCCTTGCCTAAACTACCTTTTACTGGAGGTTAGACCCCATCCCTGCTCAAGGGCAGCCCACACCCAAGGACCGGTCAGGAAGAAGGTTCCAGATCCTGTCCCTTTTCCTGAATGTGGGACAACTCAGAAGGGCCGTCCCTGCTTCCGAGTCCTGCGGTCGGGGGGCTCCATGAGGCCTCTGCAGAATGCATGCACCTGCGCCCCGGCTTGCTGCCCTCGCCCCCACAGGCCTTGTTTCCAGAGTCCGCCTAGAAAACCCAGAGCCTCAGAGTCAGCTACCAAGGACCCTGACATAAACACTGTCCTCCTAGACACTTCTCCCTGCAGACAGGGGTCAGCAGGGCCCAGGTTCAGGGCCCAGGGGTTCAAGAAGTAGGGACGCTTGTGGGAGCACGTCCCAAAAGGATACAAGAGGAGGAGGGGCATCTTGGGGCCAGGTGCCACCCCTCACTGATGCCATCCTGGACTCTTCTCCCCCTGCAGAGGGAATGCACATGCCCAGGCCCAGAGGAAGCCACAGAAGGCCACTCCAAGGAGGCTGTGATGGAACAGGGAGGAGGTGGCCTGGGGGCTGAGGGGCTGGAGACAGGAGGGTGGAGCGGCTGGCACAGGGACAGGAGAGCGGGGTGGCTGGCACAGGGCAAGTCAGTCTAGGCAGGGAGTTTGTATTCTTCCCAAGGAGAATGGGGATGCGTAGAGGGTTTTAAGAGGAGAAGGCTATGTCATACTTGCATCCTGGAAAGATCTCTGACTTCAGTGTTGAGGATTGCTTAGAGGAACAAGAGGTGGGGCTCAAGTCAGAGGCAGCTATGGTTTCCAGGGAGAGGGGAGACGGGTGGGATGCCTTCCAGTACACGGTGGAGGAGGAATCGGCTGGGACTCGCCAGCAGCAAGGGCAGCGGTGCCCAGGACCCCGCCCAGGCTGTGCCTCTCATCATTTGAAGGCCTTTGCCTTGGACACTGTCAGCTGCAGAGTGCACCTCTGGCCAGGCCCCCGCGAGGTAGGCACTGTGGCCCTGCCTGTTCCCAGACGTGGTGTATCAGTCTGTTCCCACACTGCTATGAAGACATATCCGAGACTGGGTAATTTATAAAGAAAAGGGGTTTCATTGACGCACAGTTCCGCATGGCTGGGGAGGCTTCAGGAAACTTACAATCATGGCAGAAGGCACCACTTCACAGAGCAGAAGGAGAGAGAATGTGTGCTGGGCAAAGCGGGGAAGCCCCTTATAAAACCATCAGATTTTGCGATAACTCACTCACTATCAAAACGACAGCATGGGGGAAACCACGCTTATGATTCAATGACCTCCACCTGGTCCCGCCCTTGACGTGTGGGGATTACTACAATTCAAGGTGAGACTTGGGTGGGACACAGAGCCAAACCATATCACATGGGAACCATGGACCCCATCACTCAGGACCCTGTGCAGGGCCTCCCACAGGGAGCAGAAAACAGAGTCTATCCAGGAACCTCTCTCGGATATTGTTTTCCATACCATCACCTCCTTCTCATGGTCTCACACATGGCAACCACCCACCCCCCATTCTCCTGGCCCTTGGCACTAACTTCCCTGTGAGGGAGGCAAAGGCCGCAGTTCCCATTTCACAGATAAAGAAACTGAGGCCTTGAGATAGGACTGATTTGTCTCAGGTAGGAAACCAGCGCATCTGCCCGGGTCTGGCAAGAGCCCCTGCGAGTGACCTATGAGATTCAGATGGCGCGTTCTTCCCTCAGAGAGGCAGGGCTGCCTGCTGGTTACACACACCCTAACCATACTTCCTGGCCCACTTACGTCAAGCCTCATCAAAAATCCCCATCCATGGGGCCTTGGGGACCCCCTTCCTGAGCCGGGTGCTAAGAGGTTTCATGGATTCACTGTCTCATCCATCCCCTCACCATGGCCATGCGGTGGGAGCCGACAGACACTGAAGACCTGGGGTGTTACATGGCTTTGGGAAAGTCATTCTGCAATTTGAACAGGGTCCCCCAAGTGCAGGGAGCTCACCATGACTTTTGGGCTTCACTGTGGGATGCATATTTACATGCATCCTGGCCCCCGGGCAGACCCTGAGAATACACGGCCGCTCATCTGGGGTAAGGCCTGAGGCTGTTTGACGTCATGCGAGCACACCCTCTGCCTCTCAGGGCAGTGTTCAGGCGGGACAAGGATGCCCTGCTCATTGGCTGAAACAGCCAAGCTTCATTTGTTAAAAATTCTAGTCCTTGAGCCACGCCAACTTCATTATGGTCCTTGCCTCGGAGTCCTGGAGCTGCCATAAGAAAATACCACAAACAGCGAGGCTTAAAACAGCAGAAATGTTTCTCTCCCGGTTCTGGAGGCTCGAGACCTAGATGTTGCAGGGTCACGTGCCTCAGAGGCTCCTCCCTGCCTGCTCCGGTCCTGGCGGCTCCAGGCCTTCCTTGCGTGGCTCCAATCTCTACCTTCGTTTCACACCACCTGTCTTCAGGGCATGCTGTTGTTTTGGCCTCCTCTGCCTCCATCTTACAAGGACACCTGGGATGGTATTTAGGGCCAGGCCAGCCTGGCTAATCCAGGAGGATGTCCTCATTCATCTCAGGTCCTTAAGCTGATTGCATCTGCACGGACCTTTTTTCAAATAAGTCCATCTTCACAGGTTTGGGGTCTGGGACATGGGAGTATATTTTGGGAGCCACTTTCCACCCCGTATTAGTCAGAGTTCCCTAGAGGGACAGCACTAATAGGGTAGCTGTACATATGAAGGGGATTTTATTAAGGAGAATTGACTCACGCGATCACAAGGTGAAGTCCCACCATAGGCCATCTGCAAGCTAAGGAGCCAGGAAGCCAGTGTGAGTCCCAAAACCTCAAAAGTAGGGAAGCCCACAATGCAGCCTTCAGTCTGTGGCCGAAGGCTCAAGAGCCCCTGGCAAATCACTGGTGTAAATCCAAGAGTCCAAAAGCTGAAGAACTTGGAGTCTAATGTTCAAGGGCAGGAAGCATCCAGCATGGGGGAAAGATGGAGGCCAGAAGACTCAACCAGACTTTTCCTTCCATGTTCTTCTCCCTACTTTCTCCTGGCCATGCTGGCAGCTGATTAGATGCTGTCCACCTGGATTGAGGGTGGGTCTGCCTCTCCCCGTCCACCGACTCAACTGTGAATCTCCTTTGGCAACACCCCCACAGACACGCCCAGGAACAGTACTTTGCATCCTTCAATCCAATCCAGTTGACACTCAATATTAACCATCGCAATGCACTACATTCCAGGACACAATAAAAGAGGCCTCTGTACCCCACGTCTTCCTGTGCTCTCCAGCTTTGGAGGCTGAGAAGACAGTGGGGTGGAGACAGCCATGGTTTGGAGCAATGGGGGGTAAATGGTGCCTGCTGTGCACCTGGGTGTTGGGGGCAGAAACCTGTCTCCAACAGGAGGCTTCAAGCTGGCAAGAACACGTGGGGAGCTTGGTCAGAGGCTGCGTGCGGTGGCGCAGTGCTCATGTGAGATGCACGCCGTCTGGGGCTGTTATTTTTTCCAGCAGGCTCTAGTTTTATTTGTTTTCATTTTTAGTATTAAACCAATGTTTTTAATGGAAATACCTCCCAGATTAGATTTTCTTCCATAAGAGGAAGTGAAAACGGATATAGAATTTAAAATGACTCTCAAACTGGAGTCGAACCCAGAAGCCATATGTATTCCACCCTCAAAGTCTTTGAGCCTGGTCCACAAGCTGAGCCTCCGGGAGGGTTCTCGGGCCACAGAGAAGCAGCAGGAGGAGACAGAGGAAGAGTCCACACAGGAGGTGAACACTCAGGCTCAGGACCCTAGAAGCAGGCTGAGGGCCACAGCGCCCAGGTGAAGGAGCCAGGACCCCCTCCCAGCCCATTCCTCCAGGGCGCCGTCTCTTTCACTTCCACCTTCCAGCAAAAACAGGGCTGATCAGACGCCCAGGGCCTGGCGGGGGCACGGGACAGGAGCGTGGGCAGGGAAGCTCGGCTGCGGCAGGCCAAGAGTGGCTCCTGAAGAGAGGCCCACACTCACGCCCCGAACCCCTGGATATGATCTTATTTGGAAAAAGGGTCTGTGCAGGTGCAATTAGGTTAAGGACTGTAAATGAGGCCATCCTCCTGCGTTTGCCTCATGGGCCCCAATCACCACCCCCAGTGTCCTTATAAGAGAGATGCAGAGGAGATTAAAAGCCAAGAGAAAACCCATGTGAAGACAGAGGTGGAGTCTGGAGCATGGCGGCCACAAGCCAAGGAGCACCTGAGCCCCCAGAGCTGGAGAAGGCAGGAGGGTGCTCCCCTGGAGCCTCTGGGGGTGCAGCCCTGCCGACGCCCTGGCTGCGGACTCCAGGCTCCAGCGCTGAGGGAAGAGATCCGTCTCTAGCCTTCGAGGTTGTGCTCCTTCCATCCTGTGGTGGCCACAGGACTCACCCACACAGACTTCTGAGCTCAGGGCTCAGTGGGCAGGCCCACAGCATGGGGCACCTGGAAGGGCTGGGACAGCGCCAGCAGGGGAGGGGCTGGGGGCGGGAAGTGCCAGGCGGCAGGTCGAGCAACCTGTGCCAAGACCCCTGTGCGACTGGGCCAGGGACTTGGCCCTCGGCATCTCTCCCATGCCTGTCCAGTGAGGCTGACCAAGAAGGCACCAGGCCTGGGCCAGCCCCAGACAGGCTGGAGACAGGGTGCCAGCCAGGGAGGCCTACACGTCTGCTGTGGCCACTCTGGGCTGGACTCCTGGAAGAAGAGGATGGGCTCAGAGGCAGGAGCAGGCAGGCTGCCCACCCAGTCCAGACAGGGAGCAGGTCACACCCATGAGCCAGGGTTTTCCTGCCAGGCACAGGGCTGGGAATTCTCATGGATGCAGGGCAGGCCCTGCCCAGGATGTTATTCAAACGCTGGGGCAGCGACTCCCAGACCCAACTGCCCCAGCTGCAGGAGCAATCCCACCACGCCACAGGGGACTGCGGGCTTCTGCAGCCAGAAATGCGAGCTGGGCAGGGGTCCGCAGAGGAGCTGCGGGGGAATGGGCCTGGGGGTGACACACAGGGTGAGCGGCGGGAGCCCGTGCAGCCCCCACCCGAGGGGCACAGAGGCGGCTAACCCACGTCGGCATCAGCCGAGGCAGCCATGAGGCACGAATTTCTGGTGAGGGAGAATGGACATTCTCTTCTGATTGCTTCTATTTGGCTCGGGGTGGGGGGTGAACAGGAAGGGAAGGAAAGGCAGCGCATGGTCCTCCAGGGAACAGCCAGGGAAGGGGGGCCGCGCTTACTTCACTTGAGTGACCATGAGCTTCAGTGGAGATGGTCACTCGGCTGTGTGCCCTCCTCCAGCCACACATGTCCATGTGGGGCTGCACTGAATGGCCAGAAGGTGAGAGCCAATCAGAGGCCACTGACATGAGGGTGACGCATGTGTCTGTCTCTGAGTACAATGTGTGGAGAGGGTTAGTGTGCCCCATAGATGTTCAAACGGAAGGCACAGCCATAGCTGATTAGAATTGTGTTGCTGTTTGCATCCATTCTCCTTAAATAACCTTGAGAAAGAACTATTTGCCCCAAGTCTTGTGCAAATTCCTAGGAAGAGAAATTTCTTACATGTCTCTGCCTTCTATGTACCTGACATATCCTACTGAATACCGTGTGGAGTGGGTTGAAGGGTGGCCCCCAAAACAATAGGTCCACATCTAACTGGAAACTGTGGCTGGGGCCTTATCTGGAAAAATGAGTCTTTGCAGATGCAGGTAAGTTAAGGGTCTTGAGATGAGATCATTCTGGGTTATCCAGATAGGTCTTAAATCCAATGATAAGTGTCCTCGTAAGAGACACATAGCGGAAACACTGGGAGAAGAGGAGGGCTGGTGTGAAGAAGGAGGCAGAGGCTGGAACGACGCGGCCACAAGCCAAGGAAAACTTGGAGCCACTGGGAGTTGGAGGAGGCTGGCAGGCCTCCCCGGGGGCCTCTGGAGGGCAGCAGCCCTGCTGAGGTCCGGATTTCATGCCTCTGGCCTCTGGAACTATGGGAGAGTGCGTTTGTGTTGTTTGAAGTCCCCTCGTTTGTGGCATATTGTGCAGGACACTAACATGCTGTTTAATGTAGGTTTCCCACTTCCCCATCTACAGACCCAAAGCTCAATGTTGTAAGAGCCCGGCGGGGTTCCCACCAGGGCTGAGATGGTGACGTGGCGTCCACCCGCCTGTCAACACCCCACTCTCCCCTGCACAGTAGCTGCCGCGGTCTTTCTGCTCCAGGATGCAGCTGTCTCAGGTACCCTGCGCCGTGAGCGGACCACCCATCGTCGGCGTCTCAGACACGCCCACCCACTTGCCTGAGCTCAGAAAGTGCCGGCTGTGCAGCCCAAGCGTGCCATGGGCTTCCACTCGGCGTTCACGTCTCACCTCTCGGCTTAGGAAAACCCACGCCTCGCGCCAAGGAAAATGAGGCAGAATGTTGTGCACCGTTAATGAGACCATGGGCCTGGGCATCTCCTGGCTGCTGCCCCCTGGAGAGGCACTTCCATTCACCAGGGCGCCCCGCCAAAGCCCCTGCCCGATGAGGAATTTTCCCCGCTTTGAAGCTGGTGGGTCTGTGCCAGTTTGGAACACGGGGATCCAGCTCCTTGCGGGAGAATAAAAGCAACTCGCAGACAGTAAATGCTGGCAGAGATTCGGTTCTCTTTATTTTTGTCAACAAGGAGATTTGTTTTAATGGGAACCAGCAGATTTTCCACTCCTGCAGGTCTCAACAGCAGCAGCCCGGCTTCCACCCCAGGTGGGACAGCTGCAAATCTGGGGACAGTGGGGATGGAGGGAAGGATGGGGAAAGAGGGAGGGCATCCTAGGGAGAAGGGGCCTCAGCAGCAGCAGGGCAACTCCCGTCTCTCTCCTGGCCTTGCGCCCCGTCCCGCACGTCACCCTCCAGCTCACTGGCCCTCTGCTTCAGGCATCTGATGCCACTGTCCCCCAACGTCATTCTCCTCTTTGTGAGCTGACCTCAGGGCAGGACACTGACTCCTCTCCCTCCCTTGTAAGGAGGAGGGTAAAGGAGCAGAAATGCTTCCTGCAAGATGATCACGTATCTTAGGCAAAGTGCTTAGCCTCTCTGTGCCTCGTTTTCCTCATCTGTAAACTGGGGGACCTCAAAGCGTTGTCATGAGGATTCTGTGAGATAATAAGTGCCTGCAGAAGCAGCTGGATTCACACGTGCTAATATCAATCAGGCTTCAGCCTGGACGCGGAGAGCTGATCAGAGAGGCTCTTGGTTGTGTGTGTGTTTCTGACCCAGCCAGGGTGCAAACCTCAGACACTTAGGGGCCTAGAGGCTGGTAACAGTCCCACAGCTGGACCAGGCTGCCCGAGCTGCCCTTCTCCTTTACTCTGTAGACCTTGAGGCCCTGGCAGCCTCACCTTGACCCTGACCCACTGCTTCACCTGAGGTTGGTCCACCTTCCTAGCCTTAGGAGAGGTCCAGGTATTCCGGCTTGCTGCAGCCAACAGTGCATGTCTCTTCCGAAGTCTGTGTCAAAATCTGCCTCGGCCGGAGAGCTTACACCACAGAAATAGGCAGATGCAGCAAATTAAGGCCTTTTCTCTGAAGAGTGAGGCAATCATTAAGCACTCGGCAGCACCCACTGGTTCCACCCCAGCGGGATCCTGCTGATATTGGCCTGCCCTCCTGGGGGCCCAGGGTTCCTTGTCTGCACCCTCCCGGTGATGTGGCAGGCCCTCGGGCTCCAGCTGACGTTGGCCTTCCCTCCTGAGGACTCGGGTTTCCTTCCCTGCACCCTCCCAGTGATGTGGCAGGCCCTCAGGGGAGGATGGGAAGTTCAATCATCCCGTTATCCATGTTAAAAGCCCGGATTTCCTGTGGGGTGGCCATCTGCCTTCTTAAGAAGCTGTCTTTCCTAAACAGCTGCCTGAAGATATTTGCATGGCCATCATGGGGAGCAGGATTATTCCATATGGGCCAGGAGAAGAGAGGGAACATCGCTGCATGGAAGTTCGGGGAAGCAGTTTTGCTTTCACTCCGCATATGTCATGGGGTCACAAAGGCCCTTCCCAGGCCCATTTCTCTTTTCTGAGGACCCCTCCAAACTCCACTCACTTAAAGAGTACAGAGATACTGTCGTTGCAAAGCCCCTGCTGTGGCCAGTTATGAAGGGTGCCTATCCCTGCCCCTGCTTCTGTCACCCAGAGGCCCTCCCAGGGAAAGGAGAATACATGCCCAGCTCTTGACACAGGCCTGGTGAGAATTCAATGTCTGACCATCAGTACGTCCCAGGCCCACGTTCGCATCAAATCGTAGAACTACTGGGAGGACTCTCAGAGGTGTCGTGTTAACTTTCAGCGACTCCCCCTGAAAGGAGGCTGATTTCTTCATCAAAGCCCCCAGCTGAGGCTTGCTGAGTGGGGAAGCTGTCCCTGCCTGCATGGGGTCTGGAGCTGCTTTGGTAAATGGCCAAACTGTCGGCCTGCATTGAGACTGGCCACTGGACAGCCTGGATACAAAACATGCTGTTTTGTTTGTTTTGTTTACCTTTGAAACAAATTAAAACAATTAAGGCTAGATTTAAAACTGGGTTGACTGACAGTCTTTTGGGGGCAGGGTCAGTGATCACATGTGCCTGAAGATGAATCGTGAGTTAATGTCACAGGAAAAGGTTGGGTCTTATCTGGGGAATGTAAGTATTTCACTTCCGTGTTGTTTCTGGTTTACGCAGTGCTTTCAGACAGGCCCACAAGGAAAGTAAGCGCAGCACAGAGAAGCCACGGGTGGGCCCAGCGTGGTGCTGTGTGGGGCGAGGCTGAGAGGAGAGCTCAGGGCTCCTGGCCACCGCCTCCGTCTTCGTTCCCGTGTGGAATGGCAACTTTCCTCATTCAAAAATGATAGCGTAGTTCAGTTAATAGATTCTGCAAGTGGAGTGTCACATCTGCCTGGCGCTGCGTGGTTACTCAAGACTCAAATTGCGGTCTATAATTGTCACAGTCCTGGGAACGCGAATTCTGTGAGGCTGGAAGCTTGCGGGGAGCAAAGCTCCAGGCCGGAGTTTGGACCAAGCCTTCCCAGGTCCACGGCCATGTTCCGTCTCTGCCTTTGCATCCTAACACCTTCAGTGCTTAGGGAACTAACCAGCTCTCCCCTGAGCCTAGACCTCTTATTGGCTTGACTTGGGGTCAGAGAAAACTGGGCTTCTTGCTAAAGAAGGAACATGTAGTCTTCTGTTCAAACATGTATGTAGGTGTGGATTTGAGGGGCTGCTGGGCCTGTGTGAGGAAGCATTTGCTGCAGAGTCAGGAGGGCCTGGGGGTCCATTCATTGCCAAATCCAAATGACTGACCTACTTTCCCTCCTCCTCTTTGGAATGAGACTTACTCTCCAGAAAGGCTGTGCCCCGTCCACTGTACCCTCCAGGCTGCATGACTCAATTGCAGGAAACTCAGTCCCTCCCAGTGATGAGCAATGGTGCTGGCGGGTGGGTGTCTGGAGGGACTGAGACAGCTCCCCTCCTCTGCAGAGAGACTGTTTTCAATGACCAGAGTGTGGGGAGGTCAACAGACATGCCTCACACCCTAGCCCCACTGGCAGGGCCAGCTGGTGACTCAGGGGCATGCTGGCGTGCAGAACTTCAGGTAGATGGTGGGCCCTGAGCTGCAGAGGCTGGGGCAAGCGAGAGCAGGACCCAGGAAGAGGCACCCAGTCGGGCAGTGTTTAAGCGGAGTGCCAGAAGGTAAGCTTGGATGGTGTTGGCCTTTCTGAGGCAATGTGGTGGCTGCTATGGGCTGCCGGAATGTCCTGGTGGCTTCTGGAACATCTACAAGTCCCCTTGCACATAGATGCTGCAAGAGGCAGACCAGATGGCTGGTGGATTGTCCCATTTCTTCTTACAAAAGCTGAATTTTTGTTTTCTGTTCTGAAGAAAGAATCTCGGAGAATTTGAATGCCCACACATAAAATAGAGCAGAAGCTGACTATATTCTTCCTACACTGCAGTGGGGGTCAGCAAACAGCCTGAGAGACCAATGAACAAACCCTTGCACGTCAGTCCTGGCCAGTCATGTGACCTTGGGCAATTTACTTATCCCCTCTGAACTTCAGCTCCTCCTCCCTGGGCAAGTCACGCTGTGAGTGTCTCCCGTGCCGGGCATGGAACAGCTCTGCGAATCTCAGCTGTCAAATGTAGACCTGACCCTCATTCAGTGCTGCCTGAGACCAGGGGCTTTGCCAGCTCGGCCGTTATGCAACTGCGCTGTGCGATGTGATAGCCGGTGGCCAGACGTGGTTACTTAAATATTCACTTAAAAGTCATTACAATTAAGCAACATTTAAATTCAGTTTTTCTGTCACACGAGCCGCATTTCAAGTGTCAATGGCCACATGTGCGTAGTGGTTACCAATCACCCCGCCCACATATAGGATGTTTCCATTGGTGCAGAGTTCTGTTGGACGTCGGATGGCATCTGTCCGGAACCTTGGGGGACCCACAGTCAGCCGGGACACTGGCCAAAACTGCAGACCCCTGCACTGCCCTCTACAGATTCTACTCAGTGGAGTCCTGGTGATGTTCCCCAGAGTGCCAGGACCAGGCGCGGAGCCACGCCCACCACTCTGACAGCTGCTTCCGCTGAGTGACACGCGGAACCGAGAGGCACCTTGACGGAAAACACAACTGAGGCCCAGCAACCTGCCGAGGCCCCACAGCCAGGGAAGGAGCTGCCCATTAGGCAGGGGTGGAGGGGAGGACGTTTGCTCCTCTTATGAGAAGCCTCGGCCCCCATGCCTGCCAGGGGACAGGGACTGGCACCCTTGACTCCTTGGTCTCCCCAAATTACAGTGTGCTGCATTCTGGACACACAGCATGGTAGGGCTGGGTGTTTCAGTGTGAAGCCCAGAGGCGCCGGAACACAGGACCTGTCATAGACCCCGTGTGCTAGCCCAGTCCACCGAAAACCATCCTGGCGCTCCAGAACATTTGAATGGAAGTGACTTCCAAATAGAGGGAACTGGCGAGGGAGCCAAGAGCCCGTTTCTTGCAAATGAATCATGTAGGGCTGGCTCCAGCCTGGCCCCGGGTTTCTACAGGACTGATGCTTCTTTCTGTTCATTCAGAGCCGCAGTCATCTCTGGATTCACTTGAGTTCTGGAAAATTCATCAGTGCGGCCCAGAGGAGGGCTCTGAACGTGCGTCTGTTGGACTGTGTGGCCGCCGTGGCAGTTCTGCAACCTGCAGAGCCTCTTCCTGCAGCCCTGCTCATCCTCCCAGGCCACCATTGCCAAAGAACTTTTCCAGTTAACTCAGGCCCAAGGCGGTCTGCAGTCCCAAGCCAGCCCTTCACATGACTGTAAGCAGATGCCACGCCATGCTGGATGGTTCCATGTCTCCATTCAGTCACCAGATCTCCGAAGTGCACCAGCTCTGGCCAGCTTGGCCGCTAGCACTGCAGTGACAAAGGGGGACAAAGCACAGACCCCGCCTTTGTGGAGTTCCAGTTTGGTGGCAATGACACCCTTGTCAGCAGCTGGCTGCAGCACCAGAGATGCCCTGTACAAAGCCCATACAAAGCGGTGTGCATGCCAGAGAGGCTGTGATGAATCCTGTGGGAGCAAGAGGAAGGCTGGGAGAGAGGGGCAGAGAGAGGAGGGAAAGAAGAGAAAGAGGAGGGAGGAGGGGGGAGGGGGAAGGAAGGAGACAGGGATGGAGGCAGGGAGGAAGGCAGGGAGAGAGGGGCAGAGAGAGGAGGGAAAGAGAAGAGAAAGAGGAGGGAGGAGGGGGGAGGGGGAAGGAAGGAGACAGGGATGGAGGCAGGGAGGAAGGCAGGGAGAGAGGGGCAGAGAGAGGAGGGAAAGAAGAGAAAGAGGAGGGAGGAGGGGGGAGGGGGAAGGAAGGAGACAGGGATGGAGGCAGGGAGGAAGGCAGGGAGAGAAGGGCAGACAGAGGAGGGAAAGAGAAGAGAAAGAGGAGGGGGGAGGAAAGAGACAGGGATGGAGGCAGGGAGGAAGGCAGGGGGGAAGGGGCAAGAAAGGAAGGAGGAAAGGAATGGGAGAAGGAGGAAGAGGAGGATGGAGAGGAGGAAGGAATGATGGAAAGGAGGGAGAGAAGGATGGAGGTCAGGAAAGGAGGGAGGGAAGAAAGAGGGCTTTGCGTAGGAAGAAGTACCTGTGCTGAATGAGGCTGGAAGGATTAAACGATGCCTGGAAGCTCAAACGTTGAACAAAGCACAGAAGCCCCTTCTAGGGAATTGCCCCCTTCGGGGAATTGCCCCTTCCAGGGTGTTGTGCCTTCCAGGGAGTTGCACCTCCCAGGAGGTTGTGTGTGGGTCATCAGAAGATGGAGAGGCATGGAAGGCAATGGTGGGCAGCTGGGCTGCTAATCACCAAGGTCCTTGTCTGCTGTCACTGGTGTGATTTTTGTCCAGAATTGTCATTAAAATGAATTAAAAGCTCAAGCCAGCTTTTTCTGTGTAGCCCCTGCTCCTCAATGTGGGGTGTGGAGCCTGGCACATGGGTGCCCTGAGGGGTACCCCAAAAGGCTCAGGGCTCTCAGACCGATGCAGAACTACCCTGAATCCAGCTGAACACACAGACCCAGGTGCCCCTGTGCAACCGGCCTGCCAGGGGGCAGCTCTCCTCCTGGCCACACACTCAATCCCACCGGGTCCAGCTGCGTCCCCCCATCTCTGCAGCAGGTCTACCCCGATGACTCACACACAGGCAAGAATCGTGTTAATTTAGAGCGAGGCTGTTCAACCTCAGCACTACTGTAATGGAGCCGAGTCATTTTTTGTCGTGGGAGCCGCCCTGTGCATTGCAGGGTGTGGAACAGCACCTCTGACCTCGGCCCACTAGACGTGGGTAGCATCCCCCTGCCATGTGCCATACAAAAGCATCCCCAGACATGGCCCCATGTCCCCTGGGGGACAAAATTGCCCTTGATTGAGGACCATGAATATGCATGGATCTGGGGGGGTCCTGGACTGGACCTTCTGGCAGCCACAGGGCGGATGCTCCGCACCTGCCCCTTCCCGAGGTTGGGGGGGCCCTCATTCAGCAGATGCCGTAGGGCCCACACCCTTAAAAGTTCAGACCCTTGATCTGGAAACATCAGAAACTCTCTCTGTAAAGGGTTAGCCAGGACATACTTTGGCCGCACAGGCACAAGCGTTGGGGCAAATTTGGCTGGTGGCCCCTGTGGTAGCGCAAGCCTCTCCTTCTGCCCATGCGTCAGTGGGATCGTCCAGAGGCATGAGCCATAAGTGGTACCCTTGACGGGCGTCCAGCTGCCCCGACCCTACACCTGTACCCTGCTGCCCCCTCCCACCTTGGATCACACACCCGGACCCTGGAAGGGGCCAGCCCAGTCGGCCTCTGACCTGGGGCACACTTGAAGCTCCGGATCTCTTCCTGGCCAGAGTGGAGAGTGTCTGGTGAGGAGGGGAAAGAGATTGACATTAGCAGGAAAGAGCTGGATTAGTCACTGCCCCGAGTTAATCCCAGTGCGGGGGAAAGCCATCAGAATGTGACAGCAGGGTCAGGAAAAGCCCAGGGCAGGTGGCTTATCAGAACCTGGCCACTCCATGTATCTGGCAGGAGGAAAGATAACTCCATTGTCGGGGGCACGGGGTTCCTCCAGGGCCTGTCTCAGCAGCTGTGTGGTCGGCCCCAGCACACACAGCTGGCCTGGGACACCTTCTCCCCGAGAGGAGTCTACCCCCAGGGACCAGGCTGCCCTATTTATAGCTCTACCCAAACCTTCTCAAGACGGCAATTTCATGCCCACCCATAAATTCTCCTTCCAAACGGGTACTTGTAGGTCAGTGGAGACGAAGCCAAGAACCAAAATTGCTGGACTCTCCATCGGGTTGCTGAGGCAGAGACACAATTAGGATCCCAGCAAGGCAGTGGCCTGGGCTTTGCCAGAGGCCAGGACACGTCGGCTGCGGGCAAGGGTGGGGCCTGGCCGTCATGTGGGTGAGTAGGGCACAGCCAGCCTCAGGGAGGACATGAGGGCAGCCTCCGCGAGCTCAGCTGGTCGAGCCAGGCCCGTCGCAGGCACTCGAGTGGAGGCCAGATGTCCTGGCCCAGCCCCACTGTGTGTGTTTCTCTCTGGGCAAGGACCAGGCGCTGCCCCCTGATGTGCCACAGTTCCGCAGCCACACGCCCACCCCGAGATGCAAGCAGGGGCCTGTTCTGGATCCTCCCAGCACTGTGACCCTACAGGGGCATGGGGCCTCTCGCCCAGGATCCCCTGTCAGGCTAAAAGCTAGACCTGCCATGAAGACGCAGCCAATACCCCCAGCATGGGTCATCCCAGAGGGGCCTGGGGGCAATGGGAACCCAGGCCAGATGCCAGGTGTTGGTGCAGCCTGGACCGGAGGCCTGGCCAGGTACCTCCCAGTGGCCAGCTGGCCGGGAAACCCTGGGAGCATCCATCAGTGTCTCTGGGCCCCAGTTACCCCAACCATAAAGGGTACATTGGACTAGATGGGCCTGGGTCTCAAACACAGTATCACCAGCCAACCCTGCACCGGGTCCTTCTCCCATCGGCCCACAGTGCTGGAGAGGATATTATCCTCAGGAAGTTGATGGCACAGGGGGCAGCGGTGGGGCTTAGGCTCAGACAACCCCAGGCTCAAGCCCTGGCTTCCATCTGATCACCCACGTGTCCTTCCTGAGCCTGCAGATGCAGGTGGCCCCAGACCTCAGCAGAAGCAACTCAGGCTCTTGCTGGGCCATGCACTGAGGGCCCCACGGGCAGGCACCCTACTGCTGAGTGGCACAGGCCACTTCTCCCGGGTCTGCCTCCTCTTGGCCTCCTCTCTTCTCTCCTGGGAAGGATTAGAGCCAGGTCTGGTCTTCATAAAGCAGCACTTTTTCTAATCCTGGTGAGATCAGAAGCGGAAAGCCCAATGTGATAGTCTATCTCTCCAGATGACACATTCCCTCCACCCCCCACACAACAAGGGCTCAGGCAGGAAGCTGCTGTTCATAGGTAGGAGACCCTCAGCTGAGCAATATGAAGGGAGACCACCCTGAGATCCCCTCACCAGCTGGGAGACTCAGAATGTGGCCGTGTCCCATCCAAGCAGACTGCTTCTGTGATGGATAGAAATGATCGCCACACATGGGTGTGGGGGAGGGTGTGAGCTGTCACCCCCATGTCCCTGCACAGCCTCCGGGACCCCATCCTCTCAGCACTAAGCCCCCGAGCCTCTGCCTGGAACTCATGTCCTCGTCCTCTCTGACCCTGGTGTAGCCTGTCATAGAGCCCCTGCCAGTCTTCACAGGTCACTCCTGCAGTTTACCGGGCTGACCACGTGCCCTGGGGATTCCAAGATGGCACGGTGCAGCCTCCACCTGCCAGAAGCCCCGAGTCTGGTTGAGGAGAGAGACACGAGAATGGATCATTAGAGCCTACCAGGGTGGAGAAGGGCACCTTGGGAACAGGGGCTGGGTCTGGACCCACCCCTGAGGCTGCCTGGAGGGCCGGTGCAGTCCCACCGCCACATGCCTGCAGTGCAGGTGGGAAGAGCAGCCCCCCTGGGGGGATAGAGGCATGAGACACAGCATAGCTGGAGAGCACACCCCACCACTCCCCTGGGGTAAATGTCCACACAGAGGAGCAGGCATAGAAGCTAGAGCATGGGGCCAGCCTCTCACTCGGCCTCGCTGCCCCAAGATTGCTGCCTCCTCACGGCACAGCATTTTGCATATTTTTCTTCCCCACACCCTTCTCTAGGAAGCTGGGCTACCCTTCCAGGAATGAGAACCCACCCCTCAAGTCCCATCTGACTCCCACCTCCCTCAGCAAAGCGGCCAGGGCCCTCCCTTCTGCAAGACTGTCCCAGTTCAGCTGTCACTCTGAACAAGGTGGGCAATGGGCGTGGTCCCTCCATGGGCCTCCCGCAGCCTCATGTCCACCCTGGTCACCAGAGAGGGAACCAGCAGGCAAGGCACGTCCCAGAGTCCTGCAGAAGGGAAGTGAAAGAGCCTTAGACAAACACATGCTGATGGGTCTTAGGAAATGGAAAACATCAAATCCTTTCTCTGGCAAGAGAACCAAGAGAGGAGCTGGAGGAAGCCAAGGAGGTTCCGGCCCGGCCTGTGGGCTCCAGTGCAGATGGTCCAAGCATCAGGCAGAGGAGCCAGCCTTGGCACCCGTGCGCGTGGAAACCCACATGTGCAAGCTGCACGAAGCTCATAAAGGCGGCCGGGTCTGGAGCTGAAACGTGGAGCAGGAAATGGCCTGAGTGAGCAGGCGGGGAGAGAGGTTCACAGGCAGCCCTGCAGCCCCGCTTCTCCCAGAGTGCCCTGTCTGTCTGGGCTCCCGAGAGCCAACAGCCAGGAGCTGGAGATGAGCTCCCTGGGGGAAAGGAGGCTGGACAAGCAGCCCACGGATAGGGCCCGGAATTCCGAAGGCGGTGGAGTAGTTGGAGGAAGGGGGTTGGGATGTCACACTCAGTAGACAGGGGCTGGCGATTCTGCCAGGGGTTTGCATGAGAAGGAGCCCTATTCTTGGCAACCAGGAGGCTCTGTCTACAGGTAACAGAGTGCTCACTGAGGGCCAGTACTGCGAGGAGCCTAGGTCTCAGGAGGGCTCGGGTCCAGTGGCTGCAGGGTGGATTGGGCCAGCAGCTCACCCACGCCTCTAAAGCCTTGGTTCTTCTCGTTCACCTGCGCTGGTGGCCTGGGTACAGTGGCAGCCCCGGGCATCACATCCTGCACACCTACATCCTGGGGCGGAAGAGCACTGGGTCTTTCTGAGCTTTTACAATTGTTTCAAGAGCTGAGGGCCTTTCCTTTCTCAGAAAACCCCCTCCATACCCAAACCAGCAGCATCTCCCTCGTGGCCCTTCCCTACCAGTCAGAGAAAAGAACAGAGGCACGGTGATTGGCTTAAAGCAGGGATGATCCTGTTTCTGGGGTGGGCGATAGGGTCGCTGTGTGGGGTGACACTCAGGCACCCTCCCTGGGCTGCTGATCCAGGGGCCCCTAAGGGCTCAACTCTCTGCAGATCCTTCACCAGGCCAGCTTGACCCTGTGCAGCTTCCTGCCTCCCCACTCTGATGTATCTGTGCAGCGAGGGCCTGGATATAATACCAGACACCACTCAGTGCCCAGGCATGAGCCACCCAAAAGCAACGGGGAGTTCCTACCCCACGGGGGACACCTGGACTAACAGGAGCACAAGCCGGTGGATAAATTTTTCCCACTTTCTTCCCCTGGAGTGATGGTCCCAAGACCGGGTGTAAGGCTTCCCAGAACCTGTCTCACGGGAGACTTACCCCACCCCCCATCCCGTGTCTGCTCCAGGAGGCCATACCCCCAAATGAATCTGTAGCATGCAGTCCTTCACCAAAGGCTAAGACAGGTGTATTCGCTGAGCACATGGGTATCACAGAAAAGGGTGAGCTCTGAAGCCAATCAGCCAACAAGAAAGAGAAATTTGGGTAGGCAACTAACAGTATCTGCTAAAACAGTGATTTTAGGGCCAGGTGCAGTGGCTCACGCCTGTAATCCCAGCACTTTGGGAGGCTGGGGCAGGCAGATCACAAGGTCAGGAGATCCAGACCATCCTGGCTAACACAGTGAAACCCCGTCTCTACTAAAAATACAAAAAATTAGCCGGGCGTGGTGGCGGGCTCCTGTAGTCCCAGCTACTCAGGAGGCTGAGGCAGGAGAATGGCGTGAACCTGGGAGACGGAGCTTGCAGTGAGCGGAGATGGTGCCACTGCACTCCAGCCTCGGTGACAGAGCGAGACTCCATCTAAAAAAACAAAGCAAAACAAAAAAACAGTGTATTTTAATAAATTTGAAATCCAAGTAATGTGGAAAAGATGTGAGAGAAAAAACTTGTTCTGACTAATACCTTCAGAGAATAAAGGTCTGGGCCAAGAAAGTTTTATGACAGTGCTCTTTCAAATGTTCTAGAATTATTATTAGAATTCTATCATGGTAGAAGTATGTATTCCCAGGCTGCGTAAGTGGTTCCAGGTCACAGAAGAAGCAAAAATTGTTTAACTCATTTCATGGAACTGCATCATTCTTATGTCAAAATCAAACACATAGAAAGTAAAAGCAAATGTATGAGTGCTTCCATGGGTAAAACACTGTTTGAGGTCAGGTGCAGTGGCTCACGCCTGTAATCCCAGCACGTTAGGAGGCTGACACAGGTGGATCACTTGAGGTTAGGAGTTTGAGACCAGCCTGGCCAACATGGTGAAACCCCGTCTCTACTGAAGATACAAAAACTAGCCAGGAGTGGTAGTGTGTGCCTTTAGTCCCAGCTACTTGGGAGGCTGAGGCAGGAGAATTGCTTGAACCAGGAGGGGAGGTTGCAGTGAGCCGAAATCATGCCACTGCTCTCCAGCCTGGGCAACAGAGCAAGACTCCATCTCAAAAAAAAACCAAAACAAACAAACAAAAACACTGAAGCATTTTATTTGTTCAATGATAGGGATATAATTGTTATCCAGTTTACATAAGAGAAACTGAGGCACAAAAACATCAAGTTCCATGCTGAGGTTCACCTCCCAGATCAAATATGTAACACTTCCATCACCCCAGAAGGCTCTGTCCTGCCCTGTCCAGTGGAAACCCACCTTAGAGGTCAGCACTGCCATCCGTAGATTCCTGCACATCAGTCTTGCTTATTCTTGAATTTTAAATAAATGAAAGCACACAGCATGTGCACCTCTGTGTCTGACCCCTTTTGCTCAGGATAGTGATGTGAGATCCATGCCTGTTGCTGTGAACATCAGCAGATTGTTCTTTCTTTATTGCTGGAAAGCATTCCTTGTATGAATCTATTACAATTTGCTGAGCCCTCCTCACTTGGTGATCAGTTGGATTGTTTTTAGTTTGGACCTCGTATCAATCAAGTTTCTACAAATATTTTTGTACATTGCGTGTGTGTGTGTGTGTGTGTGTGTGTGTGTGTCTTTATATGTTCACTTTTCTTGGACAGTTATCCGGAATTACCGCTGGGTTTTTTCAGGTTTTAGCCGTTCTGATGGGTGTGTATTTAGATCTCTTTATGGTTTATACTTGCCTTTTCCTGATGACTAATGGTGTTGAGCATCTTTTCATGTGCTTATTGGCTATTCATTATCTCTATAACAAAATTTTATTAGTTTTTTTATTTTAAAACTTAAGCTTTTTACCTTTTGATTAATTAGTTGTAGGCATTTTTAAATATATTCTGGTCCAATTCTTTTCTGGTGTGTACATTGCAGATATTTTATTTTTCTCCTAATCTATCAACTACCTTTCATTTTCTTAGTATTTTATTGAATAGAAGACACTTTAAATGTTTATTAAATTCAATATATCAATTAGTGCCTTTGGTGTCTTGTTTAATCAATCTTTGCCTAGCTCAAGGCCATGAAGATGTTCCGTGATATTACCTTTTAGAGAAGATATAGTTTTAGCTTCCACAATCAGGCTTATAGTCCATAGTAATTTTTGTTCATGTGGTGAAGTAGACGATCAAGTTTCTGTTTTGTTTTTTCCTGTATCATATCCAGCTTCTTCAACACCATTTATTGAAAAGACTTTCATCTTCTCCACTAAATACAATCAATGCCTTTGTATGAACCTATTTCTAGACTGTCTGTTTTGTCTTGTTGATCTGTATGTCTGTTTTCACACCAAAGTCATGCTGACCTAAGGAGTGTACCTTTATAAGAAGCTGTGGAATTAGGTAGTGTAAATTCTCCAACATTATCTTCTTCTCCAAATTTATTTTGCCCATTTACTCTATGTTCTTTGCATTTTCTATACATTTTAGACTCAATTTATAAATTTCTATAAAAAATTATTTTGTTGATTTATTTTTCTTCTGTGTCAACTTTTTAGTTAAATGGATAACTTATACATTACAATGTGTATTCTTGATTTATGACAGTCTTTTAGGCATATCACTCAAAATGCTAAAAATCATAAATAAAACCTTAAAAACAGCCTGAGGGTGGGGGGCATATTGTCTTCAAAAGAGCAAGGGTAAACTCGATGGCTGACTTTTCAGCGAAACGATGGAAACCAAAGCACAATGGAACAATGTCTTTAGGGTGCTTAAAGAAAGGTGTCAACACAGAATTCTATAGCCAGTGAAAATTCCTTTCACAAATTTAGATGAAATAAATAATTTTCATGCAGTAAAAACAAAGCTTAAAGAATATGCTGCCACCATACTTGTAGTACAAGAAGTACTGAAGGGAGTTCTTTAAGCTGAAGAAAAATAATACCAAATAGAATCATAGGACTGTACAAATAAATGAAAAGGGCCCAGAAGGTAAACATGTGGGTAAATATCAATGGGTTGTTATTATGTAAGGCAGTATCAACAACAACGTCTTTTTGGTGTTTATTATATGCAGGAATCAACAAAATATACGAACATAGCACAAACGGCATGGGGTGTGTGTGAATGGAGTAAAACTACTATAAAGTTCTTGCATTTTGGGGGGAATTATTCTAGTAAGGATTTTTTTCTTAAAGTCTATTTATTGGTATTAATCTAGCTATGTCTTTCTGTTGTTGTTAGTATGTACTTGGTCTATTAACTTTCATCCTTTTTTTTCAACTTCTAGGTATCCTGATGTTTTAGATAGATCTTTTTAAAACAGCTTATAATTGAATTTCTTAAAGTGATTTGGCAATTTTTATCTTTTAACAGAATTTTTGGTTTATTTACATTCATTTTAGTCACTCATATGTGGATTTATTCCTGCTATTTATTTTGAACTTTTTATTTATCTTGCCTCTTTTCTTTCTTTTTCTTCTATTTTCTACTTCATTTGGATTGATTTAATATCTTTATTCCAGTTTTTCCCCTTATAGTTATACATACTATTTTCACTATTTTATTGGCTACCTTAAACATTAATATTTAATATGTACATTGAACTTATGAAACTTCATAGTCAATCAACAGATTTACCTTGCTCCAAAACAACAAAGGTATAAAGCACTTCAACTCAAACCATTCCCTCCTGACTTTTGTTTTATTGTAATTTGTAAAACTCCCTAAGTCATTTTCATTGTTTTACATTGTCAATTACTAATTACATTGGCTTACATATGTAGTAACACTTTCTTGGGTTATCATTTATTCTTCTTCTTTTTTTTTTTTTTTTTTTTTTTTTTTTTTTTTTTTTTTTTTGAGGTGGAGTTTCACTCTTGTTGCCCAGGCTGGAGTGCAAAGGCATGATCTCGGCTCACTGCAACCTCCACCTCCCGGGTTCAAGTGATTCTCCTGCCTCAGCCTCTTGAGTAGCTGGGATTACAGGCATCTGCCAGGTTATCATTTTTTCTTGCATCTCACCTCCCACCAAAGATTACTTTCACTCTGCTTGACATACATCTTCCAGAATTTCCTTTAGGGAAGATATGTAGGTAGAGACAATTTCATTTATCCAAAAATACTTGTATTTTGCGTTTATTCTTGAAAGATATTTACTTTGGGTATGCACATTCAAAGTAGAATTTTTTTTTTTTTTTTGCCAAGAAAATATAAACATGATTTCACTGTCTTCTGGCTTCCATTGTTAATATTGAAAAGTCAGATGTCAGTCTCATTTTCATTTCTTTGTGGGAAATTTGTCTTTTCTCTCTGGTACTTTAAATATTCTCTTATTCTTTGTGGGGGTGTTCTGCATTTTCACTCTTGTCTCTAGATATTGTGTGACTTTTATTTATCCTAATTTGGATTTGATGGGCTTGATGAATATGAAGATCAGGGTTTTTTTTATGATTTCTCATCAGAATTGTTTGCCATTACTTCACGAAATATTGCTTCTTCCTCAACTAGATGTAAGTGAAAGCTTTTCTCTCTGTTTCTATGATTATTTCTCTCTCTTTTATATCATCTGTGCTTTTACATCATTTTGTTATATATAACAAAATTTGTTGTTTGTTGATATAAAAATGATCTTTTATATCATTTGTTTCTGTGCTGCATTTAGAATAATTTCTACAGCTCTATCTCTCAGTTCATTGATCCTCTCTTTAGTTGCATCTAATCTGTGGTTAAATCCATCCATTGAGTTTTTAAATTCAGTTAAAATGTTTTCCTTTTCAGCGATTATATTTGGCTGTTTTTCAAATCTGTTTGGTTCTTATACTTTCCTACTCCTACTCATATTTTCAATGTCTTCTTTTATTCTTTTAACCATATTAAGGATACTTATATTCCTATCTAATAATTCCAGTAGGTGAAGTCTTTTGCTTCCTATTCTTCCAGTTGTTCCATTTTGTGTTTTGGGTTTCATTTGAGTCTTCTTCATGGGTCTCTGTTTTCTTGTGTGTAATGTGACAGGAAACTCAAGCCACTTGAAATGAGCTTATTTTGGGGAATACTTTGAGGCCAGATTTGAAGGGGAGTTTCTCCCAGAAGGATGTATCCTTACTTCTTTTAAGTACCTCAAGGTGTTGCAGACTCTGGCTACTCTAAACTGCATTTTCAAGTTGAGGCTCTTTGGACCACCTAGGTAGTGTGAACTCACACTGCAAACCATGTAAGGGCTGGATTGAGGCTACAAATTTCAGGGAGAACTTTTTTCTCTATTCAGTGCCAAGTTGTTTATAGCTGGTTTTCTTGACTGCCCCAGGGCATATTGGAGGTATGTTTAACTCACCCTCACACTAATATGAATCCTTTGGCATTGCAGCAATGGGTCTATCTTAGTCCATTTTCTGTTGCTTACAGGACAATATTAGAAACTGAGTAATTTATAAAGAAAATGAATTTATTTCATACACTTATGGAGTTGGAGAAGTCCAAGGTCAAGGGGCCACACCTGGTGAAGAACTCCTTGCTAAAGGGAGGCCATCTGTAGTGTCCCAAGGTAGAGCCAGGCATCGTGTGGCAAGGGGGCTAAGCATGCTGGCTAAAATTTCTCTTCCTCTTATGAAGCTACCATTCCCACTCCCATGATCACCCACTAATCCAGTAATCCACAGTGAATTAATCTAGTCATGAGGGCAGAGCCCTTGTGATGCACTCACTTCTTAAAGGGCCCACCTCTTAATACTGCCACCTTGGGGGGACTGGATTTCAACATGAGTTTGGAGGAGGCAAACATCCAAACCACAGCAGACTCCTGTTAGAGTCCCCTCATTGGGCAAATGCTGGCCTTTTGTTGTTCCCTGCACCCTGGAAAGCCACCAACACAGAAGGTGACATTCACCTAAGGTTGTCATGGCAAAGACCTGTTCAGACACGTGGGGTATTTTGCCTCAGAGAATCCTTGCTTTCTTGCCAGGAGAGTGCTTTGACAAAGCAGTTTTAAAATGAACCTCAAAGAATAAACAGGTGAGAATAGCAGCCAAGGCATTTTGGGAAAAAATAGTGAGTCATAACATACCATCATATGTTAAAGCACGACAGAAAGTCCTAATAATTTTACATCTACGGCGCTAGCTCATGTCACAACTAGAGATCAGCAAAAATAAATAAAATGTCTAGAAACTGACCCTGTCATAAGAAGCATTTTAAATCAATGAAGATAGAAAGAGTTTATCAACAAATAACCAATGGTATCAGCCATTTAGAAAAATGTTCAGTTAGGGTTTCTTGTCCATCAAAATAGAGTGCAGATGGATTAAAGAGTCAACAGTAAAAAGTGAAAACATAAAAGGATATTCAAAGAGAAAAATAATATTCAAGCAATCTCCAGGTGGGAAAGTCATTTGGAAGCATAAAAAGCAAAGGAAGAAAATATAAAATAAAATTTAAAATATTTAAACTTCTATTCATGAGAGACTGTAGTGACTGAAACTAATGGGCAAAGGCCAATTACAGAAGTGGATGGGAGTCACGGCAAAGACCAAGATTTATATTGTTTGCCTTTAAGGAAATATTACAGCTTAATAAAGCAAAGGCTAGAATATGGTATAAAAAGAAAACTATACCAAAAATTCTCATGTTCACTAGTAATCAAAGAAATGTTCATTAGAAGAAATATAGCTTCCAGGCTCACCAAATCTTTTTCAATGAAAACACTGTTAGTAAAGGTTTGGGTAAATGGATGTTTCCTCTCCTGATGGTAATTTAAATTGTAATTTCTGGAGGACAATTTGGCATTCTGTATCAAGAGCTATAAAACTATTCCAACACTTTGATCTAGCAATTCCCCTTGTATAATTGTTTTCTGAGGATAAATGAGATCCAGATACATATGACTGTTATTAGCAAAACAGTAACAACCATGAAATCAATATCTAATAATAAAAACCAACTAAATACAGTAAGGTAAATCCAAAGAGTTGACACATGACAAAACAAAGATTTTAAAAAATCAGGCTTTGGACAAAGGAGCAGAAGCAATACCATGGGGCAAAGACAGGCAAGAAGACAAATAGTGTTGAAAAAAACCACACATCCTATGTAAAAAACTGAATCTAGACACAGACCTCACACCCTTCACAAAAATTAACTCAAAATGGATCTTAGGGCCGGGTGTGGTGGCTCATGCCTGTAATCCCAGCACTTTGGGAAGCCAAAGTGGGTGGATCATCTGAGGTCAGGAGTTTGAGACCAGCCTGGCCAACATGGTGAAACCCCATCTCTACTAAAAAAAATACAAAAATTAGCCGGGTGTGGTGGTGCATACGTGGGAGAGGCTGAGACAGGAGAATTGCTTGAACCTGGGAGGTGGAGGTTGCAGTGAGCTGAGATTGCACCATTGCACTCCAGCCTGGGTGGCAGAGCGAGACTCTGTCTCAAAAAAAAAAAAAAAAAAAAAGGATCATAGACCTAAATTTAAAAGAGTTAATAATGAAATCTACCCAGTAAAGTGGCTTTGAGGGCTTTGAGGATCAGCTAAGTTATTTAAAGTGGTTTACAAAGGTTCCACCTGAGCTGACCAAACACAAAACTGTACAACTCCTAGAAGATAACATAAGAGAAAATCTAGATGCCCTTGGGTATAGCAGTGACTCTTTAGATAGAAAATCAAAGGCACATCTCTGAAAGAAATAACTGATAAGCTGGAGGTCATTTCAAATGGAAAACTGTTGCTCAAGGCAATGCAACACTTTGCAAAAGACAATGTCAGGAGAATGAGAAGACAAGCCACAGACTATGAGGAAATACTTGCAAAATAGACACCTGATAAAGAATTGCTATCCAAAATATACAAAGAACTCCTAAAACTTAACGATAAGAAAACTAACAATCCAATTTTTTAATAGGCAGAAGACCCGAACAGGCACCTCATCAAAAAAGATGTACAGGCCAGGCGCGGTGGCTCATGCCTATAATCCCAGCAATTTGGGAGGCCGAGGCGGGCAGATCACCGGAGGTCAGGAGTTCGAGACCAGGCTGGCCAAAATGGTGAAATCTCGTCTCTACTAAGAATACAAAAATTAGTTGGGCGTGGTGGTGCACACCTGTAATCCCAGCTACTCAGGAGGCTGAGGCAAAGGAATTGCTTAAACCTTGAAGGTGGAGGTTGCAGTGAGCCAAGATTGTGTCGCTGCACTTCAGCCTGGGCAACAAGAGCAAGACTCCGTCTCAAAAAAAAAAAAAAAAAAAAGATATACAGATGTTCAACAGCACATGTCATTAGGGAACTGCAAACTAAAACAACAAGGAGGCACCGCTGCACACCTACAACAGCCAAAATCCACAACATTGACAACACCAGATGCTGGTGAGGATGTGGAGCAATAGGAACCCTCATTTGCTGCTGGTGGGAATGCAAACAACATTCCCTATGGCTGCTTTGGAAGACAGTTTGGCAGTTTCTTACAAAACTAAACATACTCCTACCATACAATGGAGCAATCACATTTGTAAGTAGTTATTCAAAGGAACTGAAAACTTACGTCCACAAAAAATATGCATATGAATGTTTATAGAAGCTTTGTTCAAAATTGTCAAAATTTGAAAGCAACCACGATGTCCTTCAGGAGGTAAATAGATACATAAACAGTGGTACATCCAAGTAACGAAATATTACTCAGAGCTAAAAAGAAATGAGCTATCAAGCCATGAAAAGATGTGGAGGAATCTTAAGTGCATATTACTAAGAGAAAGAAGCCAACCTGAAAAGACTGCATGCTGTGTGATTCCAACTCTATGACATTCAGGAAAGACAAAATCATGGAGGCAGTAAAAGGCTCAGTGGTTACAAGGAAAGGGGTAGAGGAGGGGAGATGAACAGCTGGAGCCCAGAGGATTTTTAGGGCCGTGAAACTATCCTGCATGATATGGTACTGATGAATCCAGGTCATTAGACATTTGTCAAAACCCACAGAATGCAAACACCAAAAGTGAGCCCTAATGTAAACTCTGGACTCTGGGAGATGATGACATGTCAAGGGAGGGCCCTCAACTGCAGCAAATCGCTTTGCTGGGGAGTCTGTGTGTGGGTTAGGGCAGGATGCCAAGGGAAATCTCTGTCCTTTCCTCCGAATTTTGCTGTGAACCTAAAACTGCTCTAAAAAATAGAGTATTAATTTAAAACAAAATAAAATAAAGGCGATGTTCTGAATGTTTGTGTCTCCTCATGAACAAAATTGGTGCAAAACAGGCCTGCAGAGCTGCGGTGTCCTTTTTTTTGAGACGGGGTCTCACTCTGTCACCCAGGCTGGAGTGCAGTGGCCGCGATCTCGGCTCACCACAAGCTCCGCCTCCGGGGTTCACGCCATTCTCCTGCCTTAGCCTCCCAAGTAGCTGGGACTATAGGCGCCTGCCACAACACCTGGCTAATTTTTTTGTATTTTTAGTAGAGACGGGGTTTCATCGTGTTAGCCAGGACGGTCTCGATCTCCTGACCTCGTGATCCACCTGTCTCGGCCTCCCAAAGTGCTGGAATTACAGGCGTGAGCCACCACACCCGGCTGCTACTCTGTCCTTTTTCACAATGTGAGGATTCAGCAGGAAGGTGCTGAGACAGGAGGCGGAGCTTGATTCAGGAGGCAGGGCTCCATTCAGGAGGTGGGGTTCGATTCAGGAGGTGGGGCTGGATTCAGGAGGCGGGGCTTGATTCAGGAGGTGGGGCTCAGACACCAGAGGAAATGAGGACAAGCTAAATAAAACAGGAATGGAGAGGAGGGAGCTTTCCATAAGACACACCCACCCACCAATGCGCCATTGTCAGTTTACCATTGCCATGGCAACCATCTGACCACTTGAAAGTTACCACTCTTTTCCTAGAAATTTCTGCATAATCGGCTCCTTGATTTGCATATAATTAAAATGGGTATAAATATGCCTGCAGCCCTGCCTCTGAGCTGCTACTCTGGGCTCACTGCCTATGGGGTAGCCCTGCTCTGCAAGGAGCAGGACCTCGGCTGCTGTGTGCATGGCTGCTTCAATACAAGTTGCTATTCAACACTGTCCTCTCACCCTTGAATTCTTTCCTGCGCAAAGCCAAGAACTCTTGTGGGTTAAGCCCCAATTTGGGGCTCACCTGCCTTGCATCAGCACCTTCTGTAAACCAGGAGACAGGTCCTCACCTAACACCAAATCTGTTGCCTCCAGAACTGTGAGAAATGAATTCCTGGTTTTTTTTGTTTGTTTGTTTTGAGATGGAGTCTTGCTCTGTCACCCAGGCTGGAGTGCAGTGGTGCGATCTCAGCTCACTGCAACCTCTGCCTTCCAGGTTCAAGTGATTCTCCTGCCTCAGCCTCCCAAGTAGCTGGGATTATAGGTGCGTGCCACAACACCTGGCTAATTTTTGTGCTTTTAGTAGAGACAGGGTCTCACCATGTTGGCCAGGCTGGTCTCAAACTCCTCACCTCAAGTGATCCACCTGCCTGGGCCTCCCAAAGTACTGGGATTACAGGCATGAGCCACTGTGCCCAGCCCCTGTTTTTTTTCAAGTGACCTGACTTAGGGTATTTTGTTATAGCAGACCCAGCAGACTATGATGGAAAATAGGTGCTGAGAAGTGGGCTGTTGGTATAACAAACCCCTGGACATGTGGATGCAGCTTCAGAGCTGGATAATGGGTAGAGGCTGGAAAAGTTTTGAGGTGTGTGCTAGGAAAAGCCCACATCACTGTGAACTGACTGTCGGGAATGATTCTGGTGAGGGCTCGGAAGGAGAGCAGGAGAGAAAGCCTCAGTCTTCTTGGAGATGACCTAAGTGGCTGTGAATAGAAGATTGGTGGGGATGCGGACGGGAGAGGCCATGATTGTGAGGTCTCAGATGGAAATGAGGAGCACTTATTGGAAACTGGAGGAAAGGCCATCCTTGTTACCGAGTGGCAAAGAACTTGGCTGAATTGTGTCGCGTCTGGGTGTTCTCTGGAAGGTGGAACTTGTATGCAATGAAACAGGATATTTGGCAGAAGAAATTGCTAAGCAGTGTCAAGAGTGAAGCCTGGCTTCTCTCAATGCTTGGAGTAAAATGCCAGAAGAGAGGAATACTTTAGACAGGTGGAATTTGTAATCAAAAAGGAAGCAAAACTTTAACTTCGGAAAATTCTTAGTCTATCCTCATTGAAAAGAATGAGAAAGTGTATTCAGGAGAAGACACTCAAGGCGTGGCTGCATTCCCATCTGAGAAGGAGACAGTTCCATCTACACTGAAGCCAGGAGCTGTTGTCTAAGACAATGGAAGAGTGGACCGAAGACTTTCAGAGGTTCTGGAGCTGCCCCTCCCATCACAGGCCCAGAATGCCAGGGCCTGGGGGCCAAGATGATTCAAAAGGGGCCACTCTAGCTTAGAATCCACTGGGCCCAGACCTGGCACAGGCCACACTGGCCCTGCTCTCTGGGGACCTAGGGGTGAACCTTTGCTGTGTCTGCATGGTGCTATCTTTGCCAGTTTGCACAGTGCATGAGCTACAGAGCTGTGGCTGCCTCCAGCTAGATTTCTAAAGATGGAGCCAGCTGGAGACACAGGTTCACGACCCACAACATAGACAGGGCATGACTTCAGGGGCTGGGCCCCACAGAGAGGCCCATAGCGGTAATGCCTGCGGGAGCCAAGCTGTGGGGCCAGGGCTCCCTCTCCATCCCAGACCAGTAGAGCCACTGGCTTGTGATTTCAGTCCAAGAGAGTTACAGACGCCACCCAGCAATGTCTCAGGGGCGGTGCCGGAGGAGCCTTGCAGCCCAGTCCCTGCCCCAGTGTGTGCGGAAGGTGGAATGATTATCATTATTATTATTTTTGAGATGGAGTCTCACTCTGTCGCCCAGGCTGGAGTGCAGTGGTGCGATCTCGGCTCATTGTAAGCTCCACTTCCCAGGTTCACGCCGTTCTCCTGCCTCAGCCTCCCGAGTAGCTGGGACTACAGGTGCCCGCCACTACACCTGGCTAATTTTTGTATTTTTAGTAGAGATGAGGTTTCACTGTGTTAGCCAGGATGGTCTCAATCTCCTGACCTTGTGATCGGCCTGCCGCGGCCTCCCAAAGCGCTGGGATTACAGGCATGAGCCACCGCGCCCGGCCTGAACGATTATTCTTGAGTCTAAGACTAGTCTGCCTCACTGGGTTTCGGGCGTGCTTGGGGCCTGTTATCCTGTCTTCTTCACCAGTTATCTCTTTTGGAATGGGAGTGTCTGTGCTACACTTGTCCCACCATTGAATTTTGGAAGCATAACGTGCTTGATTTCACAGGCTCACAGCTGGAGGGAAATCTGCCTCAAGATGAATCGTACCTTTGGTCTCACCCACATCTGATCTAATAAAGGAAAAAAAATAAACAGGCTTTGAGGACTGTTTAGCTGCAGGGAAAATGTTCACCATGTAACGTGAAGTGACAAAGCGAGTTCCTAACTGCAGCTGATTGTCGATCGGCAGAGACTGGCACACTGGAGCAGCATTCGCTGTGATCACACCACGGGCACACACAGAGGAGTCCAGTGTAGTTTGTGTGAGGGAGAGAGAGAGAGATTGGATTTGAGAATGGAACTGAAATTGTGCATGAATGGAATTTGAATTCCAAGACAAACCCCATCTAAATTCTCGCTCCTAGAGATAGCTTAGCCCTGCACAGTTCATCTAACCTGTTTCTACAACGTGGAGTCTTTGGTGGAATGAAGGTAGGGAAAAGCCTCCCTCAGAGGGCTGTTTGAGGGGCGCCCTAATAAAATGCTGATAGTCGAAGAGGCTCTGCAAGCTGTGACGTGCTGGGCAATTGTTCCTCCTAATTTCCAGTGAGAATCGCTTCCACTCGGTGTGTATCCAGAATGAGTATCAGCACAGCTCAAACCTTCTAAGGCTCCGGGACCCAGAGTGGGAGCTTGGGAACACCAAGAAGGCCATGAGGGGAGGGAGCTATGGAGAAGGAGAGAGAGGGAACCACATTGCCAGTGAAAATTCTCCCCCACCTTCTTTTCTTCCCCTCCCTTTCCCTTCTTATTTTTCCCTCCCTTTTCCGTTCTTTCCCCTCCCTCCCTCCCTCCCTACCTTTGTTTCTTTCTCTCTCTCTTTCTTTTTTTCTTTCTTTCCTTCCTTCCTTCCTTTCTCTCTCCTTCCTTCCTTCTTTTCTTTCTTTCATTCTTTCTTTTTTTCTCTTTCTTTCCTTTTTTCTTCTTTTTACTTCTTCATGCATTCAAACACCCATCCAGTGTCCACTGTGCCCCAGGTCTATATCAGGCCTATAACATGAGGCTGGCTCCGTCTAACCTCAAGGAACATCACTTGGGGGACAACGGCTTTTATCACTGGGGGATGCCCGTTCAAGTCCACTGCGTTGTGTCTGCCTTTGTGCGCTCAGCAGAATCCCAGCCACACTCACATTCCCACAAGGACATTCCCCCCATCTCATCCCTTCTGGGTCTCTCTCCCTGTGGCCCTCTGTGCCTAGACTTGGAAAGTTGACCTTCTGTACCCTTTACAATGGTGGCCTTGTTGTTCCCTGGGCGCTGGAGGCCCGAGGAGGCCACTGCTTCTCTGTAGCCTCGCTGTGCTCTGGGCCAGAGTGTGGTGCCCTTGCGCTGGCCCACGATGCCCTGCCTGCCAGGTGAAAGGCACCAGATAACACGACATGTCTTTTTTTTTTTTTTTTTTTTTTTTTTTGAAACAGAGTCTCAGTCTGTCGCCCAGGCTGGAGTGCAGTGGCGTGGTCTCGGCTCACTGCAAGCTCCACCTCCTGGGTTCACGCCATTCTCCTGCCTCAGCCTCCCTAGTAGCTGGGACTACAGGCGCCCGCCACCACACCCGGCTAATTTTTTGTATTGTTTTTAGTAGAGACGGGGTTTCATCATGTTGGCCAGGATGGTCTCCATCTCTGACCTTGTGATCCGCCCGCCTCGGCCTCCCAAAGTGCTGGAATCACAGGCATGAGCCACCGCGCCCGGCCGACATGCCTTTATCGTCATATATACACATAGCAATTAACCAGACAAGAGTTCCTCGTTTCTCTCCTGGCTCTGCCAGAACACGGAGCTGACCCCCTCGGTGCTTGCAGGGGGGCCGCCCTGGCCGTGGTGTTGGTGGCCCAGGGCAGGGTGGAACACCCGCCATCCTCGCACCACACCAGCAGGCTTTTCCTCCAAGAAGAAAGGGGCGGTGATGGGAAGGACGGATGATCCAGTCTTTGTCAGGAAATGGCAATGATGCAGGCCTTGAGCAGGCCTGCGGGTTCCCATAATTGCTGGGCTCATCAAAGAAAATCCATCTAAGCAAATTTAAGAAGAGCCAGCCCCCTGGCTGGGAGCTGCTCAGGCCATTTGTCATTACTTCCTCCTGATAAGGCCAGTGTTTCATCCAGGAAGAATGTGGCTCGCGCGTTCCCAGTCTCTTTCTCGGGCCATTCCGAAGGTGGGAGCTGCGGACCTCTCAAGAGCGCAGACGGAGCCCCCGGCTCTGTTTGCAGAAATTCCACTGCCGGTCTGGGCTGTGAATCATGCTCAGGGTTTGGAAAAAGTTGCAGCATCAAAGCCAACTGAGGTTTGGGGCTCATCCCAGATGTGGTGTCGGGGCAGGGGGAAGGGCAGTGTTCCTTCCCGAGGCTTCCCCATAGGCACTATCTGGGGACAGGGTGGGGGTGGGGGCCATCAAGCTAAGGATGGGACTTAGTCACTGGTCAACGTTCCCAGAAACCTGGATTCCTCCAGTTGACCAGCTCAAACCACAAACACAGCCTCTGCATCCTGGTTCTACAATTCTCTAAGGGGCCTCAAACAATTTCTACGAGTGTCCCCAAGTCCCCAGAATAAAACTGTTCCTCAGCAGGCACACAAACCCTTTTACCATCACCCCAAACATCCAGAATGTTGGTGAGACACCAGGAGCTGGGAGTTGGTGGGGGGGGAGTCTTATTACCAAATAGTGGAAGGACCCCCCAGTCATCTGGCGACAGAGAACTTAGAGAGACCAAAGGCCACTTTTTTTTTATAAACAGAGAAATTGAGGCCCAACAGAGCAAAGGAGTCCCCCCTCCACCCCAGGTCCCAGAGCATTAAACAGCATAAACCACAGGACCTGCATCGACTCTAGAAATGTCCACCATTAGGCTCTCCTCCCACGTGACCTGCTGAGGACATATATGCATTTTTCCACTTTATAAGCAAATTTGCAAGACTTCACATGGAAGTCATTCATCACCACCACCTCTCACCCCATGGCCTCCTTTTGCAAGTCTTCACATCTTGCTCTCTGGCACAGCTGGAGTGCACCCCTCAGGGATATTTTTCCAGAAGGGTGTGCTGCCGCTGAGAGCACGCCCTTCTGCGGCCATCACCCACTGCAGGCAGCTCGCTGGGCATGGAATTTAGAGTCACGTTCTCTATCCTTCAGTGTGTGCTGGAGTGTTGTTGCTCCAGTGGCATTTCATTTCATGCTGCAGAGAGATCTTGGGACCAAGCTGATTCTGCTCCTTTGTAAATGAACTTTCTCTCCCTCTCAGGAGGACGTGAACCCTAAGAATGAGGTTTTCGTGTTTCCCATAAGAAATGAGTGCAGCTCAGCCAAGTTTCTCCATAGGATCCAGGGTCCTGCCTGGGCCTGAAAACCTGGACTCCAACTCTGTCCTGTCACGAAGTGGGTTTGTGGCCTTCAGTTGTCACTTCACTCATTTCTTTAGGGAGATAATACTTCCTTCCTGTATCTGCTAGCTCAGGCATGGTTATGCTGGGAAACAAGCATCCCCTGGCATCTACATGGTTTAAAACAAGAAGGAAGTATTTCTTGCTCCTTGTACCTTGAGGGTCAGGGGCCTGTCCTGTACCTCTGGACACCTTCACTCTGTGGTCCTGGCTGCTGGAGCCTCCACCCCCTGGGAATATCGTCCATGGCCGTGGGAACAGAGGACTTCTCTCAGTGCCTCTGCTCAGAAGTAAAATGGTGGCTTCATTTGCAGGAGCAAGTCAAATGACCATGCTCCACTTCAAGGAGGGAGGAGGTGCTGCCCCCTGCCCAGAAGCTGAGGGAGGTGGGCACTGGTGAGAAGTAGGAATGACAGCTCATTCCCTCCCAGGGTCCACATGGGGGACAAGGAGACCCTGACCCCACAGCCAGCAGCACACCCCGGTGTACGCAAACAGCAGCAAATGCAGGGCCTGGGGACTCTGCCCTGGGCGCTCCATGGTCGCTGACAGTTAACTATGGGAAGCTGGAAAAGCCAGAGGGCGGGTGATGGGGCTCTTTCTGCTCCAGGCCACCAGGTAGAGTAGGAAGTGATACTCCTTGAAGTGGCTCAGGGGCAGCGTGTGCACCCAAAGGAGGAGCTTCAGGGAGGGACAGCTGAGAATACGGCCTGGCCTGGCCTGGCCAGCAGAACAGGGACCATGATCCTGTTTACTTCTCCATTGCCCGTGTGGGTTTCTTTTTTTCTTTTTCTTTTTTTTTTTTTTGTTTTTTATAGACTGGGTCTCGCTATGTTGTCCAGGCTGGTCTTGAACTCCTGGGCTCAAGCGATCCTCCTTGGCCTCCCCAGCAGCTGGGACTGCAGACAGGCACCACCACGCCCGGCCCGTGTGAATTTTTTCTTCTCATTTCCCTTTACTTGATGTAGGTTGGGGACCTTACTCTGGAGATCACTCACGGACACTCCTTTGAAAAGGAAGAATGTTGCAACCTGGCAAAAGTGGGATCATCCAATTTTCTAAATCCCCAGGTCCTTGTGATCCTTAAGAAGTGATCTTGTTTTATCTGAAGCTCCAGATGCAACAGAACTCAGGTGGGAGAGTCTGGTTTCAAGTGCAAAGCCCCATGGAATGGGGCGTGGAATCCCCAGCCCACCCCGTCCAGGGCAGCTGGGATTTTATCTTTATATTCTCTCTCTTTTCTTCCATCTCCTTCTCTTCTCTTTCTCTCTCTCCCTCCCTCTTCCTTCCTGCCTCATCCCCTTTCACCCTGTCTCTCTTCTCTCATTCCCTGCTTCTCTCCTCCTTCTCTTTTCTCTCTGTCTCTCCCTCTGTGTCTCTGTCTCCTCTCTCTCCTCTCTCTGTGTGTCTCTTCTGTCTGTGTGTGTCTGTCTGTCTGTGTCTCTCTCAGTATCTGTCTCTGTATGTCTGTCTCTGTGTCTCTATCTTCTCTCCATCTCTATATGTCTTGCTGTCTGTGTGGGTATCTCTCTCTCCTCTCTGTCTCTGTGTGTCTCTCTGTCTCTGTGTGTCTCTCTATGTGTCTCTCTTTTCTCTGTCTCTGTATGTCTCTCTTTTTCTGTGTGTCTGTCTCTGTGTGTGTCTGTCTCTTCTCTCTGTCTCTGTGTGTGTCTCTGTGTGTCTCTCTCTTCTCTCTGTCCCTGTGGGTGTGTCTCTGTCTCTGTGTGTCTCTCTCTGTCTCTCTCTTCTCTCTGTCTCTGTGTGTGTCTCTGTCTCTATATGTCTGTCTGTCTCTGTGTGTGTCTCTGTCTCTGTGTCTTTCTGTGTGTCTCTCTCTTTTCTCTGTCTCTGTGTCTCTCTGTGTTTCTCTTTCTCTATGTCTCTCTGTGTGTCTCTCTCTTCTCTGTCTCTGTGTCTCTCTGTCTCTGTGTCTCTTCTCTCTGTCTCTGTGTGTCTCCGTCTCTCCATCTCTGTGTCTCTCTGTGTGTCTTTCTCTTCTCTCTGTCTCTGTGTGTTTGTCTCTCTGCCTCTGTCTCTCTGTGTGTCTCTGTGTCTGTCTCTGTGTCTCTTTCTTCTCTGTCTCTGTTTGTCTCTATGTGTCCCTCTCTTCTCTCTGTCCCTGTATGTCTTTGTCTCTGTGTGTGTCTGTCTCTCTGTCTCTGTGTGTGCCTCTGTCTCTGTGTCTCTCTGTGTGTCTCTCTCTTCTCTCTGTCTCTATGTATCTCTGTGTCTCTCAGTCTCTGTGTCTCTCTGTGTGTGTCTTCTCTGTGTCTCTGTGTGTCTGTCTCTGTGTCTCTCTGTGTCTCTGTGTCTCTCTGTCTCTGTGTGTCTCTCTCTGTGCCTCTTTCTTCTCTCTGTCTCCGTGTGTGTCTCTATGTGTCTCTCTTCTCTCTCTCTCCCTCCGTCTTCCGGTCCAGACAACACCACATAATGTTGCTTGGAGCCCAGCAGCCGCATGTGTGATGCCTGAACAACCCACACGTTTTTGCTGTTTTAGGAAAGAAGGACGCCCTCCCTCTCATGGGGACAGGGCAGAGCAAACGACACCCCGGGCTCACCCCGACCCTGGAATAGATTCCTCAGACCCCTGGGACCGCACGCTGGGTGCCCCTCACAGCTCTAAATCCCTTGGAGTCCAGAGACTTCCCTGCTCATGGAAAATGAGCCTCACAGAGGCCGCCAAGGTCTCTCCTTGTCCAGGAGGCCGGTAAACAAGCTGGCGGAGTCCGTGGAGCCCAGTGGGCTGATGACAGTCACAGGCCTGCTGGAACGGCTGGGGCGCCAGCAGATGGAGCAGCCTCAGCTTCCCCTTCCAGGGCCTCATGTTTTCTGCATTGGCCTCAAGTGCCTGCCCGGTGGGCACACACGGTGGGTCGCTGGCTCCCCGCATGGGCTGTGATCCACCGAGGGTCCCTGCCCTGGATCCCACAGCACACGGCCTTCCTGTTCTGTGGGAACCATCTTTGGCACCAGATACACAAAAAGTATGTGTGTCCCTCTGCAGCTTAGGGCCGAGCCAGGGCCTGGCGACAGCTTCCACCGCCGAACGCGGCTTTTCCTGATCAGCCATTTGTCAGAGCCAGACGCGGACTGGGGGCCTAGGGATGTGCACGGGTCCCAGGGGCGGGCGTGGAGAAGGCTGGAACCAAGGAGATTAGAGACTAGAGAAACAGACGTGCCTCTTGCTCTCAGTTTTACTGAACAGATTTTCAAGGCAGTAAAGTTTGATGATGGAAGGAAAAAGAGGGAAAAGCAGTCCAGCTTTTACAGGAAAGCACAAATTCATACGTTGCAGGTTCTCCTCCCCTGCACGGTGAGGAACAGAGAAAAGGGCCAAGGCTCCCCTATCCAAAGGCAGGCAGAGCCACCTGCAGGATCTGCTCCCAGAGAGGGACCAAGCATGTGGGTGGCTAAGGGGCCAGGACCTGCCTGAAAGAGGGGGGACGGCACAACCTGGACACCCCAAAGATCACAGAACATGGAGCTTTAGCAGGAGAGACCACAGATGAGAGTGCAGTCTGCCCCTTATTTTACAGATAAGGAAACTGAGGCACACACAAGGAATGACTTCCACAAGGCTCTGATTGTATCCAGTTTCCTGATTCTTAGTCTAGAATTTTTCTCTGTAAATCTTGGCCGTCTGGGGAGAAAGCTGACTAGGGAGAGGACAAAGGGTTGTGGAATAAGAGTGCAGCTCTCTTGCAGCCACTGAGGCTGAGACAACACGTCCTTGAGTGGGAAGCACAGTGGGTCCATCCTTGGCTCCCCCGTGCTCCTGGATGGACAGGGTAGGAAGGCTCGGCAGAGCACTGCTTAAGAGAAGCAGGCTGTCACTGCATGACTCTAGAGGATACAAGTCACACGGTGTGGACAGATCCCTGGAGTTGTGCAGTACACAACCTGCACAGCCGTCCACAGTGACCCTGAGTCTAACATACCCTGGTCACTTTGCGGCCCTGCATTTGGGGTTTTCACCCTGCTTGTGGGGCCTCCGTTAACGTACAGGGGAAGCGTTAGAATCCTAAACCGGTGAAGACAGACACTGCGGCCCAGGCATAGAACCCGGAGCCCTGGAGAAAGAAGACACTTGCCCACCCATGGTGTGTCTGGTGCCTCCTAGGTTCAGAAACTGATTGTACCCTCTCTGCTGGCCCGTCAGGTAGACCTTGCTGTCCTCAGTTTACAGGTGGACAAAACCGAGGCTCTGAGGCGAGTCCACAGTGAAAACACTCAAACACCAGGCACGCCAGGTCCTGGGCCCCGGCCTGTGTCTGCTGAGAGCTGGGGCTGGGGTGCCGAAACCGCACAGTGCTTCATAGGCACGCAGCGGGTAAGTGGTGACTGTGCACATCTGATGTCACTCAGCGGGGCCACCTGGAGCCTCGTGCCACCTGCCACGTGTGATGAGTACAGGGGCTGGCTCAGCAGCACTTGCTGGATGGAGTGTGAGCTTGGTGATTCATCCCATCTCCTCATGAAGCCCTGTATGGGTCAGGATTCAACAGAGAAACCACCAGCGGCAGATATAAAGACTTCACAAGGAATTAGCTTACGGAATTGGAGGTGTATTAGGTGTGTATACGTATCTCCAGTAGGCTCTTCTCATATATATGTATATGAGTGTATATATATATGTGTGTATGTGTGTATATATATGAGCACCTGTGTTTACATATATTAGTATGTGTGTATATGAGTATACGTGTGTATATATGAGTATGATGTGTGTATATGAATAAACATACATGTGTCTAGATATGTGTATACATATATGTGCATGTATATATGAGTACGTGTGTATATATAGTGTGTGTATATACGAATATATGCGTGTGCATGTATATATGAGTATATATGTGTGCATGTATATATCAGTATATGTGTGTGTATATATGAGTATGTGTGTGTATGAATGAATATATATGTGTGCATGTATATATGAGTATATGTGTGTGTATATATGAGTATATATGTGTGCATGTACGAGTGTGTGTATATATGAGTATGTGTACATGAATATATCAGTATATGTGTGTGCATGTATATATGAGTATATATGTGTACATGTATATGAGTATATATGTGTGCATGTATAAATGAGTATATGTGGATGTGTATATGAGTATATGTGTGTGTATATATGAGTGTGTGTATATATGAGTATATATGTGTGTATATATGAGTGTATGTGTATGTGTATGTAAGTATGTGTGTGTGTATAAGTATATATACATGTGGATGTGTATATCAGTATATGTACATGTGTATATATGAGTATATATGTGTGCATGTATGTGGTGTATGTATGTGCACATGTATATGTGAGTATATATGTGCATGTGTATATATAAGTATATATGTGTGGATGTGTATATATGAATATATATATGTGTACGTGTATATGAGTGTATATGGGTGTGCATATATATGTGAGTATATGTGTATATATATATGAGTATATATACCATACACGTGTATATATATGAGTATATATGTGTGCATATGTGAGTATATAAATGTGTGTGCATATATGAGTATATATGTGTGCATGTGTATATAAGTATATATGTGCATGTATATATGAGTGTATATGTGTGTATATGTGGGTATATGTGTGCACTTGTATATATGAGTATATATACATGAGCATGTGTATATGAGTATATACATGTGCAAGTATAAGTGAGTATATATGTGTGTATATGAGTATATACATGTGTCTATGAGTATAATATGTGTGTATATATGAGCATATATGTGTGTGTATATATGAGTATAAGTGTGTATATGAGTATATATGTGTGTATATATGAGTATATGTGTGTATATGTACATACATAGACATATATATGAGGAGATTTATGATGGAGACCAAGAAGTCTCACAGTCTGCGGTCTACAAGCTGCAGAACCAGGAGAGCCCCTGGTGTTTAATTCAGCCCAAGCCTGAAGGCTGGAGAACCAGGAGCACCAAGGTGAAGGCCAGGAGAAGATGGAAGCCCTAGCTCCAGGAGCAAGCCCCTGGTCAGGTAGGTCCTAGTGTGGCCTGTGGTTTATGGATGATGGAACAGAACCCCAGAGAGGATAAACAACGTGGCTGGTGACCAGCCATGCCGGGCTGTGAACTCAGGTCTGCCCCAGGTGGGCAGTGCCTTGGCTTGATATTGTCCTTGGTGCCAGGGGCAACTCTCAGGCGCTCTCACTGAAGTCCACCCCCAGAAGTCCCCGCACGGTCTGCCCCCCGGGAGACCAGCAGCAGGCCAACTAAGGACGCGGTGCAGCAGTGGGTAGAACAGACCCCACCTCTCCTGGGGGCCTCCATGACAGGGCGAGACGAGTCATCCATTCCCAGGCAGGTGGTGACCCCAGGTGCAGGACAAGGGGCCCCAACAGCTGGGGCAAGGGGAGGCTTCAGGCAGAGGGCATTTCAGCCAGGCTCAGGGTGATAAGAGCCCAGTCGGCACAGGCTGCCATAGCCAATTTCCAGAGTGGGTGGCCCAAGTCACAGATATGGATTTCTCACTGTTCTGGGAACTCAGGCACTAGCAGCTTGGGGGTTGGCCGACCCAGCGCCCATGAGGCCACTTCCCATTGGCAGGATCTCACTGCCGCTGTGTCCTCTCGGGGCCAGAGGGAGGAGCAGACACCCTGGTGTCTTCTTCCCAGGGCACCGATCCTGGTGCAAGCACCCCACCCTCATGTCCTCATCTGCCCTAGTCATTTCCCTGAGGCCTCTCCTGCAAACGCCATCTCACAGGGGATGAGGCTTCGGCATGGGGAGGGACACTCAGTCCACGGGCTGAGTAGAGTGGGACCTCAGGTGAGTGGGAGGTGCGTGGGGGCTGGTGCTTGGGAGGGGAGCAGTGCAGGCCGGGCCATTGGCAGGGCACCTAGAGGGTTCCAGGACCCAGCATGCAGCCCCCAGAGGGTGAAGTGGCTGGAAGAGGGCAGGACAGGAGGCCACAGAGGGCCAGCTGGTAAGAGGCTCACACTGCACCACCTCTGCCTGCACAGTGTTGGGTGGGGAGGAGCAGACCCCTGAGGACTGCTCCACTGGGACTGCCATCCTGGGGCAGGTGCTGCTGGGGGCAGAGTGGGGCCCTGGACTCCTGCAAGGAGCACCCCTGAGCTGGGCCAGCCATTGCTCCTCCCTGAGGAGTGCTCCTTGGGACTCCCTGGGGCGGAGTCTCTGGGCTGTTGGAGGATTCAGACCAGGGAAGGCACTTCTCTGGCTTCCTCCAAGCCCCGGCCTTCTTCCCATCCCCTCATGGGACCCTCAAACGTCCAGCAGATGAGGCCCTGCAGCCACCACTTTCCAGGACAGGCGAGGCCTTTCTCAGTCCCTGTGGAAGATGAAGTAGTGGCTCTGTGGCCAGCCCTGCACTGGGCTGCCCGGGGAACACAGCCTCACTGCCTGGCAGCCCCAGCGGAGGTGTGGCAGGGGACATCAAGTCAGCCACCAGCCCCGAAAGACAGAGAGAAGGTTCCCAACTGATACCTAACCCCAGCACCCCACAAGACATCACCGTAAAGCCAGCATTTGGCCTTGGGGTGACCTCAGAAGGCAAAATGCAGAGCAGACCCTGCCCAGGCCAGCGCTTCCCACACAGACCCGGGGCTACCTCGGGAGACCTTAGAGAGGCAGAGCGGGCATGGCCCAGGGCATAGCGTGCACCTGGCACTTCGGAGATGATTCCTGCATGCAAGGCTGAGTCCTCAAAGGTGCTCGAGGCCCCCGTATTGATTCAGTCACTCAACAAATATGAATGGAGCACATTTTATGTTACATTCCGTGCTAAACATTAGGGAAACCAGCCAAAAAAGAGAAAGAAAGAGACAAAGAAAAAGAGAAGAGAAACAAGAAGGGCTGGGAAGAGAGAGAGGAGGGCAGGTGATTGTAATGACTTCTGGCCGTGCCGTCACCCGGCCTGGCTGCGCCCAGGCGCTCCAGGCGCAGGTGGAGGATGGAGCCTCAGCTCAGCAGGGACCGCAGGCATCGAGCAAGGACAACGGGTCCCGAGGTCAGCACAGGGAAACACGGGCTTGCAGGGAGTAAATGACAAGGTCCCCAAAGGGCGGTGCATGGCAAGAAGGGGCGGCCAGGTGACGCAGGGAGGGGTGAGCTGTGACATGAGGCCCCAAGGGCTGAGCTGGCAGAACCCAGCCGAGTTCAGTTCAGCTGGGAAGGGTAGAGCAGCCTAGATGGGGGTGGGGGCTGTCAGGAGAGGCTTCTCCAGGTGGAGGGAAAGCCCATGAGGAGATCAGTATGGCCGGGGCAGGGTTGTGGGGGTCAGCGTGGCCAGTGGGGGTCGAAGGTAGGTCCAGGTATAGCTCAGCCTTGTAATCTCTGCTGGCTGCAGGGTAAAGAATGGAATGAGAGAGTGGGGGTGGGACCTCCTGACCAGGGAGATCCGTGGGGTGGAGAAGAGGGGATGGATGGGGGGTCTATGGGGCTGCAGGGATGAGAGCAGTGGGACCCCAGTCCCCTGCAGCACCTGCCCTCCCAGTGCTGAGTCCCCCACCTGCCCACCTTGCCCTTCAGCGCTTTCTCGCGGTGGTCGCTATTCCTCCCTCTGGGTGGTCCAAAGTTCCAGGGGCATCGGGGAGAACAACAGAGGAGGAGGATGGGGTGTGACTTCACTTGAACGTGGCGTCCACCCAGCCCAGCCTCTCCCAGGTCTGAGCACAGACACAAGGTGACCCTTTGCTTTCAGGAGAACCCCGGCTCCAGCAGGCTGCAGGGCCACTCAGGTTGGACTTTAGATCATCCGGGAGGCTTCCGGAGCCATGCAGCCAGCTGGCTCAGCGCCTGCCCTGTTCGCTGGCCATGGCGCTGTCTACGTGGGGCACCCTGGGACCCCCGTCTAAGAACGCTGAGTCCCGGGCCTAGTGATGCACAAGCGTGGCCTGAGTCTAGGAACCCCAGGGGGGCCTGGAGGCCAGGCCGGGAGGGGCAGTGAGGCCAGTGGAAGATGTTTGCACAGTGAGTCAGCACAGATGTGGCTCTGTCATTACACGCTTGTCCACGGAGGCAGGAGAAGGCCGCTGCTCCCCAAACCCCACAACGCATGAAAGGGGAGGCCCTGGGAGGGGGCAGGGAGCCCGGTCGCAGACAAAGTCCTCAGAAATGCACCACCCATGGGCCCAGGGCCAGTTTGAATTAGTGAACATCTGAAATGAAGAAACTTTTGTTTTGTTCTCAAAACCCAACTCTGCTCAAACCGCCAGCCGCAGAGAGAGGCCGAGGCTGGCCACCAGCTCAGCCTCTTGCTAGGCCCGCCTTGAGGAGCAGATATAAATAACTTGCTTTCAGAACTGGAGTGTTTGAAGGGACACAATTAAAGGGACCCGAAAGCCGGCTCTCTCAGGCTGGGCACCCGCGACCTCAGGGTCACCACCGGCTCTGTGGCCAACTACGGCACGGAGCTTGTTAAGCCAAGGCCGCCACCGCCTCTGGGTGCAGGGAGTGGGACCTGCTAAGGAGGGCCTCGTGCGGTGGATCCGGGACCCCGAACATCAGAAATGGCCCTCCAAGGACTCGCTCCCACATCGGCGGCGCTGCTTTCCAAACAGAAAAAACCACTCAGATATTCTCCTGCGGCTAATTTGTTCCAGAAGGCACCAGACTGAATATTGCTACTGTAAATAGATTTCTTCATTATCCTGGGGCCAAAAGTCTCAGGAAAAAAAAAAAAAAAAACAGGAGTCAGTAAGTGTCTGGGCTCCCAGCAGGGTGTGGGAGGACAGGCACAGGGGAGGCTGGGGCCAGCAGCATGTATTCTGGGGGTTGTCATCTGTGTGGTTGCGTTTGTTAAAGTGCTCGCCCGGCTGGAGGGTTCTGGGCTGTGCTTCCGTGAGAACCACATTAGGAAGAGGCAGATGCTTAAACCCCCAGGAGGGAGTGCATTGGGTACTATTTCATGATGGCACCTGGGGTTTAATTTATGGAGGTAACCAGGTGATGATACAGAGAGGCCAATGTCATTGAAAGAAGAGTTTATTACAGCTCCCAAGAAAAGAGGGGCACACCACGCCATGCAGGGCCACCCGGGGAGGCACCAGGGTCGGTCAGGAGGCAGCAGGAGTGAGTGGAGAGGGTGCCCCAGAGTGCAGACAAGTCACAGTGAGCGTAGGACTGGGCAGTTTGAATAATTTTGGCAGGCTCTGGTCTACAGGGATGGTCTCTAGTTGCCTGGCACCTGGCCCTGGGGTGATTTAGGGCAGTGAAAATATTGGTTTGGGGTGTGAGAGTCAGATGAAGGAGGCGGTTGGGGACACAGGCTCTGGAGTGGTTGGAATGTACATGAAAGGCGTGTTGGTAGTCACGTTGCTTGCTGGCTCTAGGAATTAGCCAGCCATGGGAGGAGCAGTCTCTCCAGGATTAGCAAGGCCCCAGGATGTCAAAGCATCACAAAATACAGAAGATAAGAAACGCGATTAACACAGGCAGATAGGCGCTTGCCGGCCCCACGTTTCTGGTGCCCTGGGGAGCAGGCGGCTGCTCCCTGCTCCTGGGAACTGCCACCCCCATCTCAGAGAGCCCCTTCCCTCTCCGTGGAGTCCTAGTCTCCCTGCAAAGCCTTCTTCTCTGGATGGTTTGTCACTGCCTCTCCTCAGGGCCCGGTCTGCGGTGGTCCTCTCCTATCACGGACATGCCCTGAGTGGTATCTGGGTGACATGCACAGGCCGAGGGTTTTGTCCCTGCCTCCGTCTCGCCCCCTCTCCTAAGCACCATATCTGTGTGTGGATCCTCCCAGGGCCTCTCTCTGTGGGCGGACCCTCTGTTCTCACCATGCCCAAGCCAGAGCCCAGGGTCTTTCTCACCTCCACCACCCCTTGTCCACACCACCCCAAACCCATGGATGACCCCCATCCCCTTCTTGCATCCACATTAGTCCTTGCCCCCGGATCCTAGCAGTGGCTTCCGACACTGCCTGTCTCCCCAGCTCCAGGCTTGGCTCCTTCTCCACCAGCACCAGAGCAATTTTTCTGGAGTCGTGCCAAAAACTCAGGCATTTGTGCAACCATAGAGTCAAGAGTGCCTCTTTACCTTCTGAAGCCGGAGGCCCAGTCCCAGGCCTGCAAGAACACTTGGGGGCTTTCGATCGCCCTCAGGATCCATGTGCCTGGCTGTGCTCACCTGGCTGACCAGCCTCCCAGCCGGCCTTCCCCTTCCCCAGCCCAGCAGAGCCACCCTTGGCCGGGCACCATGGTGCATGCCTAGAGTCCCAGCTGCTCTGGAGGCTGAGGTGGGAGGATTGTTCGAGCCTGGAAGGTTGAGTCCAGCCTGGGCAACATAGTAAGACCCCATCTCAGAAAGAAAGAAAAATCGAGAACCATCCTTGGCTCCTGGCACTCATTCTACACCCGCTTGTCTCTGTGGCTTTGCTCGGGCCTTTCCTTCTGATCCCCCACACCCCAGCCCCTCTGCTTTTGCCTGGCCGGCTAAGCTGTCCAGGCCCTTGAAGCTCACTGGAGTCGTCCTAGTTACTCAAACCGCCCTCCAACGGTGATGCCTTCTCACTCAACCATTTCACCCTTCCCAGATATGCAAATTGGCCCTGGCTGGTGCCCCTGCCCCCAGGAGGAGAAAGACGAGAAGGTCACCACAGGAGCATCCCCGTGTGCTAGGAGCAGGGAGCTTCAGAAGCCTCCTTGGGAGGGAGGAGGCTGTCACCAGGAGGAAGTGGGCAGGATGGGCCGTGCAGGCTGAGGAGACAGCAGGAGGTGGGCTTTGAGTGTAGCAGCAGCCCCCACCCTGGACCCCCAGGAGTACACAGGTGAGGGGCAGGCAGAAAGAGCAATGCAGGTATCAGGATGAGGCTGGCCTCATAAAATGAGTTAGGGAGGATTCCCTCTTTTTCTATTGATTGGAATAGTTTCAGAAGGAATGGTACCAGTTCCTCCTTGTACCTCTGGTAGAATTTGGCTGTGAATCCATCTGGTCCTGGACTCTTTTTTGTTGGTAAGCTATTGATTATTGCCACAATTTCAGCTCCTGTTATTGGTCTATTCAGAGATTCAACTTCTTCCTGGTTTAGTCTTGGGAGAGTGTATGTGTTGAGGAATTGATCCATTTCTTCTAGATTTTCTAGTTTATTTGCGTAGAGGTGCTTGTAGTATTCTCTGATGGTAGTTTGTATTTCTGTGGGATCGGTGGTGATATCCCCTTTATCATTTTTTATTGCGTCTATTTGATTCTTCTCTCTTTTTTTCTTTATTAGTCTTGCAGAGACACAAGCAAAAAAGAGAATTTTAGACCAATATCCTTGATGAACATTGATGCAAAAATCCTCAATAAAATACTGGCAAACCAAATCCAGCAGCACATCAAAAAGCTTATCCACCATGATCAAGTGGGCTTCATCCCTGGGATGCAAGGCTGGTTCAATATACGCAAATCAATAAATGTAATCCAGCATATAAACAGAACCAAAGACAAAAACCACATGATTATCTCAATAGATGCAGAAAAGGCCTTTGACAAAATTCAACAACGCTTCATGCTAAAAACTCTCAATAAATTAGGTATTGATGGAACACATCTCAAAATAATAAGAGCTATCTATGACAAACCCACAGCCAATATCATACTGAATGGGCAAAAACTGGAAGCATTCCCTTTGAAAACGGGCACAAGACAGGGATGCCCTCTCTCACCACTCCTATTCAACATAGTGTTGGAAGTTCTGGCCAGGGCAATTAGGCAGGAGAAGGAAATAAAGGGTATTCAATTAGGAAAAGAGGAAGTCAAATTGTCCCTGTTTGCAGACGACATGATTGTATATTTAGAAAACCCCATTGTCTCAGCCCAAAATCTCCTTAAGCTGATAAGCAACTTCAGCAAAGTCTCAGGATACAAAATCAATGTACAAAAATCACAAGCATTCTTATACACCAACAACAGACAAACAGAGAGCCAAATCATGAGTGAACTCCCATTCACAATTGCTTCAAAGAGAATAAAATACCTGGGAATCCAACTTACAAGGGATGTGAAGGACCTCTTCAAGGAGAACTACAAACCACTGCTCAAGGAAATAAAAGAGGATACAAACAAATGGAAGAACATTCCATGCTCATGGGTAGGAAGAATCAATATCATGAAAATGGCCATACTGCTCAAGGTAATTTACAGATTCAATGCCATCCCCATCAAGCTACCAATGACTTTCTTCACAGAATTGGAAAAAACTACTTTAAAGTTCATATGGAACCAAAAAAGAGCCCACATCGCCAAGGCAATCCTAAGTCAAAAGAACAAAGCTGGAGGCATCACACTACCTGACTTCAAACTATACTACAAGGCTACAGTAACCAAAATAGTATGGTACTGGTACCAAAACAGAGATATAGATCAATGGAACAGAACAGAGCCCTCAGAAATAACGCCGCATATCTACAACTATCTGATCTTTGACAAACCTGAGAAAAACAAGCAATGGGGAAAGGATTCCCTATTTAATAAATGGTGCTGGGAAAACTGGCTAGCCATATGTAGAAAGCTGAAACTGGATCCCTTCCTTACACCTTATACAAAAATCAATTCAAGATGGATTAAAGACTTAAATGTTAGACCTAAAACCATAAAAACCCTAGAAGAAAACCTAGGCATTACCATTCAGGACATAGGCATGGGCAAGGACTTCATGTCTAAAACACCAAAAGCAATGGCAACCAAAGCCAAAATTGACAAATGGGATCTAATTAAACTAAAGAGCTTCTGCACAGCAAAAGAAACTACCATCAGAGTGAACAGGCAGCCTACAAAATGGGAGAAAATTTTTGCAACCTACTCATCTGACAAAGGGCTAATATCCAGAATCTACAATGAACTCAAACAAATTTACAAGAAAAAAACAAACAACCCCATCAAAAAGTGGGCGAAGGACATGAATAGACACTTCTCAAAAGAAGACATTTATGCAGGCAAAAAACACATGAAAAAATGGTCACCATCACTGGCCATCAGAGAAATGCAAATCAAAACCACAATGAGATACCATCTCACACAGTTAGAATGGCAATCATTAAAAAGTCAGGAAACAACAGGTGCTGGAGAGGATGTGGAGAAATAGGAACACTTTTACACTGTTGGTGGGACTGTAAACTAGTTCAACCATTGTGGAAGTCAGTGTGGCGATTCCTCAGGGATCTAGAACTAGAAATACCATTTGACCCAGCCATCCCATTACTGGGTATATACCCAAAGGACTATAAATCATGCTGCTATAAAGACACATGCACACGTATGTTTATTGCGGCATTATTCACAATAGCAAAGACTTGGAACCAACCCAAATGTCCAACAATGATAGACTGGATTAAGAAAATGTGGCACATATACACCATGGAATACTATGCAGCCATAAAAAATGATGAGTTCATGTCCTTTGTAGGGACATGGATGAAATTGGAAATCATCATTCTCAGTAAACTATTGCAAGAACAAAAAACCAAACACCGCATATTCTCACTCATAGGTGGGAATTGAACAATGAGAACACATGGACACAGGAAGGGGAACATCACACTCTGGGGACTGTCGTGGGGTGGGGGGAGGGGGAGGGATAGCATTGGGAGATATACCTAATGCTAGATGACGAGTTAGTGGGTGCAGTGCACCAGCATGGCACATGTATACATATGTAACTGACCTGCACGTTGTGCACATGTACCCTAAAACTTAAAGTATAATAATAATAAATTATAAAAAAAAAGAATATCAAAAAAAAAGAGCAATGCAGGGCACAGCCTGAGAGGCTCAGACCCCCCAATTCCACAGACCCTGGGAAGCCCTGGGAGGCACTGAGCAGGGACTGGAATAATCCAAAGTCCTATTTTGGGAAGAATTAGCCAGATGAGTGAGAGGCAGAGTTTTTGCCACACACCCTCATCCTCTGGGCCACACAACCCAAATGCCCTGATGGGGTAGGCGTGGGGGGCTGCCCTGGCTTTATCACCACTAGGAGCAGGCCCGAGAGGATGAGATCCCTCTGCTGGCACTTGGGAGCCGCCAGCCACAGGGCTCGCAAGCTGGTGAGTCACACACCCTCCAGCCTGGGGCCTCGGGCACGCAGCAGCAGCCTGCAGACTCACTGCTGGCCCTCCCCGCCAACATCCATGTCCCAGCTGCCTAGGAGGGGTCCACGGTGGACTAGATACACCAAGGAGTGAGCCACATCCTTCCCCTTCCCCAGCCCAGCAGAGGCCTGGGTTAAAGAACTGCTCGTGTTTGCAGCCACTGAGCTCAGGATGGTTTCTTGGTGGAGCAGATGCTGGTTCCCTTGTTAGTGGGGCTGGTGGCGGAGGCCAGGAAAGCAGATGGCCCAGCTGCCTCGCCGCACGTTTGACCTGCACAATCCAACTCAGCCTGGAAATGGATGGAAGTCTGGGAGCAGACCCCACGTGTGGATGACTGGACCTTGGGCCACCACCGGCCAGAAAAGGCTTGGTCACTCTGCCTGTTTTCAGAAATTGCACTTAAGACCAGGCAGCTGGCTATAAATTCATACTCCCGAACAAGACCCAGCTTAAAGAGAGACCAGCGGGGTAATTCCTTGCCTTGTCTCCCGGCCGGGCAGTGCCGGTGAGGCCATTTGGCCCTCCTCGTCAAGGGTCGTGGCTTTGAGCCTCACTCTGCTGTGCCTGCGACACGGGTTTTAGAAACCTCCTTGAGGTAATGCTAGAAAAAGAAATCCAGAAAATGAGAAACAACAGACTTCCCATATTGCGAGTCTGTCCAGGAAACCGGGAGCCGCTATGAGACTTTTGCTGGAGACGACCTCTTTGAGCAGATGACTGTATTCCAACAGGAGTTGCTGGAAACCAGGAGAAAAGTTCCGAAGCCTTGACCCAGCCCTTGCCGACTCCACCTCCCACCCTGCCTGCAGAGACCCCTTCCCTGATTGCACTGGCTTGGCTGGGAGGACCTGCATCTCAGCTCAGTTGTAAAGTGGAGAGTGTGCTAGAACTAGAGCTCTGGACCTAACGATGAAGGCTTTGGACCCTTTCCCCAGAAAAACGCCAAGTGCATAAATGCACACATACCCAGCATGTCCCATGGGCTCCCCGTGTCTCACAGACCCTCTGAAGCCCAGCCCTGCCCTCCGAGATCTCGCGTGCTTCTCCTGGCATGCAGCCAGCTTCCAGTCACCAGGGAGGCCTTCCTAAGGCGGTGTCAGTGTGCAGCAGCACCCCAACTCCCACCCCCACTTCCTCGAGGGGCTCCCGCGTCCCAGGATGGCCCACACAGGAAGCAGGGCCCCGGCCCCTCAGAAGTCGTTCATGTGTTCTCAGGTGAGATGAGATGATGCCACCCACATCGGAGCTCTGGCCCAAGTCAGAAGCTGCCTCACCGCCTGGGGTACACGGAAGGAAGTTGAGTCCTAGTGCAAAATGCAGGTGGAGGTTGCCAGAGTGTGCACAGCAAATGACAACCTTCGCTGCCAGTTCTGCTCCGCTCCGCTCATTTATTATACTAAGCAATAACTTTCCAAAGCAAGAAGTTCAGGATGGAGAGAGTCCCCTCCTGTCTAGTCATGGGGTGGACGCAGTGCCCACCTGGGCTGTATGGGGAGCACCGGCTCTCGGGATGCGTGGATTTAAAAAAAAATTAACAGGGCATAAGAAGATGATTTTGCCAAAATTGTCATGACTCTGAATTCCTGCTGTGGGGACTTCCTGAGTTTTCTCAGCTTTTACATCTAAGATTAGTCTTGGCTGAGGAGAAATGAGATGTGATTATGCTACTTTTTCCAATTGTAGGTTTAAAGAGTTCAGATTTAATGACCAAAGTCACGCAGATAATGGAATCTGTCGTCTTCTTACACATTGTCAGCCTCGAGCACATTTATTGACCTTTTGGGGCTGTCCATTTTCCACTAGGATTGAGATTTTGGCTGTGGCTCACAGCTGCAATCCCAGCACATTGGGAGACCAAGGTGGGTGGTTCACTTTGAGCCCAGGAGTTCAAGACCAGCCTGGGCAATATGGAGATACCCCATCTCTACTAAAAATACAAACAACAACAACAAAAAAAAAAAAAAAAAACAACTAGCTGGGCGCATAGTGGTGTGCACCTGTAGTCCCAGCTACTTGAGAAGCTGAGGTGGGAGGATGGCTTGAGCCCAGAAGATGGATGTTGCAGTGAGCCAAGACCATGCCACTGTACTCTAGCCTGGGTAACAGAGCCAGACCCTGTCTCAAAAAAAAAAAAAAAAAAAGAAGATGACTTTAACAACATAATTCCCATGTTTATTTATTTTGAGTCACTCACAATTAGTTGCCAAAAAAGCATTTTATACATTGAGTTGGGGGTGGGGGATAGTGGGTCTTAATGTGGTATTGCATGGAAGGGGGAGATTTTATATTTATAATCAACATGTAGGTTAACACGCTTTTTTGAAATCCAAGCAATATACAGGAAATTTAAGTAGAATAAAAATTGCAGCCCATTTTTGAAATGTCAGCACGTGCTGTGTTCAGCTGAGGTTTTTGTTGTTCGTTTTGTTATTTTTTAACTAATAAGTTGGTTATCAGTGGTGGGTTTTCAAAACGTACTTGTTCTAATAAGTTGTACAATGAAATAAATCAGTGGCATTCTCTAGATAGTGTGGGGGAAGGCTAGAATATTTTCCGGCCTCCTATGAGTGGGAACCCAGAATCAATCTGAATTAGTCCTATTTTGGTGGAGTTTGTACATTTTAAATCCTATGACAAAAATAATCTAGCTTTCATTTCCTTCCTAGCTAGATGCGAATTTGTCTTTTCAAATGACCCTGTCAATAAGCCAGAAAGGGCAACACAGAAAAAGTGCTCCCCAAATCCTTCTGAGACTTGGCCCGTGTGTCTGGATGAGAAGCCATTCATCATAAGGGTGCAGAAAGCTTGACCAAGCTTAATTGCAAACAGCGTTCATTCTATTTTTAAATGTACAGGTCCGATCGTTTCTATAGAAATGGGTTTATCTAAGAAAAGTCTTGGTATGTCTTGCTGCTGTAAAAGGCCTTTCCGAAGCCCTCCTTTTTTTCCTGTTCCCCATAGGGTGTTTGCACAGCTAAGGACCTACTGCATGTCTGTCCCCAGGGCCCCGGTGGAAGGAAGGCAGCGCCTGCTCTTCCTCGACTCAGCCCGTCATCTGAAAATTCAGAAGTGAACCAAGGGTTAGACACCAAAGGTTGGGCTTCTGTTAACAGGGGTTTCAAAACATGAGCATTATAAGAAGTAGCTTAAAAAAAGAATGGGTGTACGCAGTGACTTCCGATGGAAATCTCCAAAACAATATTCCTAAGTAGCAATGGGGTTGGCTCAAGTCTTTATTAACAAAGAACATTCTCTTTCGTCTATAAAGAAATTCTTTTTTTTTTTTTTTTTTTTTTTGAGACAGAGTCTCACTCTGTCGTCCAGGCTGGAGTGCAGTGGCGTGATCTCGGCTCACTGCAAGCTCCCCACACCGGGTTCACGCCATTCTCCTGCCTCAGCCTCCCGAGCAGCTGGGACTATAGGCGCCCACCACCACGCCCGGCTAATCCTTCTGTATTTTTAGTAGAGACGGGGTTTCCCCGTGTTAGCCAGGATGGTCTCGATCTCCTGACCTCGTGAAACGCCCGCCTCGGCCTTCCAAAGTGTTGGGATTAGAGGCATGAGCCACCGCACCCGGCCAAGGAATTCTTAAAGATGCGTTGACAGTATTGAATTACCAACAGCCTGTGAAGATCAGTTTGACCGGCATGGACGCGTGCTGGTTAAGAGCTCAGGCCTTCGTGGGCCGAGCGGGATCTTGATCATGAGACTGGTGTATGGATCCACCGCCAGATTCTGTCTGCAGAGGAGGACGTAGGGGGCCGTCCCACCCACCGGGCCTCCCTGCTGTCTTTTAACACAGGCAAAAAAGGTTCACGGCAATGTAACAGTCAATGAACTTTCAGTTTAAATTGTGTACATTTTTAAATTGTAAGATTTTTACTGTATATTGATGCATAGTGTGATTCAATAAATTGCTTGTAATTTAAAAACTATTTAATATTCAAAATAAATATAGTTATATATTTATTTTTTAAAAAAAGAACACTTAACCTATCCCTATAGTCATGAAAGTGGATATGTTATCTTCTAGAAAGTATATTGCTTTATGTTTCATACTCAGCTCTACAAACCACCTAGAACTGTAAGTTTCTTTTCTTTTTCTCTTTTTCTCCCCATATGACCCAAATGATTGAACACCATATTTTTTAAAAAAATCTTTTTTCCATTGCTCTTCAGAACTAGCTGATCATAAATCAAGGGATCATATAGACGGGTCTGTTTCTGTTCTTAACTCTGTTCCATTGGTCCCTGTGCCTATTCTTGAGGAAATACCACACTACCTTACTGTAATTCTATAACACATTTTAGTATGTAGTAAAGTAACTCTTAATATTTTGTTTCTTCTTTAAGATTGTCTAGGCTACTACTCTTGGCCTTTCACATTTCCATATAAATTTTAGAATCAGCATAGAAATTTCCACAAAATGTATGCTGGGTTTTGATTTCAATTCCATTGAAAGTAGATACACTTGGGGATGAATGAGCATCTTTACACAAGTGAGTCTTCCATTCATGAATATGAAACATCTTTCTATTTGTTTGGGTCTTCTTCCATTTTTCCAAACAAGGTTTTGTAGTTTACTATGAAGGTGTCTTCCGTATCTTTTAATGCCTTTATTTTTGGAAAACTTTATGTATTTTAATACCATTATAAATGACCATTATAAATACCATTATATATAAAATACCATTATAAATCTTTAAAATTTATTAAATGTCAGTTAAGGATATAGAGAAACACAATTTTTTTTGTCTTGACATTATATTCAGTGACTTTGCTGAATGCACTTATTAATTCCAATAGTTTATATATTCTTTTGGATTTTCTATGCAAATAATCATACAGTTTGTGAATAATACTTTTATTCCTTCCTTCCTCATCTTCACACCTTTCATTTGATTTCCTCTGAAATCTCCAGTACAGTTTGGAAAGGTATGGTGGTAGCGGAAGCTTGGTTCCAGTCCCAATCTCAGAGGAAAATTTCAATATTTCACTATTGAGTAAAATATCTGCTACAGATATTTTTCGTTTCTTTGGTTGGTTAATTTGAAAATTCTCTTTTCAGATTAAGGAAGTTTCCTGTATTTCTGGATTACCCATAGATAACAACTTGTTTTTTCTCCTTTATACTGTTACTGTAGTGAATTTCATTGCTTGATTTATTGAATGCTAAACTACCCTTGTGCAATACTTTTCTTGGTTATGATGTATTAGCCTTTTATTATTTCACCAGATTAAATTTGTTAATATTTGATTAGAATTTTCACATTTATGTTCATGAGAGAGATTGGTTTATACTTTTTCTTTTGTGTAACATCCTTATCAGATTTGATGTCAAGGATATGTTGTCTCCACAAATGGAGTTGAGAACATTCCATCTTTTCCCATTCTCTGAAAGAATGCGTGAAAGACAAGCGGTAGTCTTCCATTAATATTTGGAAGGATTGACTAGTGAAGCCATCAGGCCTGAAGATCTTTTGTAGGAACATTTTAAATTAAGGATTCAATTTCTTTACTAGTTAAATTAAATTTTACTTCATTTCTTATATCTCTTTTGGTAGGTTGTATTGTTTTTAAGAATTTTTCCATTCATCTAAATTTTTTAATGTATTGGCATAAAATTGTTCAAAATATTCCTTTATTAGCTTTTAATATCTGTAGGATCTGTAGTGATGTCCCACTTTTTCTTCCTGATATTGGGAATTTATGCTTCTCTCTCTCCTTGGAGGTTTGTCAATTTTAATAGTCTTTTCAAAGAATCAACATTTGACTTTGTTGATCCATGCTATAATATATTTGTTTTTTTACTTCATTGATTTCTGCTATTGTCTTTTTTTTTTCTTCCTTCATTTTTGGGATTTGATTGAAGATACTGTTCTAGATTCTTGAGATAGATACTTAAATCATTATTTTCAAGTCTTCTTCTTTTCCAAAATATATGTTTGTTTGACTATAAACTTTTCTCTAGGTATAGCTTCAGCTGTATCCAAAATTGTAAATATGTCATATTACCATTTGTTTTCAATTCAAAATATTTTTAAATCTCCATTTCTATTTCTTCCTTTATCCACTTTTGAAAGCATTTTGGTGAATTTCCAAATACTTAGAGATTCTTTAGTTATATTTTTATTATTGATTTCTAGCTGAATTCCACTGTGGTTAAGGGAAGATATTCTGTATTACTTCAACTATCAGAACTCTGTTGAAAGATCACTTATGGACTGGCTTAGTATCAATTTTGGAAAGTGGTTTAGTACACCTGAAAAAGGATGTGTATTTTTCAGTTGTTGGATGTAGTTCTCTATATGTCAAGAAAGTCATATTTATTAACAGCATTTTTCAAAGCATTTATTTTCTTACTGATTTTTTGTTTGATTAGAACAATCCAATTACTGATAGGGTGTATTCAAATCTCTCAATAATAGGTACATGCAAGTTTAGAATTATATCTTCCTAGCAGGACTTGATCCTTTTATCATTACAACCCCTCTTAATCTCTGGCAATCTTCCTCATCCTCCTTCTTCTCCTTCCTTCTTCCTTCTTTCCTCCTTCTCTTCCCCCTTCCCCTCCCGCTCCTTCTCCCCCTCCTCCTCCTCTTCCCCCTTCCCCTCCCCGCTCCTTCTCCCCCTCCTCCTCCTCTTCCCCCTTCCCCTCCCGCTCCTTCTCCCCCTCCTCCTCCTCTTCCCCCTTCCCCCTCCCCCTCCTCCTCCTTCTTCTTTTTCTTCCTTCTTCTTCTTCCTCCTCCTCCCTCCTCCTCCTCCTCCTCCTCCTCTTCTTCTTCTTCTTCTTCTTCTTCTTCTTCTTCTTCTTCTTCTTCTTCTTCTTCCTCTTCTTCTTCTTCTGACAGGGTTTTTCTCTGTCATCTAAGTTAGAGGGCAGTGGCATGATCATAGCTCATGGGTTCAAGACATCCTCCCCACTCAGCCTCCTGGAACTAGAGTCACACACCACCACAGCTGGCTAACTTTTTATGTTTTTTGTAGAGACAAGGTCTCACTATGTTGCCCAGGCTGGTCTTGAGCTCCTAGCCTCAAGCAATCCTCCTTCTGCCTCAGCCTCCCAAAGTGCTGGGATTATAGATGTGAGCCACTATGCCCGGCTAGCAATGCCTCTTTACTTTGATATCACCACAACTATAGTAGCTTTCTTATAGTTACTATTTGTCTGGGGTATGTTTGCCATGCCTTTGCTTTCAACCTTTCTAAATCCTTATATTTACATATAAATATTTTTAGTAATATAGAGTGGGTTATTTATCCAGTGAGGGAAATTTTGGCTTATATTTGGAGTATTTTTCCATATACATTTATTGTACATAGCTAATATTCATCCATTCTTTCTGATTCTCATCCATTATTTTACACTTTTTTCAGTGATGCTAAGACTGGGACTCTGCCAATTACGGTTCTCATTCTTCCTTGCTAGCTGGCCTTTGTTGGGATTCACTGATAGAATGGCCTAGAGCGAGACACAAGACTTGGGGTGAGGGGACTTTCTGGTTTTTCCTGTCCCTTTCAGCATTGCTCCTGTGGCAGCAACAGTTGGTTCTTGCTGTGGGCATCTTCTTTCACCCTATCCTATGCCCTTGGAAATATCAGCAGTAGCCAGGCCGCAGCACCCTTCCCATCTCCTCCCTTTGGTTCCTCCAGACCTAGGAACGGTACAGTCTTCCTGCAGTTACCATCTTTGTGTTATCTCATTGCTTCTTTTTTGTTCTTCAACAACTGTGTGATCGATTCCCTCTAATAAATTCCCTTTGTTTGAAATAACTCTTGTGGTTTCTGTTTCCCTGACCAGACCTCCGCCAATATTCTGTTATTATTATTATGATTGAGATGGAATTTCACTCTTGTCGTCCAGGCTGGAGTGCAATGGTGCGATCTCAGCTCACTGCAACCTCTGCCTCCCGGGTTCAAGTGATTCTCCTGCCTCGGCTTCCCGAGTAGCTGGGATTAACAGGCACCTGCCACCATGCCTGGCTAATTTTTTGTATTTTTAGTAGAGACGGGGTTTCGCCATGTTGGGCAGGCTGGCATGGAATTCCTGACCTCGTGATTTGCCCTCCTGGCCTCCCAAAGTGCTGGGATTACAGGCGTGAGCCACCGCGCCCAGCCTCTGTAATTATTATATATTGAGCTTTAAATCAACCATATTACTCTTTCCGTATGGTTCATCTGCCCTGTTTTTCTTTTTCTTCTTTCTTGACTTCTCTTTGTTTTTTATTGTTTCATTTTTGCTCTATCTAATCAAATTAATTAGACATTATTTTCTACTCTTTTAGTGGTTACCCTAGAGATGGTAGCATGCATTCTTGACATTTTAAAGTCTGGTCTATATTAGCACTTTTACCACTTCTTGGACAAGGAAAGGACCTTACAAGACTTCGTTTACCATTTCCTCTCAACTTACATGCTTTCATGGACATAGTTTATTCTCTACACATTTTAAGCATCACAAGATATTAGTATTGTTTTATCCATTGAGTTCTAACCACATATTCACCTTTTTCATTGCTCTTCATCCCTTCTTGCATTTCTGTTCTGCCATCTGGGTTAATTTTCCTTCTGTCTGAAGAGCTCTCTTTAGTATTTCTTTTTGTGCCAATCAGCTGGTTCTATCAGGTTTTGATGGTCTGAAAATGTTCTTGTTTCCTTTTAATTATTAAAGGATATTTTCACTGAATATAGAATTCCAGACGGGCCACTTTTTCTTTCAGTCCTTTGAAGTTATCACTCCATTGTGTCTGGCTTCCATCATTTCTGTGGAGAAAATTAGCAATCCATCTAACGTTAACATTTTTTAAAAAAAAACCAATATGTCTTTTTCTTTGGTTGATAATAAATTTTGTCTTTGGTTTTCAGTATACTTACTACAATTTTCCAACATGTAGTTTCCTTTGGATTTATTCTACTTTGGGATATATCACTTCTTGGATCTGTGGCTTCTTGTCTTTCTTCAATTTGGGAAATTTCTCTTCAAATACTGCTTCTGCCTTATTCTGTGTCTTCTCATATTCTGGGACTCCAGTTTCATGTATTAATCTATATCACCATAGCCTATATAACTCTTATGTTCTTTTCTACATTTTCTATCCTTTTGCCTATCCATGGAAACTGAATATTTTTTAGACCTATCTTCCAGTTAATTAATTATCCAGTCTGCTGTCTACTGCTAAATGCATCCATAAAGGTGTAGTCCTATTTTTTCATTTCCAAATTTTCTATTTTTTAAATAGTTTCTGGAATTTTCGCTAAAATTATCAATCTTAAATTTTAATTTCTTATATATATATCATAGTTTTTTAAAATCCCATATCTGATGACAACGTTGTGTGTATCCCATGGAAGAGTCTGTCATTGTTGATACGTCTGTGGGAAGGGATTCTACCGTCTTCTAGGGGGCAGAAGCCAAGAGTCACATCTTTGGATCAACAGTGCCAGTCTCTAAGCCTCCAGGAGCAAAGCCAGTCTGTAAGCTAGAACCCTTCAGAGTGTCCGTGACCTCATCATCTCCTCATATAACACACACATGGTTAGCTCCGGCTCTGCACCTAGCAGAGCTAGGGCCAGGCAGGACAAACATAAGAAGGACATGATCTCTGCTCTCAGGGAGCCCATCATCCATCAGGGAGTGACAATTTCAATGGGGCCTATGAAATACTGAGGCTGGGCTCACCCTGAAAACAGTGGAGGCATTGGTGGAAAAGGTATGAGTTCCTCAAAATGCAGGGAAATCCTGAGTCTGGAAGAGAATGATGTTCGAGACATAAGCCCAGAAGGCACAGGAATGCTTGTCCATCCCAGGAGCTGCAATCCTGTTCCTCAGGGATGAAGCAGACATCAGGCGCCTGCCAGGGAGGGGGCCAGGCAGGGTTGCAGGGGCTTTTCAGAACCCTTCCTCTTCAGGAGCATCAAGGTCATGACCTCATGGGAGCCAGAGACAGAGGGGGTAGCACTAAAGGTAAGACTTCTGCTACTATGGCAGGTGAGAGGAAAAGAGGCTCGGGGTCCTCCTCAAATTGCATTTACCTTTCTGTACGATACAAAGTTGGCTCTAAATCCAGAGCAGTGCCCTTCTCTGCAAAGCACGGCCACTAGAGAAACTAGGAATCCATGGATTCACCTTCTGGTGGCCAAGATAGAAGCAGGCAGTCACATTTTTGAGAGATGCCAGTTCAAGCCAGAGAGAGCTAGAATTCACCATGGGTGCAGGGTGGAGTGCAGTGTGCGAGGTGGTAGCCACAGGAGAGTCTTGGAGATGGGAACTAAGAGCTCTTCCTCCTGTCTTCTCCTCCTGAGAGTTGCTGACAGAGTGAGCAACTCTCACACTGTCATCAGCCCACGTCTCAGCCTTCCTTGGATGGCCCAGCCGCCTTCCTGCCTGGGCCTCCCCTGACTGTAGCCACCCTGCACCCCCTCTTATCCCTCCAGATCCAGACCTGCCACAGAGCCCCAATTCCCTCACCCACTGCTGTCACGTGATTTAATCCTTGTTTGTTTCTGAATCCATCTTCCTGAATTGGATTCCCCCAAGAGACCAAGACCTATGCCAGCCTCATTCCCTCCGTCTCCCAGCACCCAGACAGGCTCTGATCAGCTGGGTTAAATTTGTGAACAGGGTCCACCATGGGCCGCATGCTGGGCACCCCACTGGGTGCTTCCAGAGGATCTGAATCCAGGGCTGTGGGATGCTAGTGGGGGGATATCTGGTTCCCAGTTCCTCGGCATTTCCAAGAATGCAGCCATCCCTCCCTTCCCCTTGGGGCCCCTCGGGGCAGGCTGTGTCTGGAATTCCTGAGGCAGGGCAGGTTTACATTGACTGCTGGGGCACTGAGGCTGCAGGGAGGCACCCAGGCCAAGGCAAACAGCAGAAGGGATTCTGATGGCTGACGAGTGGAGGTCAAGGGCAGCCCCAGCCCAAGTGGGAGCCGTCAGGGGCACCCACGCCCTCACATGTCTTGCCTTCAGTGGGTTAGATACCAAGGAAGGCCTGCTGCACAGGGAACCACCACGGAACGGGCAGGAGACAGAGAGGGCCAGGTAGGTGCCCAGGGCTGGAGAAAACTCAAAATGCTCCTCTGAAATCAGAGAGTGCCAAGTACACAAGGCCCCAGCGCCACCATCGTCTCATCTGAAAAAGCAGGGCAAGTGCACTATGCCTATTGATCGGGGAGGAAACTGAGGCCCAGAGAAGCCCGGGGCTTGCCACAGACCTCAAGCCTAGTGACTCCAGCCCTGACAGAAGGGCACACGGGAAAGTCTGTGATGAGGGAGAAGAGCTGGATCTGCCCAAAGTACCTGGACCTTTTCCTCCAGCACCTCCATGGTTTCCCTGGCCAACCACCTTTCTGGGCTGAACCTTCTCCCTGTTCCATGTTCCCGTGGGCCCCTGGGAGCACCCCACGTGGGGTTTTCTACATGGTGCTGGAGGTGGGTGTCTGTCTCTCTGCCCATGTGCTTTGCCACTCAGCAGTGCCCTGAAGCATCTAGCACAGGACTCACACACAGTAGGAGCTCACAGACGCCCCCTGACACCCAGGCAAGGACTCACACACAGTAGGTGCTCACAGGCGCCCCCTGACTCCCAGGCAAGGACTCACACACAGTAGGTGCTCACAGACGCCCCCTGACACCCAGGCAAGAAGTCACACACAGTAGGTGCTCACAGGCGACCCTCTGACTCCCAGGCAAGGACTCACACACAGTAGGAGCTCACAGGTGCCCCCTGACACCCAGGCAAGGACTAACACACAGTAGGTGCTCACAGATGCCCCTCTGACACCCAGGCAAGGACTAACACACAGTAGGTGCTCACAGACGCCCCTCTGACACCCAGGCAAGGACTCACACACAGTAGGTGCTCACAGGCGCCCCTCTGACTCCCAGGCAAGGACTCACACACAGTAGGAGCTCACGGATGCCCCCTGACACCCAGGCAAGGACTAACACACAGTAGGTGCTCACAGGCGACCCTCTGACTCCCAGGCAAGGACTCACACACAGTAGGTGTTCACAGGCGCCCCCTGACACCCAGGCAAGGACTCACACACAGTAGGTGCTCACAGACGCCCCCTGACACCCAGGCAAGGACTAACACACAGTAGGTGCTCACAGGCGCCCCTCTGACTCCCAGGCAAGGACTCACACACAGTAGGAGCTCACAGACGCCCCCTGACACCCAGGCAAGGACTCACACACAGTAGGTGCTCACAGGCGACCCTCTGACTCCCAGGCAAGGACTCACACACAGTAGGTGCTCACAGGCGCCCCCTGACACCCAGGCAAGGACTCACACACAGTAGGTGCTCACAGGCGCCCCCTGACACCCAGGCAAGGACTAACACACAGTAGGAGCTCACAGACGCCCCCTGACACCCAGGCAAGGACTAACACACAGTAGGTGCTCACAGGCGCCCCCTGACACCCAGGCAAGGACTCACACACAGTAGGTGCTCACAGGCGACCCTCTAACTCCCAGGCAAAGAGTCACACACAGTAGGTGCTCACAGGCGACCCTCTGACTCCCAGGCAAGGACTAACACACAGTAGGAGCTCACAGGTGCCCCCTGACACCCAGGCAAGGACTCACACACAGTAGGTGCTCACAGACGCCCCCTGACACCCAGGCAAGGAGTCACACACAGTAGGTGCTCACAGGCACCCCCTGACACCCAGGCAAGGAGTCACACACAGTAGGTGCTCACAGGCGCCCCCTGACACCCAGGCAAGGAGTCACACACAGTAGGTGCTCACAGACGCCCCCTGACACCCAGGCAAGGAGTCACACACAGTAGGTGCTCACAGGCGCCCTCTGACACCCAGGCAAGGACTAACACACAGTAGGTGCTCACAGACGCCCCCTGACACCCAGGCAAGGAGTCACACACAGTAGGTGCTCACAGGCGACCCTCTGACTCCCAGGCAAGGACTCACACACAGTAGGAGCTCACAGACGCCCCCTGACACCCAGGCAAGGACTAACACACAGTAGGTGCTCACAGACGCCCCCTGACACCCAGGCAAGGACTTACACACAGTAGGTGCTCACAGACGCCCCTCTGACACCCAGGCAAGGACTCACACACAGTAGGTGCTCACAGACGCCCCCTGACACCCAGGCAAGGAGTCACACACAGTAGGTGCTCACAGGCGCCCCCTGACACCCAGGCAAGGAGTCACAAACAGTAGGTGCTCACAGGCGACCCTCTGACTCCCAGGCAAGGACTCACACACAGTAGGAGCTCACAGACGCCCCCTGACACCCAGGCAAGGAGTCACACACAGTAGGTGCTCACAGACGCCCCCTGACACCCAGGCAAGGAGTCACACACAGTAGGTGCTCACAGACGCCCCTCTGACACCCAGGCAAGGAGTCACACAGAGTAGGTGCTCACAGGCGACCCTCCTGACACCCAGGCAAGGAGTCACACACAGTAGGTGCTCACAGACGCCCCTCTGACACCCAGGCAAGGAGTCACACACAGTAGGTGCTCACAGGCGCCCCCTGACACCCAGGCAAGGAGTCACACACAGTAGGTGTTCACAGACGCCCCTCTGACACCCAGGCAAGGACCAACACACAGTAGGTGCTCACAGGCGACCCTCCTGACACTCAGGTAAGGACTCACACACAGTAGGTGCTCACAGGCGACCCTCTGACTCCTAGCCCAGGACCTGCATGCAGCAGGTGCTCAACACACACCACTGAATGAACAGAAAGCATCACTGGGGAAGGCCCTTGGTATAGGAGACAGAGGAAGTGTCCTGGCCCCCGCTCAGCGGCAGGCGGGTGGGACCCCAGCTCTGCTGCACCCCGTCATCAGGCACAGGGCTGGCGGTAGGACTGTCGGGTCACCTGGGCTCCTATCTGCCCCTGAGTTCTCCACAGCCTGGGAGAAGATGGCTCACCCCCATCATCCCTGGTCCATGACCTAGTAGAGTGGGAGTCCCAAGGAGGCTTGCTATAGGGCAACTTCAATTTCCAGCAGCTGCCTGACCACTGGCACCCCAAGCCCCAGGCCCGCTGTCGCACGGAGGGCTCACGGAACCCCCATTGACTTCCGGTAGCTCAACACCTCTCTATCCAGCACCTATCCAACCAGAAGTCAAGTCCCATCCACACTAGCAGGGCACAAGTCTAGTGGAGCAGGGTGTTTGTCCAGGCAGTCATACTTGATATACTGGTGCTGCGGCAGAGTGGGGGTGGGTAGTATGGAGAGGGGTGCTGCTGAAATGGGGAGAAGGGACATGCAGCCAGCCTCAGGGCATCCTGACAGCCTGCCCCAGCCTGAGCGGAGAGTGTTTCCCAGGAGATGAACCAGAGCCCTGGGAAGAGGGGCTGAGTTTCCCAAGGGGCCACCCATGCAGGGCCAGGCTTTCCCCCTACAGCACGTGCAGGGATGTGGGAGGGATGGTGATTCCATCATCCCACACCATCTATCCTGGGAACTTCCTGGAGAAAGGGGCAACCATGGGTGGGTGTGGTCGGCTGGATATGCCCATGACCTAATCTCTGAAACTGAGGATGTGATCTTATAGGACAGAGGGGACCTCGCAGCTGTGATGAAGGATTTTGAGATGGGAGATTAACCCGGTTCATCTAGGTGGGCCCGGGGCAGTCACAGTGCTCCCCGTAGGAGAGAGACAGGAGGATTGGAGGAGTCTGAATTAGGAAGTGATGGGCCACAGAAGTGGAGGTTGGAGGGTGTGCTTTGAGGACAGAGGAAGGGGCCACAAGCCAAGGAAGGCAGGAGGCCGCTAGAAGCTGGAAAAGGCAGGGTTGCGGATTCTCCCCCAGAGCCTCTGGGAGGAGCCAGTCCTGCCAGCTGGCAATTTGACTTCCCCTCCATGAGACTGACTGTGAACTTCCAGCCCCCAGATCCGTGAGAAAATAAACTGTATTGTTTTGAGCCATTACACAGGGGGGTCATTTGTCACAGTGGCAGCAGGACACCCGTATGAGGGCAGAGCTGGCAGAGACAGGAAGGGCTGCCTTGCCGTGGGCTGGGGAGAGATGCCTGGGAGAGAGAGTGTGGATTTGGCTGCAGAGGCCCAGGATGTCTGGATGCAGAGGGAGGGTCTCCACTCGTTCCCTGGGCTGTGCCACAAAATGAGAACGCCCAGCCCGGCCAAAAAGTTTTGACTACGATCCCAATAACACGATGTCCTAAACAATTCCACCTGAGACCTGAAATCCTCATCAGAAGATGTGGGACATGAATGAACGGAAGGCTTCTCGGCAGCTAATGAGTCCCCACCTGCTCAGTGACGCTGGAAACATGTAAAGCAGGATAATCCCAGCAACAAGTGCGGTACTGGCAGCCGCCGTGGGCCGGGTGCCAGGCATGGGTTCGGTTCTGCACCAGCACCTGCTAAGCACGCGAGGTTCACAGCAACCTCATCCACGGGTCTCACACTCACTTCCCAGATGAGGACACGGATTTGGAGCGCTTTGCTGAGACCTGCCCGCCAAGGTCGGGATGTGTTTCTGATCCTAAAGCCTTTGCTTTTAGCTCTGATACTTTACTGCACTTCTAACCCCCTGGGGGCTCCAAAACCACAGACTGTCACTAATTTGGACACTAATTCCGATTTTGCAAACATGGAACCTTTTCTTAAAGAAACATTTCCTCATGGGCACCACAAATTCATGTCACCAGCACCACTGCCAAGCAAGCTTTGGAAAATCCTGAGAAAATGTTTGACACACTCTCAGAAACCTCTCCTGACTGTTTACCCAGAAGGAAAAAACAAATCCAGCTATTCAGTTTACCTGCTTCTTTAAGGATCTCAAGAAGACAACTTCCAGTGACCTTCACACACCGTTTCCAAGCGATCAACACACGCACCAAGTCGCACAGCTGCACGTACAACCTCAACTCAATTCAGACTTCTTCAAAATCCACTCTGGCCACTCTCCTAAGTAATTCGAGTAAGTGATGGCGCCTCCATCCACCCTGATCCATCTCCTGCCAGCCCCTCTGTGTGCTGGCTTCCATCTACCCACAGAGGCCGCAGTGTTTGCTCACAGCACTGAGTGCAGTACAGCCAACAGGAAACCCAGGTCCCTAAGGAGAGCCACAGATGCTCTGCTGAGGCATTGCCCATGTGCTTCACAGGGCAGCCTACATCTGCCAACTCCGTTGATTGCCCCAGAGGAACAAGGCACAACCATCCAAAAGCAGTCACTTCACAGGAGTGCCAGAGACCTCCCCGCCAAGGAGGCAGTGAGGAGGCAGGAGGAACTACGAGCATCCTGAGGGCACCTGCCACCCTAGCTCTGCCCTCGGTGTTCACCTGGGTCTTGGCCGAGTTCCTGGCCCTCTCCTGGCCTGGTGCAGCTCACCTCTGCACCAGGGATGGGGGTGAATTAGCTCATAGGCCGCCAGGTTTGGGACTTTTGTCTATCGGTAAAATTCTCCCCCAAGCCTCAAAAACGGAAAGGCAACCTAGGAGTTGCCAATATTTGAAAACCATTTAATAACCCCTCTGTCTCCTGCCAACAGGAAGAATATGATCTCAGAATAAAGGGCAGGATAAATGGAGCTTCACGAAAACCTTGGTGTGTTATCCTTGTTTGGTTTATTTTGCCTGGGTCCTGTGGAAATGCGACCCACACTGGCATCATTTGGGACACACAGGGCTGGGTGGCTCTAGGGCCTGTCCAGCTTCTGACCCTTTATGAGTTGTAGGAAATCCGTGTTGAGGCCAATTTCACTGACCAGGTCTCCTCGTCCGTCTCCCTGACTCACATAAACTTTTGAGGGCTAAATGTGGCATTCTATAATTTTGAGAGCCTCATTTCCGCTAATGACAATTTGTTGCATGAATACAAAAATGTGTGGATACCTGGGTAGAGTGATAAACCGTGACCACACTGACCATCATTTTGAGTGTAGGTCACCTTGGCTTCAAGAGGTTAAAAGGTTTTAGGGCATTCATTTGCATTCCTTCTGTTATTACTAGTCTACTTCTGTTCTTTATTTTTCTCTTTCGGAAAATGCAACTTACCACTTTCAACGAGGTCTTTATTACAGAGAAGATGAACTCTCCTATGTCACTTTCAGTAGGCACAGCTCCCTGCTGCCAGTCACCTTTTAATCTAGAAATGTTCATGTCTCAGTCACTTTTAATTTGTGTTTCCTCTGTGACATTTATCTAAGTGATGCTTTTGTTCCTCTATCGTCTTTGCCCTTTGTGTATTTTCTCTGGATTAAAAATGTGCTTGAGATTGTTTTGTTTTGTTTTGCTTTTTTGCCAAAATACGAATGTTACATATTAATGTTTCAAACATCATTTTTTTTCTTTCTCTGTTAAGCACACAGACTTTTGTTAGGCCTTCAAATAATCTATGGCATGTGTATATACGTAAGAATCAGGCAGAAATTCAACATTTGCATTAAAGTAAACTTAGTCTGGTGATCGTCATAAACATTTGATGCCAGAGTTCTAAGAACAGAACTCAAATTCCATGCACAAAACACCACTATGCCCACATTTCAACACATGAACATTTGCCTAATTCCAGTCTTGTCACTGTTACACACACACACACACACACACACACACACATGACTTTATAGTAAATGATTCAACTATCAAGCTTAGCTGAACAGAGTGAGCTTTGGTTTCTAAATGTGATCTTGATTTCAGGTGCCATAAAAGAAAAATAGCAAAAGATCAAATATTTGGGATTAAAAATCATAAACAAGAATTTTGCAGTGTGTGTGTTTACATTTATTGATTCAAATTTCATTCAAACAGGCTAACCCCCCTCCAGAGTCTTTGGGCTGGCTAGGGGAACCTCCTTGGGGTCAGAGGGGCTCTAAGGCCTTAACAGCCTCACAGAATATAAGAAAATACCTCATTTTGGAAACAGACTGGTACTTGTTCCATCTTTGCTCCTTCCTTGATGAAAAGTGAGGCAGGCTGGTGCTCACCCCACACTCAGTCCAAGAGCAAGGATCCTGCAACCCAATCCCCCCTCCAAAATCTGGGGGTGGACAGAGGAGAAGGGTATCTGGGGTGCCAGGGAAGACAGTCCACGCACCACGGTCATGGGACGGTAAGGGACTGACCCTGTGATCCTCTGGCCAGACCCTTCAGTGAACATGGAAGGGCACTGAGGCCCAGCAGAGCCCAGGCTATGACACAGGGCTGGGGCTCCTGGCCCAGAGATTTTCCCTCTGCACTGTAAGGCATTTGACTCTAGGGTCTGCTGAGGGCATGTGGGCCACAGTGCAATCGGGTCTGGGTCTGACCCAACTGGGGTGAAGGCTGCTCAGAGCTGCCCTGCCAGGAAGGGTGGTGGACAGTAGCCGGGAATAGTTTCTTAACCACATTCCAGGAGCTAATACAACTTCCACAGGGCCTTCTGGAGGTGACGAGGGAGGGTATAGAGGAAGGAAATGTCAGTGCAAAACTTGGTGATGAAAAGACAAGGGCAGGTGTGAGGGGCACCTGAACCCATCTGGGGATCCTAACCCAGGTGAGTCCAGAATCCTGCTGCAGAATGGGAACTCAGGAAAATACCATTGTTCAGACAATTGTAATCAATATTACTGGCAGCCTCACTCAATCAGAAACTACCACAAAATCCTTTATTTTAAAAGTCATGCTAATGTTTCCTTGGAAGGTTTAGTAAACCTTTAGTAAAGATTTTAGTAAAATCTAACAATAGGTTCATGAAACTTACTCCTTTAAAAGCATTTGATAGAAGGAATGGGGAGAGGGGTGAGATTTAAAGTGTCAAATCACCCCAGAGAGATAAATAAAAGATGATGGTAGAAAAAGGGATGATAGACACATAGATGACAGATAGATGATGAATGGATAGATAGATGACATATAGCTATAGATAGCTACAGATAGCTACAGATAGGTGATTGATGGATAGAGATATATATGACAGATAATAGATGATGGAGTGACCGATAAAGAGATAGATAGGGCAATCGATCGATTTCTTATTTCATTGCTCAGTACCCAAGAGGCTGTGTGCGTTAACATGACGTGGAAGATTATATTTTCCACAGATGAATGTGACACTATCTTCCCTCCCACACACTCGTCTACAGTGTAACCTTACCACCCTTCCATCAAGAGGTGGGGTCTACATTCTTTCCCTCTGAATCTGGGCGGACTTGTGACTGTTTGGGCCAATAGCATCTGGGAAGAGTGATGCATGTGGCATCTGGTCACTGGGTCACAGGGCCATGCAGTTTCTGCTGGGTCTACTGGTCCACTCGCTTTTGGAGCCTGGAACCACCAGATAAGAAGTCTGGCTCCTCTGAGGCAGCCATGCTGTGAGGAAGCCCAAGCTGCATGGAGAGGCCGTGTGCAGGAGCTGCGGTCAACAGTCCCAGCTGAGCTCCTTGGCATCTGCTGGTATCAACCACCACACAGGGAGGAAAGGCGCCTTCAAGTGGTTCTAGCCCCCAGCTGTTGAATCTTTCCAGAAAGAAGGCCCCAGAGATGGTGAATCAGAAACAGGCATGCCCAGCACACCCTGTCTAGCTTCCTGCCTCACAGGATCATGAGCACACAACAGGGTTGATTTGCACACACAGCAATCACTACCGGGACACATACGGCTTAGCATCTTTCTTTCTCTAGCCTCTCTTTTTAAAGTCCCTCAGAGTTAAAAAAAAAAAAAAATCTGAAATGCTGTGATTTTCTTGTTGGAAAATTGGCCATCACTGCAAAGCACATACATTTGTTCCCCTTCTCAGAGCTGGCAGGCAGCTCTCAGACTTCCCCAATCAGACTCCTTAATTCCACACGGCTTCTGAGCGGGAAATTGCCAGACACACACATGCTGGTTGGGCAAAGCCTGTCGTTAAGAAGTTATGGAGAAGCCAGAGCTGGCCCCAAGGTGGCCAAGGGGCCCAGAGGCCTGGCGTGAAGGTCAGGAGGACCCTAGGAAAGGGAAGAGGGACCCACCAAGCCAGGATCTGTCAGCAGTTATCCGTAGCTGTTAAACTCTGTGCAAATCTAGCGGGTGCTCTAAAACTTCTCGAGCTCTGCGCTAAGAGTATGCATGCGGGTCTGCACGGTGCCAGCTCTTTGCATTTCGCTGCTTAACGGTATTCCACAGGGGATGCCATGTTCATTTCTTCATTCGCGGTCCTGGCCGTGGGTCGTTTCTGGATTTCCATGGTCAGACTCTGTTGCAGCTGCCTTCTGAGGCTTGGCTCCTGGTGAGCACACGGGAGTGGCTCAATGCCCACGGTCAGTGATGGAATAGAGGGAAGCTGAACTTCTTTTGGTTGCTGTTGTTCGGTTTTTTTTTTTAACGGCTTTCTTGAGATATAATTTATAGGCCATGCAAGTCACCTATTTAAAATGTACTATTCGACCAGGCGCGGTGGCTCACGCCTGTAATTCCAGCACTTTGGGAGGCCGAGACAGGTGGATCACGAGGTCAGGAGATCAAGACTATCCTGGCGAACACGGTGTGAAACCCCATCTCTACTAAAAATACAAAAAATTAGCCGGGTATGTTGGTGGGCGCCTGTAGTCCCAGCTACTCGGGAGGCTGAGGCAGGAGAATGGTGTGAACCCAGGAGGAGGAGCTTGCAATGAGCAGAGATGGTGCCACTGCACTACAGCCTGGGCGACAGAGCGATAATCCGTCTCAAAAAAAAAAAAAAGGACAGTTCAATGGTTTGTGATGTTTTCACAGTTACGTGCAACCATCACCAGTCAATTTTATAGCATTTTGGTGATCTCGGGAGGAAACTCTATGCCCTTTAGCCATCGCCCGCTACCCCGCAGCCCCTCATTCCTGAGAGACCACAGCTCTGTCTCTGCAGATCCCTGTCGTGAACATGGGATAAATGGGATCATGGGCTGTGTGGTCTTCTGTGACTGGCTTCTTTTGCTTGGCACCTTTTCAAGTTGTATCCGTGTTGCGGTGTGTATCCGTACTTCACTCCTTTTTACAAATATTATTCCATTGTGTGGGTGTAGCACAGTTTATGTATTCATTCATCCATTCATGAAGACTTGGGTTGTTTCCACTTTCTGGCTATTACAAATAAGGTTGCTACAGACATTTGTGTACAGGTTTTTGAGTGAATGTAAGTTTTCTTTTTTTTTTTTTTTTTTTTTTGAGAGGAAGTCTCGCTCCGTCTCCCAGGCTGGAGTGCAGTGGTGCGATCTCGGCTCACTGCAACCTCCACCTCCCAGGTTCAAGCGATTTTCCTGCCTCAGCCTCCTGAGTAGCTGGGACTACCATACCCGGCTAATATTTGTATTTTTAGTAGAGACAGAGTTTCGCCATGTTGGCCAGGATGGTCTTGATCTCCTGACCTCATGATCCACCCGCCTCGGCCTCCCAATGTTCTTGAGTCACTGCACCCTACCGAGTGAATGTAAGTTTTCATTGCAGGAGTGGAATCGCTAACTTTATGTTGCGTTGTTGGAGCCCCTGCTTCCCACAGCAGCTGCACTATTTTGCATTCCCCAGCAATGTGTAAGAGTTGGATATGTGCTTCTGTAACTTGACAAGATGCCACCAAACTGTTCACCAAGTTGGTGAGTCATTGTCATCCATCAGCGTCTCTGTCAGGATCTATAAGTCCCTGCTGTGCCACACTTCACCAGCAAATGGTATTGTCAGGCTTAAACCTTTGACACTCGAATGGGAATGAGGACACTCGGATGGGTGTGAGGACACTCAGATGGGTATGAGGACACTCGGATGGGTATGAGGACACTGGGATGAGTATGAGGACACTCGGATGGGTGTGAGGACACTCAGATGGGTGTGAGGACACTCGGGCAGGTATGAGGACACTTGGATGGGTGTGAGGACACTCAGATGGGTATGAGGACACTCAGATGAGTGTGAGGACACTCGGGCAGGTATGAGGACACTCGGATGGGTGTGAGGACACTCGGACGGGTGTGAGGACACTAGGATGGGTATGAGGACACTCGGATGGGTATGAGATCATGGCTCACTGTGTTCTAGCTCAGACTTCCCTGAGCTCTAGGATGGAACTGTATGAAAGCACCAGCATTCAACTGTGTTGAGTGGCTGAAAGTGATAATTTCATAAGGTTCAACCTCATAGTAAGATCGAGCTCCTTTCCATGGGATTTCTCTCTTTTTTGCCCATTTTGATGTCTTCCACTGTGAATTTTCTGTTCCTATCTTTTGCCCATTCTTCTGCATTTTTAAGAGGGTGAGATCTTTTTCTTGTTGATTTATTAAAATCATTTATGCATTTTGGATATTAATCCGTTATTGCACACATGTTGAAAATACCTTCTACTGCTCTGTGCCTTGCCTTTTCTTTTTGTGTATGGTATTTCTTGACAATCACAGGTTTTAAATTTCAATAGAAAGGACTTTATGAAACTTTTCATTGTCTGTACATCTTGTGTCTTGTTAAGAAATCTTTCCCTACACTGGAATCACAAAGGTCATCTCCTTCTGTATGAGTTGGGGTTCTCCAGAGAAACAGAACCCATAGGAAATATACCTATCTATATTCCATATTTATATCAATACCCATATCTATATATGGACACACAGAGAGAGATTATAAGAAATTGACTCACACAATTATGGAGGTGGAGAAGTCCCACCATCTGCAAGCTGGAGACCCCAGAAAGCTGGTGGCGTCGTTCTGGTTGGAGTGCAAAGTCCTGATAATCAGGAATACCAATGGTATCAGCTCTAGTCCAAGGGCTGGAGAAGACCAATGTCCCAGGCTGGCAGAGAAAGTAACTACTTCTTCCTTGGCCTCGTTGTTCTACTCAAACCCTCAATGGATTGGATGGTGCCCACCCATAATGGGGAGAGTGAGCTTTGCTCAGTCCACTGATTCGAAAGTCAATGTCTTCCAGAAACACCCTCACAGACAAACCCAGATTCAATGTTTAGTCAAACATCTGGGCACCCCGTGGCCCAGTCAAGTTGACACATTCGAATTAATCACCACACCTTCCTTCTCTTATAGAAGTGTTAAAATTGTGCTTATCTCACCTAGGCCTTTCATCCACCTGGCATATACCTTTTGTGAGCAATGTGGTGTAGAAACCCAGTGTAGCCAGGCATGGTGGCTCACGCCTGTAATCCCAGCACTTTGGGAGGCCAAGGCGGGCGGATCACGAGGTCAGGAAATTGAGACCATCCTGGCGAACACTGTGAAACTCCGTCTCTACTAAAAATACAAAAAAATTAGCTGGGCATGGTGGCGGGCACCTGTATTCCCAGCTACTCGGGAGGCTGAGGCAGGAGAATGGCATGAACCTGGGAGGCGGAGCTTGCAGTGAGTGGAGATCGTGCCACTGCACTCCAGCCTGGGCAACAGAGCAAGACTCCATCTCAAAAAAAGAAAAAAAAAGAAACCCAGTGTAACTTCTTTTCTATACTGATAACCCATTATCTTGGCCCCATTTCTTCATTTGTGCTTTCCCGCCACAGCCCAGTCCTCTGCCACACCAGTCTCCCTGTACAACTGGGTCTCCTGGGCTTCTGTCCATCTGATCCCTCTGCACCAATCTACATTTTTTTGATCTAGCTTTTAAAGACTTGATAGTTTAAGGTACAAGTGACCATACCTCACCCTTCAAAATTGCCTTGCTAATGTTCCAGCCCTCTCCTTGCTCAATAATACACCCTGTAGAGTTGGCTGATCAAGTGTCACTAAAAGCAAACACAAATGTATTTTAGATTGTATTGGAATTGTATTGAATGAATAGATTAAGTGAGGACAGATGACATCTTTAGGAAATGGAGTGTTTCTACCCATGAGCTGAGAGTATTAGCTCATTTTTTCTTTCCAGCTGCTTAGGATTTCATTCTGGAGAGGAACAAAACATGACTTAAGCAGGTCCTGACTGACCGAATATTCAGAGAGAGTGCGGGATTTTCTGTTATAAACAATACTGCAGTGAACATGGCCATGCAGGCATCTTGGGATGTGAGTGGGAGGATGTCAGCAGGGTGAATCCCTACCAGTGGAGCTGCTGGATATGGTGTGAGCACTCTAAGTTTAGGAATGTGTGCCAAATTTTCTTCTGGAAAGATTATTCCAATTTACATGGCAAGGAATCAGACTTCATGTGTGAGTGGTGGGCTCAGGCTGGTAGGATGGGGTTCATCCTGACTCCTTCACAGGCTGACAAATGTCAAGGTGTCCTGCTGTGACTTAAAAGCAGCAAGACCGCCCTGGCCTGGTCCCTCTGCCCCTCTCATGGATGGGGTTCTGAGGACAGTGCTGGGAAGTGCAGCTCCACCTCCCACTTTCCTCGTAGACCTGGAGTAAGAGCCAACCTTAACTCATGACTCCGGAGCTTACCTGCATTCTTCCATAGGGTGCGAATTCTGCAAGGGACAGGGGTTGACCCTTGCCCGGAGCTTGTGCCCAGTAAATACTTGTTAAACTAATTGGGTTAATAACATGTCCAGCTGAAGCATTCACATTCAGCAGAGCCTTTCCTATTCCTATTAGCAAGACACACCCTGGTTTGTTTCTCGATGCACCTTCTCCAGCCTTCCGGAGGCACCTGACGGTGAGCCTCCAGCACCCCACGAGCCAGGGTGCCATGTCTCCTCTGTAACCTGGCTGTGGAGGAGCCAGGGACCAAGTCTGGGTGGCTGATGTCCCAGGAAGCCCTCCAGTCTGATCTTCAGCAAGACCTCAGAAGTTCTTAGACCTTGCTTCTGCTGCATTTTATTGGTCAGTGCACTCAGATTCAAGGGGAGGAGCAATAAAATCTACCTCTCAGTAGGGAGGTGGCATCAATGCGTCGGGGGGAGTGAACTGATGGTGCCATCTTTGGATCTAGTGGCCCGAGACATTGGCCATGATGTCAACACCAGCAATCACAGATGCCACTTGTTAAGGTTTAATCCGTGCCAGGCACCGGGCAAGAGACAATCTTTTCAGCTGCCCTTCTGGGTACCTTTTCTATTTTTCTTATTTTATGGGTTGGTTAATAAGATTCTGAAAGGTTTCATGTCTTGCCCAAGGCATTATATGCATTATAGTAAGGAGCGGTGCCAGGGATCAAACCCACTTCTTTCTTGTTCCAAAGAGGGTGCCCTTTCTGCCGCACTAGGGACCTCCTTTTATTATTTTCTAGGATATTTTTTTCAAGGGCACTAAACTTGCCTCAGCTCTGCCATATATCTTAATTTAAAAAAAAAAAAAAAACTTTTTTTTTTTTTGAGATGGAGTCTTGCTCTGTCACCCAGGCTGGAGTGCAGTGGCACAATCTCAGCTCACTGCAGCCTCCGCCTCTTGGTTCCAGCGATTCTTCTGCCTCAGCCTCCCAGGTAGCTGGGATTACAGGCACACGCCACCATGACTGGCTAATTTTTGTATTTTTAGTAGAGACGGGTTTCGCCATATTAGCCAGGCTGGTCTCAAACTCCTGACCTCAGGTGATCCGCTCACCTCAGCCTCCCAAAGTGTTGGAATTATAAATGAGCCATCACACCTGACCTGAAAATTATTTTAATTGTGAAATATAATATACAATAGAGTATGTACATTGTTATAAAGCAAACATCCGTGTATCCACCACTCAGGTCAAGAAATAGGCAATGGCCCACACCCAGACGCCCTCGTCTCGGACATCCTGAGCTCCCGGCCGCCTGAGCAGGGCCTCCTCCCCTTCCGGAGATAACCACCACCTTGACTCTTATGGTAAGCGCTTCCTGCTTTTTCTTCTGAGTTTTACTATCTAATTATGCTGCCCTAACAATGTAGTTTCGTCTGTGTTTGAATGTTATATAAATGGAAACATACAGTAAGAACTCTTTCATGTCTGGCCTTTTTTCTCTCTCAATATTATGTTTCTAGGTTGATCTGTGTTGTTCCCTGGGTTTGGTTTATTGGTGTATGTGTGTGCTTGGAGGATTTTGTGGGTTTCGGGTTTTTTTGTTGCACGGTGTTTCATTGCATCAATCTACCACGCTTCAACCCTGTTTCTCTGGATGGGCATTTGGGTTCTGGCAAAGCTCCTATGAGCCTCCATCCCTACCTCCAGGTGCACCCAAGCTTGGGCTTCCACAGGAGGGGGACGTTCCTGGAGTGGAGGCCCTGCCTTGTGGGCAGCCATGGCCTTGGCTTTCCCAGGTCAGACCGGACCCTTCTGCATGTCCACTCCTCCCAGTGAGGATATGTTTTCCCATGGCTTTGTCTTCTTGCCAACACCTGCTATAGATAAATATTTTAATTTTTATCCATGGGGTGGGCACCTCATGATGTCTCCATGTGATTTTTATGTTCTGCAGCATCCCCAAGCCAGCCTCCAAGGGCATGAGGCACACACACAACACGGAACAACCCTCTCCCTCATCTCGGAGTGCAGTCACAGAGCTAGGACAGCTTCGAGTCCAGCCCTGGGCACATCTGACCCCATGGCCCATGGTTTCTTCTCTGCCTCCACCTTCAATAATTTCAGGAGCCAACCAGGACGATTGATGCCAGACCACACGCAAACGTGGGCAAGGATGAAGCTGCCCTCCACGTATACCTGGTGGGCAAGCACCTCTGAATTCTCCACTCAGTGGCCAGGGCCTTTCATAAGTGGCTTGGATGAAGCAGGGCTGGAGGCTGCCATTCATTGTCCAAGCCTTCAACTGCCCGCAGGAACCGATCATGGCTGAGAGGATGGAGCTCTGCTAGGCGCAGGTACTGTCTTCAGCATTTCCATACACATGAGCTCATGTTTTTTTTTTTTTGAGATGAAGTCTTGCTCTTGTGCCCCAGGCTGGAGTGCAATGGTGCGATCTCGGCTCACTGCAACCTCCGCCTCCCGAGTTCAAGCGATTCTCCTGCCTCAGCCTCCCAAGTATCTGGGATTACAGGCTTCCGCCAACACACCCGGCTAATTTTTGTATTTTTAGTAGACATGGGGTTTCTCCATGTTGGCCAGGCTGGTCTTGAACTCCTGACCCCAGGTGATCCACCCTCCTTGGCCTCCCAAAGTGCTGGGATTACAGGCGTGAGCCACTGTGGCTGGCCCATATGAGTTTATTTAACCCTTACACACACTTCAAGGTACAGCAGTTTTCCCATTTGACAGCCAAACCATCAAGGCACAGAAAAGTTAAGAAAATTAGCCAAGATCACACAGCTAGCAGACGGTGGAGGTGAAGCTGTGTTTGGGGCATTCTGTGAAGGTGGTGTGTTTGGGGCATTCTGTGAAGGTGTGTTTGGGGCATTCTGGCCCCAGAGCCTGCACACAGAAGTCCCGTGCTGTGCCTCTCCATGCACCACGTGCTCAGGGCACCCAGAAACAGCTCCAACCTCCCCAGACCCAGGAGGACTCCTGCTGCCCAATTGCAAGACACTATAAAGCCACAGACCACATGATGGCGAAACGATACCCACAGATCAGTGAAACAGGAGGAAACCCAGAAATCAAGCCACACAAATACACCTGACTACTTAAAAAAAATGCATTGAAAAATTTAAAATGGGCTTCAATTTACGGAAAAATTGCAGACAGTACGGAGAGTGCCAGTGGACTCTGCGCTGTTTTCCTCATTTTTAACATCTTACTTTCCGATGGTGTGTTTGTTACAGCTGAGAGACCAACAATGGGATGTTATTAACTGAACCGGCCTTGGTGCTATTCACTTCAAGCTTTATTCTGAGCTCGCCAGTTTTCCGCAATGTCCTTTTCTGTCCCCAGAGAGCCTCCAGGACACCATGTCACCTTCGGTCACCATGTCTCCTTAGCTTCCTCTGAGCTGCAGCAGCGTCTCAGACTTTCCTTCTTTTTGATGAACTTGGCAGTTTGAAGGTGTTTCAGTCAAGTCTGTTGTGGAGTGTCTCCTAGCTGAGATGTGTCTGGTGTCTCTCTCTGGATTACACCGGGGCTACGGGTGTTGGGGAGCAAGACCGTGGAACGGAAGCGCCACTGCAGTCCCATCGTCTCAACATCACTTATCACCACGGAGTTGACCTTGATCACCTGGCAGGGACAGCACATGCCAGCTTCTCCACCACTGAGTTCTTTCCTTTTCCTTTCCATTCTGTCCTCTCCAGAAAGGAGTCACGAAGTGCAGCCCACACTCCAGGCTGGGTGGGGCAGGAGGCTTAACTACGTAAAGCAGAGCTCTTCTGTGCGGGGGGCCTGTCTCTCCTCCCCATTCGCTGACTGACTGAATAATTTATTACGTCACTGTGGAGTCACGGGTGTTTATTTTATAATAATTTGGGTTCTACCCCAATACCTCATTATCCATATCTTGCTCAAATTGTTCCAGCTTTGGCCACTGGGAGCTCCTTCAGGTTGGCCCTGTGACGTGCCCCATCCTTTTGCTTTGAGTTTGTTTGAGTTTATTTATTTACTTATTTTTGGTGGGGGGCAGTTTGGGTTTTTTTGACAGAATCTCACTCTGTCATCCAAGCTGGAGTGCAGTGGCACGATCTCAGCTCACTGCAACCTCCACTTCCTGGGTTCAAGTGATTCTCAAGCCTCAGTCTCCCGAGTAGCTGGGATTACAGGCACGTGCCACCACATCTGGCTAATTTTTGTATTTTTAGTAGAGATGGGGTTTTGCCATGTTGGCCAGGCTGGTCTCGAACTCCTGACCTCAAGAGATCTGCCCGCCTCCTCCTCCCAAAGTGCTGGGATTACAGGCATGAGCCACCATGCCCGGCCTTGAGCCCGTCTTTACTTTCTGGCACTACACAGTGCTCCCATCTCGTGTGTCTACTCCCTCCCCAAGGAGCTCTGTTCCCTTTGATTGGAGGATAGAGTCAGAACCCGAGATCTGGGCTCTGGAGTGTTTGCCGCGGAGGCACCCTTGCTTCAGTCTCGCTCAGCAGATGGGGTTAGGAAGTTTGTGTACAGCCCACGTATCCATGCAGAGCTAGATCTCTTTCCATACCCGCCCACCTCTAGCTACAGGACGCTGATGGGTGTTCACAGTGACGTCCCCAGTGCCTGTGGTTGATTCCAGCCTCGCATCCTTGCTCATTCAAAACCTCCCTCGCCAAGAACGAGGAGCCCAGCTGCCGTTTCATCCCTGTACACACGCACGGCAGCTTCAGGATCGGTAACCTGCCCTCCCGTGAGCAATATCTGCGCTGAGTGCAGTGTTGAAGCACGGTTGCCTTTTCCTGTAGTCATACAGATTCTCATCAGAATTGTGTTTCCCAAAGTTGCTTAGGTGAGTGCATCTGCCATGCTTACTGGGCCAGAGGAGTCACACCCCGGGGACCATGCAAAGCAGCTTTCACCTTCCCTGCATGCTCTTGCAATTCCCACAGAGGATTCGTCAACCATCACCCTCACCCCACAAAGCAGCAACCTGTTCCCAGGAAGAAATGAACACAGGAAAGACAGAAAACATGCCAGGGACCTGATTGCATATGGCGGCTGAGCACTCCCAGTGTGACGGCCTAGAAGCAACCTGGCTATGGGATGAGAAAAGGAGGAAGCGTCCACCCTCTGACACACCTACTGTTTCCACACCGAGGCCCCTGCTGTCTCCAGCGCACATCTGCGAGCCAGTGTCTATCCCACAAAGCCAGCTGCCAGGGTCCCGGCCTCTTCATCATGGTGCGTGCGGCCACGGCCCAGCCTGCTCGCTTCCTGCTGCATTAGAACATCTCCTCACTGGGGATTCCAGGGCCCTGAGCATTCTTGAGCAAATCTGTTTCCTTGCAGAGCGCATATCTCAGGCAGACACAGAATGTATAGAAAGAGCCAGGCCATCTGGGCTGCAGTCCACAGGCACAGGGCTGATGTTGCAGTGTTGGACACGCTGTTGACTCCACACCCAGCTGAGCTGGAAGGCTTTCCCTTGCATCTCCCAGCCACCGCTGACGAGAGGTCCCTGACGAGAGGTCCCTGCCCAAGTCCAGCCCAAGGCACCCCTGAGGGTTTGGCAGGAGTGGGGCACAGAGCCCACTGGTAGGGAGAAGCGGCTGTGGGCTCAGGCAGCCCTGGCTTTGAATCTGCGGTGCCCCTCACTCGCCATGGAAACTGGAGAGGTGGAAGCTGCCCCTGTGGGTCTCCATCTGCTCATCTGGGAGAAGCAGCCATAAAAGCTACCTGATTTGGTGTTTTCAGGGGTTGTTTGTTTGAGATGGAGTCTTGCTCTGTCACCCAGGCTGGAGTGCAGTGGTGCGATCTCCACGTACAGCAACCTTCGCCTCCCAGGTTCAAGCGATTCTCCTGTGGCAGCCTCCTGAGTAACTGGGATTATAGGCGCCCACCACCACACCCAGCTGATTTTTATATTTTTAGTAGAGGTGGGGTTTCACCATGTTGGCCAGGGCGGTCTCGAAATCCTGACCTCAGGTGAGCTGCCCGCCTCGACCTCCCAAAGTGCTGGGATTACAGGCGTGAGCCACCATGCCCTGCCGTGCCTGATCTATTGAATGGACTCAGAGAGGCAGTGAGAGGTGAGAGCTCAGTAGACAGTGCCTGCAGCAAGGCGGTTCTGTGGGTCCCCGAGACATGCTGAAGCCTCCACCCCAGGCCCTGTACCAGGTACCTGACAGGATGAGGTCACCTACCATTTCCGATGGGTGGGCAGGGCCCCCATAGAGCTCAGACACTGCTGGGCTTGCTCCTGGGCTCCCCCCCGCCCCCGACACAGGGCTGGCATGCAGTGGGTGCTCCAGGAAGCCCCCAATCAGCCACAGTCCAATGACCAACTCCTGACCTTTCCCTGTGAGCCCAGACTCCTTTCAGGGAGGAGCATGTCCCAGAGACAGTCCTGCAGGTGGCAGGCGGGTTCGGAGAGAACCCTGCCCTTTACTTTTTGGAATTAGGGCCTCCCAATCGGAGCCAACATCCTGGGACCCTCGACAAGTCCCTACCCTCCTGTGGGTCTCCCATTCCCATGGGGAAACACATGGGTCAGCTTTCCCCTGCAGCCCCAGCTGGCTCTAAGAGCCTTCCTTCCAGAACATGGTAAGTAATTTATCAAAGGTTCTCAAAATGCCCTGCCCCCTCTGCCCAGCTCTGTGGCTCAGAGAAAATTCCTGTGCTCTTTCCATGACTTCCTGCAATGCCTTCCCACATGTTTCCATATCACTGGGTCCTGTTCCCTCAGCCGTCCCTGCAGCTGTGCGGTTTTAACAACTGCTGGCCTAGAAGGCAGCATCCACTGAGACAGTGACCACTGAGGAACACGATAGACTCAGAAATGGGGAAACAGCCGCCCAGAGACGGCAAGCGAGCTGCCCAAGGTCACACAGCGTAGGATGGGTGCTGGGATGCTATGATGCCCTCCACCCACCTCGCTATCCTCAGGGGCCTCCCTGAGATCTCCCAGGCTTCCTGTGCCCAGAGTATCCACGAACCCAGGACCTGGCACAGCCACCAGCCACTCTGCATGGCTGGACCCATCATCTGTGGACCACTGAGCCTTTGGGCTTATCTGGATGATTCTAGCCCCACCCTGGCTGGGCTCAGACTGTCTCCAGGGCCTTGGGGAGAGCGGCTGGCCCAGCATGTGGATGAGCTCAGCCTCCCGCGTCTGGTCCCCAGATGCCCCAGTGAGACCTCCTCTGCCTTCTCAGGCGATCTTCCTCTGATCCCCACCCAGCACGCTTGTCCTCAGGAGACAGAGGTCAGCTCGTGCTTGGCCCGCAGAGCCCAGGCCATGGAGGGCCCAGCCAGGACAGCCAGCGGAGGTTGCCTTGCAAGCCTGGGGGTGGAGCCTCCATGGCTGGCTGCAGAGCCGAGCAGGGAGGAGGCCAATGCTGTGAGTGCAGGGAGGGGCTGGTGATGCCTGCCATGGCATAGATGGGGGCAAGGCTCACTGTGTGGACCACGATGGAGGTGCCCTTGAGTCGCTGTGGCACTTGTCCACCTTAGGGCTTGTTTGCTGGTCTGGATGGGTAGGAGAGCAAGGGGGGCCCTGTCAGTCCAGGGCTCCGCCTGGGCAGCGCTCTACACAGACAGTGCCCAAGGCAGGTGCGGCGTCCACAACAGCGGCGCTTCCTCAGTCCTGCAGAACTGGACACCTCAGCACCCGAGCTGCTGTCACCCAAACCGTCTCACCTGAGCCTCCCAGCAGGTGACGAGCGCAGAGCAGGGGGAGTCAGTCCATCTCTCGGATGAGGCACTGACCCCCAGGGCAAGGTCACAGTCAAGGCAGTCTGGAACCCAAATCTCTCTCAAGCCCAAGTGACAGGCCCCTGCGGAGCCACCTCCCACCAACCCCAGCGGGCTGTGCCGCTCATAGCTCCTCTACGTCCTGGCAGCCTAGAGATCCTGACACCCTAGACGCCCGCCTCCCAGCATTGTCCATCTCTGGCTTTCTGTTTGCTGGGCCTCCGGAGTGCCCTCCATCCACAGGGCATCGGCCCACCTGGGTCCCCTGAAGTGCCTTCCTGTCTCCCCACCTTCCCAGCCCCCACACCCCCCTGCTCACTCCGCCAGGCCTGCAGGACTCCCAGGCTCTGTGTCTCCCTCAGACCCACCCAGGCCCCCCGAGGGCTGACAGCCCCCATCCCCTGCTGGGAAATGAATTCCCCCTCCCCAGCCTTCCTCTTCCTCCCCTTCTCTTTGCCCGGAAAGGCATTCGGCAAGAAAGTGAAAGGAGAGGCTTTCTCTTCTTATTAACCTGGAGTTGTGTTGCGGGCGGCGCCAGAAACTGCAAAACCATCGCTGTCCTCACATGTTTCTCTGGAGACCGAGGGAACCAGAGCCCTCCAGAGCCGCACAGGAAACCCCATTGGGGATTGGACGGCACCCCTGATGAGCTGCTATTCCCCAGGGAGCACTGAGGGGCTGGAGAACCTGGGGAGGCAGGAAGAAGATCACTCTGACTTTGCTGGGAGTGGCGTCTTCACCGTCACAGCCTGGCATCAAGGGGAGCACTTGTCAAAAGTCTGAGAGCATGGGGGTGGGCTCTGCCCGGCTTCCTGCCCGGACCTCCCAGGAAGCGGGGAGCCCAGGAGGAGGGGATGGAAAGTGCAGAATGCCGGCCTCGGGCCCCTGCTCTCCTCTCCCCAGCCTGCCTGTCCCAACAAGGAGGGCTGGTCCACACTCGCACTGGGCCAGCCGGGCCGCGCCAGGCCTGGCACATGCTGGGCACTCAAGAAGTGCCTGCTGCATGAAGGTTGGGTGAGCGCCATCTCCGAGCAATGCTGTGCCTACAGGCCACTCAGGGTGACTCTCTGGACACAGCCCACCCTGACTTCTGCCCCAAATCAAACTGCAGCTGCTGGTACTGCCGACAGCAGGGAAGCCCCTTGGGACCCAGGAGGAGGCCTGGTGGGGATCTGACGCGGCTGAGGCCCAGGCTGAGCTGGAGCCCCGGGTCAGCCCCAGGCACTGCATCACGGGCCACAGCTGGTTGGGGCTCTTCTCTCCACTACCCTGACCCAGCCTCTGGCCCGCCCCTTCCACTGCCCAAAAGGGAAAAGCCACAGTCTGGCTCTGCAGAGGGGAAAGTGCACTTGGTCAGGAGTGTCAGCAAAACCAAAGTCTAAAATGCTGAGCCCCCTGAGCTCAGAACTTAGTGTTCAAAGGCTCACCAAGTCCTGAGGTGTGGCCAGCAGTACGGAGCCAGCTGCAGGGACCCCACCCGAGGCAAAGGCCCAGCCCTGTCCTGGGGAGCTACAAGCCAGGGCAAGCATGGCTGAGGGACATGGGCACAGGTGGTCCCAATTCTCACCTTAGCAGGTGCTGGCCCTGGGGCACCAAAGGACTTCTGGGGGAGATGGTGCCCAGGGTGTGGCTGGCGGTTGATCTGGGGTTACTGGTCCTGTTTTCAGGTCACTGTAGTGGGGTTACATGGAAGCCCCCGGTCACACTCACCTAGAACCCCCATTCTGTTCCTGGGGGACCTGCACATCTGCAGAGGGCTTTCCATGCCTGCCCCACCCAGCTGGCACCCAGGGAGGTGGAAGAAGACAAGGCAGCCTCCCTCCAGTCCCTCAGACTCCGCCGGACCCCAGTGTCAGCAGAGCTGGTCACTGAGTAGTAGTAGTACTAGTACTACATGGGTACAAGGGAGACCCAAAGCCAGGACAGGGACCCCAGGCCACCCCCGACCCCACATCCGCTTGTTCAGCTGGACTGGCCAGGTTCTCCCTTCTCCTTGCCATTTCAATCATCTCAGGGCAATTTCCTTTCTCGTCTGAACTCTGATTCCTCCCCAGATGGCTTCCTCCCTCGTTCCCCCTCTAGCGGGTCTGGGCCAAGCCCCGTGGCTAAGGAACATCACAGGCCGTCGCTAGGAAGGGCACCGCGGCGGGTCGGCCGGAAGGCTCTGGCGGCAGCGCGCGTGCTTGGAAAGGGAAGTCCTCCTGCAGAAAGGCGCGGGCTGGGGCTTGGGGCCTGTCCCACCGAACCAGGCTCAGTGGCCACAACTATGCCATGAGCACATTTTTAGACTGTGAGTCAACTGCTAATAGAGTGATTTTTATAATCACCCCAGAAGGAAGGCTGATTTATAGCTCTTCTCGATGGAGCAGAGTCAGCAGGAGGTGGGTCTGAAATAGACTTGGGGTGGGGGGTGGGGGAAGGATCCCTCCTAGACCAGCCACTGGCCGGCGTGAAACAAGGCAGAGAAGGCTGCACAAACCTCTCGGCCCCTTGTCCACGGGGAGTCTGGGCTCCCTGAGATGAAGAGCAAGACCAAGTTTGCTGTCCTATCAATCAGGACACTGAATTAGATCCCCTAGGGCTGGCTTATATTACTGTCACTTCAGCATTTAGTTACAAGGGAAAATAAATCAATCGCAGAAATCATTGTCTGTGCTTCTATCCTATGCCAAGCCGTATGGATTTTGGGAGATGAAGAAGACCAACCTTTTGTGCAGGAAGGGGGCCACATGCAGGAAAAAGAAAGTTCCAGATGTAAACACATAATGGTCTGTGGGTCTCATCTGAGCCTGTTGAGCTTGAACTCAGTGGAGAGTTGTCCCGTCAGACCAGCCTGTTTGTGTGTCGACGGCTGCGAGGGATGCGCGCACGCCTGGACCGTTCAACCAGCGGCTGACGCGGCGGAGGCTCTGCAGCCTTTGCCCTCTGCCCCCTCCAGGTGGAAGGCCGGCTCCCTCACCTGCGGAGGATGCCAGGTCATGGCAGGGCTTCTGCAGGGCGGCTCCCAGGACCACTGGGGTCTCTACTTGGGAAAAGGGGCCATGGGCAGGGAGCCAAGACCCGAAAACTCAGCGACTCAGCCTTTTGCTTCTCCAGGACGGGGTCCTCCAGCACAGAGGACCCCTTCGATTCCACCCTCACACGCAGTTGACAACCAGCTCTGCCCCGCAGCTGCGGCCCTGGGGAACAGAGCGGCCCCAGCTCTAAACTGAAGGTGGGTGTGACGTCTCCCACACGGAGGATGTAAAGCGGGACAGGTGTGAAGAGGCGGAGAGATGCAGGTGCTGAAGCACCATCCAGTCCAAGGACAGCAAAGAGCCAGTGTCCACCTGGCCCCCTTCCCTCCTGTTCTCACAACACACGTTGCTGGTCAGCCCTCCCTCCTGTCAATTTTGGGCTGCTCCTCAGAGTCCTTCTCAACACAGCCCTCTGGGCCACCACGTGGAATTGGTGAGGATCATTTATGAAACAAGTTCTCCGTTTCTCTACATTATAAATAAAACTGAAACTCAGAGGGGCAAGGACCTGCCTGAGACCACTCAGAGTTGGAGCAAAGCAGACACGTGGCCGCAGTTGTCCAGAACACCCAGGAGAGGGGGCCGAAGGAGGTGTCCGGGGAGGCGGGAACACCTGAATGACACAGTGCCAGATGGGACAGGGGCTGCAGGGGCATCACTAAGGACACATGTGCTTGTTGAGTGAGTGAAGGATAAACATGAAGTCAACAAGACGTGGGGTGGGAGGTGGCACAGGAGCTGAGAAGGTGGAGTGGAAAAACAAACAGAGATGACAATCGACGGCCTGCAATGAAGGTTATTGTCATTAGGAAGCAAGTCTTTTATGATGGTGGGAAAAGAATATGCATTGGCTCGGCACTTGAAATGAATATTCCCATTTTATAACCAGCAAGACCCAAAGAAAGGGGATTGGTCGGAAACACCATAGAGCTGTTCCTCCGGGAGGCCCCCAGGGAAAGCAAGAGGGTCCCAGGCACAGCCACCACTGCCAGGGATGACCTTCAGAGAGAGGCCTCAGCCGCCACCACCCAGCCTCCACCACCCAGCCTTCTCCACCCAGCCTTCTCCACCCAGCCTCCACCACCCAGCCTCCACCACCCAGCCTCCACCACCCAGCCTTCTCCACCCAGCCTCCACCACCCAGCCTTCTCCACCCAGCCTCCACCACCCAGCCTCCACCACCCAGCCGCCACCACCCAGCCGCCACCACCCAGCCGCCACCACCCACCACCCAGCCTCCACCACCCAGCCGCCACCACCCAGCCTCCACCACCCAGCCTTCTCCACCCAGCCTTCTCCACCCAGCCTCCACCACCCAGCCTCCACCACCCAGCCTCCTCCACCCAGCCTCCACCACCCAGCCTTCTCCACCCAGCCTCCACCACCCAGCCTTCGCCACCCAGCCTCCACCACCCAGCCTTCTCCACCCAGCCTCCACCACCCAGCCTTCTCCACCCAGCATCCACCACCCAGCCTCCACCACCCAGCCTTCTCCACCCAGCCTCCACCACCCAGCCTGCAGCTGAAAACAAAACAGGTTGTGCCCTTCAGCAAGGGTGAGAGAGCCCAGTGAAAATGTCACTTTCCCTCAGATGGCTGCCTCGGTGGCTCTGTCTTACTGACTGTGTGTGCCGCATGTTTCTTTTATTTCAGCTGATGTGGGGTAACGGGGCCCTGCCTTCTCCCACAAACCCCCTGCCAGGACTCTGGAGGCAAACTGTCCCCAAAAGAAATGGTATGAGGCACCCTCAGCTCCTCCAGTGACCCATGGCCTGCTCCCTCCACAACATCCCCACCCCCAGCCTCAGGCTGGCACAGAGGGACAACCACGGCTGCGTAGACTCCCAGACGGATGCTCACGATGTTAGGGGCGGCCTGGCCCTGTGCCCACCTGAGGGTTCCCGGAATTCCAGCTGCCTGAGAAAGTCGGTGAGAGCCCAAGAAGGTGTTCTGGCACCCTGGATCTCCCGGATCTCCCGCTTCCCGAGGGGCCCGGAGAGAACAGACTTATGGAAGCATGGATTCTACGGATAGCCAGAGTCAGAGATGGTCTGGGTGCCAGCCACAGAAGGTACTGAAGCCAGAAGGGAAACACAACTGTCCACATACGGTAGTCAGTGCGGTTAAGAAGGAGGATTCCTGAGTCGGACATACCTGGGCTCAAACGGCTCTGCCACATCCTAAGTGCGTGGCCTTGGGGAGGGGCCTAACCTGACTCACCTGAGCCTCCTCATCGGTGGAGATGACACCTATGAGACGGGATAGCAGTGAGGTTGAAACACAGTAACACACGTGTTTAATCACACACATGCATATACACACACGCAGGCACACACACAAGCATGCGCACACTGCTTGGCACAGAAAGTGAGATATACTCAGTGCTGGGCTAGTACATGTTTAACAATCTTAGCTCTCTGGGGTAAACAAAATCCTAGAAAACAGACCCACTTTGTAGCACGCGCCGAGTCGACTTCCCCGGGGCAGATACTCCAAACCCTGGCTCTGCGCGCGATGTCCCTGAGCGGGCCTGGGAGGAGGTGAGAGTTACCCGCACGCCACCGGCTGCGCTGGTCCCAGCACAGGGCTGCTCCACCCAGAAGCTGCTGGCCTGACGGGTGACAGAGGGGCCTTTTGACCAGGCTGCAAGACTCTGACTTGGAGACAGGCCGCTGGAGGGTGAGTGCTATGGTTTGAACGTGTGCGTCCCCCCAGCATTTACATGTTGGAGCCTAAGGCCCAATGTGATAGTATTAAAGGGTGGGGCCCTTCAGAGGCGATTGAGTTATAAGGGCTGCAGCCCCATGAATGGGATCAGTGTCCTTATAAAAGGGCTCAAGGGACCTAGCTAGACCCCTTTTTGCCTTCCTGCCTTCCACCATGTGAGGACATAGTACGTGTCCCCTCCGGAGGATGCAGCATTCAAGGCACTGTCTTGGAGTGAGAGACCAGGCCCTCCCCAGACACCGAACCTTCCTTCGCCTCCTTGATCTTGAACTTCCCAGCCTCCAGTACTGTCAGCAATAATGTCTGCTGCCCCCAGATGACCCAGCCTGAGACGTTTTGTTGCAGTAGCAGACATAGACTGCCAGCGAGGATGGGGCCCCTCTCCAGAACGGCAGACACCCGTCCCTGACCATCTAATGGCCTTGTGCACCCAGAGGGTAGAATACACCAGTCTAAGAGCCAAGGGAAGGGAGAGGGGAGGTCCCACTCACCACACCCCTGTGATTGGGTGAGGGAGCTCATCTTCCTGTCTTCATAACGTCGGGCCCAGTGAGCCCAGGAGTCCAGTTTCTCCTAAGGCATTGCTGTCCCCAGAGACACAGGAAGAGTCCCCTCCAGTTTCCCTTGACTGCCTCTTGCTCACTGTGGGCTCCTCACGCCAACAGACCAGCAGCGTAAGAAGGAGATGGTCACTGAAGCGGGAAATTGGCCTCTTAGCCGGAGTCACTGGGCCTGCTCCTCGTGGGGGGGTGGGGTGCTGCTGCCACACAACAGGGGAGGGAAGAACACAGTTTCAACTCTGCGCACACCCCTAAGCATGTGTGAGGGTGACAGGACAGATGCAAGAGCTGGTTGGAGAAGGGCCTGGTGACCGGGGCACTGACCTGAGGGGCAAGGGTGGGGGTCACCCAGCTTAAGGCCAGACCAGCAGAGGCAACAGGCGGGGGTGAAGGGAATTGAGAATGGGTGGCTGAGGGGAGAAATGACGAGGCTGGCTGCAACCGGGCGAGGGTGGAGGGTGCCGTGGTTTATCCCATAACCCTTCTGTTACCTTTCCCCAGAAAAACAGATCAGCCGAAGCTCTCGCAGAGTAACTGAGTGTTCGAGGAAGTGAGGAGGCTGCAGCAAATGTTCTCGTGTGCCCAAGATGCCACCCTCAAGACCAAGGCTGTCACTCCAGGCGGGCCTGGAGCTGCCGGCGGATCACAGCAGAGTCTCTGCCAGCTGCCCTGCACCCAAGGGAGCTGCACTGTGTGAGGTCACGCCCGCTCCCAGGCCCAGCCACATCTCAGGACAAACCGCATGGGAGTCGGTCCGGAGGCTCAGCCCGCTTACCTCAACGCAGGACAACTCCAAAGGGAATCCCAGCTCCAGAGCCGTCCACAGGACGGGCTGACGCCCGAGTTCACGACCGCGTCACCACTCAACTCCTCCCTCCGCCCTGTGCTGCACCCCTCACGCCCTTTTAGGTGTTGGTCCCAAAAGCGTTTCCCCAAAACCACCCATACATAATTCTCTATTTCCAAGGACTCCAGAGAGCCCGTCTTAAGACACTTTGGTTGCAAGACCCCAAACCAACATGAATGGTGCCCCTAGCCAGGTGTAATGGGAGAGAAGGCCCGTGGTGGAGGCCTCGGCTCTGTCTGTCATAACTGGAAGAAGAGGGTGGTGGCTGCCAGGTGCTTTGCCAGGTCCCGCTTACCACCCTGGGGCATTGGAGGAGTCACCCGTTGCTGCCCATCTCAGCAGACAGGGGCAGGTGTCCCCGGAGCATCGCCCCTCAGGGCAGGGCTGTGAGTTTTCACTCCACGGAGGCTCAGGCCATTCCCAGCAAGAGGAGGCCATGTCCGCGTGGCACATTCTAACATATGGTGAGTGTGATTGTAATCAGTTGTCCAAAACCCATGGGGATTGACTGTTCATCGACTCCCTTTCAGGGGCTGTTGGAAGAATTAACTGCACGTCAACTAGCCGCGGAAAAAGGCTGAACTGCTTCTCAGCATGTGTGTGGAATTCTTGACTGGGATTTTCAATATGGTTCAGAGCCAAACTTTTCTTTCTTTCGGAAAACATCTGAGAGTCTGCTGAAAGCCAGTGAGAAAGTAATCCCATGTACACATTCTCGGCAAGCCTCAGGCTGAAACGGCTCTCACATGTGGACTCGAGCCTGCCTGGATACAGACGGGTTGGAGACGGATCTGCTCAAAGGCGGCTCAGCAGGAGTGAGAAACCAGTCCTTCCTGAGCTTTCTGCAGCCCCCCGGGAGCCCACTGAGGAGGCTCAGAGGCTGCTCTGGGACAGGGAGCAGCCAAGGTGGGACGCAGGGCAGTGGGCAGGCTTCCCCGGGCAGCAACGCCAGCACCCCTGCTTCCAGCATCCCCATCTCAGTCCCCTTCACATGCAGGACTTCCCCCAAGTGATTAATGTGACAAAGGGGCCCTGTGGCTAAGGAAACACCAAGGCACAGGACGGTCACGTAAACGACAGCCACGCTTCGGCAAGGTCCCCACTGGAAATACGGAAGCGAGACAGCGCGTCTGCAGCCACGTGTCCGTCGGGTACCGAGCCACCCAGTTCCATGCTGGGACCACATGGATGGGGAGGGGACACCGTGGCCACCCCCTAGGCATTGCTCAGTCATTCTTGTACAGCGTACAATCGCCCGTTTATAGGAAGAATGCTGACCATATATTCTGGTTTTCCATGCGCAATACTTCACTAGGAAAGAATGCAGAACTCACCAGAAGGAGCACACGCTGCAGTTTTCCCCATCAACCAAACCTCTTCCCAGGGATTGGGAAATAGGATGGCGGGGCTCTCCTGCCCTTCCGGCGCCTGGAGAAGGCACAGGTGGCCCCAGCAGGGTCCTAGACAGACAAGGGTCCCAGAGATCAAACCATAGGGTCTTCCTGCCTGAGACAGGGACATTTGACAAGGCAGCTGTGAGTTTGGAACCTGTAACCAGGGCACGGCGCCTCGGCACTCCACTCACCCTGCAGAATGAAATCTCAACCCAGGATGGACGGTGGAGGGAGTGCTGCCTCTCACCGGCGAGGGCACAGCCTCACCCAGCCACAGGGCTCCCTGTGTGACACAGGCTGAGCTCTGGGTCTCGGGAGAAGGCACACACACGCTTGCAACGTGAGGTTTCCTTGCAACACAAAGTTCAGATTTAGGAGGGGAAAGATGAGTTTCAGATGCTAAAACTAGTCTTTGGGGACTTTTCAAGGATAAGAGATGGCCTGCTTCTGGGCCGGCCTTTGGGAAAGGTTTTCATTCTCAATTTCCACCCTGACCGATGCTGCGTCGTGTTGTTGATATGTGAAACGTGGTCTGTGATGTCCTGAGGCCTGGAAATCCAGATGTTCCCCAGTTCAGACTTCACAACTCAGGAAAGTGAATCTTAGTGAAATACACATTGGAGCTTTTAAGAACTGTTTTTAAGGAGACATGTAAGAAAACGTGACTCAGTGAATGATCACAAAGTTTGCATGCAGGTGACAGACACCCAGGAGAAGAGGCACAATAGGACCGTCTCCCTGGAGGCCCTCTGTGCCCCTCTCACCCTCATTCCTTCTCCCTTCCCCAGAGTGGCCGCCGCCTGCCTGCTCACACTGCCTCCGTCACCGGGATCGCGCCGTGGGTGAATCTGGTGTCCGGCTCCTTTTGCTCCATGTGGGCAGGCTCCCCTCTGTTGCTGGGCCTGGCTCTTCATTCACTCCCATTGCTTATGAGCACATGGATGCTTTTTAAAAGGAGAAAAGAAAATTAGCCTGTTGTTGTTTGAAGGCAACAATCCTGCCCTGTCCAGCTGAGAACATCTGCTAGGAGAGCTTGGGCTGTGCCGTGCGGGGAACCGTGGGAAGCAGGGTAGGTGGGTGTCTGTCAGGGGAGGGGAACCAGGGATTAGGTCAGACAAGAGGCGGAACAGGGAGACAGGCAGGACCAACACCATCTCGGGGGCTTGGCCAGACCGGCCACTCATCTCTGCCAAGTCAGATGCCTCCAAGGAGCCGAACCCTAGAGAAAGCTGCAGGGCCGGGAGCCTCTGGGACGGGAGGACCCCACCTCCAGGGCAGCCCACTCTGGGGTGGGACAATGGCCTCCTTTGCTGCCCCATGGACGATGAATGGCACCCATGTATGACTCATGCCGCTGGTATTTTCTGGCTGATTCCAGTGAGCCGAAGGAAGGAACCTTAGTTACTAAAGGCTGCTCTCACTGCAAGCCAGCGGCTCCCTGCAGCTGGTGAAAGTGGGCGCCGCAGGATAGCGCAGCCCTACCCCTTGCACTTCTCCGGATTTTACTTTTCTTTTAATACTATGAGGATGAAAGGACGAAAGCTAGTCTAGGATTGAAAACATCGGCCAGGCACGGTGGCTCACGCCTGTAATCCCAGCTCTTTAGGAGGCCAAGGTGGGCAGATCACCTGAGGTCAGGAGTTTGAAACCAGCCTGGCCAATATGGTGAGACCCCTGTCTCTACTAAAAATACAAAAATTAGCCAGGCACAGTGGCACACGCCTGTAATCCCAGATACTTGGGAGGCCGAGGCAGGAGAATTGCTTGAACCCAGGAGGTGGAGGTTGCAGTGAGCCGAGATCACACCATTGCACTCCAGCGTGGGTGACAAAGGGAGACCCTATCTCAAAAAACAAACAAACAAACAAAAAACAAAACAAAAAAATGAACAGAAAACATGACACCCCCTCCTGGCACTTCAAACACCCCTACGACATCTGTGTCCCCTGCCCAAGTCCTGTCCTGCACAGAGAGGGTGGAGAATCCACATGTGAGGCATGAAGAAGCCACACAGGCTTAGCGAGGAGGGGCAGCCATGCCCGACCCACAGAGGCTATTGGCTCAAAATCCTTCCACGATAATCAGCTGCTTTCCCACCAAGAAACAAAAGCCTGGAGCACGTGCAAAGGAAGAAGAGAGCTCAGCTGTAAAATGCCAAGACGTTCAAAATAACTACGGATGTTTAACAAGAAATGCACAGGCCTACGTGAAGAAATGTTAGAAACTCTATTAAGTAACCTAAGACAAAAATGGAAAAAAGAGGAAATTCCTGGTGCATAGGAGACTCATTAAAGGTAAAACTGGGCCAGGCACAGTGGCTCACGCCTGTAATCCCAGCACTTTGGGAGGCCGAGGCGGGCAGATCACTTGAGGTCAGGAGTTCGAAACAAGCCTGGCCAATATGGAGAAACCCCGTCTCTACTAAAAATACAAATATTAGCTGGGCATGGTGGTGCACACCTGTAGTCCCAGCTACTCGGGAGGCTGAGGCAGGAAGAATCTCTTGAACCCAGGAGGTGGAGGTTGCAGTGAGCCAAGATTGTGCCACTGTATTGCAGCCTGGGCAAACGAGTGAGACTCTATCTCAAAAAAAAAAAAAAAAAAAAGGTAAAACTGCCATTTTCTCCTAAAATTATCTACAAGTTGAATTCAATCCTGCTAATTAAAATACCTCTAGTAGTATTCTCTGCAGCGCTGGAGGGGGGTGCTTAACAGATGATTTTTATTTCAAATAAAATAATTAATTTACAAGGACAGACCAGAAATTTCTGATCCTGTAATGAAGTTGCCTAAGTAGCCGTTTGTGGTATCAAGGCCACCTTGGTACTGGAGCCATCGATGGGACAGAGCAGAGTCCAGAAATTAGTCCAGAGAGACATGTGGAATCTTAGATTCTGATAAACTGAAGATAGAAGACAGACTGTCCCATAAAGCGTGGGGAGGCAAATGCCTTGACATTCGGAGAAACAAACCTGAAGGAAGAATGGAATTCTTACCTCCCTCCTTACCCCAAAACAAATTCCAGAAGGAGAGAGTTTAAAACATGAAAAATGACACATAAAAAAGTAGGAAAAGGCCATGTGTGGATTTAAAATACAATCCTGGAGCATGAACGATTCTAGATGGCACCAAAAAGGTGATGTCAAAATGTCTATGGATTGGAGTACATGAAACGTGAAGGTTCTGTATAGCGCACACACACACATATGTGTATACACATCTGTATAACACATGTATGCTACATGTATGCATGTGTGAATGTGTGTATACATACACACACATGTGTAAGCATCTCACATATTATTCAAATACAATGACAACCTGGACAAAAAGAAAAATTGCTGCAGGATAGAGCAAGGCTTCAATTCCATAACATACAAGAGCTTGTACAAATCAGTGGGAGAAACAGACAGTGGACAGGAAGCAGACAATTCAAAGGAAGGGAAAACAACTAGGCTATGTGTATTGCGAGACGCAAACCCAATTGATATGGCTTGGCTGTGTCCCCACCTAAATCTCACCTCGATATCCCCATGTGTCAAGGTAAAGATAACGAATCACGGAGGCAGTTTCCCCCATACTATTCTTGTAGTGGTGAATAAATCTCACAAGATCTGATGGTTTTATAAATGGGAGTTCCCCTGCACAGGCTCTCTCTCTTGCCTGCTGCCATGTAAGACATGACGTTGCTCCTCCTTTGCCTTCTGCCATGACTGTGAGGCCTCCCCAGCCATGTGGAATTGTGAGTCCATTAAACCTCTTTCCTGTATAAATTACCCAGTCTTGGGCATGTCTTTATCAGCAGTGTGAGAACACACTAAAACACCAACTTGAATTATTTTTGACCCATTCTCCTGGCAACAGTTAAGAAGTTTTCAATACCTGGCATTGGTGTACTGGAGAAGAGGTGACCCTCGTGCTCTGGTGTGATGCCACGGGGGCGCTGGCTGCCGGGCCAGTGTGGTCACAAATCGGTATCTAAACTGCGTATACCCTGCACCCTCAGCATTAGAATCTCTACGGCAGTGGATTTCATCTTTATTTCATCTTTTTACGGAGTCAGCCAAGATGTACCCAGGAGAATGGCCACCACCCCGTTGCTTAAAACACGCGATGTTGCTCAGACACTTAGGGCTCGAACAGTGAGCAATGCTCCAGGTCCTCTGGGAACATTAACTTGATCCTCACAGCCACCTGTGAAGTAGGTACCCTCCTCATCCTCATGACACAGACGAGGAAACAGAGGCACAGAGAGGTTCAATAACTGCCCAAGGTCACACAGCAGTCCCGCCTTCTCGCCAGTCGTCGTGGGGCACAGTGAAGGAGGGGTGTGAGCCTCGTGATACAGAGCCTGGCGTGCAGTGTGTGTCCAATCCCTGCCTAGTGCTGCTGTCATCATGGTGGGCACAGGGTGCTCTGGGTAGTGGTTCGTTTCTTGAAAGGACTTAGATCTCCCTCCCAAAAAGTTTGAGGTTGATCCTGCTTCGCTAAGCACTCTAACAGCAAATTGTAGGGTGGACCCGATGCGGGGTTGCAGTGCTGTAACCACCAGGCGGATCTGATGACTCTGCTGTGTCCTGAGACCGTCGCTGTCCCAGGAGGATGCCGCAGGCAGATCCCAGCATCCCGAAAAGGATCATTAATACACGATTGCCCAGGGGCTCCGTGGATTCCAGACGAGGGGCCTTTTCCTCCCCTGCAAAGCCGCAGCCCCTCTGGACTGTTGAGCCTAAGGCCGCGTTGGCCAGGCGGCCTGTGACAAGTGTGACCCTCCTCCCCTGCACGGAACATTGCTCTCCAACGAGGCCAGGGGGGCTACAGACCGCACTCGGCCATTTCCAGGAAGTGATTTGAAGCCAGCCGTAAAAGTTGGGAGTGTTCCCCCTCCTCTGGGTTCCGGCTCTGGAACTGGTCCAGACCAGCTCCCCACACCCTTGGCGGAGGTTCAGGAGGATTTTTCCCTCTCGTTGAACCAGAGAATCAATAGGGGGATTGTCCCACAGTTGAGAAGGTAGGTCCCGGGGTCGCTGAAACGATGACTCTGGTGCCTCCCCAGGCAGCGTGGAGGTCACTCTGGAGGTCAGGGCCTGGGGATGTCATGGCCTCAGCCCCCAGCAGCTACAAAGAAGGCAGGAGTAGATGCCTCACACATCCATGGTTTTGGGTTTTCTCACCCAGGAAGTTCCAGGTTCCTTCCCTGGTGCCAGCCTTGGACCATCCACAGGGCCCTCAAGCACATGGGAAGGGGGTGTCTCCAGGGGCCACTCTGGAGGCCTCCACAGGAGTGTCCAGGCCCAAAGCCTCAGGGCCCTGGGGCTCTGTCTCCTAACAACTGCTTCACCCTTCCCACTGCCAGGTGGGACCCTCCTCTCAGGAGAGACCCACAGCCAACTCCAGGGAGCCAGCAAGTGTGTGTTTGCAGCATGGGGGTGGGAAGGCCGCTCCCTTGATAAGGAAATAACTGTCTGTAGTTATTCCCGGCGCAGCCAAGACCATCTTGTGCATTGACATTGACCACCCCTCTAGAAACACAACCTCGAAGTCGGTGAGAGATGGTGGCGTAGGAGCGTGTCAGCCTTTCAGGGGACGCCTGCACTCGGCCATTCACTCCCCAAGTCACCTTAGAAAGCTCCCTTCCCACCCAGTCCTCAGTTTCCCTAACTGACCAGGTCTCATGGTTCCTTCCAGCTGCACCTTCTGGGCTCCCCCAGGTCTCTTGGGGCATCTCTGTGGGGTGTCCAGGTAAGGTGCTCAGAGGACAGCTGGCCACGGCAGGACCATGGGGTGACAGTGAAGTTCCCTGTGGGACAGGGAGGAGGTAGGACACGCGAGCAGATGGGCTGGGTAGGGAGGTGGAAGAGGGGGACGTCCATGAAAGGGCTGGGAAAGCGTCCGAGGTCGGGGCCTCCTTGGCCTGGCACACAGTGCTGAGCAAAGGGCAGGGGAGGGCACCCAGGCAGCACCCCCAAGCTGAGGTGCCCCCAGGAGAGGTCCCAGAAGAAGCCCAGCACTCCCGGAGGAGGAAAGCACACCCCTGGCCCCAGCCTCAGGACCAAGTCCCCAACAACAGTTCCCATCCTTCTCCCTCGGCCACAGCTGGGCAGCAGCTGTTTGTGTCTGAAATCTTCCCCTCTCCCCCCACATCCTTTGCTTAGAGTGCTTTTTGCTCCAGTTGAAATTTTGTTCCAAATGGTAAATATTTTATTTCCATCTGCACGCCTCCCATACAGATGACTTTAACACAATATGGAAAATACCTTTCGCTCCTCAGTTCAGCCCAGGAGTTGAGATGAGTTCTCTGTGTGGACAGAGGGCACGCTTTTGGCAAAACATCCCACCTTCCTCTGGATCATGATAAGCCCAGGGAATGCGCTTGCCCGCTCCTGCCCTCCAGGGCCTACTTTTGGGCTTGTGAGATGCCATGATTCGGGCAGGGAAGCAGCATCCACGCGTGGGTTTTATTCTAGTCCTGTCTGCCCGGCGTTGGCATGCACCTCTGAAACTCCTGAACCGAGTGGAGCACAGTGGACAGGAGTCTGGACAAGCTGGCTGGGCTGCTTTGGGAAAGTCACCTCCCCTCTCTGATCCTCGGTTTTTCCTTCCGTAAACTGGAGGTGAACGCAACAGAGCCCATTCCACAGATTCTTGCAAGGACAGAATAAAATTGTGCTTATGAAATGCTTAGCCCACTGCTAAGTCTGTTACAATGGCAGCCACTATAAATATGGAATCTTAGAAATGTAGTCCACCCCGCTTCAGCTCACTGACGGAGAAGTGGTGCCAAAACCGTGCTGGCTGATTTGCATTTAGCGACTTGGATTACAAATGAAGCAATGGCTGTGGGGCCCGGGAGGGGCCTTGGCACATCAGAGCAACCCCAACAGTGCATCAGCACCGCATGCCCCACATGCATGGAAAGGCCAGCCCCTGTGGATGTCCCTGTCCTAGGAGAATGAATCCAGGGACCAAGTGACGGCCTCTCTATCCACCCCAGCGTGGCGCATGCTCAGGGCCCTGGTACCCAGAGGCCTTTTGTGGGTTCATTTCCAAATAGAAGGCTCTGCTGAGCGGCGGGTTGATGGCAGCAACAGGGTCGGGGAGGGGGCTGCTCCGCACCTCACCCCTGGGCCCACTGGTCCTTTAAGAAAGTTCACATCCGAGAACAGCTGCCTCATAAATTCGGTTTTCATTAATTTCCTGGAAGATGATGTTTTAATTTCCACATGGTCAGCCTTGGGAGACCTGGGGAAGGAAGGCCGAGTGCAGAGTGGGTCCTCTGCAGTACCTGGCACCCTTGTTTTTATGGATTCCCACACTTTCTGTTTAATCATCTCCAGCTTACAATTCTGGCACCCAAGGGGACAGGAGCAAGCCGATGGAAAAACCCCGATTGCTTTCTTGGAGTGAGAACCCAGCTTAGAGCAGCTCTAAGAGTCACAAAGGGGGAAGAACTCAGAACCCCACAAAGGACAGCCAGGCCCCTCCAAGGGCTGGACATCGCTTCCCTCCTCTGAACGTCCGTCCCAGGGAGAAGGTCGCTGCCGTCCACGTGGCACAGGGAGGAGGAACCTTCAAACATGCAGCAACAATGCTGTGTTTGGAGGGAGACAGACTCTGCCCAACTCCAAAAGTTCGTAGTTTTTTTTATTTTCTTCAGGTTTCCACAAAACCTCCAATAAACAATAAGCTAGCAGGGTCACTTTTAGTGTGAGGCCCGGGGTGTGGACGGGGATGAGGTCATGCGGCCTGGGCTGCTGGGATCCTGGACACAAAGAGAGCTGCCTGGTGCAGTCCCACACGAGCAGAGTGCGGAGGCTGCTGCATCTCGGCGGGCGTCAGGCTGTGGGGGCAGCCGGCCGGGCAGGGCGACAGAGGTTGAGGGCTCTAAGCTCTTCCTTTACTTTAAGATGTTGCCTCCAGCCAAAGTGCAGGTGACCCCTAGCTAGTAGCCCAGGGACCTGAGTCTCTCTGGACAGATCGACAGATCATGAGGCCTGGTGGTAAGGTGCACAGACTCCCAGCCAGACCCCCAGACCCCAACTGACCGTGTGACCTTGGTGAGGTTGCCTATCCTCCCTGCCTCGGTTTCCTCATCTGTAAAGTGAGATTCACAAGACCATTCCCCCTATGGGGTTGCCATACCGATTCAATGAGCTAAACTCTGTAGTGTTCAGAAAGGGTCATGGCATGTGGTAAGTCCTTCCGAGGTGCTGGCAAAATTCAGCAAATGCACCAGAGGCTCAGCCAGGAGGAAGAGAGTGCCCTGGCCCTGTAGGAGACCAGAGACCCTGCTTATTTCAGACACAAGGAAACTGAGACCCAGGGGCCTTTTGGGCCTGTCCAGTTGCCCAGCTGGTTGGCCTGAGACCTGCTCTATGGAGAGGGTGGCCCCCACTACTCCTGCTCCAGCACGTGCTCTGCTCCTGGAAGATGGGAGGGGGCACATAGCCCCCACTCAGGGTCTGCCCCTGCCTGGCCCTGCCTGCCCTCCCCAGGCACCCTGGGGCTTGGAGCTGTACCGGCCTCTGGGTGCTTTACAGACCCTACGGCCTCCTGGGTCTGCACGCCCCAGCTTTGAACCCTGCTCTAAGCAGTGCCTTGACCTGCCCCACCTGGGACAGCCTCATCCATGTCCCCAGACCCACCCAGCTCTGTAGGGGCCACATTCCAGATTGAGAGGCTGAGCCCTAGCTTCAAGGGCTCGGAGTCAGCTCGTTCAAGCCAGCACCGCCGGCACCCCCTGCGGATCCTGCCCCCGCTGATCCTGGCCCCACCGATTCTGCCCCTGCTGCACCCGTGCCACTCTCATGCTCCAAAATGGCTTGTTTTCGTTGTTCACTTTGGGGTTCTTTGGGGCACGTTTTTAAGTACAAAATATTTCCCAAAAATATAGAGCAGCACTGTCCAGTGGAACTTTCCCGATGATGGGCACGTCCTATATCGGCCCTGTCCCATTCGGTAGCCACTGGCCACTTGAAATGGGGCCACTGTGCCTCTGGACCTGCATCTAAAGTCCATCTTTTTAAATTCACCTGCATTGAAACAGCCAAGTACGGACCGTGGCTTCCACATTGCACAGCACAGGTTTAGAGAAGGTGACTCAGAACCAGAACTAACAGATCTCACGTTTGTTAAGTTTCTGTGACATTTCCGTTTCCCCAGAAGCAACCCCTGACACAAGGACCCAAGGATGGAGAGAATGCTGGGGGGAGAGGGGCCACCGGGGAGGGGGGTAGCCATCGAGAGAGCACGTGCAGCTCCACAGCCAGGTGTGTGCCTGGAAGAACTGAAGACAGGGACTCCAACAAGTGTGTGTTCACCGAGGTTCCTAGAGCACAATTCACAGAAGCCAAAGGTGGAAGCAGCCCAGATACCCCTCAGCAGAGGAGGGTCCACACGCGGTGGTCTATCCGGACAATGGGATGTTCCTCAGCCATGCAAGGGAGCAGAGCTCTCACACAGACGACCACACGGCAGAGCCTCAGAAAAGAAGCCAGACCCGAGCCCACATGTTGTGTGATTCATCTCCATGAAATGTCCAGAACGGGCAAATCCTCCAAGACAGAAGGCAGATCTGCGGTCACCAGAGGCTGGGCGCTGGAGGGGGAATGACGGGGGTGGTAGCAGACCCACAGTCACCAGGGGCTGGGGGGCTGGAGGGGGAATAACGGCGGTGATGGCAGACCCACAGTCACCAGGGGCTGGGGGCTGGAGGGGGAATAACGGCGGTGATAGCAGATCCACAGTCATCAAGGGCTGGAGGGGGGTGATGGGACATGGTACAAAGTTCTCTTTGGAGTGATGCAAATGTTTTAGAACCGGACAGAGGTGGTGGCTGCCTCACATCATGAAGGTACTAAATGCCATGGAACTGCTTACTTTAAAATGGTTATCTTTACATTATGTGAAGCCAGTTCCCAGGGAGGGTGATGGGGAACCCTACGGTGATGCTCTGGAAAAAGGGCCCAGAATTCCCCTCCCTCTCAGGGGTAGGGAGTTGGGATATGTATTCACCAATGTCCACCTCCAGCCCCATCATGATGGTGAGGTGTGCCAGGGACACAGAGATGCAGCCACTGGGGGCTGGGCTGTTGGAGAGGGTCCCTGACAGGGGTGGGTGCAGAAACTGCTACCCCTGTTTCTTAATTCAACAGTGATAATAAAGCTGTCCAGCCCCGAAGACGTGCCTCTGTATGTCTCCCCTATCCCATCTGCCCTCCCCAGAGACCCCCATTCTCCTGGGTGCATGTTTGTCATTCATCTGTGCAGTAGACAGAATGGTGGCCTCCAAAGGTGTCCCAGTTCCTGGAACTGGGAATATGTCACCTGATTTTGCAGATGTAGTGGGGCAGTGAGTCCAGTGTAATTAATCAGGTCCTTACAACAGGGAGGCAGGGGGGTCAGAGTCAGAGAGAGAAGATGTGAGGATGGAGACCAAGGTCGGGGAGAGAAGATGCTGCTGGCCTTGACGACGAAGGGTGGGGCCAAGAGCCGAGGACCGCAGGTGGCCCATAGGTGCTGGAGGGGGACTGCTCTCCAGAGCCCTGCCCACACCTGGATTCTAGACCAGTGAGACCAATGCTGGACTTCTGACTTCCAGAGCCATAAGATAATCAATATGTGTTGTTTTAAACTACACGTTTTAAATTCACGGCGATTTGTTACGGCAGCAGTAGGTATAGCATTTGTGAAATGTATGAAATTGAATATACATATATTTCTTTCCCTGACTTTTCTCCCTCAATCATATTTGATATTCATCCATGGCAAGGTGCGCCTGGGGGCACACGGAGCCATTATCCGCGCACCTAACTGCCGTGTAATATTCTACCACGTGGATACAGCCCCATTCTTTTGTCCAGCCACCTGTTGATGAGCCTCTGAGCTGTGTCCGTTTTGTTGGCTTTATAAGCCATATTCCTATAAACATTCTCTTCTGTCTTCCTGTTATATAAACAAGGGTTTCTCTGGACTACCATGTTCTGTTATTTGTTTATTCAGCAAATAGTTCTTGTGCATCTGTGCTCTATGCTGAGTGCAAGCCGGGGCTCCACGCAGCTGGGATCCGCCACCCACACACCCGGGGCACCATCAGGCTCTTCGCGGGTCCCTCAAGTCCCCTTACCTGGCCCTACATGAGCAGGAAGCTCTTTCATCCCCACAAGCACCCTATTTACAGGGTCATCACATGAAGCTAAGAATATCCCACTCCCAGGCGGGCAGCCGAAGTCACCTGCCCAGGTAAGCCCGAGGTGGGGCTGAGCCACGACCTCGTTCTTCCCAGAGTGCAGAGCCTTCACTGGTCCTCTGCCGAGTGAACTTCCTCCTCTTCATGAGGCTGTCCCCAGCACCTAGCTGTCAGTTTGATTCCCTTTGATAGACGAGAGAGCCCTCGGGGAAGCCGGTCTTTTCTCCACTCAGGCCCGAGGCCAGAAGCTCCGCGTTTCCGACGTGCTTAGAATATGTGAGCAACTATCGAAACAGTGAGGCCATTCTTTCGTGCGTCCAAAATATCCCTACTGACCTCTGCGTCCTGCTGGGCATTCGGCTTGGGGATTACGAGGAGGGGAGCTCCTGCCCCTCCAGCCTCGAAGGCACATCCAGTCCAGAGCACACGGGGGCTGGGGGCTGATTTCAACAGGAAATGGGGGACTCACTCCAGCCCAGATGATTCAGGGACCGCTGATTTACAAAGGGAGTGTTTGCAATAGTGTGGGTGAAGGGAGCCCCAGGAGAGTGTGGTCACAGGGCTCTCACCGCAGGCCCAGGGAGGAGGGAGGCAGCACTTCCGATCCCCATGGAGTCACACCTTGGGAGAGCTGCCACCTCCATGCAGCTGCACGGCCACCCTGAGACAACCTCACAGGGAGGGCCCTGGGAACGCCCACCCTGCCTTCCCTCCTGTCACCCCGCCCGCCGGCTGAGCCTAACCTGGAATTGGAGGGGAAGGGGGCCTTTGGCACTGTCTACCCAGGACCACGTCCGGTTACAGAGCAGAGCCGAGAAAGGTGGAGGGTGGGTATGGAGGGGCCAAACAGACCCACCGGCAAATGCATCATGTGCCGTTGGAAACACTGCAGTGGCGCCTCAAAAAGCTAAACAGAACTACCAGGTAACCCAGCAATGATACTCCAGACATAGTCCCAGTGGAATTGGAAACAGGGGCTCGAGTGAATCCACACACAGGCTCCCAGCAGCCCTATTTCCAATCCCCAAAATACACCAACCACCCAAGTGGGACAGGCGAATGGATACACAAACTGTGTTCGTTCCATACAGTGGAATATTATGTGGTCATAAAAAGGAATGGGGTTCTGATTCCTGCTACGACATGAATAAGCCGATGAAAAACACCACACCACACACTATGTAATTCTATTTCTTTTTTTGCAGAGGTGGGAGCAGGGATGAAGTCTCACTCTGTCACCCAGTGCAGTGGTACAATTTCTGCTGAAGGCAACCTCCACCTCCTAGATCCAAGCGATTCTCATGCCTCAGCCTCCCCAGTAGCAGAGATTACAGGCACACACCACCATGCCTGGCTAATTTTTATGTTTTTTAGTAGAGATGGGGTTTCACCATGTTGGCCAGGCTGGTCTCAAACTCCTGACCTCAAATGATCCGCCTGCCTCAGCCTCCCAAAGTGCTGGGATTACGAGCATGAGCCACCGCATCCAGCCTATAATTCTATTTCTATGGAATATCTAAAATAGGCAAATTCACAGAGACAGAAAGTAGATTAGAGGTTACCAGGGTTGGAAGAGGGAAGAATGGGGAGTTAACTACTTAGTGGGTGTAGTTTCTCTTTGGGTTCATGACATTCGGAAAACAGATAGTGGTGGTTACACATTGCCAATGTAATTAATGCCACTGAATTATATACTTAAGATGGTTGAAATGGCAAAGGTTATTTTGGGTTTTTGTCATTGTTCTTGTTGTTGTTTGAGGAAGGGTCTCACTCCGCCACCCAGGCTGGATACAGCGGTGCAATCGCGGCTCACTGCGGCTTCAGTGTCCTGGGCTCCAGCCATCCTCCCGCCTCAGCCTCCCTAGTAGCTGGGACTACAGGCCTGTGCCACCACACCCAGCTAATTTTTTAATTTTTTTGTAGAGACAGGGTCTCACTATGTTGCCCAGGCTGGTCTCAAACTCCTGGAATGCTTAAGCGATCTTCCCACTTTCGCCTCCAAAAGCATTGGGATAACAGGCGTAAGCCATGGCCCCGGCCACAAATTGTATGTTTTATATATTTTACCACAATTTTTAAAAATAATAACATACCAAAAAACATTGAATCATACACTTTAAATGGGTGAGTTGTTTGGTATATAAAATAAATCTCAATAAAGCCATTTTAAAAAAAGAAAAAAAATACACCCAATACATTCCACCCCTTTTGCCCCTCAACCTCCATGTACTCGTGTCCTTCCTCTGGCTGAAAACTTGCTGTCCTCCACGTGCTACCATGTCATCATGGGTGGTGTCTGGACATGGCTCCTCGTGAGATGTGACAGATCAGCTACCACCAAGGCTCTTCACATCAGCGGAGTGGAAAGAGCAGAGGCGGGAAGGAAATGACAGGAGCAGAGCTGCCGCCATCCCGCTTCCGGAGCTGGCCTCGCACCCAGGTCAGCACTCCTAGCTCCTTTCTCCCAATGCAGGTTCTGCGTTCCTCTTGTCCTCTGCCACGGCCTCGGCTGGCAGGGTGACCCAAGGCTCCCCATAACAGACCTGGGTCCTGCCTTGATTCTCTTTCCTTATGAGAACCTTCTTCCAAAAACAGCACATACCTGGGTTTCATATGTTTTTCCAGCCTGTCAATTTCATTCTGTTTTTCCCCTCTGCTGTTTGGCAGTAAACCATTCTATTTCGGTTTATGTTTAGCCGTTGTCCTCACCATTTTGACATGCATACCTAAGCCTGAAATTGATTTCTCTACCTTTCTCTTAAACAGTAAAAGAAACGCAAGACACTTTAACTGCCACCAAATCCTCTCCTGTTAGCTGTGGCTGATATTTTAGTTCTTTTTTTTAATCTTTCAAATTGGATATTATTTAATGCAGTCAAAGTAGACAAGGCTGATGTGTGGCCTCCGCTTTATACCATTTCTTGAGCACCCTCTGGCGTCAGTGGACTTTTGCTTCCAAGAGCAGCAATTCTAGGTCTTTTTATTTATTTATATTTTTATTTTTTGCCCTTGGGATATTGCAGCGCATTTTTTCCCATAGGCTGGAAGAATCAGAGGGAACGGTGGCTGCCCTCCACCTACTCTTGACCAGGCCTGAGGGTGGGAAGCATAAAAACCCAGCCCCTCCCCGGAGTGGGGTAACAGCCAGGCCGAAGCCCTGCTCTTCACTCTTCGGGCTTTGCTGAGAGCCTCCCCCTTGGCCACCTCCCTTTCTGTTCTACTCCCCACTTCCCTGCTGACTTCCCAAGAGTACTTACTCAGTCGGCCTTGGATGAATGTGTGAGTAAATCTAAATGATTCTTTCACATGTCACTCCTTCTGGCATCTCATTCTCCCTTCTGGAATCATTTTCTTTCCTCTTGATTTATATTATTTACAAGTTGTTTTAGAGTGGGTCTGTGAGGAGGATCTAGCTCAGCTTTAGTTTGTCTGAAATTTTCCTTATCCACCATGATTTCAATGACATTTATCTGGTACAGAATTGAAGTTAACAGTTCTTTTGGAGCACTTTGAAAATATTTTCTAATTGTTTGGGGCTTTGTTTTTGTTTGGGGCTTTTTTTGTTGTTGTTGGAAATTGGCTGGCAGCCTACATGCTCTCTGATAGGGAATCTGTCTTTTGTATGGTTGCTTACAGGATCTTCTCTTTGCTTTTAGCACATATTTACTATATGTCTAAATGTCACATAGTAAATACCCAGCTTGCCTTGATGGGGCTTCTTGAATCTGAGGATGCATGTCTTTCATCAGTTACAGAAAACTCTCAGCTACCATTGCTTTAATTACTGCTGTATCCATCTTCCCCCTTCTCTCTTTCTATGGTAGCTGGCCTCCATGATGGGGGGACCCTCACACCAGAATCAGAGCTGACCTGTATGACCAACACAGTGTGGCAGGAGTGACAGTGTGTGACATCCAAGACTGGATCTGAAAAACCCTTGCAGCTTCCCCCCTCCACACAAACACACCCACTTGAATCTCTCACTTTAAGGAAGCTGGGCACCATGCCTCCCTGCCACTCTGAGGACACCCAAGCAGTGCATGAAGAGGCCCAGGTGGAAAGGAATTAAGAGCCCTGGCAAGCAACCTACAACAATTTTCCTGCCATGTGAGTGGATCCTTAGCCCCAGTTGAGCTTTCAGATAATGGCAGCCCCAGCCATCAACTACCTTCAACCTTATGAGACCCCAAGCACAGCCCAACCGAGATTCTCAGTTCCTTATGCACAGAAACAGTGAGAAATGAGAAGTGATTGCTGTTGTTTTGAACCTTAATTTCGGAGGTAATTTGTTATGCAGCAATAAATAACTAAGACATCTTCTGAAATGTCTCTCAATCCCTCTTCTATATTTTCTGTGCTGTCTCTCTCCACTATTTTCTGAATAATTTTTGGCTATATCTTCTAGTTCACTAATTCCCCCTCAGTGGTATCTAATCTTCTTTTAGGCCCATCCAATAAGTTTTCAATTGAATGCTTCTATTTTCTATTTCTAAAGGCCTATTTGGATTATTTTTGAAAAAATTACTCATGACTGTTGATATTTTCTCATGTTTGATTTAATTCTTTATTTCTTTAAACACACTTATCAGTGTGTTTTATATCTGATACTATCAATATCTGAAATCCATAAGGCTTGAGCACTGCTGTTGTTTTCTCTGCTGACTTATGCCTGAGCTGGTTTGCCTCCATCCATGGTCTCTAATTTTGGATTGTGAGTTAATTTTTGGCTGGTATTAATCTTGGGGAAAACAGAGGGAACTGTATAGCGTGCACCTGCACTTGTATGCATCTGCAATCATCTTAAACATTTTTAACTTCATCCCCAAGTTAAGAGTTTCATAAACTATATAGTTGGTACAAATTTGAACACTGAATTCATATGAGAGAAGATGTATGGTTATGAATTCTCAGAGACAGAGCAAAAAGGTTAAAAAAAATAACAAAAGGAGGTCACAGCCAGGTTCTGCAGCCCATTCCTGTAATCCTAGCTTATTGGGTGGCTAAGGTGGGAAGGTCACTTGAGCCCAGGAATTTCAGACCAGCCTGGGCAATACAATAAGACCCTGTCCCAAAAATAAAGTAGATCAGCACGATGACAAAAACTAGAGAGACATAAACTGGACCACATCAAAATTTAAAACTCCATGCTGTAAATAATGATGTCACGAAAATGAAAAGATAACCCACAAAATAGGAGAAAATCATTGCAAATGACATTCCTGATTAAGGACTTGTATATTCAAAATATAGAAAGAACTCTTCAACCACAATAATAAAAAGACAAATAATGTAATTTTTAAAAGGGAAAAGGATCTGAATGTCTATTCAGGAGATTTGCAAATGGCCAGCAAGCACATGAAGAGATGCTCAACGTCATTCACTGTCAGGGAAATGCAAATCAAAACAACAATGAGATACCTCTTCACACCCACTGGGATGGCTGTTACAGAAAAGACAGATGATAACCAGTGTTGGTGAGCGGGTAAAGGAATCAGAACTTGTATAGACTGCTGGAGGGAATGTAAAATAACGCAGCCACTGTGAGAGAACAGTCTGGCAGTTCCTCACAGAATTAAACATAGAGTTAACACATAATCAAGAAATTCAACTTCTGAAATGAAAATGTCCATTCACACAAAAATTTGCACATGGGTGTTCATGGAAGCATTATTTGTAGCTGCCAAAAAGTGAAAATAACCCCCATGTTCACCAATTGATGAATGGATAAATAAAATGTATTACACCCATACAATGGAGTATTAGCCATCAAAAGGCCCAGAGTACTGATCCATGCTACAACAAGAATGAACCTTGAGAGCATGACACTGAGTGAAAGCAGACAGACACAAAAGGCCACATACTGCCTGATTCCCATTATATGAAATGCCCAGAATTGGCAAATCCATGGAGACCAAAAGTAGATTCATGACTGCTGAGGGAAGGAGTCAGGAGAATGTGAATGGGGTTTCCTCTCGAAGGGATGAAGATGTTCTAAGATTATGTTGAGGTGCTGGTTGCACAACCTTGTGAATATGGTAAAAATCATAGACTGGGGACACCTTCAGTGGGTGGGTTGCCTGGGATGTGAATTGTATCTCAACAAAACTGTCCCAGAAAACAGACCACTCTTTCCCCAGGGCTGTCACCCTTCCAGAGATCCAACCTCCTCTTTCATCGGAGACCTGACTCTCCACGCACTACTGGCCCAGACCTTGCCCCCATCTCTAATTCCAGGAGCTGGTTTCGGCAATGATCCCAAGGAGTCCCAAGGGCTCATGGGTCACGCTCTGCTTGGTTTTCAATGCCTGCTTCCTCACCCTCCCTCTCAGAAAGGTTATTTTTTTCTGCAATCATTTATGCCTTTGAGGGGATGTTTGTTGCAATTTGTCCAGATCTTCTAGGTGTTTGGGCGATTTCCACTAGAGCCTCATCACAGGACAAAGGCTTTGACTTGGACAGAGGAGGGCTCAAATCCCAGCTCCACCATGCAGCAGTGTGAAGCCATCAGTGAGTTATTCAATCTCTTCCTTATGCACAGAATGGGGACGCTTCCTCCTAAGATGATTGACGAATGGATAAATAAAATGTATTCCACCCATTTGATGGAGTATTACTCAGCCATGAAGAGGAATGGAGCTCTGATTCATGCTTCAATAAGAATGACATGGAAAACATGATGCCAAGTGAGGAGGCACATGTATCCGCTCATCAGTTGCTCCTTCCTCACAAGCTAGATGCCTACGTGAAGCCTCCTGCACTTGCTGGTGGTTCCTCCTATCCCCAAGGGAAGTCCCCAAACCCTGCTCCCAACGAGCCTTGGTCTTCTGAGACCTTCTGCAATGCATCTCTGCATGTGGCCCTTTCCCCACGGGGCCTGCCCATGGGAGAGGCTCCGATTCTTTTTTTTTTTTTTTTTGAGACGGAGTCTCACACTGTCGGCCAGGCTGGAGTGCAGTGGCGCAATCTCAGCTCACTGCAAGCTCCGCCTCCCAGGTTCATGCTATTCTCCTGCCTCAGCCTCCTTAGTAGCTGGGACTACAGGAACCCGCCACCACGCCTGGCTAATTTTTTGTATTTTTAGTAGAGACGGGGTTTCACTGTGTTAGCTAGGATGGTCTCGATCTCCTGACCTCATAATCCACCCACCTCGGCCTCCCAAAGTGCTGGGATTACAGGCGGCTCCGATTCTCAAGCTGGGCTTCCCGGATGTTCTTCCCCTGAGCAGCTCAGCCCCTCCCTCCCAGAGAGCCCGGCAGCCTCCAGCCCTCATCACCCTTCCTGCACACACAGACCTTCCCTGGCTCCAGAAAGCTTCGGGAACCTCTGCTGCTGCCATCTGATGTCCCCTCTCCATCACCCTGGGCCTTCCACCCTTTCACTCAGTGACTCACCTCCTGGCATGGTTGGACGTTCCACTCCATTGTCCCAGTTCCACCGCCGGACCACCAGGTCTCTCTTCTTAGCTTGTTTCTAGGGCCCCGTCTGGGCCATGCATGGTCCCACAGCCCCGTTCCCCACAAGGTTGTGTGAAATCTCTTGGAGACTCACTGCCTGAAAACGGACTTCCACCTGGAGGAACTCACATTGCTGTCCCCATGAAGAGGGACAAGTGTACGGGGGCTCCCCACAGCGGGGGCTCCCTGAGGGTGGGACTGTTTTGGTTTCATCATCAGTGTCATGCCTCCAGCACAGGGCCTGGCACGTAGCAGGTCAATTTATCTTTTCAGAATGACGGCAAATGGACAGTTTTCTTTTCCCTTTGGCTGCAGGCAGAAGAGGGGGCCGCGAGCCACAGCTCCACCCCACCAGCTGGGAGGACTTGGGCCCGGCTCTGTCTTCTCCTTCTCCCCGCTCTAGTTGGAATTTTCCCCAGCCCAGAGTTGTTTTCTTGTTTTGTTTTGGTTTTGCTTTTTTTTGTCTTTTTATTGCAGGAGAATACATAAAATGTACCACTTTAACCACTTTGCTCTGTGCAGTTCGGGGGCATTGAGTAGATTCCCAAGGTTGTGTAACCATCTCCATGCTCCAGTTCCCGAGCATCTGGCTCAGGGTTTTCCTAGTGTCTTCTCACTTTAATTCTTCACTGTACAGTTTCCCGAGAACCACCTCAAATCCTCATGGAGTGAGACAAGATTTCCACCAATGAATCACTGAGTTTAAAGCATTAAAGTTGGGCTGCTTCAAACCTGTGGCACTCCTGTAAATTCACACTGATACAGGGTGGGTTGAGGGTTCCTGGGGCAGCCTCGACCCCTCGTGCTGTCTTTCTGAATTCTGGCCACCTAGGAACTCCTTCCACAGACACCACCAAACCCTGAAGGCTCCTGTTCTCCGGGGACCCTCCGTGGCGGCGGCATGCCCGAGAGCTGCTTCAGCCTACAGATCCTTGTTTCCTCGGGCAGCACACAACTCTGTCCCCTGGGCTCTGTGCCCTGGTTCTGTGGTTACAAACGATGGGTGCTCAGAAGAGCCACTAGGAGCCTGCCTCCCTGGAAAGGTCTCGGGCCAGGGCTGATCCAAAGGAACCCTCGGGGAGCTCCAACGGCAGCTGTCTGAAGGGCAGCAGCTCCCAACTTCCCGCCGCACTCAGGCAGTCGCCTTTCTCCGCTCTTGTCCTCCTCCTGGCGGTGCCTTTGCCAAACCCTGAGTGGAAACATCTGGGCCACTCCGGCTGGCCCTCAGAGCTGGGATTCGAACACGGTGATTTCATCCTCAGCCGCAGCGCAGGCTGCCGCCGGTCAGCACACTAGACTTGGGCTGCTGTTCTCTGCACCATCCGGCAGTGCTTGGACTCATGGTGGCTCCCAGGAACAGGAGGAAGAGGAGGTCAGTGAACGGGTGAAGTCTTGGTGGCGAAGAGGCACTGCACCCTGCCGCCCATTGGTGCTTTCTTTTAACCTGATTGTCAGTGCCCGGGAGGCTGGGCTCCATCAGGCCTGGGGGAGCACACAGCTGAGAGAAAACCCCACCAGACCAGGTCCCCGACCAGGCACAGCGTCTCCAGGCCAGGAGGCCACGTAGGCCAGAAGACTCTGGGCATTGCCTGTCTACTGTCCAGCGAAGAGCCTCCGTCAAGGAAGGGAAAGAGGTCACCGTATGAACCCCCAGCATGGGGCGGGGCCGGGCTGCATGAGGGCTTTGGGCCCTGTTGACCCCGTCGTATCTAGCAGAGCTGCGGCAGACCGGGCAACTGGGGCTCTGATCTGACGGCAACCTTGGGCTCCTCAGCTGCAAGCTGGGAACACTGGGTCCCCTCTCTCTGGGATCATGTGAGGCGGGAATGTTTGGCATTTTGGGATTTCGCAGGTCCGGCAGCCCAGGGAAGTTTCACCAGGCAAGAGGGTTGTTGGCTGGAAGTGGGTGTGAGCTCACTGTGCACACTTGGGCCTCCTGAGCCGCATTCGTGACCTCAAGGGGGATTGCTGTGGGCAGGGCTGGGCCCGTGTCACTGGTCCTGAGGCAGCAGGAGCCAGGGTGGGTTTGCTGAAAGAACCCACTGGCCTTAGCAACGCCCCTCGCAGGAGATGACGTGGCCTCAGCAGCAGGACTATGCAGGGAGCGCTCTTCTCTGAAAGGCTGACCGACCCTGAGCCAGCCTTTGGGGGTGCCACACAGGGGAAGAGGGACCCCGCAACAGGACAGGCTGCCAGGCACTGGCTCTGGCCTCCAAAAGTCAGCATCATGGGGAAATAGAAGATGGGCATGTCCTGGCATAAAACAGATCCAAGGCTGAACCAGACACACCAGGCACAAGCATGCACTGCCTCAAAAATAAGCATAACGGGCCGTTTTGAACAATTAGGAAATTCGCATGTGGACCGGATCCCAGGGGATGGGAGGGGATGATCAGATGAACAATTAGGAAATTCACATGTGGACTGGATCCCAGGGGATGGGAGGGGATGGTCAGGTGAACAATTAGGAAATCTGCATGTGGACTGGATCCCAGGGGATGGGAGGGCATGGGAGGGGATGGTCAGGTGAACAATTAGGAAATTCACATGTGGACCGGATCCCAGGGGATGGGAGGGGATGGGAGGGGATGGTCAGGTGAACAATTAGGAAAGCTGCATGTGGACCGGATCCCAGGGGATGGGAGGGGATGGTCAGGTGAACAATTAGGAACTTCACATGTGGACCAGATCCCAGGGGATGGGAGGGGATGATCAGGTGAACAATTAGGAAATTCACATGTGGACCAGATCCCAGGGGATGGGAGGGGATGGGAGGGGATGGTCAGGTGAACAATTAGGAAATTCACATGTGGACCGGATCCCAGGGGATGGGAGGGGATGGGAGGGGATGGTCAGGTGAACAATTAGGAAATTCGCATGTGGACCGGATCCCAGGGGATGGGAGGGGATGGGAGGGGATGGTCAGGTGAACAATTAGGAAATCTGAATGTGGACCGGATCCCAGGGGATGGGAGGGGATGGTCAAGTGAACAATTAGGAAATTCGCATGTGGACCGGATCCCAGGTGATGGGAGGGGATGGTCAGGTGAACAATTAGGAAATTCACATGTGGACCGGATCCCAGGGGATGGGAGGGGATGGTCAAGTGAACAATTAGGGAATTCGCATGTGGACTGGATCCCAGGGGATGGGAGGGGATGGTCAAGTGAACAATTAGGGAATTCGCATGTGGACCGGATCCCAGGGGATGGGAGGGGATGGTCAGGTGAACAATTAGGAAATCTGCATGTGGACTGGATCCCAGGGGATGGGAGGGGATGGGAGGGGATGGTCAGGTGAACAATTAGGAAATTCGCATGTGGACGGGATCCCAGGTGATGGGAGGGGATGGGAGGGGATGGTCAGGTGAACAATTAGGAAATTCACATGTGGACCGGATCCCAGGGGATGGGAGGGGATGGTCAGGTGAACAATTAGGAAATTCACATGTGGACTAGATCCCAGGGGATGGGAGGGGATGGGAGGGGATGGTCAAGTGAATAATTAGGAAATTCGCATGTGGACCAGATCCCAGGTGATGGGAGGGGATGGGAGGGGATGGTCAGGTGAACAATTAGGAAATTCACATGCGGAGTGGATCCCAGGGGATGGGAGGGGATGGGAGGCGATGGGAGGGGATGGGAGGGGATGATCAGTTGTCTCAGGTGCTGATGCTGTGGTTCTGAAGGAAACTGTCCCTATTCTCAGGAGAGGGATATCCGCCTATTTGGAGGTCAAGTTTCAGGACGCCTGCAGCTTTCTTCCAAGTGGTTATTAGACCAGAAAGGAGGCAGGAGGAGGAGGAAGACACGAAAAGAGGAAAAGAAAGAAGGAGAGAGGAGGAAGGGGGAGGAGGAGGAGACACAGAGACGTCGGTCAGAAGGCCAGTCCGACTGGGTGGCTGGGGACGTGAAGTAGAGGGACAATTTACACACTCTCTGGACGGGGTTAGGGACCCTGAGATGAATGGTATGCCCACAGTGCTAGCGACAGTGGGAGCCATTACTCCCACCCACTGGTCTGAAGAAGGAACGGGGAAGATTCTGGGCTCTGAGAGGGCAGTTCTAGGCAGAGTCCCTTGACAGGAGCTGCAGCCTCCAGCCGAGGTGCCACATCCCTGGCCACGCTGCAGAGAGGGAGCCGGGAGGAAACATGATGAGTGCATTGTTGAATCCAGGTGGTGGTCGTATGGGTAATCATGTTCTATTATTTCATTCTTTGCTTGAAATGTTGAATGCTTGAAAACTTTCATAATAAAAAAAAAATGGGGCCGGGCATGGTGGCATGCACCTGTAATCCCAGCTGCTCAGGAGGCTGAGAAGGAAGGATCGTTTGACCCCAGGAGATGGAGGTTGGAGTGAGCTGTGATTGCACCACTGCACTCCAGCCTGGATGTCAGGACAAGACCTTTTCTCATTAAAATAAAAAATGAGGAAGGGGTGAGGAAGCAGCCCAGAAAGAAAAGAGGTAAAAACAGACCCCAAAAAGAGCTTCTGGAGCAGCGGCCCCCAGGCAGTGACAGAGAGACAGCCACTCCCCTAGGAAGGATGGCGCAGGCTTCCAGCTCTGGGAGTGCTGTGTACCCCCACACGGGGCCTCCCAGGAGCCTGGGACCTTTGCAGGCAGGCCAAGGGCTGGCTCTCCGAGGGAGCAGAGCCGGCGTGTGTCTGGAGCACCCAAAAATCGGTAAAATATGAATAAAAGGGGCTTCTGGGGAAAAAACGGGGACAAAACCAAGCTGTCTTGGACAAGTTGGAGTGTATTTCACAGTTCAGCACTGTCTCACTGGGATCCCATGGGCGTCAGGGGTGCTCCCTGCTTGGCCTCCTAAGCAGCCTCTGCCAGGCCCAGAGACTCAGCAGACGCTGAGCACAGACCCGCTCAGGCACGGTTCCCAGCAGGTCGGAGGCACCAGCCCTGTGGCCGTCACGCAAACACAAGGACAAGAAAACCCAGGGCCCAGACAGAGGTGGAGACCTGGTCGCTCTGGTGAGGCCCAGCCACGTCAGCCCCTACAGGAAGCCCTGGGGCTCTGGTTCGTGTCTTGGTTGCTCAGCAACCAAGATGTCGTGCCCTCATCGGCACATTGAGGGGACACAGCCCCTGAGCCTGGGGAAGTGGGAGCGGAAAGAGAGAAGGGGCCCAGGGATGAACCAGCGAGAAGCCAGGGCACCCCCACCTGTGGAGAGCCTCTTTCTAACAGGGACAAATGGCAGCTCTGCCTCGTGTCTCTTGTAGGAAATTCGGGGGGACAAGCGTCCACGCAGAGGCGCTTGGTGAGCCATCCTCAGCGCAGGGAAGCTCCCGCACCTCACGGGCTCTGGTTTCAGGGGCCGGCCCATCCTCCACTCTGATAAAGCAAACCTGGGGGTTGCCGTCTCTGGCCCCACCCCTCCAGCAGAGGCCCCCACTCTGAGCAGTACATTCTTGGAAGTCCTCTGGCCTCTGGGGTTATAGCAGGTGCTGTTTCTGCATTGGCTGGAAAAACCAAATGCTACCATCCCTGGACTCCTGGCACTGCCCCAACTCCCCTGGCCCCCAGAAGCTTAGAGCCCAGCCCTGAGGAACTCCTACTAGCCCTTAGAGCTGGAGGTTTCCAGCCAAAAGGAGCAGAGAGCCTGGGACTGGGATCAGGGGGCTAGGGTCCAGCCCCAGCCTGTCCTACCCACACTGTGGGACCGGGGCAGGTTAGCTCACCTCTCCAGGCCTGGTTCTCCCATATTTAAAATACTTTAAAAAAAAAAAAAAAAAAAGGACCTGTCTCCACAGTATAATAATATTATCTATGAGTCCAGACTTTATTTTTTTACACACTGAACCCCCCATCCTCCTTGGGTAGGGCAGAGCAAGGGGACACAAACAAACCACCAGGTCAGGGCTAGATGGGTGCTGTGTCCATGCATCGTGGTTGGTGCAGTTTTGCCCGCGTGCTGAGCCATGCTCTGTTGCTGATGACAGTACTCTGAACAGATTGTGACATGACATGAACACACATGCCCTGCAAAGGAGATGGATGACCATTTGTTATGTCTGCCCTGCCTGTCGAACTCGCCCAGATCTCTCAAGGAGATTTGTGCACCTGTGTGGAGAAAGTTCTTCAAGGATGTTCACCAAAAGGTAGAGAGCAGTTGCCATAGCGTATTTGGATGTGAGAGGATTTTTGTGTTTTTAGCTCTACCTTTTAGTATTATGAGAATTTTTCACAATTAGTGTCAACTTTGGACTTCTCCCAAATTTTATCTTCATAAATAAAAAAAGTATCTGATGGCACCCAAGCACCTTTCCATCTCCAGGGTCTGTGTCCTGAGAAAGGAGGGTTTCCTATAAATGACAGACAGTGGACGATGTGGTATCCAGCACACAGCTCCTTGCAGGGAAAGGGGCACCATGTGGGTAGCATGGCTTTCTTTAATGACAAATGAGCAAAACTGACCACAGACTGAGACAGACCTCACCTAAATCAAGAAGAAAAGAAACATAAGGGGGACATTTTACTCCTTCTGGAGAAAAGAAGGCATATCTCCTTCTCTATTAATAGTTAAAACGTGAAAAAGACACTTTCAACAAAGCCAGGCCAGTGGGAGGGCAGAGGCACACTCACCCGGGCTGGCAGCACACAGGGTGACTTGGCCTCTGAGCACATTTGTGAGTCTGTCGAGAGCCAAGCAGATGAATGGAGGGTTATAATGGATCCAATTCAGTGACACCATGAGGTCTAGGAAGACACCTTGACAGCCCAATAAAGGCTCAACCTATCCTAAGGAAAAAAATAGTAAGTATTTTCAGTGGGTGGGAAAGCTCTATGTATAAAGATGTTATTTGCAGTATTAATTAGGACAGGAAAAAATCAAAATACCTAAATGTTCAGCAGTAGGGAATAGTCAGTCTGAAATGTCTGCCCAATGCCATAGCCCACAGATATTTAATATATCATGACAGACTGTGTCTGCTGTCTGTCATGTATAGGAAAACCACCCAACTCCCTAAGGGGCTGGCCAATAAATCATATCAACTAAAGACCAGGATAGCAGACAAATGGTGTGGCCACCATGACCACCACAGTGTGACACATGCAGGGAAAAACACCTGGAAGGAGGCAGAACAAATGCACATGGCAGTTATTTTAGGGATAAAAATACACATACATAAAAGAGCACACGGAGCAGCCAGGTGGGTGTGGAAGAGTGACAGGGACACAGAGCCTGGCCACGGTGTCACTTCCAACCTGACAGGTGAGGTGTGAGAGTCAGTCCAAGACACCGGTCCAGGGCCCAGCACCCTGCCAGAGCCGCCGGCCATTCATGGCACGCCTGCATGCAGCCCTCCTCCCAGAAAGCCCTGCAGACATTTCATGTGGGCACAGGGAGAGGCCACATGTGTGTTCACTCTCCCAGAAAGCCCTGCAGACATTTTAACGTGGGCACAGGGAGAGGCCACGTGTGTGTTTGTTGCCGACCAGAGAATAGGAATGCAATGCATGGGATGGGGAGGGACGCGTCACTGTCCAGGGAAGGCCCTCAGCCAGCCCACTGGGCCCTGCTGCCCAGCTCCATACCCCCAGGCTGGGCCCTGACTGTGGCAGTTCTCCCTAGTCCTGACACTCACTCGGGGACAGTGTGCACCATGCAACCTCAGGCTCCCACCCTGTCCACTCCCAGTTCCTCAAGTGTGGTACCCCAGGCAGATCTGTCACCTCATCCTCCTGACGTCTCTTTGTAAGGAGAGGACACGGTGGCTCAGGAACCATTTATGCCCAAAGCTACACAGTATGACAGTGCAAGGGCCCAGGACCCCTTGACCAGCCAGGAAGAGCAAGCAGGCAAAGGCCGAGAGCATGGTTTTGGGCCAGCCAGACTTGAGTTCAAGTCTCCCCTCTGTGATGTTTCTGAGTCTCCACATCTTATCTCATAGGGTCACTGGGAGGATTAAATGCACTGATCTGCCTTCGTGGGCTCGCTATGGGATTACTGTGTCAGCTCATAGCCTGACTGTATACACTGGTGCCAGGGCAGCCACAGCCAGAGCCCGGCAATGTCATCCTGCTTGGTACAAATGCTCTCCTTCCCTAGGCCTCAGTTTCCTCACCAAGGGCTGTGACGGTTTGTCCTTTGTGGGTCTCAGGCCTCTGTGGAAGACACAGCCCAACCCCACCTGCAGCCCTTAGCTGTGTAGACACTCAGAGCCAGACAAGACCCTGGTCCTCAGCCTTGTCCACAGCTACAGGTGGGCCACAGTGTATTAGTCCATTCTCACACTGCTATAAAGAGCTGCCCAAGACTGGGTAATTTATAAAGAAAAGAGGTTTAACTGACTCACAGTCCTGCATGTCTGGGGAGGCCTCAGGGAACTTACAGTCATGGTAGAAAGGGAAGCAGCCAGTCTTACATGGCGGCAGGAGAGAGAGAAAAACTACCATTAATAAAACCATCAGATCTCGTGAGAATTCATTCACTATCATGAGAACAGCATGGGGGAAGCTGCCCCCAGCATCCAACCACTTCCCTCCCTAGACGCGTGGGGATTACAATTCCAGATGAGATTTGGGTAGGGACACAGAGCCAGCCCATATCAAGCAGGGAAAGCTGAGCCCTGGGAGAGGTGAGCCGCAGTGGCTGGGGAGAAATGGCTTCCCTGTCCAGGCCTGGAGACCTGGCCTCAGCGGACGGTGCCCAGGCCTGCCAATTCCATGGACTCTGCAGTGAGCAACAGCTCAGCAGCACAGCCGCCCGCAGGCCAGGCCCAGAGCTCCTTGGCGAAGCACCCTCCTAGAACGGGAGGACCACAGCTCGAGGCCCTGGCTCCAGCTGCGCCCGCCCCCACCAGGTGCAGTTCCTTAGTGAACCACCCCACCCCACATTCCTGCAGCCTGGCTGCCGCCTACTCTGCCTGTTGGGGTCAGGCCGGGATTCTGCGGATGAGGCCGTGGTTCTGGGATGAGAGGCAGCAGCCCCACCATGGCCGCAGCAGCCACGGCCCCCTTCTCATTAGCTTGGGGCTCCCAGCTGAGCTGTCACTGGTGGCCCGGCGCCAGCGCCCACCAGGCCAAGCTGCAATGACATCATGTTGGCCTGGGAGGCCGCTAAGTGGAAACAGACGGCGGCCTCCTTCCCGGGCCAGGAGCGCCTCGGGAGGCACCCCGCGAGCAGCCCACCACTGGGTGGACCCAAGGGGACAGAGGTGTCAGGACAGCGGCCCCATCACAGTCCCACCCGAGCCTTAACTGCCATCTGCTTTGCCTCCCCCACTGGCTCGGCCCCACGAGGGTGGGCACGGTGCCCACCTTGCTCGTGTTGTTTCCAGCCCCCAGCGTGGCGCCTGTACATACTTGGTGCTGGGGAAATACCAAATGAAAGGCCGCCCCACTGTCCCCGAGGACTTGGTGGGACCCTGCACCCCCTCCCCCAGAGCCTTTAGGTGGTGTTTCCTGCCTTTCCAGCCTCTCCGAAGTCCCTACCACCCCCAAACATGAACCACTGCCTCTTGCCTGCTGGATGGGAGAGAGACAAGCCACCAGCAGCTGGTGAGACAAGGGACAAGAAATCTACCCGCATGAGGTCCTGAGGCTCCATCCGCCTCCCTGACCTCCATGATCCCTCTGTCCACGTGGGGAGGGACCTGAGCTGGGTGAAGGCGCGGTAGTACCAGTTGGCTGCGGGAGCAGCTGCCAGGCGGGGGTGTCCTCGGGGCACAGGACACCCCTCAGGGCAGGGTTGGCACCAGCCAATACAGAAAAGCAGAGCCCGAACGGGGCCGCCAGCTTTAGGGGGAGCCAGGCTGGGCTAGGGCCCCAAGGAGTCCCACCTTGCAGAAGGGGCCACCTGTCAGCCAACAGTGAGCTGGCCCCACACGGATGAGCCTCAAACGCATTGTGCTGAGTGAAAGCAGCCAGGTGCTGCATGACTCCGCTTATACAAAGCGTCTGGAGTAGGAGAATCCACTGATACAGAAAATAGACTGATGGCTGCTGGGGCCAAGGAGAGGGAGAGGAGGCGGGAGGGGAAGCAGGTGGCTGAGGTGTACGGGGTGCTTCTCAGGTAACAGAAGCATCTGAAATTGATGGTGGAGACAGTTGCCCAGCTGTGAATATTCTCAAAGCCACTGAATTGTACACTTTAAATGAGTGAATCGTATAGTGTCAATTACATCTCAATAAAGCTATAAAAAAAAAAAAAACAGTCACCTCACTGTCGTGTAGAGAAGGCCCAAGGACTGGGGCAGAGATACCCGAGGGGCTCTGCTCCGAGGACCCCCTTATTTGTAAAGTGCATTAAGACCGCCTGGTGGGGACCAAGGGTGTCTGTATGACCCGTCTGCCTTTAAATCGGGCCTTCCCTGCTGCTAGTGGAGATGCACAGAGACCGACAGCTTTGCTATTATCATCATCATTCTTATAGTTACTGTGCTTCTTATGCCTAAAGTGGAGGACCAAGCACTTGACTTGGGTCTCATTTACCCCTTTAAGAGCCTTAGACTGATGGTGTAATCGTCTCATTTATAAATGAGGGAGCTGGGGCACAGAGGACCTCAGCTAGCGCAGGGGTTAGGCAACCTGTCCAAGGACCCACAGCTGACAGACAGCCACGGGGGCCTGAGGCCTGTCACCAGACAAACCAGGCAAGGACCCGCTGGACAGTAAACAGCCACAGGTTCTGTCACCATTCTTGGAGGCTGTCAGAGTATAATTTTCAGAAAGAGCAGGGATCCTGTACAAATATAAAATAAATACATACCAAAAATTTATTAGCTCATTAACACAGAAACTCGTAAGATGGGAAAGTCCATTCCTGGAGCTGTTTGAGGACTTGGAAGGGCATTCTGCAATGCCTTCACCGAAGTAAAACTTCACAGAAGTAAAACTGGTTAATGTACTACAAGGCAATGGCCGTAACCCTCTTCTTTTCTACCAAATACAAATCTACCAGTTAATGTAACTTTACAGAGTCTGAATCCTTAATTAATAGGAAACAGCAAAGTCAGACACAGGCACAGTACATTTCTCTACATAAGTAAATTCTCCTTGCGAGGGCCTGTCATACAATGCCCCAGGATGACTTGGAAAAGATACTTGAAAAAGGATGATTTTTCTTTTCTTTCTTTTTTTTTTTTTTTTTTGAGATAGAGTCTCGCTCTGTTGCCCAGGCTGGCGTGCAGTGGCACACAATGTCAGCTCGCCACAAACTCTGCCTCCCAGGTTCAAGCAATTCTCCTGCCTCAGCCCCCCGAGTGGCTGGGATTATAGGCGCATGCCAAAACACCTGGCTATTTTTTCATGTTTTTGGTAGAGGCGGGGTTTCACCATGTTGGCCAGGCTGGTCTCAAACTCCTGATCTCAAGTGACCCACCCGCCTCAGCCTCCCAAAGTGCTAGGATTACAGGTATAAGCCACTGCGCCAGGCTAGATGATTTTTCTTAACAGGGGAGAGAGTAAACCAAGTCAGATCTGGAAACACATCCCATCTGCTGACTTCAGCTACCTTCTACCAAAAGTCTGTATGGAAACTGGAGGCCGCTAAGCCCCATCCCTGCCTCCCATGAGCAGCATGCAAAGAGACTTATGCCCTCATTTATCCAGCAAGCACGTCCTGAGCAGCTACTGGGTGCAGGCACGGTGTGGGTGCCAAGATGCCTGTGGGCCTCCACTGTCCAGGAAGCTGGACAAGCAGGTTCATCAGGGAAGAGGTGCTAGTTTCCCATGGTGAGCCACAGCAGTAATGAAAGGAGGAGAATGTGGAGGTCAGAAAGGAGCTGACGGGTAGGGCATGGGAGCTGAGAGGGCTCTGGGAGGGCCTCTCTACAAGATGAGATTGAGAAGGGCCTGAAAGATGAGACAGACCCAGTCTTGCAAAGTGCTGGGGGAAGAACCTTCCAGACTATGGGGAAAGGACGAAGATGGGAAAGAGCTTGGCATGGGTGAGCAATGGCACGAAGGCTAAGGCAGCTGGTGAGTGGGCGGTGGGGAGATGGGGCCGGAGGGCTGGAGAGAGGCCAAATCACGTGAGACTCAGCCGTGGCGAGGGAATTCAGTTTCATCCTGACTGTAGTGGAGACACAGGAGGGCTTTCCACAGGAAAGGGAGGGGCTCCGATTTGTGTTTTCAAAGTCTCTGACTGTTGGGGAGCAAGGGTGGCCCCAGAGAGCAATGAGGAGGCTGCTTCTGAGACCGGGGTAGGACGGGGAGTGGCCATGGGGTGGGACAGATAGGGAGGGCAATGGGACAGGGAGGCCCCTTACCCCAGAGCTCGGCTGACTTGCTGATGATGGGGATGTGCGAAGCATGGAGAGAAGGAACCAAGTCCTTCCCTTAACTTACATTTCCGGTAAAGCACCAGGTTAGGTTCATCAGTGCAATCACTCACCGAGGAACAAAACTGCTGAAAACAATATTTTTAAAAGCAAAGAGGTGACCAGATGGTAAGGAATCAGCAGATGCCATCTAAAGGGAGGTGGGGCCACGAAGAGGTGAGCAGGGCCCGGCAACGCCCTTCGTCGTGAGCCTATGGCAGAACCAAATGGGCTCAGAGGCCTTATGCAAGGCACAAAGCCAAGCCCAGGGCCCACTCGAGGAGGCCAGTGGGAGGCCTTGTTCACAGAGCTGGGGCACAAGTTGCACACCCCTCAGATGCAGGTCAGACAGAAAAAAACCCACCCATGCCCCACCTCAGGAGACCACCAGAAACGCTGCCCTGGTGCTGAGCTCAGGGTGGGGCTGGGGTGGGCACATCGCTGAAAATGGCAACCACAAGCCAGCCTTGCGGCACAAGCCCCCATCTCCCGGCGAATTAAAGATGCTCCATCAATGAGTTTGGAGCAAGGTAACCCTGGATCTGCGGTGGCCCAGAAGAACCAAACGCAAATCCCTTCCAGAAAAATTCACCTTCATCCTAGGCCTCAAAGAACCTCCACATATTACATACTAAAGAACACAGGCAGGTCTCAGTACAAGGACAAAGGGAAACAAAATCCAATGAGTAAGAGACAAGAGAGAAAACAGAGAGCAGAAACAGACACGCAGACTTCAAATACTAAAGAAATCAGGCATGTATCATAAAACAACTATGCTTTTATTGAGCTTAAAGAAAAGCCAGACTGAAAATAGTAAGCAGGAAGCTAGAAACAGGCATTGACTTGGTGAAAAAGGAGTAGAAAGCTAAGGTAAAAATATAATTAAGATTATGGCTTTAATATTTATTCTCATAGTATGTTCACTTCAACTGAAGAAGAACTCATAAACTAAAGATAGGTTAGGGCTGGGTGCAGTGGCTCACACCTGTAATCCCAGCACTTTGGGAGGCCAAGGTGGTGGATCATCTGAGGTCAGGAGTTTGAGACCACACTGGCCAACATGATGAAACCCCATCTCTACTAAAAATACAAAAATTAGCCCAGCATGGTGGCGTGCACCTGTAGTCCCAGCTATTCAGGAGGCTGACACAGGAGAATCACTTGAACCCAGAGGGCAGAGATTGCAGTGAGCCAAGATTGCACCACTGCACTCCAGCCTGGGCGACAAAAGCGAAGCTCTGTCTCAAAAAAATAAAAATAAAAAATAAATAAAGACAGGTTAGGTTAGAAGAAATTCTAGAGAATGCTGTACAGTGAGGCAAGAGGATGGGGAATCTGAGAAGTATGGAGGCACGAAGAAGCAAGTCAGAAGGTCTCATGTCATCTCACCAGGCTGCAGAAGGTAAGAAGAGGCAATGGGAGCAGCATGATATTTTAAGAGATAATGCCTGGGGATTTCACAGAACTGATGGGACACAGCCACAGATGTAAAAAAGCGGCTGAGGCGGGCGGATCAAGAGATCAGGGGATCGAGACCATCCTGGCTAACACGGTGAAACCCCGTCTCTACTAAAAATACAAAAAAATTAGCCAGGCGTGGTGGCAGGCACCTGTAGTCCCAGCTACTTGAGAGGCTGAGGCAGGAGATTGGTGTGAATGTGGGAGGCGGAGCTTGCAGTGAGCCAAGATCACGCCACTGCACTCCAGCCTGGGTGACAGAGCAAGACTCCATCTCAAAAAAAAAAAAAAAAAAAAAGCCCAGTGGACCCCAGGTGGGATAAATAAAAAGCCATCCACACCTGGACTCATCTTAGTGAAACTGCAGAAACAAAGAGAAACATCTTCAAAGCAGCCAGAGATGGAGACAATTATCTGCCAGAGAGGCAGGCTGACATCTGACTTGTCAAACACAGGAATGAAAACCAGAAGCCCATGACATGGCGTCTTCGATGAGCTGAAAGAAAACCCCACTGAAACGCCAAGAAAGAGGGCAGAATAAAGACATTTTCAGAAAACCAAAACCTGAGAGAGTTCAACAACAGAGTGTCTCTACTAAAAGCCTAAAAGGTAAATTCCGGGCCCAAGAAACATGATTCTAGGTGGAAGAACTGAGAGGAGGGGGATAAGGTGGGCATGCATCCTGGCAGAAGTGGGTGAGTTGAAAGGAGTTCTGGCTGCAAAAACAAATAAAGCCTGTGGGTTACAATAGGCCAAGACAGAACAGAAATACCTAGAAATCAGCGAGGAGTAAATGTGGAGCCTCAGGGTTCCATGTGGGATTCCTGTGCTGCCGGGGTATTGATTAACTCTGCGTCTTGGTAAGTATAATGCAGTGCATAGGGTCCCCCAAAGTTCACGTCCACCCAGAACCTCAGAATAAGACCTAAATTAGAAATTGGGTCTTTGCCGATGCACATGGTTAAGGATCAAGGTAAGATCATACTGAGTTAGTGTAGGCCCTAAATCCAATGACTTGAGACTTTAAAGGAAGAGAAGAGGACACAGAGCGACACAGAGAAGAGGCCACATGAAGACGGAAGCAGAGGTTGGAGTGATGCAACCACAAGCCAGGGAATGCTTGAAGCCACCAGAAGCTGGAGGAGGCTTCCCTAGACCCTCCAGAGGGAGTGCGGCCTTGCTAACACCTTGGTTTTAGAGTTCCGGCCTCCAGAACTGGGACAGAATAAACTTTCTCTATGTTAGGCCCCACGGTTAGTTGATTTATTATAGCAGCCCTGGAAAACTCATAGAAGCTAAAGATGTATATTGCAACTACTAGATAAACCACAAAAAGACCAGCAATGGTACAGAACTCCTAAACTAATAGAATAGAAAATAGAAATAAAAAAAGACTTAAAGCCAAAAGAAGACAATATAGACGAGAAAAATATGCAACAGCTAAAAATAAAAAAAGTAGTCTATTTGAACCTAAATATAAAGCAATCATATTAAATTTAAATAGACTAAACACTGCAGTAGAAAGACAAAGGCTGACAGACTATGGGGAGAAATCGAACCTCATGGTGTTTACAGAAAATGCTCAAAACATAAAGATCTGCAGAGGTTGGAAGTAAACAGATAAAGAAGATGCAACGGCAAACCAGAGGAAGCCAGACAGAGTATCTGCAGACAAAATGCATCACTAGGAATTGTTGCCTTGCTATAATGAAGAGTTCAATTCACTGGGAAAAGAAAACAAAACCAGTCTGCATAGACTTAAAACACAGCCTGAAAATTAAAGGTAAAAATCAAAAGCCTCCAAGAAGAAACCGGCAAACCCACAGTCCCAGTGGGAGACTTTGAGAGGAGGTGGATAGGCAGAGAAGAGGTGAGCAAAGCAATTAGCGACTCGGTTCCATTCACATGGAACTGCACTCACAAACCCTTCTGAAGCAGACATTTCCTCACCCGAGGAAAGGTGACTATATCTTGAGGCCTACATGGACCTCAAACAACCTCAAAGAATTAAAATAGCCAGCGAATATTTTCTTACCACAGTGCAAGATGATTAGACAATCCTCATATGTTTAAAAACTAATGAACACTTTTTTTTTTTTTTTTTTTGAGATGGAGTCTCACTCTGTTGCCCAGGCTGGAGTGCAGTGGCATGATCTCAGCTCACTGCTAGCTCTGCCTCCCGGGTTCATGTCATTCTCCTGCCTCAGCCTCCCGAGTAGCTGGGACTACAGGCGCCTGCCACCATGCCCAGCTAATTTTTTTTGTACTTTTAGTAGAGACGGGGTTTCACCGTGTTAGCCAGGATGGTCTCGATCTCCTGACCTCGTGATCCACCCGCCTCGGCCTCCCAAAGTGCTGGGATTACAGGCATGAGCCACCGCACCCAGCCTGAACACTTCTAAATAACCTATTTTCAAAGCAAAATTTAACAAAAATTAGAAAATGCTTTTATTGAATACTAAAAATTCATGAAAGTTATGAATACAAAATGCCACATAAAGCAATACATTAAGGACATGTATAGTCATAAGTGATTAGACTAGAGAAAAAGAAAGGTTGACAATTACTCAGCTAAATCCAGATCTCAAGAAGAAAACACAGCAAAATAATTCCAAGAAAGTGGAAGAAAAAATAAAATAATGAATAAGTTAATTAAATAAAAAGAACTTAATGAAATAGAAAACTATAAAATAGAATAAAAAATCAGAGTCAGTTTTTTAAAGATAATAAATAATAAAATTTACTAATTTTGGCAAGACTAATCAAAAGAAAAAATTAGAAAAGTTACAAATTACTTACTAATATTGAGAATGAAAAAGAAAATCACTACACATATTATGATATGGCAATATTATAATAAGAGGATATTATGAAACTTTCCTAATAAATATTAGAATTTGACACAATGAACATGTCCCTAGAAAAATATCACAAACTCAAGAATAGAACCCCTACATGGTCCTATCACCACTCAAGAAACTGAATCACTAGTTCAAAATCTTTCCACAAATAAAACCTCAAGCGAAGAAAAATTCATCAGTAAATTCTCATCACTCTGCTGGGCGTGGTGGCTCACGCCTGTAATCCTAGCACTTTGGGAGGCTGAGGCAGGCGAATCACGAGGTCAGGAGTTTGAGATCAGCCTGTCCAACATGGTGAAACCTCGTCTCTACTAAAAATACAAAAAATTAGCCAGATGTGATGGCGCATGCCTGTAATCCCAGGTACTCAGGAGGCAGAGGCAGGAGAATTGCTTGAACGCGGGAGGAAAAGGTTGCAGTGAGCCGAGACTGCACCACAGCACTCCAGCCTGGGCAACAAAGTGAGACTCTGTTTCAAAAAAAAAAAAAATTCTCATCACTCACAGATAATAGAAAAGAAGGAATTCTACCCCCAAGCCTGACAAGGACAGCATAGGAAATGACCATCATGGGCCAGCCTCACTCATGAACATAAATGCAAACACAAGCTCAGCAAACTAAACCCAACTGCATATGCAGAATCACACACCATGGACAAGTTGAATTTATCTAAGGAATGCAAGGTTAAATGACTGAACATTCAGAAAAATTAATACAACATACTACATTAACAGATTAAAGATTTAAAAGTCATAGGCTCATCTCAGTGAAGACGGAAGAAGATAATTGAATTCAGGATACATTCAGGATTTAAAACTGTTTTTCAGTGAAGGAAATAGACGGAAACTTCTTTAACCTGATAAATAAATAGTATGTACAAAACAGAGAAATAGAAATAAAAGACAACTTCTTTAACCTGACAAAGACTGTGTGCAAAACACCTACTGTAAAATCATATTTAATAGTGAAACTTTAAAGCTATCCTTTGAAACAGGGCATAAGACAATATGTCCGGTCTCACCACCTCTATTCCATATTGTACTAGAAGTCCTGGCCAGGACAGGAAGACAAGGGGATAAAAGCTACCAGCATTGAAAAGGAAAAACCAAACAGTTACCATTTGTTGATGATATGATTATGTACATAGAAGAGCCGTATGAATGTGGAGATAAGCCAACAGACAGGAAGTCTGGCAAAGTTGCCAAATACAAAAATTCATGCACAAATTAGAGTTAAATTTCTACATGATAGCAACAAATATTTATAAATGAAGAAAGATACCACTCATAATATAAAAAATATGAAGTTCCTACGAATATATCTACTGAAAGACATTTATGAAGAAAATAATGTATATTTGGAGAATATGATGAGACTTTGAGCCATATTACAGAATATATAAATAAGTGATTTAAGACGTTAATAGATTGGAAGACTCAGTATTGTAAATAAGTCAACTGTCCCCAAAGTGGGCTATAGATTCAAATTCACTGGACTCAGAATCCCAAGAGAATTGCAATCTGTGGAACTGGCAAAGTGATTTTGAAGTTCATGTTTAATTGCAAAGGGCCAGTTATAGCCAAGACATTCTTGAAGGAAAGCAAGGTAAAAGAACTGTCCCTTCTTATTGTCAGGATTTCTAATCAGGCTGTAATGATCATGACAGTGAGGAATTGGAACAAGAGCAGATAAATCTCCAGGAAAACAAAATCAAAAGCTCAGAAAGACACCCAGACACAGGGACACTTAGATGGATTCACAGCTGTATTCTACCAGAGGTACAATGAGGAGCTGGTACCATTCCTTCTGAAACTGTTCCAATCAATAGAAACAGAGGGAATCCTCCCTAACTCATTTTATGAGGCCAGCATCATCCTGATACCAAAGCCTGGCAGAGATACAACAAAAAAAGAGAATTTTAGACCAATATCCCTGATGAACATCGATGCAAAAATCCTCAATAAAATACTGGCAAACCAAATCCAGCAGCACATCAAAAAGCTTATCCACCACGATCAAGTTGGCTTCATCCCTGGGATGCAAGCCTGGTTCAATGTACACAAATCAATAAACATAATCCATCACATAAACAGAACCAAAGACAAAAACCACATGATTTCTGCATCTCAATAGATGCAGAAAAGGCCTTCGACAAAATTCAACAGCTCTTCATGCTAAAAACTGTCAATAAACTAGGTATTGATGGGACGTATCTCAAAATAATAAGAGCTATTTGTGACAAACCCACAGCCAATGTCATACTGAATGTGCAAAAACTGGAAGCATTCCCTTTGAAAACTGGCACAAGACAGGGATGCCCTCTCTCACCACTCCTATTCATCAGAGTGTTGGAAGTTCTGGCCAGGGCAATCAGGCAAGAGAAAGAAATAAAGAGTATTTAATTAGGAAAAGAGGAAGTCAAATTGTCCCTGTTTGCAGATGACATGATTGCATATTTAGAAAACCCCATTGTCTCAGCCCCAAATCTCCTTAAGCTGATAAGCAACTTCAGCAAAGTCTCAGGATACAAAATCAATGTGCAAAAATCACAAGCATTCCTATACACCAATAACAGACAAACAGAGAGCCAAATCATGAGTGAACTCCCTTTTACAATTGCTACAAAGAGAATAAAATACCTAGGAATCCAACTTACAAGGGATGTGAAGGACCTCTTCAAGGAGAACTGCAAACCACTCCTCAAAAAGAGGACACAAACAAATGGAAGAACATTCTACCCTCATGGATAGGAAAAATCAATATTGTGAAAATGGCCATACTGCCCAAGGTAATTTATAGATTCAATGCCATCCCCATCAAGCTACCAATGACTTTCTTCACAGAATTGGAAAAAACTACTTTAAAGTTCATATGGAACCAAAAAAGAGCCCGCATCGCCAAGTCAATCCTAAGCCAAAAGAACAAAGCTGGAGGCATCACCCTACCTGACTTCAAACTATACTACAAGGCTAGAGTAACACAGCATGGTACTGGTACCAAAACAGAGATATAGACCCATGGAACAGAACACAGGCCTCAGAAATAACACCACACATCTACCACCATCTGATCTTTGACAAACCTGATGAAAACAAGAAATGGGGGAAGGATTCCCTTTTTAATAAATGGTGCTGGGAAAACTGGCTAGCCATATGTAGAAAGCTGAAACTGGATCCCTTCCTTACCTCTTATACAAAAATTAATTCAAGATGGATTAAAGACTTAAATGTTAGATCTAAAACCATAAAAACCCTAGAAGAAAACCTAGGCATTACCATTCAGGACATAGGCATGGGCAAAGACTTTATGACTAAAACACCAAAAGCAACGGAAACAAAAGCCAAAATAGACAAATGGGATCTAATTAAACTGAAGAGCTTCTGCACAACAAAAGAAACTACCATCAGAGTGAACAGGCAACCTACAGAATGGGAGAAAATTTTTGCAATCTACCCATCTGACAAAGGGCTAATATCCACAATCTACAAAGAACTTAAATTTACAAGAAAAAATCAAACAACCCCATCAAAAAGTAGGTGAAGGATATGAACAGACACTTCTCAAAAGAAGACATTTATGCAGCCAAAAAACACATGAAAAAATGCTCACCATCACTGGCATCAGAGAAATGCAAATCAAAACCACAATGAGATGCCATCTCACACCTGTTAGAATGGCGATCATTAAAAAGTCAGGAAACAACTGGTGCTGGAGAGGATGTGGAGAAATAGGAACACGTTTACACTGTTGGTGGGAGTGTAAACCAGTTCAACCATTGTGGAAGACAGTGTGGCAATTCCTCAAGGATCTAGAACTGTAAATACCATTTGACCCAGCGATCCCATTCCTGGGTATATACCCAAAGGATTATAAATCATGCTACTATAAAGACACATGCACACGTATGTTTATTGCGGCGCTATTGACGATAGCAAAGACTTGGAACCAACCCAAATGTCCATCAATGATAGACTGGATTAAGAAAATGTGGCACACATACGCCATGGAATACTATGCAGCCATACAAAAGGATGAGTTCATGTCCTTTGTAGGGACATGGATGAAGCTGGAAACCATCATTCTGAGCAAACTATCGCAAGGACTGAAAACCAAACACCGCATGTTCTCACTCATAGGTGGGAATTCAACAATGAGAACACTTGGACACAGGGTGGGGAACATCACACACCGAGGCCTGTCGTGGGGTGGGGGGAGGCGGGAGGGATAGCATTAGGATAAATACCTCATGTAAATGACGAGTTAATGGGTGCAGCACACCAACATGACACATGTATGTATATGTAACAAACCTGCACGTTGTACACATGTACCCTAGAACTTAAAGTAATTTTAAAAAAGTGTGTTTCACAGAGATGCCATTTGAGATCAGTGGGGAAGAGATAAATTAATTCAATAAACAATTTGGGAACAACTGAATACCCACCCACATGGGGGGGGGGAGTGAAATTGATACTTGACCTTAGATTGCACACAAAAACCAATTCCAGTGAAACAAAGACCAAAACATGGCAAACGCAATTCTACAGCTTTAAGAAACTGACTTGGGAAACGATTCCTCAGAGCACAGAAGGATTTCCCAAACGAGGGACCAAGGTCACTAACCGTAAACAAAAAGAAGATAAATGTCGCTGTTCGGCAAAAGACATGCTAAAGAAAGAGAAAAGACAAGCCAGGGTGTGGGAAAAAGTCGGAAACCCAGAACTAAGTCAAGGGTGCAAATCCGGGATATATAAAGAACTCCTATAAATCAGTACCTTTAAAAGGCAAACATTGCAATACAGAAATAGGCCAAAAAAATTGACTTTCAGATAATGAACCTGCAGTAGCCAGTAAACATGCCAAGGAACTCTAGCGCATCAATATGGAGAAAATTTAAGTTAAACCACAATACACAATTACCCACCAGATTGTCAAAAAAATGGAGATACCAATTATTGGTGAGGTTTCAGAGCAATGGGAATGCTCATTAGCTTGTCCATTTGTAAAAACCCACTCTGGAAAGCAATTTGGAATTGCCTTCCACCTTTGAATGTGTGGAAATCTCACAACTCACCAAATCCTCGAGACGCTCATGGACTCCAGCAGGAAAGCCGCACAAGCACGTCTGCGCCATTTTATTCACAGGATCCCTGAATGGAAGCAATGCAGGTGAATTGAGGAATAGTCAGAGAATGAAACATTACATGACAACGCACAAGAACAAATGACAGTCCCTGCAACAACACAGCTGACCCACACCCCCCCCCCCATCCACACGGCCCCGCACCCACCCATCCACATAGCCGGGCCACACAGGGGACCCACACCCCCCCATCCACACAGCCGGGCCACACAGGGGACCTGCACCCCCCCCATCCACACAGCCCGGACACACAGGGGACCCGCACCCACCCATCCACACAGCCCGGACACACAGGGGACCCGCATCCACCCATCCACACAGCCCGGACACACAGGAGACCCGCACCCACCCATCCACACAGCCTGGCCACCTATGCCCTCCAAGGGCTCAAAGAGCATCTCATTTGCCAACATAGCATCTTGAATGAGGTTGCCTCTGGCTGAGGCACAAGCTACAGTGAGAGAGGTGGCACAAGGACTGTGACCCAGGACAGAATTTTTTAAAATGCATGATTGCATTTATGTGCATCACAAATTGGAAAAATGAAATCATTTAGGAATGAGGACCACAACAAAAAACAAAACTGGCTGGGCGTGGTGGCTCACGCCTGTCATCCCAACACTTTGGTAGGCCAAGGTAGGCAGATCACCTGAGGTCAAGAGTTCAAGACCAGCCTGGCCAACATGGCAAAATCCATCTCTACTAAAAATTCAAAAATTAGCCGGGCATGGTGGTGGGTGCCTGTAATCCCAGCTACTTGAAAGGCTGAGGCAGGAGAATCGCTTGAACCAAGGAGGCAGAGGTTGCAGTGAGCCAAGATCGTGCCACTGAACTCCAGCCTGGGTGACAGAGTGAGACTGTGTCTCCAAAAAAAAAAAAAACAGTCATCACAAAAAACAAATCAGTGGCAATCTCTGCAGGGAAGGGCAGATACGATTGCTTCCGGGGGGCGTGGGAGGCACACCTGGAGGGAAGGCAGCATCATTTCTCCAGTCCTGAGTGGCAGTTACAACTTTCCCCTTTCACAGACCTGGAGACAAGGTCCTTCTCACCAGTTGGGGGAACTTGGCCTTCACCTCCCTTCCCTGGCCCTCAGTTTCCTCATGTGTAAATGGAGAAGATAAAGATAATGACCCCATCTCCCTGCAGCTATCTGGAGGCCACATGAGTGAGGAACCAGCCATGCCTGATGCGCCACGGGCACTCTGGTGCTGGCGGCCAGTGAGTGGCCGATGCTGCTGGATTTCCCCAGCAGGGAGTCAGTGGTATTCCTGCTGTACTGATGTGCGGACAGCAGAGGCAGGATTTGAACCCGAGACTACCTGACTCTAGAGCTTGTGCTCATTAACCTCTGCCCCCGATAGGAGGAGCAGGAGAGACCCAGCCCAAGGTTCGGCAGGGAATACAGACAGGGTGCCCGGCTGCCCTTCCTAGCACATCAGATCAGCCAGGGTGAGGCCTGGGCTGAGGCTCCCAGCAATTGTGGGTGGGCATGGGGGGAGCCCAGGGCACTGGCTGGTGAGGTCTGGAGAATGGCAACTTCACAGAGTCTAGTGTGAAAGGTACCTCTCCCCACTTGCAGTGATGGGAAACCAAGGCAGGGAAGGCAGTTGAAGGAAGCTGGTTCCTTGGCATGAGCTGGTAGGTTGGACCAGTGCCTGTCTGAAGGCATAGGGGAAAGGGGCCGACAGACGTGTCTGGGTGTGAAAAGGACCAGGATGTGAGGCTGGGCGTTGGCTGCTCAGTGTAGAGGAATGGGGTGCCAGTAGACCTGAAGGATGAGGGGCTCTAAACACCCTGGTCTGGCCCAGTTGCCACAGAGCCCACCAAATCTGGAATGCAGGCTGGGTGCTAGAGCAGAGCATTCTGGAAGCTGCCTCCAGCTGAGCAGGAAGGAGCACCACTAATTGTGGAGAGGGTGGAGCTCATTGCCTTGTGCCACCATTGCCACCCCAGACCACTGTGGCTGTCAGCAGGAACAGCGCCAGGCCACACTCCAAAAACTCCAGGCGCTTGTCCTAGGAGCTTCAGGACCCTGGGCCTGTGTCTTAATTGCTGTGAGCCTCAATTTCCTCACGCCAGGCCATTGTATCAAGAGTTCCCCAGCGAATGTTCTCCAGCCATGCAGCCCCCACTAGGGTGACAACTGTCTTGCTTTGCCCAAAACTCTACCACCCCTAGAGCTGAAAGGCTTGAGTCCTGGGAAGCCCCTCAGTCCCGGGCAAGTGAGCGTGGTGGGCCACCCTAAGACAGGCAGCGTGGGTTGGACATGGGGGCGGCCAGGGTCTCACCCCTCAGTGCCCAGCCTGCTGCCCACGACAGCTTTTCCACTGCGAGTGCAGCCCCCTCCCGGGCTTCTGCGCCGTGATTTCGTCACAACGCAGGGATAAGCCCAGACTCTCCAGACAGCTGGGCCTGGTCTGCTCAGCTCCCAGCTCCTGATGACTCAGCCCTGGCTAGGCCTCCCACAGACAAGGCCAGCCAGGGCTGCGGATGCCACGTCCCCACCTCAAGCCTGCCCCTGGGCCCCAGGATGGCCTCCCTGGCTCAGGCCCAGCTGCAGGCAACAGCAGCAGGATCCAGGGAGAGCTCCTGGCCTGAGCGACAGAGAGGCACCAAGCCTGCTCCCCAGCCACGTGGCCCCGCTGCTCACGGTCCTCCTGGCCCGTCCTGGAAGGGGGCTCGTCCATGGACACCCCCACATGAGACAGAGAACGAAGGCAGAGGGCAGGAGGGCGAGGACACGGCCTGGCGGCCTCTCGCTGTACCCACCTCTCACCCCAAGGCCCCTTCACCAAGCCCTGTGGGCCACAGCTGGCACTCAGACTCCACCAGGGGCCGGGCCCGGCTGTCACTCCCATCCTCCAGTGAGCGAACAGGACTCAGAGTGGGCTACATGGCCAGCTGGAGCCACCAGGCCCCCTGTCCCCCACGACCTAAGCTCACCCCTCCACCGGCCCCACTGCATCTGGGTGCAGAGAGAGGGCCCGAGTCTGCTCCCTGCAGGAGGAAAGAGGGTGCAGGGCCGCCGTTGAGGCAGTGGAGAGGCAGCAGGGAGGCAGGGGGAGGCAGAAAGGGAGAAGCTGGGGTTGGGGGGCTGCCGGCTGTAGGTACAGGGAGGAGCTCTGTGCCCAGAGGCCCATGGCGGTTCCCAGCCACATGGCTTGTCCCCCCACCCCCAGGGTCTTCAAGGACCCCACTCACAAGGGCAGCCCTGCAAAGAGAAGCTAGAGAGAGGTTGTGACGGGAACGGATGTGACGGGAGTATCGGGACCCCCAGCTCGAGGGTGGAGGGTGGGGCAGTCCTGGGGGCAGGTTGGGGAAGAAGTCACAGACACCCCCACCTCCACCCCACGCACAGAGCGGTCCTCCTAAGGAGACTGCTAGCAGCGGGAGAGAAGCATGGGCAGCCCCCAGCCCCGCCCTTCCTCTCACCTGCCCTCCTCTCCTACGCCCAGAGAAACCGGAGGCCAGAGCGCAGGAGCAGAGCCCGGGACCTGGGGCCGACATACTTTCCTCTCCTCCCAGCGACTCTCGAGTCTGCAGGACCAAAACCTCCCAGCAGCCCCCTCGCCTCGGCAGGAAGAAGAGGGCTGAAGGCTGAAGCTGCAGAGGGGGAGTTGTGATTTAGGTTGGACTAGACTCCTAGATACCCCCACAAGCCTGCCCTGACACCTCCGAAGTGCCCCCAGGACCCACGGGCCCACCCAAGTTGCCCCACAGGGGTAGGGAGGGAGACTCAGCAGGGGTGAGGGGCGGGTGGGAGAAGAGCCCTTCGCTAGGGACACACTCCCCCCGCTCCGAGCCCTGCACGCAGCCCTGATACACTTAGCCCGACTGTGATTGAAAACCACGCTAAGAGTTCTGGAGCCCATGCCCTGCCTGGCCGCCTGGCCTGGGTGGGCCAGGGGGATCCCCAGAAGGCGCATTTGAGCTGAGTCGGGACAGAGGAGGATGGGCAGACCAGGGGGGTCCAGGGGAGCAGGAAGGTCCCAGGCCAAGTGGGCAGCCAGAGCCCCGAGGCTGAGCATTTCCGCGCACAGGTTTCCCGAGGCTGAGCTTTCGCGCACACAGGTTTCCCGAGGCTGAGCATTTCCGCGCACAGGTTTCCCGAGGCTGAGCATTTCCGCGCACAGGTTTCCCGAGGCTGAGCTTTCGCGCGCACAGGTTTCCCGAGGCTGAGCATTTCCGCGCACAGGTTTCCTGAGGCTGAGCATTCGCGCCCACAGGTTTGTCCCTGCGTGCGTTGATTCATTCAACCGCTCACGGTGAGCGGGCTCTGGGCTGGCAGGTCCTGGCTGCGGGGCCTCTTCCCGTGGAGCTGACAGTCTAGGGATGGGCACGAGGAGAGAGGAGCAAAGGGTCAAGGGGAGGGGCAAAGGCCCAAAGACAAATAACAGGGGAGGAGGAGCCGTCCCTCTGCTCGCCCCCAGCTGGGGTGACCGCGTGGTTCATCCCTAAAACCAGGACACCTAGGATTTCTCCTGGCAGGGCACCAGGAATCATTAAATTTATAAAGGCTGGGAATGCATATTTTAGTGACTCGCTGGGTGTATGAAAATGGTGGCTCCATAAAAGACAGTCTGCCCTTGAACCACGAGGGGGTCGGGGCACCCACACTTCTTACAATTGAAAATCCATAGAAAGCTTTTTTTTGTTTTTTTTCCGATGGATTCTCGCTCTGTCACCCAGGCTGGAGTGCAGTGATGCGATCATCAGCTCACTGCAACCTCCACCTCCTGGGTTCAAGCGATTCTCCTGCCTCAGCCTCTTGAGTAGCTGGGATTACGGGCGCCTACCACCAGGCCCAGGTAATTTTTGTATTTTTAGTAGAGACGGAGTTTCCCAAAACATTAACTGCTAATAGCCTACTGTTGACAAGAAGTCTTACTGATAACAGTCAATTAACACATATTTTATATATGTATCTATACTGTATTCTTACAATAAAGTAAGCTAGAGAAAAGAATGTGATTACGAAAATCATGCTGGGGATGGTGGCTCAGGCCTGTAATCCCAACACTTTAGGAGGCTGAGGCAGGCGGATCACCTGAGATCGGGAGTTCGAAACCAGCCTGACCAACACGGAGAAACCCCGTCTCTACTAAAAATACAAAAAATTAGCCGGGCGTGGTGGCACATGCCGGTAATCCCAGCTACTCGGGAGGCTGAGCCAGGAGAATCACTTGAACCCGGGAGGCGGAGGTTGCGGTGAGCTGAGTTCACACCATTGCAGTCCAGCCTGGGAGACGAGAGTGAAACTCCGTCTCAATAAAAAAATAAAAAGTAACAAAAAAGAAAATCATAAGGAAGAGAAAATTTATTTACTTATTCATTAAATGGAAGTGGATCCTCATAAAGGTTTTCATCCTCATTGTCTTCATGTTGAGTGGGTTGAGGAGGAGGAGGAGGAGGAAGGGGGTTGGTCTTGTTGAGTCAGGAGCGGCAGAGGCGGAAGAAAATCCACAGGCAAATGGATCCATGCAGTTCAAACCCGTGTTGTTCAAGGGTCAACTGTAGTTCTAAACTACTTTCAAAAATACAATGCGGCCAGGCACGGTGACTTACACCTGTAATCCCAGCACTTTGGGAAGCCGAGACGGATGGATCACCTGAGGTCAGGAGTTTGAGACCAGCCTGGCCAACATGTGAAACCCCATCTCTACTAAAAATACAAAAATTACCCGGGCATGGTGGCGGGCACCTGTAATCCCAGCTACTCGGGAGGCTGAGGCAGGAGAATCACTTGAAACTGGGAAGCAGAGCTTGCAGTGAGCCGAGATCCCGCCATTGCACTCCAGCCTGGGAAACAAGAGCGAAATTCCAACTCAAAAATAAATACATACGGCCGGGCGTGGTGGCTCACACCTGTAATCCCAGCACTTTGGGAGGCCGAGGCGGGCGGATCACGAGGTCAGGAGATCGAGACCAGCCTCGCTAACACGGTGAAACCCCATCTCTACTAAAAATACAAAAAAAAAATAGCCAGGCATGGTGGCGGGTGCCTGTAGTCCCAGCTACTCGAGAGGCTGAGGCAGGAGAATGGCGTGAACCCGGGAGGCGAAGCTTGCAGTGAGCTGAGATCGCGCCACTGCACTCCAGCCTGGGCGACAGAGCAAGACTCCGTCTCCAAAAAAATAAATAAAGACATACATACATACATACATAATAAATAATGCTTCCTACAAGTATGAAAATGTATCTGTGTATACTAACACAACATAAAATAACATCTTTATACAAATTATTTTTGGTACATAACCATGCATTCCCATCAGTATCTCAGCCACTGGTCTCCAATAGTTGTCACTGGTGTTTTTTTCAATATGGCATTATATTTTTTTCATGAAATTCCTGACAAATCATTCAATTTATGTTAATTAATTTGAATTCTTTGATGCCCCCCAGAGCCAGTTCTCTGGAAATAAAATAGCATTTTTATTTGAGAAAAATACATTCTCACCAGATGCTGAGCTCAAACCTGACGGACCCAGCCATTTCTGCTGAGTAGGGAATATTGACAACCCTAGGTTGGTCTGTTTGGGGGCTTTTGGTTTGTTTCATTTTTGTTTTGTTTTTGTTTTGCTTAAATGTGTAAATATTTCATGCCAAATATTCTCACAGGTGCTGTATTTAGTGTGCCCTTCTTCAACAAATATATTTGTGAGACAAAATTCAAATAGGCCGTCTCTACATAGGATTCTTTTGAATGACCTTCTCAATTTTGTTCTGCTTAGTTTCAGAATGTAAATGTATCCACTTAACATAAAAGCACCAACAAAGCATTCTTCCCACAAGTAAAGATTTTCCAGAGCACAGTTATTCAATTTTGAAACTGAACATTGCACACCCGCTGGGCCTGTAGTTAAATTTGTTCTGCTTCCTCCTTGCTTTCATAGGGACAAGCCTCAGTGTACTCGCCTTTGCAGAAAAAGATGCAAAAGCTCAAGTGTTTTGACACTGTCTGTCAAATCGCTTGACTTAAAACCTCCAAATGGTTTTAAATAAAATGCAACCAAATTTAGAGACTCATTTTCTTTTCTTTTCTTTTTTTCTTTTGAGACAGTCTCGCTCTGTCACCCAGGCTGGAGTGCAGTGGCGTGATCTCAGCTCACTGCAACGCCACTACGCCCGGATCGTTTTTGTACTTTTAGTAGACAGGGGATTTCACCATGTTGGCCAGGCTGGTCTGGAACCCCTGTCCGCAAGCAATCCGCCCACCTTGGCCTCTCACGCGTAGTGCTGGGATTATAGTCATGAGCCACTGCACCTGGCCTGGAGACTCATTTTCAAAAATGTTCAATACCGTCATGTTGAATTACAAGGTAATTCTTCAATGGCTCAATCAAAAAGAAAGTTCATGCTTCCACGCGGAAAGGTTTTTCCTATACGCATCACTCTGACACAAACCAAACTACAGTTCAGCTACTCCGTGTGTATATAAAAATATGTGCACACTTTGACAGCTACACCCTCTGTTTGTACTGGTTGAATATCAAGCTTGTTTAAATGCAATGAGGAGTTTTGTACACCGCAACCAGATCCCAATAATGGGCTTCTTCATTGAGTCAGAACACTGCGTCTTTACCATGGTGCCATGGTACTCTAAAATTCATCTCCCTGTCACCATCATCAAAACAAATAAAATGCCAATGTTGACATTTTCTTGCTGAATTTGCAGCAGTATTGACTGTACGTCAGATGTTGCATATGTGATAAAACAAACTTCCAGATGCTTCACCTAGATTCCTGCAACTGGATAGGAAAAAAAAAAAAAATCAAAGCATTATTGGACCTAATTTAACTGACTTCCTGCTTGACACATCTGATGAGTCAAGCTAAACAGGCATCAATGAATGGTTTGCAAAGTTCTGAGAATCCATGCACAAGAAAATTTGGAATAAAAAGCAAGCAAAATTAATTTAGAGGAGCAGACATTTCATCTGAATAAAGTGGCAGGCTCCACAAAGTCCTGTATTAGGGGTTCCTCAGCCATCCTTATCCTCAGCCAGTCCTCTTAAAGTGACAGCTTGAAGGACTGACTCGCTCCTCCGGTTCTCGTGTGTCACTGCAGCCCCCATATTGGATGGTTAATGCCAACACTAAGTTTATATATGAGTTCATCATCAACTTCCTCGAGAAAGAGAAATAAAAATTTAATGTTGTTATTAAGCATGACTTTTTTTTTCTGCTTGTTGCTGCTGAATGGGTTTATTGCAAAATTTGAAAAGCATTACCAAACAGTAAAAAAATAGTTGTGGGTTTACGCTATTCAATAAATGGCAAAACCACAGGGGAGTTCAGGCGATTGTATGCTCACACTCAGGCAGGCCCTCTGCCTTTATTTTCCACACACATTTCATGTTCTCTCAACATGGCTTTTCCACCGCCCCACACACACTCCGGCCGCCCAGTGATTTCGTGCACGTGCCAGGCCATAGCAGCGACCGTACGTCAACCCCACTCTCTTGGAATGGCCCTGAAAGGCGGAGCTGCCAGCAGGACGCCTGTCATCCACGTTGCATGGAGGGAGACATGGATGGAGATTTGGATATGCTGTGAGTCCTGGGCAGTGGTCAGTGGCCTGGAAGGATGGTCGGGGCCTGGAAGGGCAAGACTGGAAAGTTGGAGACAAGGTGTCCTGGGGGAGAGGTGTGCAGATGGACTGGGAAGCGTGTGAAACTTTGTCTGGGGCCTCCTGGTTCATGGGTATGAGAGTAGCCAGGAGGAGAGATGCTGGGCCCGTGAGACAGCAGTGAGTCAGCCTGCCTTCCCCGCCACCCAGAGCTGAAACAGCGAGCGCACAGCCCCAGCAGCGTGGACGGCTCACATCCGAGAGGTTCTCTTGCCCAGGCCACCCGTGTCTGCCAATGCCGCGTGCCAGCAGAGCAGAGAGCCACTCGAGCTGTCCAGGGGAGACTTCAGTTCTCAAGGAGACCAACCAACCTCTTCATGACTGGTGACACGTCAGAACCCAGCTGACCCTGCCACCCTGGAGGCCACTTCCTCGCTGGGTGGACCCACATCCCAGCATGGCTCACCTGCCCTCTCCACGTGGCCTCACCACCTGCACCTTCCAAGGACTCATAGAGCATCTCATTTGCCAACACGGCATCTTGCATGAGGTTGCCTCTGATGAGGGACCAGCTACTGTGAGGGAGGTGGCATAGGGATCGTGACCCAGGAGCACCATGGCACTCAGAACCTGCCAGCCTGACAGAGTGGGAAAGACTCCTTAAAGTCCTTAGTAAAGGCTCCGGGTGGGGACAGCCTCTGCGCCGAGATACAGAATGCAGTGGCCCAAAGGTGGGAGCCACCCAAAGGTCCAGCAACGGTGATGGAGAAACAAAACCGGCCCATCCGCACAGTGGAGTGTGATTCAACCACAGAAAGGAGCGAAGCTCGGATGCATGCTGCAACGGGGACCCGAAAGACATGGGCTCAGGGAAGACGTCAGATCCCAAAGACTCATACTGTACGATCCTATTTGTACGAACTAGAATAGGAAAAAGCAAATCATACAGACAGAAAGGAGACTCACGGTTACCAGGGGCTGGGGAGAGACTGTTTAATGGGTAAAGAACGCTCCTCTGGAGTGCAAAAAAGTTTTAAAATGAGAGAGAGGTGGCGGCTGCACCTGGTAAATATACTGATTGCATATTTTAAAGTGGGGGATTGTAGGTTATGTGTATTTCACCTCAATAAAAATAAAATAGAGCCGGGCACGGTGGCTTACACCCATAATCCCAGCACTTTGGGAGACCAAGGTGGGCAGATCACTTGAGGTCAGAAGTTCGAGGCCAGCCTGGCCAACATGAAACCCCTTCTCTACAAAAAACACAAAAATTAGCCAGGTGTGGTGGCTGGTGCTGTAATTCCAGCTACTAGGGAGGCTGAGGCAGGAGAATCGCTTGAACCCGGGAGGTGGAGGTTGCCGTATGCTGAAATCACGCCATTGCACTCCAGCCTGGGCGACAGAGCGAGACTCTGTCTCAAAAATAAATAAATAAGAAAAGAAAAAAGGTACATTGCATATATTTTGAAACATCACCCTTAAACAAATAAGATAAATTAAATTAATAAATAAGAAAAGAAAACAGGTACAATGTATATATTTTGAAACATCACCCTTCAGGATATGATGTATGCTTGAACCCACGGATTACACAGAAGACATGGGCCAGGAACGAAAGTGTGGAGGCAGGAGGGATGCTCCTCTGTAGGGTGAGAGGTCCTGATGCCCGGTGTGGGGCGCTTCCTCCAGGGACCATAGTGAGGACCCCGCTGACCTAACGCTGCAACTGCTGGCTGGTCACACAGGAAGCGAAGAAAGCAAACCCTCCCTTGCCTACCAGGAGGAGCTGTGGTCACTGCTACGTCAGGGGGCAGGGACCTGGATTCTAGGCCCCGCTTGGTGCCAGCAGGGTAACAGTAATGGACAAGCCCAGCAGCCAGGCCTGGCCAGGGCAAAGCCAGCCCTCAAAGAGGGAGGTCTCCATCACTCCATGGCAACAACCTTGGGCTGGAAGTGCCGGTCCAGGAAGAGACACCGGCACGGGATGGAGGGGGAGGTGGTGATCTCAGGTGTGACGCTGGAAGGCCTGAGGGCCGCAGGGGCTGCAGCCGGACTCACAAGCTCTCCTGATTTAAGAGTTTGGGGAGGAATGCTATTAGCCACCACCCTGAAGAATCAAGGACAAATGAGAATGGACTTGGCAGGGGCTTCAGGGGATTTGGACGAAGCCAGGGGTGGACTCCAGCAGCCAGCATCAGTGCCCGGCCCAAACCCCCACCCACCCCCCATCCACCCCGAGACAACTTGCAGGCACTCCCCGGAGAGCATCCCCACTTCCCTTTTCCTTCCTGGAAGGGTTTCCCTGGCCACCGGGGGCAGCTGAGGCTGTGAATGAGGTGGACTGAAATGCTGGAGTGCCAGAGCCCCTGAAGGACCCCCAGAACAGTTGGGGATGGGAACGGTAGCTGAGTACTCCGGCGCCATCCACCACCCCAGCGCCATCCACCACCCCAGCGCCATCCACCATCCCAGCACCATCCACCACCCCAGCACCATCCACCACCCCAGCGCCATCCACCACCCCAGCGCCAACCACCATCCCAGCGCCATCCACCACCCCAGCGCCATTCACCATACCAGCGCCATCCACCACCCCAGCGCCATCCACCACCCCAGCGCCAACCACCATCCCAGCGCCAACCACCACCCCAGCGCCATTCACCATCCCAGCGCCATCCACCATCCCAGCGCCATCCACCACCCCAGCGCCAACCACCATCCCAGCACCATCCACCACCCCGGTGCCATTCACCACCGCAGCACCATCCACCACCCCAGCACCAACCACCACCCCAGTGCCATCCACCACCCCAGTGCCATTCACCATCCCAACGCCATCCACCATCCCAGCAGGACCACTCGGCACATCATGGGCCTCTGTTCTCGGAGGGTCCCCAGCAGGCTGAGTTGCTTTGCGGGCTCCCTGCTTCCCATCCTGCTTCCCCCGGTGCCTCGCAGCAAATCCTAGACTCCCCTCCAGAACAGCCACTTGTGCCCAGACCCTTGTCTCGGGGTCTGCTTTGCAGGGACGCCACCTGAGACTAAGGACCCTGCAGGCTGTCCTGACAAGGGCGGTCCTGACAAGGGCAGTGTTAGTCGCATCTGAAAAAGAGAAGAAAACTGCAGGTGGCTCCGGCTGATGGTTTTCCAGAATGAACCACAGATGCGACTGTGGCAGACACTGCAGGTGCAGGGGCCAAGCCCCACCCAGCCTGTCTGAAGGCAGCTACTAACTAGACTTTGTTAAGCAGTGAAAATCCAGGGCAAGGCTCAACAAACGGGGTGCCTGGAAAGAGGCTTCAAAGGGGACTTCACCAGGCAAAGGCAAGGGCAGCCCTCCCGGGGCACTGCCAGGATGCCGCTCCCTCGGTCCGTCTTCCCCCCGTCACCCTGATCCCAGCACCCAGTGCCTTCTCTCATCCACAGGATGGCGGGAGCCTCTGACCTGGTGGTGTGTGCTCTGTCCTCACCCTGCGGTCAGGGGAGCTTAGCCGAGTGGCAGCTGGTGACGTCCCTGCCCCACCTTCATCCCACCCCACACTCTCCACTCACACTTAGAATCCTGCCATTTGCTCCCAGGGTTTCAACGCGGCTGGGCCGCCAGGACTGCTGGGCCAGGGTTTCAGATATTGAAATACTGCCTTACAGGTCAGGGTCAGTACACAGTCACTTCCCCACCCCCATCCCCCAAACACCGGGGTCTCAAAGGGACTAAAGGGTTAACTCCACAACTGGCCCCGGGACATTACTGCAGCCTGGCTCCCAGCTCTCCCTCTAGGGGATAGGGGGGTGGTCATTGTCGAAATCCCCTCGGTGCTTCCACCGTGCGGCCCTGCCCCCGGCCCCACCTCCTCCCTGCTGTCCTGGGTCACCAACTCCCTGGTCTGTGCAGACCCCAGGCACTGGCCCCACTCCCTCCTGCCACAGAGCACAGCCTGTCTCCTCTGTCTCGGAGGCGAGGCTACGGCCCCAGCTCTCCACCTCACTAACTCCTACTCATCCCTCAAAATCTTGACTCAGATGCCGCTTCCTCCAGGAAGCCCTCTCTGACCTCCGAGGCAACTCTGGCCCCCACAGAACTGAGTGCCCGCCCTCTTGGCATGGCCCATGTTACACTCTTGGTTCTCGGGTCACTTGGCTAACACCTCCAGGCTGTTAGCTTGTTGGGGCCGGAGCAGGTTGGGTTGGATTTGTTCTGTTTTGGTTTTTTCCCCGCTGTATCCTCAGCACCGTGCAGGGCACCCAGCCCAGAGCAAGAACCTGGCTAAGGGAATGAATGGACTAGTGAATGGAATGCGGTCCTCACTGGCCCCGCGTTCCCTGCGAGCTCCCCACCCAGGAGGTGTGGGCTCCGCTCTGACTCCGGACTCTCAGGAGTACTTCAGCTGCATGGAGCAATCTGCTCAAAAGCCCAAATGGACTCCTTATCTTAAAGGATTGCACAAAACCCTGGAGCTCGCTTTAATCCCAGCTGTCCATGTAGAGAACACGCAAACCAGCAGTGCTCAGGGCCCCCGGGTGAACTCACTTATCCTTAATCAGCAGCAGATGCTGGGAAGGGCGTGAGCAGGCTTTTCTGAACCATATGGACTGTTTCTTAATGCTCATATTGAAAATTCTTCAGAGGCAGATCAGGCTTTAGCTGGAGGCCTCCTCTTCTTGCGGGTCATGCAGGCTTTAGCTGGAGGCCTCCTCTTCTCTGATCCGGCCTGGTGCTTGGGGTAGGGTCCATTCCTCCTCTGACCTCCCAGCCTCACGGGTCAAGACCTCCAGGGGTAGCCCAGGCAAGGGCCAGGCGAGGGGCACCACCATCAGCCTCCAAGAAAATGCAAGTCCGACATCCCGAGCCCGTGGCCCATTTTCTTGTCAGGACTTGGGCAGAATTTCACCCAAGTTAGCAATGGCTTGTCCTCTGACAATCAGGTGACAAATACTTACCCAGCACCTCCTGCACCGTGGCCGGAGGGCCTGAGAGGCAGGTGGAGGCAGGAAGAAGTGGTCGGGATACTGGAGGGGTTACAGTGGCTCTGGGGTCAGACGTGGGTTCAAACCACAGCAAATCATTTTACCACTGACTCCACAGTCCCCTCATCTATAAAATAGAAAACAAACAAACTCTCCTTTCAGAGAGTCAGCAGACGCACTGCGCCCGGCACCTAGTAGGCCATCCATACGCGGAAATGACTTTGTGATGTACCCCCGTCCAAAAGGCTCTGGGCTCAATAAAAGACAGCCCTGGTCATGGCCACTCCCCCCAGCTGTCCCAGGAGCCAATTTCTGACCACAGACGGATCCTGCTTCTAGCTCAGATTATCCTGCTTCTAGCTCAGATCCCCTTCTTCATCCACAGAGAGAACCCAGACCCAGGATTGCGAGCACGCCGATGAGAAAAGAAAGACAGGAGAGTCAGACACCGAATTCACGGAGCAGGTCACGCCCCAGGAACAGGGCAAAGAGGCTGTCGCTGTTTCTGCAGTTTCCTCTGATAAGAGGAAGCGACGTGGCCCATGTGCTCTGATCCAGCCTGGTGCTTGGGGTAGGGTCCATTCCTCCTCTGACCTCCCAGCCTCCAGTGAGCTCTCGGGCGAGAGGAAGTGGCAGAGCCCCTGACACCCAGAGGCACACAGCACGAGGCAGGATGGTGTGGCACACGCAGAGACACAATAACAGAATACTCCAGCCCCGCCTCTCTCTTTTTGTTATTCTTGGGTATCTTTTTTATATTTTTTTTTTTTAGAGACAGAGCCCCTCTGTCACCCAGGCTGGAGTGCAGTGGTGCCATCTCGGCTCACTGTAACCTCCACCTCCCAGGTTTAAGTGATTCTCATGCCTCTGCCTCCCAAGTAGCTGGGATGACAGGCACCTGCCACCCCACCTGGCTAATTTTTGTATTTTTAGTAGAAACGGGGTTTCACCATGTTGGCCAGGCTGGTCTTGAACTCCTGACCTCAAGTGATCCACCCGCCTTGGCCTCCCAAAGTGCTGGGATGACAGGCGTGAGCCGCCGCACCCGGCCTATTCTTGGGTATCCTTATTGAGCAGTTACTCTGGCCAGATCCCCGGCTAAATGCTCTCCACCACCCCGTATCTCACAGATTCCTCCCAACGAACCAATCTAAGCACCAGGATTGTGCACGTGGAAGGCTCTGAAGTGTCAATAACTTGCCCAGGATCCCAGGCAGAGCAGTGAAGATTTGGACACAGGCCTGAGGCCTATCAGGACACTCATGCAGAAAGGAGGCCTCCATGCCGGAACAGAGGCCCGTCCTCCACACACACAAGTGGAGCCCAGAATCCTCTGCTGATTCTCAGGAGGTTGATTCTCAGGTCCCCACTGCCTGTCTCTTCTAAAGATGGGATGTAATCGTGTCAGAGTTGACTTCACAGTGTCTGCGTCATTGTATACCTGCTACGGTGCAGGCTCAGCCATCTGCAACTTCCATTGTCCCCCTGGAACCCGGAGGGAAAGAGCCCCTCCCTCCATTGGGCATCCGTATATGAACCATGCAGACCTCTCCTCCCTGTCATAGACAAGGCACTGAAGCCCCTAGAAGAAATGGCCACCAGTAGTAAGGGGCTGACTCAAGCATCTACCACATGCTGGCGCTTTGCATCACTGACCCTCTTCAACCTTCCCAAACTGTGTGACATGGTGACATCACCCCAACCACCCTGACTCACAAGGACACAAGCTCCTGGAAGGGACCTGACCGCGGGCAGTGGAGTTTGGATTTGAACCCAAGTTGGTGGCTCCAGAGGCTGGGCTCTTCTCATCATAAGGCCCTGTGACCCTCCCAGGGGATGTTCCCCACTCAGCCCCTTTCCTTTGGGGACAGCCACACTGGGGAGGGTGGTTCCTCGCAGCAGGAGCTGGGTCCTTTCTTTCCACCTGCATGATCAGCTCATCCAAAGCAGGGTTCTGTACTGGTGTCTTTCTCTCCTTCCTGCATCCACCTCAGGGTGAGAAATGAAGCAGTGTTCCAGTACAACCTGGAATCATCCCGGAGCGAGTGTGGCCCCGTGCACGGAGGGAGATGTGCTCCTTCTAGGAGGAATGGTAAATAGGCTTCATCTCAGAAGCCCCCTGCAACCCAGGGGTAGTGCCCCTCCCAGCCAGGTGAGAGGTTGTGTATACAAGTCGGCAATGGCCAGATCGCATATAAAAACAGGACTCTGACCCACAATCCGCAGCAACCCACCCAGGACACAATGCATTACCCACCACAATCAGCCCAGGAAGCCGCCTGCCACCCACAAGTCTGCCTTGCAGAGAACGTCAGACCACTGTCTCTTGCAAACAGTCCAAGAAGCCAAACAGTAACCCCTGTAACAATCTGCCCAAAGTGGCCTGGACTTGATGAATAACTGGTATGTTTCCTAACATTTTCCTTCCTTCCAACTTAGGACCAACCAGAGAAAACTAAATCTGTATCCCTAGCCCATTGCACAGGACACTGCTTCTAATCAACCACTTCCAGCTTCCCAACACCAACAGCCTCCAACCAGGGCTCACCTGAAGTCTTCCCTTTTGTCCTCTATGGTATCAGGTTTTTCTACTTCTCTGCCTGCCTTTGAGCCTCTGCTAAAACATAAGTGACAGTGGCCGACTCCCGTGCTAGAGTCAGCCTCTGCCTGTTCTCACTTGGGTGGCCTTCATTTATTTTCACCAAGGGCACTGTGTAAAGAAGGGGTCTGAGACTCCTTCTGGGCTTGGCGGCCAATTAGCAACATCTGCCATGGCATAGGCGGTGGGCAGGGGGGTGACCTGGATGCTCAGAATCAGCCCCTCCAAGGGTACTTCCTCCTGCTTCCATCAGAAAGATGCCTCTGTCCAAGCACCCTCCTTCTGCTTCCCTGATCCCGGGCGACTGGGTGAAATGCAGGAGGGGCAGCTGGTAGGGGAGCGAGGGAGCTTGCTCCCCCACTGAGCTAACGAAAAGCACGGCTTGGCACTGGCAGTTTCCCTCTGCCCCTCATCTCACACTGGAATGAAAAATGCAACGTGGAGCTTCCGCAGGCAGATAGCAGACGTCCCCAAACTCTGATGGTTTGACCACGAAATCAGCACAACACTGATGAGATCACAGACGGTTAAAATCCCCCCAGGCAGGGCAACAGGGCAGGATCCCAAGGACAGAGCTCGGCAGAGGTGGCCGCCGGCCCATCAGGCTCTGACTCTCTCCGAGGCACAGTCACTGTGGGAAGCAGCTGCCTGCAGGGACGTTTCCCAGCGCCCTCGTCACTGGGCGGAACCGAGGCACCAGTTCTCAGCAGGGGAAGCTCAGAAGTGACAGAAGCACTTCCGTGTGGGTACATGCGGACACCAGCGCCTCCATGCACTCTCTGTAAAGGGCTCAGAGAAGCCACCAGACAAAGGAAGCCAGGTTTTTATGCAACTGTTCAGCAGAGAACTGCCCGAGCAGGGGCGGCTGCCCTGGGCCCCGCCTGAGTGAGGCTGCATCCTCTGTGTCTGCCGCCACGCTGTGCCAGGCCAGGGAGCCAGGTGACCGCCACCCACTGCAGTCGTATTCACATACGTGAAGGCATGAGGCATCCAGCATGAAGGGGCATCCTCTGTCCTGGAGGAAATAAGGCATATGCCTATAATCCCAGCACTCTGGGAGGCCAAGGTGGGTGGATCACTTGAGGTCAGGAGTTTGAGACCAGCCTGGCCAACATGGTGAAGCCCTGTCTTTACTAAAAATACAAAAATTAGCCAGGTGTGGTGGTGCCTGCCTGTAATCCCAGCTACTCGGGAGGCTGAGGCAGGAGAATTGCTTGAACCTGGGAAGCAGAGGTTGTCGTGAGCCGAGATCACACCACTGGACTCCAGCCTAGGCAACAGAGCAAGACTCCATGAAAGAAAGAGAGAGAGAGAGAGAGAGAGAAAGGAAGGAAGGAAGGAAGGAAGGAAGGAAGGAAGGAAGGAAGGAAGGAAATGAGCAGGCGCCCATGCAGAGGGCACGTGGGAATGAACGTCCCTGCCTACTCTTGGTAGAGGTGGGGGCTGGGTTGCTTTTGCAGAGGTCATTTGTCAGTTGGCATCAAAATATAAGAAAAGGCATTTGTTCAGAATCTGTAGTCCTGACCTGCGAAGCCAGCCTCAGAAGTAATAAGCCAAGTTCAGAAGGTTCAGGGAGCGTTATCTGTATTAACAAATCAATGGGCATCCCCTAAAAGTCCCTCACCAGCAGACTGAAGGAAAGAGGGTTTGCTGTGCTCGTGGCATGGGGCACCCATATGGTGCCCTAGAACATGCGGGACTGCCAAGTTCAGCCCTGCCTACCGTCCCTCCTCACTGAGGAAGGGGTCCGCACAGGAGAGATGAGCCCCTGACGGTCAGTGTGCCCAGCTTCTTCCCATCAGGGCTGTGGTTCCATGCCGCCTGATGGGAACTCCAGCAAAGCCGACTGGGGCCTATGATTTGGGCTCAAACCCAGATCTGGAGGTTCTCCCTCTCCAGCTAACTGGTGGTACAGAAACTCAGGCATGACCATGCTCTAGGGCACATAGCAGGGAGAAGGGGGGCAAGAGGGCTGGGCCCATGGGGATGTGGGCTCAGCTCACAGCTCTGCCTGCATGGAGCAGGGGAGGGTGAGTGACCCAGCTGGGAGGGTGCTGAGGTCTCTCCATCTGAAGAGCAACAACATCCTCATGACAGCGGTGGCCACTGAAACTGCTGATGGACAAACACACGGATGGTGAGGAGCGTGGGCCACGCAGAGTTCATTCACCATGGATTTCCAGGCTGGGGCGTTTCAGCGGAGCTCTGTCTCTGTCTCTGATCGTCGGATCTGGGGAGATTTTCCCTCCCAAGTGAACCTGGCTCAACTGTTTGAATTGTCCACAATGAGCACGGATGCTCTTTGTAGAGAAACAAATGATTTGTAATGAGTTGGCAGAGAGATTATCATGGAAGGAACCTCCCGTAAGGTGGCAGAGGCAGCGTGGTATAGACACTAGGAGAAAAAAGGCCCCCACACTGGGCAGAGCCTGGTCCTGGCCAGGAAGAGGCACCCTGCGAGGTAGGACAGAGCCACCACGCGGTTCTTCCCAGCGTCCCCATGAACACTCGCCGGCAAGCACCTCCCTCCACTTTGTCCCAAGCCCGCCAGGCACGTGGCAGCCTAGGACTCCCCCACCCACCATTTCCTGGAGAAGGCCATCTGGCACTGCCCGTTTTGTGTGTGTGAAAAAGTCCCGGTCTGGGTCCCTGGGTCCCACCACGAGCGGCTTCGAGGCTTGGACACTCCCTTCCCTGCCTGGGCCACTCTCCCCCTCCATCCAACAAGGAGAGGCCGCAGAGCCCTCTCCATGGTCCCACCCAGCCCCAGGAATCCTGTGATTTCATGAGCCCACGGTTATTATCCCTGGGTAAACTCTCTAGCCCACAGCATCACAGGCTGAGGAGCCAATTCCAGAACCGAGTGCTGTGTAGGCGTGAGGCGCACGCCCGCAGTGCCAGCCCGGCTCTGCCTTCCATGGAAAATCCACATCTGAAGGCCTGGCCCGGGCACCTAGGACTCACCAGGCTCTGGGCGCTGAGTCTGGGTAGAATTTAGGAAAGTCTCAGGCCAGGCGACTTCCTGGAGCAATGGCACCGCTCCCTGGCTTGCGGGGCAAAGGCGCTGGGCCAGCCTGGGTGCGATCCCCGTTGCCAGGAGACTCGGACATACCTCATAACCCCTGCCAGGCCCCACCAGCCTCTGCCACACCCCACCAGGCTGAGCTTGGGAAATCCAGTGAGGTAGGAGAGCAGGAAGACCCCTGCCCAGGAGCAGCCGGGCCTAGACACAGGCCGGCTCTGCCTCTTCCTGTCTTCACAGCCTGGAGCATGATGCTTTACCCCCGTTAGCCTTGGTTTCTCATCTGTCCAGTGAAGGGGTTTCAGCAAAGGTCTCAGCAAAGGCAGCTGTGGCTGACGCTGCCCGTTCCCCGGCACTCCCTGACCTGCAGCCTCTAATTTAGAGTTTCTCTGGTCTCTGTCTGTGGCGAGGGACAGGAGTGGGGAGAAATGCCCCAGCTTCCTCTCCCTCAGACGGAACACTCAGGGGGATTCACCACTGTCATCCAGAGGTCCCCTGGGGACTGCACCCAAATTTCTCACAGTGGTGGCCAGCTTGCTCACGTACCTCACTTCCGTATCAGAGCTTCTTGGGATCACCCCCACAAATAAACTACTCACACTCAAGTATTCTGTCAGAGGCTGCTTCCAAGGGACCCTGACCTAAGGCAGCCATGCCAGACGCAGAAAGCCTTCTCCTGAAGCACCAGGTAGTCAGTGTTTTAAGCCATATGAGCCACGGGGCAAATTGAAACTATGATGCTGGCATGTAGGTGCCCAGTGGAAAGGTACACCTTGAAAGATGCAAGACCTTAGGGCCGCAAGAAGCAGGCAGCAGGCCACATGTGGCCTGGGTCACAGTTTGCTGACTCCTGCTATCACATATGGATCCCAGATCTCAGTGGTTTAAGGAAATAAAGGCCAGGCACAGTGCTTCACGCCTATAATTCCAGCACTTTGGGAGGCTAAGGCGGGTGGATCATTTGATCCCAGGAGTTTGAGACCAGCCTGGGCAATGTGGCAAAATCCTATCTCTACAAAAAACAGAAAAATTAGCCAGGCATGATGGCGTATGCCTGTAGTCCTGACTACTCAGCAGACTGAGGCAGGAGGATTACCTGAGCCTGGGGAGGTCCAAGCTGCAGTGAGCTGTGATCCCACCACTGCAATCAAGCCTGGGTGACAGAGTCAGATGCTGTCTCAAGAAAGAATAGAAAAGAAAAGAAGAAAAGAAAAGAGGAAAGAGAGAGAAGGAAGGAAAAAAAGAAAGAAAAGAAAGAGAGAAAGAAATAAGAAGAAAGAGAAAGAAAGAAAGAGGGAGAGAGAGAAAGAAAGAAGGAAAGAAAAGAAAGAAAGAAAAGGAAGGAAAGAAAAGAAAGAAAAGAAAGAGAGAGAGAGAAAAGGAAAATTTGCTTCTTGCTTAGATAAAGTCCAATTGGCAAGGGGCAGGTAGCACAGGATTCTAGGCCAGGTTCAGGGGCCTGAGCTGATAGATGCTCTGCCATCTGGCACAGAGGGTTTCCCAAAGTCACTCTGGGCATCAGTGTCCACCCAACATCCAGTTAATGAAGGAAGGACGGAGGGCATGGGGGTGGCACAGGAGGCTTTTATGGGACCCAGCATCTGGTCCCAGCAATACCCAATGGGCAGCCAGCCACATCCTCCCCAGGGGCAAGGATGTTGGTAGTCAGGACACAGACTGGCAGTTGGCACCACCTCCCCACTTGGCTGTGTGCTAACAACTCCCTTGCTTGTCTTCACAGCTTCCTCCTTTTTTTTTTTGAAACAGAGTCTTGCTCTGTTGCCCAAGCTGGAGTGCACTGGTGCGATCTCAGCTTGGTGCGATCTCAGCTTAGTTCAACCTCCACCTCCTGGGTTCAAGTGATTCTCCTGCCTCGGCCTCCTGAGTAGCTGGGATTACAGGCATGCACCACCAAGCCCGGCTAATTTTTGGATTTTTAGTAGAGACAGGGTTTCACCATGTTGGCCAGGCTGGTCTCGAACTCCTGACCTGAGGTGATCCACCCACCTCGGCCTCCCAAAGTGCTGGGATTACAGGTGTGAGCTACTGAGCCCAGCCAGCTTCCTCCCCTCTATGTTCATCCCTAAGAACATGGAGTTTAGGGTTGCCTGCTTTGGAACTTTGTATTATTGCATTCTGTTGTTTAGCATTTTCTGCACATTACACCGGCCACTTATCTGTGTGTTTACATATCTAAAGATCCTTTACTGTTGATACTGTATCTCCCCATGTGATTGACCTGGCCCGAATGGGGTCCCAGCATCCCCACGAACACTCACCTCCCTTCACCTCGTCCCAAGCCTGCCAGGCACGTGGCAGCCTGAGACTCCCCCACCCACCGTGCCCTGGAGAAGGCCACCTGGCACAGCCCGTTTTGTGTGTATGAAAACGTCCCGGTCTGGGTCCCACCCCAGCAAATCCAGCCAGGTGGTCTTCAGCAAGAGAGACATCACAATCTCCAATTGCCCCAATTTACTTATTCATTTTCCTACCGGGGGCGGCTGGGCGTTTCTGGGCTCTGGCTGTCTCAGCATCAGTGCTGTGAAGGTGTTTGTCCACACACCTCCTGGGGCACAGTGTGTTTCCCCAGGAGAAGGGCCACCGCGCTGTGGCAGGTCCAGTTTTGACAAACAAGGTACGTGGTACCGAAGGCTATGCTGCTGTTCCCGTCCCTCAGCAGGGCAGGCAGCACAGATGCAACCTGCAGGGACATGGCTTCCACCTTGCAGAGTCCACCCTCACACTTCGTGCTCGCTACTGCCAGTGAGGTGCACAGAGTGGGGGTCGTTGTTCCCACCTGACAGATGAGGAAGCAGCGGCTCTGCAGCTGGAAGGGGGACACTGTGGCTGTACCTCGGCGGCAAGGCCTGGCTCGGAAAGGACATGGACTTCCCTGGCCTCTACTCCAATGCACCCAAGGGCAACCCTCAGGGTCCTGGGGACCTCCTTAGTCTTCACCACACGCCACATAGGAGGGTGAGACCTGTGTTCTCTTTGAGCCCAGCATCAGGCCCAGCCAGACCAGGTCAATCGCATGGGGAGGCAGCCTCAGGGGGAGGCAGGAAGTTCCAAGGACTCCACCGCCCTCCTTGGCATGTAAACTTTAATGTTCAGGATGCAAGTTCCACCCTACCTCACAAAGATAACGAAATTCCCTGCGGAAGCCGACAGCGGGCACCTTTCCTGTAGGCCCTGGTGCCTCGCAGGTGACCGGCTCACGGGTCCACGTGACTGTACCCACGTCCCCTCCTCCTATGGAGCACCTCTTCCCATTTTACTTCCCACGCGCATCTGGCAGAAATGGTTAGTCGGGCGTCCACAGGGCAGATTCCAAACCCACCACCAAGTGTAACCTTTGCCAATTCTCCCCCTGAGCCTCAGTTTCCCTCTCATGAGAGGGTGAGGAGAGGTGATCTGTGAGGGTCTGTTCACCTCTGGAATCACGCAGCACATAACTGGGTCCTCAGAACACGTGCACAGGCCTCAGAGAGCATGTGGGGCTCGTTGCCTTAAGGAGATCAGTGTGACGTTAAGAAGACATTTTCCAATGTTGTAACTTCGCTTTAGCCCCATCTGCATGACCAAAGGGCAAAAACACAGCCTCTGGAATGAGGGAGGGTTGTAGACGTGTTCTTTCTCACTTCAAGGGGTAAAAACTGCAATAAACAAGAGACATTTAGGACATTTAGGGACACTTCCTCCCAGAATGGCCAACCCAGGAAGGAGGTGGACCAGTCAGGGCCAGCAGGACACAGAAAGCTAAATCCCAGAGGTCGAAGGAACCGAGTGCAAGGGCAGGGCTGCCCCAGGTGGACGCCTTTGCCATCACAGCCCCAGAGGCACTAGCGGTGCAAGCATGGTGACCATACCTGGTGGGACTCAGGACCCTGGATGGCAGCCATCGCCAGAACTCAGCCAGGCGAGGAGTGGGGGACAGCTTCCTGCCATCTTCCCTTTGATCTTCTGCCATGGCTGTCCATTGGGCAAACCCAACGGGAAGCCCATGGGCCAGAGAGCCCTAGGAATGCGATCCTTGGAGATCAGCTTCCCAGGCCATAGAGCAGGACGCAGAAGAGAAGAGAGCCGAGTGGATCTGGGGGACCAAAAGGAGAGTAAGCAATTCAGAAGGTGACAGCCTCGTCATGGTAGACAGCGCCTAAGATGGCCCCAGTTACCCTGCCCCCCAGAATGCAGGCTCTTGGGTAGTCCCCTCCCGTTGAATATGGGTGAGACCCATGAGTTGTTTTTAACCCATGGAGTGTGGTAAAGGTGGAAGGCATCCCTCCGGCACTGACCACCTGTGAGATTGTGATGTCTCTCTTGCTGAGGACCGCCTGGCTGGATTTGCTGCCACACGCAGCCAAGCTGGGGAGGCCCACGGCACTGGACTGAGGACAGCCTCCAGCTAATACCCAGCTAGGAGCTGAGATGACCTCCGGCCAACAGCCTGCAAGAGATGGAGGCCCTCAGCCCCACAACCACAAGGAAGCAGATTCTGCCAATGACCACGAGCACTGGGGAGGGATCCCTCCCAGACAGGTCTGCAGATGAGACCGAAGATGCAACCGACACCCGTGATGGCTGCCTCTGAGACCCTGAAGATGAAGACCCTGCTAAGCTGTGCCCGACCCCAGAAAACTGAGATAATAAACGTGTGTTGTTTTAAGCCAATCACTTTGCGGTAATGTTGTCATACGGCACTAAGTAACTAACAGGTAATTTAGTACCTGGAAGTGGGGGGCTGCCATAAGGAATACCTAGAAGTGTTGGGGCAGCTTTGGAACTGGACAGGGGCAGAGGGTGATTTGGGAGACTGTGGTAGAGAAAGCCTAATTTGCTTTGAGCAAACTGTTGGTGGAAATCTGAGCTTTCAGATGACTGCCAGAGGCCGGGCGTAGTGGCTCACAGCTGTAATCCCAGTATTTTGGGAGGCCGAGGCAGGCGAATCACCTGAGGTGGGGAGTTCGAGACTAGCCTGGACGACATGGAGAAACCGCTACTAAAAATACAAAAATTAGCCAGGCGTGGTGGTGCACACCTGTAATCCCAGCTGACGGGGAGGCTGAGGCAGGAGAATCACTTGAACCCAGGAGGCAGCCAGACGTGGTGGCGCACACCTGTAATCCCAGCTGACGGGGAGGCTGAGGCAGGAGAATCACTTGAACCCAGGAGGCAGCCAGGCGTGGTGGCGCACACCTGTAATCCCAGCTGACGGGGAGGCTGAGGCAGGAGAATCACTTGAACCCAGGAGGCAGCCAGGCGTGGTGGCGCACACCTGTAATCCCAGCTGACGGGGAGGCTGAGGCAGGAGAATCACTTGAACCCAGGAGGCAGCCAGGCGTGGTGGCGCACACCTGTAATCCCAGCTGACGGGGAGGCTGAGGCAGGAGAATCACTTGAACCCAGGAGGCAGCCAGGCGTGGTGGCGCACACCTGTAATCCCAGCTGATGGGGAGGCTGAGGCAGGAGAATCATTTGAACCCAGGAGGCAGCCAGGCGTGGTGGTGCACACCTGTAATCCCAGCTGACGGGGAGGCTGAGGCAGGAGAATCACTTGAACCCAGTAGGCAGAGGTTGCAGTGAGCTGAGATCACGCCACTGCACTCCAGCCAGGGCAACAGAATGAGACTTCATCTCAAAAATAATAATAATAATAATTTTGAAAAAGATCACTGCCAGAGAGGACTCGGAAGCAAGCAAGGACAACGTCACTGAAAACCGGAGGGAGGGAGATGCTTGCAAAGTCGTTAAGAGCAAGTTCAGCAAAATCGTCACCTGCAGGTATGCGGCAAGGAGGATGGGTTGAGACTGGGCTGGGCTACTGAGCTAAAGAGGCTTCCCTGAAAAGTATGGGAGGTACTGTTTGGTTTCTTTTTGCTGCTTACAGTACAAAGCAAGAAGAAAGAGATATATTGAGGACAGAACTGTTAAAAAAAAAAAAAAAAAAGGAACAAGGACTTGATGATTTTGAAAATTCTCAGCCCCTCTCAGTGGTAAATGGTGCTGAAATTAAGAAACGCAGAAGCACAGGTGGGGCCACGGGGTGTCTGCTGCGCTCCTGGCTCCTTCTGCCAGTGCTCCTGGCTCTGCTGCCACACACAGCGGCTCCTCTGCTCTCCTGGGCTTCCCCCTCTCCTGCTTTCTCATGGGCATGCCCCAGACTGTTCCGGGCCACACTTTTTTCTCTGCTTACATGTTAATGACCAAGGGATGACCTTCAAATTCATGGTATCTAATACTGTCAGCTTCAGGTAGCAATATACACCTAAACAAAATCTCATGGTCGCAATCACTAGGAGTTTATTTTTCTTACCCCACAGTCCTGAGATAAGTGGCTGCTGGTAATGATTCTCACCTCGGTGTCACCGCAGCTGCGTCTCTGTGACTCTGGTGGTCTTTTGTCCCTGCTTGTTACCCACACTCACGAGTTGGCTGCTGTGTTCCCAGCCAGGACATCCACATTCAAGATGGGGAAGAGCAGGGGAGACAGAGAAATGTCTTCTGAGCAGCCGGGAAAGTATGGCCTGGTGGAAAACCTGAGATTGTGACTGCAGAAACTTCTGCTAAAATTCAGAAAAACCAGATGCTAAAAGTACCAGGTCACACAAACAAACAGTCCTGTAAGGAGATAAAGACTGGCCTCATGGATGTTCTCAATGGAACCAGAGAACCTCTAGGGAGCTTGAAGGCATGCTAGGAGACGCTCTCACTCATGGGCTGTGATGAAGACAGTGCCATGAGGGAGAGGCCTAGGGGCAGCCTTCAGCCTCCAGCCAGCAAGAAACTGGAGCCCTCGGTGTGACAGCCCACAAGGACCTCAGACCTCCTGACAGCCACGGGAGCTTGAAAGCAGACTCTTCCCCAGCTGAGCCTCCAGATGAGACCCCGGCTCTGGCCAACACCTTGGCTGCAGCCTTGCAGAGGCCCCAGTCAGGTCATGCCCAGGCTCTTGCCCCACAGAAACTATGGGGTAATAACTGTGTGTTGCTCTCAGCTGCTCAGTTTGGGCCACAGTCATGCAGCACTAGGTACTAGACCCACTGCAGGGCAGCCACACACTTGGTAGCAATAGTGGAGAGATGATTTATATACTGAAGCATTTTAGATAAAATAATTTCTGCAATTTAAAGGACTGCACTGTAAAGTACAAAACACTAGTCACATATTGGAGCGCACCGTGGCTCCCAAGACCCATTGGCAAGAGAGAGGGGCCCAAACCCCAAAACACACTCAGGCCCCCGGATTTCTGAGCCATTTGTGATTTGGGAACCTACCTTGGCTCAAGTGGGATACGTTGCCCCTTTCTTTTTCCAAGTTTCCAGACCGCCAAAAGATTCTTAAGCTCAGTTCTCCAATGGCTGCGAGTCAATGGGGCCGTTACATTTGCTTAGCCAGGGTCACGAATCAGGAAGCTTTAGCATCGTTCCTGGCTCTCTGAAACCATTTGGTAGAGAACTAGTTAGAGAAGCATTAAGGCATTTGGACCTGTCTTCTTCTGCTCAGGTGCCCATAACAAATACCACAGACTGGAGGGCTTAAGCAACAGACATCTATTCCTAGGAAGTACAAGATCAGGGTGCTGGCCAATTGGTTTCCAATGAGGGCCCTCTCCCTGCCTCATGTCCACACATAGTGGGGAGAGAGAGAAAGAAGAGGGAGTCCTCTCATCTCTTCCTATAAGGACATTGATCCTATGGGATCAGGGCCCCATCCTTATGCCCTCTTTTAATCACCTCCAGAAAGCCCTCATCTCCAAGCACAGTGACACCAGGAGCTGGGACTTCAACATATGAAGGCAGGGGGAGTACACAGTTCAGTCCGTAACAGACCCCCTGGCCATCTGCAGAGGAGGTTAGAGGCCTCTCCCTCGGCCACGGACAAACATATGGGTCCTGGGCTTTCTCTTGTTTCTGTCAACTATAGAGAGAGTGGCCAAAACACTGCCCAGAATGTTTTCCATCACACACGAGCATACACACAAGAGCAATGGATATTTGAGAACAAAGGAGTCCACCAGGAAACAGATTCGGAGTGACTGGGTCCAAGGAAGAAGGACAGGTCTCCCCAGGGATGGACCACATGAGCGTCGTGTCCTAGAGAGGCCACCAGACTCAGCCAGGACAGACCTCATTGGACAGACGGGGTGAGGATGGTGCCTCCAGCCCAGACACCACGTGACCGCTCGTCCTTCTCAGTCCAGCCACTGCACTACTCGGTCACGCCATTGCCAAGGTGAGTCAGAGCCTAGCAAGGAGGCCCACCTAGCCCGGCAGACAGATCTCCCCCATGGGAGCCCCGTGCAGGTCAGCGCGGGTGTCTCCCACCCAGTAGTTCCTCCCGAAATCACATTTTATTGCTGCTTTATACAATGACTAAAAGGTCACTACTCCTGCCAACCCATGAGCAAACTAAAACAAGAAGCTTTTCCCTCCTTCACAAGTCTGAAAGGGCATCCAAGGTCTCGTCAGCTGTGCCCGGCTCCCTCCGGGTCTCAGCATGCCAAGCAGCCCGGCACATGGGCACACCCGAAGAAGGACCTTCCACCCCACCTCACACCGCCAGGGACAGCAGGACCTCGCGGAGGGGTGGTTCTGCTCATCCATCTGCCCCTCAGCAGCTCATCTGGTAAGCCCTGGCCCCTGGAGGCTTAGAGAATCCCAGCTGGAGTTGCTGTGGGTGCAGGAGCCTGCGGAAGGCGCCGGCTGCAAGTGCCAGGTGTTTCCTTGGTGGCAGAGCTGGCAGGAGCTTGGTGAGAATGACCAGGCTGTGCATGCATCCAGCCCCTCTCTGGGAAAATCATCAGCCTGGCACACAGTTGGTGCTCAAAATAGAAATGGCTAAGCCATTCCCAGACATGGCTACAGTGGCAAACAAAATAGACGTCGCAACCTGCTGCATTGAGCAGCTGCCCACGGGAGGACAGACCAGAAACAGGGCTCCAGCCCCACTGAGTTCCATCCCCGTCCACCACATGGCTGCTGGCCGGTCCTTGGAAAAGCCCCTTTCACACCGTCTGACCTCAGTTTCAATACCTATAAAATGAGAGTGTGGGGCCCGCCTTCCCAAGAGTGATCGGTCCGGCCTCTCCATAGGACCTGCTGTGGTTGGCACAGGGACGGCTGCCCTGGTTTCCCTTCAGGAGGGACCTGTCACCCGGCCCCGGGGAGTGGCTAGCACACAGCCTCCAGCTGGCAGCTCCTCCGCACCCTAGGTCATGCCCCTTCCCACGCTCTGTAGGTGAGCCACGGCCGTGTGCCGCAGGACACCAACAGGCAGGACGCAGTGAGGTGCAGGACACTTTTCTGGGGGTCCCCAGAGGGCTGGACTAGGCCTTATGAGGCCTGCACCACTATGCAGCCGCCTTTTCCACCCAATCTGGCTTCTTCTTTCCCTTCTGTCTTAGTCCATTTGAGCCACGATAAAAGAAAACTACCCCCAGACCGGGCAATTTATAAAGAACAGAAATGTATTTATCACCATCTGGAGGCTGGGAGGGCTGAGCTCAAGGCTCCATGAAGTCCTCTGGCCAGCAGTCTCTAGAACACCCCAGAGAAGGCAACTCGGGAGCGCTGGGTGGGTGAAGTGGCTACAGCAGCCCTTCCCAGCGGTGCCAGGCTCCGTGTGGCCTCTCATCCACCTATTGATAGGCAGGGAAACAGGCTCAGGCCGACTTGGCCACACTGGAACCCAGACCCTCAGCCATCCAACACTAAAGCCTGTATCTTAACCCACACAGCTTGTGGATACCCGTCTCAGGGCCACCTTGCTCTTCACAAAGATGGGCAAACTGAGGCCTAGAGTGAAGGACTGAGGCTTAGAGTGAGGAACTGAGACCTAGAGTGAGGAACTGGGGCCTAGAGTGAGGAACTGGCGCCTAGAGTGAAGGACTGAGGCTTAGAGTGAGGAACTGGGGTCTAGAGTGAGGAACTGGGGCCTAGAGTGAGGAACTGGGACCTAGAATGAGGAACTGGGGCCTAGAGTGAGGAACTGGGGCCTAGAGTGAGGAACTGGGGCCTAGAGTGAGGAACTGGGGCCTAGAGTGAGGAACTGAGGCCTAGAGTGAGGAACTGGGGCCTAGAGTGAGGAACTGGGACCTAGAATGAGGAACTGGGGCCTAGAGTGAGGAACTGGCGCCTAGAGTGAGGAACTGGGGCCTAGAGTGAGGAACTGGGGCCTAGAGTGAGGAACTGGCGCCTAGAGTGAGGAACTGGGGCCTAGAGTGAGGAACTGGGGCCTAGAGTGAGGAACTGGGGCCTAGAGTGAGGAACTGAGGCCTAGAGTGAGGAACTGGGGCCTAGAGTGAGGAACTGGGGCCTAGAGTGAGGAACTGGCGCCTAGAGTGAGGATGCGACGAGCAAGCCCTGGTGCCAGTTGCAGGTCCGGGGTCTCCAGCTCTGAGGGCAGAATGCACTAATGCTCAGTGTCAGAGAAGCTCTGGGGGCTCTAGGGATTTCCAGGGAACCCTCTTGGAATGTGTCGGGGCTGGAATGGTGGCTGTCCTGGCTGCAGCCCCAAACCCAGGCTCTCTGCAAACCCACACAGGCTCTGGGCTTTGGGACGAGCAGAGTGGGGAGCGGCTTGTGCAGGCTGAAGTTGGAGCCAAGCAGAGAGGCCAGTGGGAGGGGGACCCCACCAGGGCCCCAGCACAGCCCCCACCCCATCCTGGCTGGGGGCTCACTGAGCAGCGACTGCCAGGCCAGAGCTGCCTTCCTTCCTAAAGCCTGGGGCCCCGCCTCCCGGGACACGGCCCAGAAAAGGAGGAGGAAAAGTTCATTTCCTGAACACGCCTGGAGAAAGAAGTGTGCAGCCTGTCCACGTGGCAGAGTTTGCAGATGCCACCGGCCTCCCGCAGGCTCAGGGTGGAGAGACATCCTGCGTGGAGTGCAGCGCCCCTTCTCGTCCGGGTCCCTCCTCCTTCCCCGGGGATCTGCTCCTTCCCCGAACCCCTCCTGCTTCCCCGGGAATCTGCTCCTCGTTCTCTCAAGACAGCAGGGCAGCGGGGTCCTAAGGTGCCGATCAGGGTCAGGGGGTGCCCACCAGGCCTCTCCAGGCAGCAGGAACCCACCCAGCCCCCTGAGGCCCAGGCAAGGCTTTCTGGCGGCAGCCAAACCCACACTTTGTCAGCTTCCTCCACCTGCTCAGTGAGCCCAGGCCCCAGGGAAACAGCTGAGAACAAAATACATAACGTCTCTGCAAAGGGACATCCCCCAGCACCCGGAGGAAGGATGCATCGAGCAGAAGCCAGATCGGTGTAGAGCCATGGGTGGGCACCGTCCCCTCGAGCCCTCTGAGAAGGCTCCAGCCAGAGGCAGGTGCAAGGGCAAAGCCAACTGCCACGAGGCCCAGGCAGTTGCACCTGGACAGAGGGGCTCCTGGGGTGTGGGAGGGAGTGAGGCAGGGGCTAGGGATGGAGCAGGGGCTGGCTTGGGGCCTCCTCTTATCCCGTTAGTGGCAAGACACACTCCACGGCTCCGCCTCGGGGACACCTGACTGCTGCGGGGAGAGCGGGCATGCCATCCACTCAGCAAACACACACTGAGCCCCAGCTGTGCGCCTCACCCTGGGGCTGGGGGCTCATCTTCAGCAGGCCCAGGTCTCAGCGGGGGCAAGTACATCAGCCAATAGCCCCCTCCAGGGAGGTTCCATCGGGGCCAGGGCCTGGAGGGTCACCAAGCTCATTCTCGAAGAGTCTCAGAGTGAGAGTGGCAGGCAAGCCCTCTGCCTCCGGGTTCCGCTGTCAGGACACAGGAAGATGCTCATGGGCCAGCATGGCCTTAGATGCCAGCTCTGCACAGCACGGGCATTTTTCTGCCCCATTTTGGCCTTCATTCAGCAAGTGCCCTCCTCGCCCCCAAACGTGAGGCACTCTCTGGGGAAGCCCACCACGATGGAGCACCCAGGAGGCTACTCTCGGAAGATTCCGGGGCAACCCCAGAGCCCCTACATCCCGTGGGATCCGCAAGCCTGCACGGCTTGGGCTGCTCCAGCCAGGGGAGGCTGTGGGAATCGAGCCTTTTGGAGGAGTCATGGGACTCCACAGGGGTCAGCAGAGGAGCTAGACTTCACCCTAGGGACAGTGAGGGAGGCCTGGTGGCCACGCTCAGGACACACTATCTTACAGGAAGAGGCAAGTCCTCACCCGGCCCTTTCTGCTCTCTGCCCTCCCAGCCCACTCTGCTGCAGTCACCCTGGCCCCCCTGGTGATTGTCCAAAATAAATACAAAAGTCCTAACAGCTTCGTTGACTGGGGCTGGCTCACACACCCGTGCACCGTGTGTGTGACTCACATCAACCCAAAGCGGGGAGATAGCCACCCCTACAAGCCCCCCAAGTCACCAGTTCCAGGGGCCCCCCAGGCGCCAGCCCAGGTCAGCTGACAGCAGGGCGAGCCTCCAGCCTCCACGCCACACTCCGGCACACAGACTGGGCCACCCGGAGCCTAATGTTTTCAGGATGAACGCAAGTCAGCCAGAGGACCTCAGAGCTTCTCTGCAAAAGCCAGAGAGGTTCCAGCATGGAACGACCTCACCAGAACAGGCACGGAGACGTCGGAGACTCCGGATGGAGGGCAGTCCAGGCAGGCTTCCTGGAACAGGTGTGGGACAGGCCTGTGGGCTGGGAAGAGGAGGTGGAAGTGAGAAAGGAAGGGAGGCAGAGCCATCCACATCAGCAGGAGCACCTCCCAGCCTGCCTTGCCTCCGAACCTCCAGGCCAGGACTTCTTCCAGCACACGTGAGGCTGCCCATCCAGCGGCTTCTCCCATCAAGGCAGTGGCAGGGGTAGCCCGAGGGCCAGGCCAGGTGAGGGAGCCCACAGCCCTGTGCTAGGGCGGTTCCAAGAAGCCAAAGTGAGTGATCACGGTCTCTGCAGCCAGCGCCACTGAGGCTCATCTGTGCAGGATTCCCAGAGAACATCATTCAATTCCAGACTTAATTGGCATTAAATTGGACATTCTAGTAGAATAGGTTGAGTTCCAAATCGTCATTATGCAAAACATCCACTGCAGCTGATGGGACCGTATGAGCCAACAGAAGTCCATTTGAATAAGAAGACAGCAACTTAGGGCCAGGCATCTTCCAGGAGGGGGACTGGGCCTCCCAGGGGACACGGAAAATGGGACGCTGTGCACCTTGGCCAGGGCTGTGGCGCTGTGAGGGTCAGCTTCCTCTGTAGGCCCCCTCTGAACCTCTGGTTGGAAGCTGGAGCCCTAGCTCTGTGTCCCTCCCGCCTGGGGAGGGGTGTACTTATCCACTCGCCAGCCCCCTGGAGATGGGGGTGAAGTTGAGAGTCCAAGCCGGAGTCCCACCGTGCTGTGACCCGGGGTGTGAGACTCAACACTGGGGCCTCACCTGGGAGAGGGTGGACCTGCCACCTCCTCCACGCCCAAGGGAGAAGGAGCCAGGAGCCCAGGGCCATGCATACACAGGAGGCACTCAGGGAACGTGGAAGTGGCATCTGTAGTGAGCCCGGCCCTGGCCATGATCAGGGACTCTTCGGACCCTCAAAGGGGGAAGGCCAGGCCTCAGACCACCCAGGCTTTCCTTGGGAAAAACTGAGAGTGGAGGGGCCCTGGGAGTGGGGTGGGCCAGGGCCCCCAGGGCTCCAAATTGCCAGCGGGGAACTGGGGCTCCCAGAGGCGCAGAGCGACCTGCCCCGGGCGAGTAGCTCCAAAGGGGCAGGGCCAGGCCACCCCTGCCCCACCAAGGCAGGCACTGAGACTCAGATGGCTCCTCCAAGCCCAAGGCCTGCAACACCACCAAGGAAGGCGTCTCCACCCCAGCCAGCCTCCCACCTCTGACTGACCTCTGGGGCTGCAGGGGCCAGGTCCCCGCCCAGAAAGCCTCTCCTGCCCACTACTGTCAGCAACTCCAGGGCTGGGGCAGCCACCCACAGGGCTCATGCCCAGTCTGGCTCCCACCCCTCAGGGACAGCCAGGCAGGAGGCTAGAGGATTCTGCCAAAGCTCCCTGCAGCCAGCCGGAGGGCCAAGCACAGCCAAGACCTCTGCACCGCCCCACCACTAATGAAGAGCGGGTCTGAGCAGTCATCGGGGTGAGCAAGGCTACAGACCAACAGGCTGTGTCCCCACTGTCCCAAAGAGACCACACTCAGGAGGGGCTGAGCTCAAGAAGACCTGAATCACAGAAGGACAAGTTCAGGAGGACCCAGGCTCAGGAGGACCCAGGCTCAGGAGGACCCAGGCTCAGGAAGGTCCCAGGCTCAGAAAGACCCAGGCTCAGGAGGACCAAGGCTCAGGAGCACCCCAGCTCAGGAGGACCTTGACTCAGAAGGACCCAGGCTCAGGAGGACCCTGACTCAGGAGGGTCCCAGGCTCAGGAGGACCCCAGGCTCAGGAGGACCCCAGGCTCAGGAGGACCCTGACTCAGGAGGACCCAAGCTTAGGAGGACCCAGGCTCAGGAGGACCCTAGCTCAGGAGGACCATGACTCAGAAGGACCGAGGCTCAGGAAGACCCAGGCTCAGGAGGACCCCCAACTCAGGAGGGCCCCAACTCAGGAGGGCCCCAGGCTCAGGAGGATTCCAGGCTCAGGAAGAGCCAAGCTCAGGACTATTCAGGTTCAGGAGGGTCCCAGGCTGAAGAGGATCCCAGGCTCAGGAGGACCCCGACTCAGGAGGACCCAGGCTCAGGAGGACCCCAGGCTCAGGAGGACTCAGGCTCAGGAGGATCCCAGGATCAGGAGGACCCAGGCTCAGTAGGACCCAGGTTCAGGAGGGCCACAGGCTCAGGAGGACACAGGCTCAGGAGGACCCTGACTTAGGAGGGCCTCAGGTTCAGGAGGACACAGGCTCAGGAGGACCCCGACTTAGGAGGGCCTCAGGCTCAGGAGGACCCCAGGCTCAGGAGGACCCCAGACTCAGGAGGGCCCCGGGCTCAGGAGGACCCCAGGCTCAGGAGTTACCAGGCTCAGGATGACCCAGGTTTAGGAGTTCCCAGGCTTAGGAGGACCCAGGCTCAGGAGGACCCCAACTCAGGAGGACCCTGACTCAGGAGGACTCAGCTTCAGGAGGACCCAGGCTCAGGAGGACCCAGGCTCAGGAGGATCCTGACTTAGGAGGGCCCAGGCTCAGGAGGACCCAGGCTCAGGAGGACCCCAGGTTCAGGAGGACCCAGGCTCAGGAGGACCCTGACTCAGGAGGGCCCCAGGCTCAGGAGGACCCAGGCTCAGGAGGACCCCAGACTTAGGAGGACCCAGGATCAGAAGGACCCTGACTCAGGAAGACCCCAGGCTCAGAAGTTTCCAGGCTCAGAAGGACCCATGCTCAGGAGGACCCAGGCTCAGGAGGACCCCAGTTCAGGAGGACCCTGACATGGAAGGACCCAGGCTCAGGAGGACTCTCACTTAGGAGGGTCCCAGGCTCAGGAGAACCCCAGGCTCAAGAGGACCCCAACTCAGGAGGACCCTGACTCAGGAGGACCCCAGGTTCAGGAGTTCCCAGGCTCAGGAGGTCCCAGGCTCAGGAGGACCCTGACTCAGGAGGGCCCAGGCTCAGGAGTTTCCAGGCTCTGGAGGACTCCAGTTCAGGAGGACCCTGACACAGAAGGACTGAGGCTCAGGAGGACCCTTACTCAGGAGGGTCCCAGGCTCAGGAGGACCTGGGCTCAGGAGGGACCCAGGCTCAGAAAGACCCCAACTCAGGAGGACCCTGATTCAGGAGGGCCCAGCTTCAGGAGGACCCAGGCTCAGGAGTTGCCAGGCTCAGGAGGACCCCAGTTCAGGAGGACCCTGACACAGAAGGACCCAGGCTCAGGAGGACTCTGACTTAGGAGGGTCCCAGGCTCAGGAGGACCCCAACTCAGGAGGACCCTGACTCAGGAGGACCCCAGGCTCAGGAGGACCCAGGCTCAGGAGGACCCCAGGCTCAGGAGGACTCAGGCTCAGGAGGACCCCAGGCTCAGGAGGGCCCCAGGCTCAGGAGGACACAGGCTCAGGAGGACCCCAGACTTAGGAGGACCCAGGATCAGAAGGACCCTGACTCAGGAAGACCCCAGGCTCAGAAGTTCCCAGGCTCAGGAGGACCCATGCTCAGGAGGACCCAGGCTCAGGAGGACCCCAGGCTCAGGAGGACTCAGGCTCAGGAGGACCCCAGGCTCAGGAGGGCCCCAGGCTCAGGAGGACCCAGGCTCAGGAGGACCCCAGACTTAGGAGGACCCAGGATCAGAAGGACCCTGACTCAGGAAGACCCGAGGCTCAGAAGTTCCCAGGCTCAGGAGGACCCATGCTCAGGAGGACCCAGGCTCAGGAGGACCCATGCTCAGGAGGACCCAGGCTCAGGAGGACCCCAGTTCAGGAGGACCCTGACATGGAAGGACCCAGGCTCAGGAGGAACCCAGGCTCAGGAGGATCCAGGCTCAGGAGGACCCTGACTTAGGAGGGCCCCAGGCTCAGGAGGACCCAGGCTCAGGAGGATCCCAGGCTTAGGAGGACCCAGGCTCAGGAGGACCCCGGCTCGTGAGAACCCAGGCTCAGGAGGGTCTTGTAGTTGGTTTAATGCTTTGTTGTTGCCCTCTTAAAATTCTTAGTTATTTCCATCTGGAATGTGGGACCTCTGTTTTCTCTTTGCAGAGGCTCTACACATTCTGTAGCCGATCCAGCTCCCAGCCCCCACGCTGGGTGGGTCAGAATCCTCATTTCCTACCCCAGCACTGTGGCTGCCCATCTGTGAAATGGGTTTAGTGCCCACTTCCTAGGGTGGCCTGGGGTGGCGAGAGAAACAGAGACAGAGTTTTGACTTCCTGGGGTGGGTGGTGAGGGGTGGGGGACAGGGAGAGAAGAGACAGGGAGGGCAGGCAGGGCAGGGACAGGCCCCTGCCTCAGTCTAAAGTCTCTCACTCTTTTTCCTGTGGCCGCCCTCTTCACTCCCTCCTGGCCAGTCCTCAACCCTCCCCAACAAGCCAGGAAGACTCGGCATGAATCCCGTGGAAAAGAAGTGGCTGCACATTTTCCGAGATGTTTTAAACATTGTTTTGGCAAGACGGCGGCTCCTCCACGGCCCAAGTCACCCTGACATAAAACAAGCCTGACCAAAGCCAGGGCCCCAGCCCGCCGGCCTCCTCCGGCCAGCCAAGGTCTGGCTGCCATGCACTCATCACCTTCCCAGCCCTGCCCCTCCCAGATGCCGGGCACACCGGGCGGGGGAGGCCGGCCTGCCTCTTCAAACGGCCTCTTTTTAAAGCCAAGGAATGCCTCTTGATGCGTTTGTTTCTGTGGTTGCTAACCAGCAGCATCGCATGGTCTGGGAGGCCAGCAGGACACCCGGGTGACTGGTTTCATGCTCTGCACAAACTGGGCCAAGAAGGGGCTCCAGTCAACTAGCGTAGCCCCCCGTGGTGCAGGGGGAGAAACTGAGGCCCAGAGACAGGGGAGGAGGTTGCCAGGGTCCCAGATCAAGTGGCCATACTATGGGTGCATTCTGGGTCTTGCCTCTGAGAGGCAGGTCCCCGTGCTAGCCTGGCAAGGCTGCACAGGCATCGGGTTCCTGAGGGAGCATGCGTGTTGGGGGGAACGCAGGCAGCCTGTCTCCCCCACCTTATTTCTTGCCCCGTTGCATCAACCCTGTGCAGCGAGGGATAACATTGCCTCTACTTTACAGACATAAAACCAAGGCTTGGAGAGGTGAGGTGACCTGCTCATCACAGGCTGCCCCAGGTGGAACTGGGATTCCATGGGGTTGGTGTCTGGAGCTGGATCAGGCCCAGCCTCGTGGGCAGTCCCGCCCTGCAAATGGACAGGCCTTTGAGGTGGGTGCAGAGGTCCCAGCCTCCGCCTGCAGGGCCCTAGGGTCCTGGGATGGATGTAGCAGCCTGGCCTCATATCCTGCTGGGGCACTCGGGGGAAGTCGCGCCATCCCTCTAAACCCTCAGCTCCCCCACCTGTGAAGGAGGGCACGGGGCCATAAACATTAAGGACCTCATTGCTCCTAAACTACCTGGCCCAGGACCTGATTTAGGAAGAGCAACAAAAGGCAGCAGCCCCTTCTGGAAAGGAGGTAATACCTGCAAAGGGCTCGGACGTGGGAATAGGAGTCGATCATGCTGGCCAGGCTGAGACAGGACCCAGGCTGCCTGATGTGCATGGAGACAGGTCAGCCCAGCCCCACCCTGACATAAGCAGACCTCCCTCCTCCCCGAGTCTCAGGTCCCCTCAAGGGGCCAGGGGCTCCAAGAGCAGTTCCCATGGAGTGAAAGAGCTCTGCCATCTCTGATGATGCCACTGTGTCCTGCAAATTAAACTGACAAGAGGCAGATTAGGAAGAGGAAAAAAATGTTTTCATGTAGAAATGTACATGGGAGACCACAGGAAAATGGGATTCAGAGGAGTGGTTAGAATCTGGGGCTTACATATCCTCTTAGAGGTACACAAAAATCAGGGGAGAAGGAGAAGGGCACACACAGGAAAACGAATGGCTTTTTGGAAAGGTAAATGGGCCCTGAGGTGGACAGATTTGGGGTAGCGTGGCTCTGGGACCACGCCCGTATCCGTGTGCTATGGAGGTTTCTCGTCACTGACTATGATAAGAGTCCATCTTCCCTGGCCACTCCAGGGAGGGATGTACAGCAGTTGAGTTATTTCTAGTTCTTTTGGGGGGCTCTGCTTTTATTCAGATAAGGGGTTTCTGAAACTCAAATGCCTCCTGCACAAAATAATTTTATGCCCCAGCGGCGTGTTCTGAAGTCCCTTCCCCTCCCCCAGACCTTCCATCTGGCAGGTAAGCATCTCTGCTTTGTACCTAAAGAAACAAGGGCTCAGAAAGATTCAGACCTGCTCAGAGTCCCTGAGGGGGCACCATCAGCCACCCAAAGCCACCTTGCCCTGAGGCTGCACGCCCCAGAGTTTGGGAGCACAGCTGCTTGGTGCTGATAGGACAGCGCCCCAGGGGCCTCCAGGATGGCAGAGCCGCCTGGGAGCTGCTCAGGGACAGGGTCGTCCTCTGCTGATGCACCCTGGAGCGTCTGGTTGTCCCAGTGTAACTCCAGGCTGCTGGTACCGGAGTCTTCTCACTTTCCTCCCTCCCTTCTCACGGGTCCCCTCTGGGCTCTCGGCTCATGTCCCTGCATGCAGGTGGGTGTAGCAGGGTGGAGGGGTCCCTGGAATGGGGCTGGGGGAAGTAGAAAATCAAAGGCCACCCCGGAGCTCTGCTTTGCTTCCCGCCTCCCCAAGCTGGACACTTCTGCAGGGCCCAGGTCATCGGCATACTTCAGGGGCCCAGCACCAGGTGACCCCATCTCCCAAGTGCAGACCTGGAGTGGACAAGGGATCCGAGGCCAGTAGGCCCATTGGAACTGAAGCAAGGGACATGGGCAGTGGCACATGTGGCACAGAGTGGGCACTAATGGAGGGGCGGCTGGGTGAGCGGGGCAGAGGCGCGTATGGTGCAGAGTGGGCACTAATGAGGGGGCGGCTGGGTGAGCGGGGCAGAGGCGCGTGTGGCGCAGAGTGGGCACTAATGAGGGGGCGGCTGGGTGAGCGGGGCAGAGGCGCGTGTGGCGCAGAGTGGGCACTAATGAGGGGGCGGCTGGCTGAGCGGGGCAGAGGCGCGTGTGGCGCAGAGTGGGCACTAATGAGGGGGCGGCTGGGTGAGCGGGGCAGAGGCGCGTGTGGCGCAGAGTGGGCACTAATGAGGGGGCGGCTGGGTGAGCGGGGCAGAGGCGCGTGTGGCGCAGAGTGGGCACTAATGAGGGGGCGGCTGGGTGAGCGGGGCAGAGGCGCGTGTGGCGCAGAGTGGGCACTAATGAGGGGGCGGCTGGGTGAGCGGGGCAGAGGCGCGTGTGGTGCAGAGTGGGCACTAATGAGGGGGCGGCTGGGTGAGCGGGGCAGAGGCGCGTGTGGCGCAGAGTGGGCACTAATGGGGGGGAGGCTGGGTGAGCGGGGCAGAGGCGCGTGTGGTGCAGAGTGGGCACTAATGGGGGGGAGGCTGGGTGAGCGGGGCAGAGGCGCGTGTGGTGCAGAGTGGGCACTAATGGGGGGGCGGCTGGGTGAGCCGGGCAGAGGCGCGTGTGGTGCAGAGTGGGCACTAATGGGGGGGAGGCTGGGTGAGCGGGGCAGAGGCGCGTGTGGTGCAGAGTGGGCACTAATGGGGGGGAGGCTGGGTGAGCCGGGCAGAGGCGCGTGTGGTGCAGAGTGGGCACTAATGGGGGGGCGGCTGGGTGAGCCGGGCAGAGGCGCGTGTGGTGCAGAGTGGGCACTAATGGGGGGGAGGCTGGGTGAGCGGGGCAGAGGCGCGTGTGGTGCAGAGTGGGCACTAATGGGGGGGAGGCTGGGTGAGCCGGGCAGAGGCGCGTGTGGCGCAGAGTGGGCACTAATGAGGGGGCGGCTGGGTGAGCGGGGCAGAGGCGCGTGTGGTGCAGAGTGGGCACTAATGAGGGGGCGGCTGGGTGAGCGGGGCAGAGGCGCGTGTGGCGCAGAGTGGGCACTAATGGGGGGGAGGCTGGGTGAGCCGGGCAGAGGCGCGTGTGGCGCAGAGTGGGCACTAATGAGGGGGCGGCTGGGTGAGCGGGGCAGAGGTGCGTGTGGTGCAGAGTGGGCACTAATGGGGGGGCGGCTGGGTGAGCCGGGCAGAGGCGCGTGTGGTGCAGAGTGGGCACTAATGGGGGGGAGGCTGGGTGAGCGGGGCAGAGGCGCGTGTGGTGCAGAGTGGGCACTAATGGGGGGGAGGCTGGGTGAGCGGGGCAGAGGCGCGTGTGGTGCAGAGTGGGCACTAATGGGGGGGCGGCTGGGTGAGCCGGGCAGAGGCGCGTGTGGTGCAGAGTGGGCACTAATGGGGGGGAGGCTGGGTGAGCGGGGCAGAGGCGCGTGTGGTGCAGAGTGGGCACTAATGGGGGGGCGGCTGGGTGAGCCGGGCAGAGGCGCGTGTGGTGCAGAGTGGGCACTAATGGGGGGGAGGCTGGGTGAGCGGGGCAGAGGCGCGTGTGGTGCAGAGTGGGCACTAATGGGGGGGAGGCTGGGTGAGCGGGGCAGAGGCGCGTGTGGTGCAGAGTGGGCACTAATGGGGGGGCGGCTGGGTGAGCCGGGCAGAGGCGCGTGTGGTGCAGAGTGGGCACTAATGGGGGGGAGGCTGGGTGAGCGGGGCAGAGGCGCGTGTGGTGCAGAGTGGGCACTAATGGGGGGGAGGCTGGGTGAGCGGGGCAGAGGCGCGTGTGGTGCAGAGTGGGCACTAATGGGGGGGCGGCTGGGTGAGCCGGGCAGAGGCGCGTGTGGTGCAGAGTGGGCACTAATGGGGGGGAGGCTGGGTGAGCGGGGCAGAGGCGCGTGTGGTGCAGAGTGGGCACTAATGGGGGGGAGGCTGGGTGAGCCGGGCAGAGGCGCGTGTGGTGCAGAGTGGGCACTAATGAGGGGGCGGCTGGGTGAGCGGGGCAGAGGCGCGTGTGGTGCAGAGTGGGCACTAATGAGGGGGCGGCTGGGTGAGCGGGGCAGAGGCGCGTGTGGCGCAGAGTGGGCACTAATGGGGGGGAGGCTGGGTGAGCGGGGCAGAGGCGCGTGTGGTGCAGAGTGGGCACTAATGAGGGGGCGGCTGGGTGAGCGGGGCAGAGGTGCGTGTGGTGCAGAGTGGGCACTAATGGGGGGGAGGCTGGGTGAGCCGGGCAGAGGCGCGTGTGGTGCAGAGTGGGCACTAATGGGGGGGAGGCTGGGTGAGCGGGGCAGAGGCGCGTGTGGTGCAGAGTGGGCACTAATGGGGGGGAGGCTGGGTGAGCGGGGCAGAGGCGCGTGTGGTGCAGAGTGGGCACTAATGGGGGGGCGGCTGGGTGAGCCGGGCAGAGGCGCGTGTGGTGCAGAGTGGGCACTAATGGGAGGGGGCGGCTGGGTGAGCAGCGCAGAGGTGTGGGGAAGAGCTGAGGCATGACACCGGGGCCTCCAGGAGAGGCAGAGGCTGCCGGCTCTACCCCCAAGAGGCCGGCAGGACTCCCTTCCTATCCAGGAAGCCCCATGATGTCCCATCAGAGCTCATGACACCGATGTCATCCACAAGAGCTGGCCCCGGTGAGTGTCAGGTCCTCACAAGTGAGAGACATGGCCAGGACCCCCACAATGCCTCAGCTCCTACCCCATGTGCTCACCAGCCCTGGCATCCCCTTGCCCAGGAGGGGCACAGAGCATCATAAACCATCCTCCATCTCCCCCACTGTGTCCTCCACAAAGGACTCAAACTTCCAGCACAGAACAGGAGCTCTGCCTACAGCGGGGTCTCCAGGAGCCGAGGCTGCAAACCCAGAACTAACTGGCCACCTAGGTCCCAGACTGGCTTCCCCAAGGCCCAGGAAGGAGCCCACCTATTGGTGTTGACTCTGGAATTGGGGCCACAACTGAGGAAAAGGGCCTTGTGTATTTTCTGTGGCCATGGGGCTGTCAGCTTGTGTGCTCACGGGGGTTCCTCCTCCCTGGCCCCAACACCACCATCACAATCTCCAAAAATGCATCTAAGCTGTCACCATGGCGTCCACCCTGATGCCCACTGGACATCTACACTGGGCCAAGCCCTGGGAACAGGGAGGGGAGGCCGGGGCCCTCAGGGACGTCACAGCCCAGTGAGGAAAGTGGACACCTGCATTGCAGCTCCAAGGGGGCAGGGGGATGGGGGGCGTGCAGAGGGGCCCGCGACCCAGCCAGGGTCTCTGGGGTCTCAGCCCTGCTCTGAGGGATGAGGAAGAGAGGACCAGGTGGAAGGGAGTCAGGAAAGGTTTGAATTAGAAACTCTGGGGACAAAACACCCAAAGGGGAGGCGGCCCTGCTGAGGCGGGCATCCAGGGACAGAGGAGTGGCCCGGCTTGCCCAGGGCTGGAAGGCGGGCTTTAGGCCCCAACTCTGTGCTTCACCTGGAGGGTTTCCAGCTGAGGAGTGACTGGGTCAGACTGGCAGCCCGCTGTGGGGGGAAGGGCAGATCTCAGAGGGAACCTGGGAAGAAGTGGGCAGACCAGGGACACTGCAGCAGCTGCAGGCTTCCAGGGCATTGATGGCCTCATAGGAAGGTGGCCGGGGGACAGGTAGGAGGCAGAGGCAGCCCCCCAACCCCACTTCTTCGTAGCCAGCAGAGACCTCCGAGCACCGGCGCCCTCTAAAGCCGAGGTCAGGGGCCAAATGGACCTAAAGTGGGAATCCTCCTTTCTCCTTTTCAAACTTTTTATTCTTTTCTACTTAAAAGGAGCTTTGAGTGACAGGGAATGAAAACCATTACCGTGGAGACGCTGGGGACAGACTCTAGACCTGCAACCTACACAGATGTAGAATCTTCCAGAGGTGGGGCAGGGCCGGGCAACCCACCCACAGACTGATGCCAGGTGGCCCAGCTGACCAGAGGCCCCCATCCCACCACACCAGCAGCCCGTTTCACCCACAGTGCAAACCTCCTGCCTGTCTGGGCTTTTATGGTTGAGTAGTTGTAAAGGATTATGTTTTCCCTTCTTCCAGCACAATTGTCACCTTTGCTCTTCAAGCTGTCCTCTGTCTTGAGGCAGAAAAAAAAGGCACCAAGGGGCTCTATAACTGACATGTCCATAAGAGGAGGAGGCAGAGTTCAGCCGCGACAAAGAGACAGAAAACGCATCAGAAACCAACCAGCCCACAAGGACTCCCGTGTGCCCCCCAACCACGAAGCCTGGGGCACGAGGTGCTGGCAGGAGTCCCAGGTGGGGCTGAAGCCCTCGCCCTACCCTCCTACCTCCGAGCGGACGCCACCCCATGCTCTCCCACCCCCACATCTCTGCACTGGCTTCACTCCACAGCCAAGCAGATTGCGTGGCCTGAGCCTCATGATAATGGGTCCACCTCCCGGATTTTCCTGTCACAGCCACTGACCACGGCCTGCAGTTGGGAGGTGTGTGCCCTCCCCCACCTCTGTCCTCTCTCTCGGTCCTCTCCAGCTCCTCCCACAGCCAGCATGGCCGGCACACCTCTCCCATGGTGGGGGTCAGGGCACTGATAGGCCACACAGCCGGCTGTTGGTGTGGTTATGACAGCCCCCATTGCCACAGCTTCAGCCCCGCCCAGCTGCTGTGCTTCAACCTCCAGGAGAAAGTTCCATCAATACTCTCATTTTACAGATGAGGAAACCAAGGGCGGGGAGCTTTGTGATGAGTGCGAGGCCACACAGTGGGAATTAGAACGCATGTCCTTCTCACTGTACACTCCGCCCAAGCTACAAAATGGCCCACGCAGGCCCTTCAGAGTTCAATGAGCTCCGTAACCCTGAGTTGAAGGCAAGCTGGGAGGCCTGGGGGCTCAGTTCAACTCAAGCACTGACCAAACTCCTCCTGCAAATCAGCCCCAGGGGTCCCGTTGAGAGGAGCCAGGCATGTGAGAAAATGGGCCATAGGGCAGTGCTGCAAGAGCCATCTCGGAGAAGGGCCACATTGGGACCTGGCTGGGCCACAGCTGGCAATCTGAGGGGTCAGGTGACCACAAGAACACTGTGGACATAACAATGCATGACTCTCAAGTCTGGCTCCTTAATGGCGTGGCAGCTTCTGCCTTGGCCTGCTGGATCACTTGCACTGGGGGAAGCCAGCCTCCATGTTGAGAGGATGCTCAAGCAGCACTGTGGAGGCAAGCAGCGTGCCAGCCTCGTGGTGTGCCACCTTGGAAGTGGCTCCTCCAGCCCTGGCCGACATTCAGATGACGCAGCTCTGGCCAACATCTGGCCGCAGCCTCTTGGGAAACCCCAAGGCAGAACCACCCATTGACTAAGCCATTTCCAAAGTCCTGATCCACAGAAACTGTGAGTGATGATGAATGATTACTGCTATTTTAAGCCACTAAGTTGTGGGGTGGTTTGTTACATAGTAACAGAGAACTAAGAGGCAGACCCTGCACAGCCCTTCTTGGCCTAAAGAAAGAAGGTGGAAGATTTTCACCAGGATGCAAACCTCGGGCATGTGTGGCACCTTTCACTCATGTGTCTTTTCCCATTCAGCCCCCCATGGGCACATGGCTGGAGCCCCCTCCCAATGTGGGGCTCTTGGAGTAAGAGTGGGGTCTTGCTGTCCTCTCAGGAACTCCGAGGACCCTGTGACAGGATGATGTACACAAAGGATGAAGTAGCAGGTCCACAGCCCTCTAGAGAGGCTCAGAGCAGCCAGGTCAGGAGACAGCACCAGCAGAGGGAGGGGGAGAAGGCCCCCAACCATGGAGCCACAGGCCTTCCTTTACCGCCCTGCCCAGCCCACAGCACCCCGCCTCCCCACAGGCAGAGGGATAGGCAATGAAGTGTGGGCAGACTGTCTCATAAAAGTCACCTACCTGCTGACAGCCACACCCATCCAGGACTAGGCTGAACAGCCCTCTAACGAGCAGGACAGGGCTTCTCTGAGCTCAGGGAGCTGCTCTGTCCAGCTAAGGAGCTCCAGAGCCTGTGGTCCCGTCTCCTGCAACCACCCGTCATGCCCTGGTCACCTATTGTCTCAGCTTCTCCAGGGAGGGCCTGAGGCAGTTGTTTGTTTGGCAAAAGTGCTTGACACCTTCCAGAAGGGGGCAGAGACCCCAACACAGCTCCCCACATAGGTGACTCCTGCTGGGTGAAGGCTTCCAACAGGCCCCAGGGCGCCCTTCACAATTCCTCTTCAGAGAACCAAAGCCCCACTGAGGTCCCATAGAATTTTAGAATGTAAAAGGGGCATGCCCCTTGGACCCAGCAACGTCGCTTCTGAACTCCATCCAGGAGAGCACCTGCCGAATGCTGGACAGGAGTGTTCATGACAGCACCAGCTGGTGACAGCCCCACAGGGAAAACAAGCAAAATGCCCAGCAAAGTGGCGTCCAGCAGGGCCCAGGAGCACCATTAGAAAGAAAAGCAGCTCCATGCACAGCCTCCAGGAAGGAGGGCCCGATGCTTGCACGTGAAGGAGAGCCATCGGCAGAAGCGCATACTGGAGTGTTGGAAACCGAGTGTATCGTGGGAGGGGTAGGTGCTGGAACATTCCAGAAGAATGAGCCCCAACAGCAGAAAGGCCAGCTGAGCGAGGGCATCATCAACTTTAACCGAGCCCTCCTCCGGAAGTTTCCTTCTCATGCACACGCTTCTCAGTGCAGATACCAAGAACAGAGCTCATCCTGGCTGATAATCAGGGCGCTGGGTTTGAGTCTGGACTCTGCCCCAACCTGCTGCATGACCCTCAGCTGACATCTTCCCTTTTCTGGGCCTCAGTGTCCCATCTGTCACCCAGAAAGTCTCCTGGAGACAGGACCCCAGAGGATTCAGTGAGCATCACGCTCCATCCTAGGGAGTGGGTGGTGGAGTCCCTTCCGAGGAACTCATGCCTGCATGGAGGGCACACGGGAGGGGCAGAGAGGCATGTGGCATCGGGCCTCCCCATCCCCAAGGGCCGCAGTTAGGCCACAGCTTCAGACTCAGGCTCGATTTTGGTCACAGGGGCCTAGAGGTCAAGCATCCTCCAGCATCTGGGAAATGTCCTCCGTGGGTAACGGGAGAGGTGCACAGGGGCTGACCCCGAATGACCACCAGGGCCAGTGAAGTGCTGTGAGAGCCCCGCTAGGCCCACGGTGCACACAGGGCAGAGCCTTGAGGGGCGAGGCCTCCAGCGATGAGGGCCACAGAGCCAGCAGGAGGGAGGCCCAGCCAGGACAGGCCCAAGAGATAAGATTTGTGTTCCCTGAAAGCCTAGAGGACATGGCAGTCAGGTGTGGACGACAGGCAGGATCCACAGAGGTAGGAGCTCAGACTGGCAGGGCTGGCTCAGACGGGCTTCCTGGAGGAGGGGTTGGGGTTGGGATGGTCACGAAGCCGCCCCTGTGAGTCCCCAGGTCCCTTTCGTAAAGCTCTCTTGGAGAAAATTCACCTTGGGCCCTTCCTAGCTGCACCCATACCCAGCCTCATGACTCATGACCCATGAGGTTGTCCTATCTGCCATTCTCCCTGACCTCACCCTGCCCCCGCCACATGCTGCAGGGAGAAGAGGGAAGGGAGGTCCCCAGCTTGGCCGCAGACTTCTGCTTTCCCAGTTGACACTGACCCACGTTTGACCACGGCAGATCCTGCCCCACAGCCCAGGCCCACCTCCAGTGCACAGCCTTGAGCTCCAGAGCCGCCATCCTGGTCTCCCATAGGGAGGGATGAGGCCTTCGAGGGGTTCAGGGCAGGCTTCTGACTGACCTGTTTATGGCCAGTGTCGCCCAGCGAAGAACTAGCTGGGGGTCACACAGGCCAGGTGGGTGCCTCCCCCACCAGCTGTTGGGTCAGAGACCAGGGCAACCCCTGAGCAAGTTTTCAGGGTGGCTTCTCCTAAATTCAGCAGCACCTGCAAATTCCCAAAAGATGTGCCAATTTCGCCTGGATTTCTGCAGGCTCCGGGAGGATGATGCGCGCCACTCCCTCCATATCCCGCCCCACCTTTCCCTTAAAGAGTTAACAGAGACCTGGAGCCCAGCGTCCCATCACAGCCCAGTCCTTGCCATTCAGCGTCTAGCCTCACCCAGAGCCCTCACCCTGGCAGAAGGCAAAACTCAGGCTCAGAGGACAGGCACTTGCAGGCTGGGACTGGGTCCAGAGTCTGGCTGTCCGGTCCCTGCCTGGAGCTCTCGGCCCATCCAGGCCAGTGGAAAGTCCAGCAAAGAAGTGAAGCAGCCCCCACCAAACCCTCAGCAGGCAGTGGGAGGGGACAGAGAGCTCCCCGGTAAGCAGAGAGCCAGCAGCTACTTTCCATGGAAAAAATGTCTTAAGGTCCCCCCAGAGGCCAGGAGGCCCCAGCCATGACTCAAGTCTCTGCTGCTGAAGAATCGCTCCCGACCAGACAGCCCCTCGGCCCAGGCAGGCTCCACCCCACCCCCAGCTCCCATCACACCAAGGCCCCATTCCAGGCAGGGCCCCAGTGTCAAACCCCAGGGCCCCACCGCAGGCTCCGTGGCCCTCTGCATCTCACCCTGGCCATGGCGGGAGCCATGGGGCCTCGACAAGCACAGGCCCTGCTGCTCAGGCCCGTCTGCAGAGGCCTCAGCGGCCCACCTGCAGAGTGGGAAGGGGGTCTGTGGGGGGGTTCCCCGTGGGCCTTAAAAGTCCACCAGAGGCTTGACCAAGGTGAGCCCAGAGGGAGGGTGCAGGCCTTGGCCCCTGGTAGACTGAGTGCCAGAGGGCAGGGCCTGGGTCTCAGGGCACAGCACCAGTCAGCTGTCAATAAACACCGGTGGATGCGACTCCGAGGCCTCCGGCAGACACGCTCGTCCACACCATGGAACTGGGCTTCCCCTTCAGGCTTCATTTCAAGGCGTTTCTGAGACTACACCTGGAGATGACAGGACACTACACCACAGTCCAGAGACCCTGTCTGTGACGGCCTCAAGGCAGAAGTACTTGCCACGTGGCAGGCAAACCCTTCCTGCCCTGGGGGTCCCCTTGCACTAAAAAGCCTCAGGGGTCTGGGGCAGGTCTGGGAGAGGCTGTGTCCTTCGCCCAGAGGCCTGGGCTCCATCAGGGTGCAGCACTGTCCCTGGGAAGCCCTTGGACTCTTGGGCAGAGAAGCAGCAGAGAGAACCACCCCAGCTCCTGAGATTTCAGGGCAGGCAGGACCCAGCTCAGGATGACCCCAGGGCAGGAGGGACAGAGATAGTGACCAGAAGCTGGGGACACTGTGAGAGACACAGACCCCGGCCCCACCCCACAGGACACAGAGGGACACAGACCCCGGCCCCACCCCACAGGACACAGGGGGACACAGACACTGGCCCCACCCCACAGGACACAGAGGGACACAGACCCCAGCTCCACCCGACAGGACACAGGGGGACACAGACCCCAGCCCCACCACACAGGACACAGGGGGACACAGACCCCGGCCCCACCCCACAGGACCCAGAGGGACACAGACCCCGGCCCACCCCACAGGACACAGATGGACACAGACCCCGGCCCCACCACACAGGACACAGATGGACACAGACCCCGGCTCCACCCGACAGGACACAGGGGGACACAGACACTGGCCCCACCACACAGGACACAGAGGGACACAGACCCCAGCTCCACCAGACAGGACACAGGGGGACACAGACCCCGGCCCCACCACACAGGACACAGAGGGACACAGACCCCAGCCCCAGCTGACAGGACACAGGGGGACACAGACCACGGCCCCACCCCACAGGACATAGAGGGACACAGACCCCAGCTCCACCCAACAGGACACAGAGGTACTCAGACCCCAGCCATACCCTACAGGACACAGGGGGACACAGACCCGGGGTCCACCCCACGGGACATAGAGGGACACAGACCCTCGGCCCACCCCACAGGATGCTGGGACGATGGAGACACCCAGCCGCATGCTACAGGACACTGTGGAAACCGCTGATCCTGGGGCCATTGGAAAGCAGGGAGCCCTGAGGGCCTGGCCATGGCCCCCCTGCCAGCCCGGACCCCCATAGCTCTGCCTTGGAGTGGAAGCTTAGCTCTAGGCAAGGCCGGGCCATTTCTGTCCAGGAGCCTGTGGGGTCAGATGGGGTAGATGCAGGCTGAGCAGGGGAAGGCACAGCTGGAGCTCGGAGGGCGATTGGGGACAACCCAGCATGTCCAAAGTTAGGGACCCCCTCTCCCAGCTACAGCTTCCCTCCTTCTGGGAGAGACCCCTGTTGGTGGGCTGTCGGGCTGGAGCATGGCCGGCAGCTGGCCCGAGCCATGTTTCGTGGGGTGTGTGTCACCACGCAGTCCGCGAGCTTCATAGTTTCCCACTGACGTCACCGCATGGCTAGAATGTGAAGTGACTGCAAACCCTCAGAGGCATAATTGCAGTTGTCTTTGCAAAGTGAAATCAGATGGCTTTTGCAAACCTCCCCCAGCCCTGCCTTCTCCCCGCGGCTCTCCCTTTTTTTTTTATTATGTTCCTTGGGCCACATCCAGATGTTTCCTGCAACTACAACCCTCCAAAAGTTACACAAAGAGAGCGAGAGCGTGCAGCTTCCTGCCTGCAGGGTGGAAGTGGCGACGTGGCAGGGTGGGGGCGGCCACGTCTACAGGGTGGGCGGGGGCGACCACGTCAGCAGCTGGGGCAGCAGGCTCCAGGCAGGTCCCAGCCCCCTGCCTCCTTGTGCCTGGGGTCTGGGCGCTGAGAGACAAGGCCGGAGGGCCACGGTGCATGAGGGACAGCCCCTTCCGGCCGCTGCGGCCCTGGCCCAGCAGTGGGCCGAGTGGAGACCGCGGCCGGGAAGGAGCAGGGCACCTCGGTCAAGATCAGCCTTTGGGTTCGGGCTGCTCCGGGCGCCACTCCCAGCTGCGCTACTTACACGTGTGGCCTGGGAGCCACGTCTCCACCGGAACCTCTGTTTCCACGGCGATAGGGGTGGTTGCTGGGAGCTTTAATTAAAACCAGTCTCTGTCCACTGCTGGCAGCAGGGAGCGCCTCACCTGGACCCAGGCACCTAGGACAGGTGTGGTCTCGGAAGACACAGCAGAGCCCGACACGGAGGGGCTTACAGGGGAAGGGCCTTGAAGGAGGCCCAGGGTTTCCTGAGGCACAGGCAGGGAAGGGGGGCCGAGGCGAGGAAGCGGCTTTATCAGAGGCCTGGCAGCTGGGCACAAACGCCGTGGGGGCCCAAGGCGTCCCTGAGAGAGACGCACGTGAGGGTCTCTGGAGAAGGAGGTCCGCCATTTCCAGGGAAAGGGGACACCTGTAGGTTTCCCCTGCGGCATCCCTCTGTCCTGTCTGCCTCCCTCGCCCAGAGGATTCCCAACTGTAGGGGGCAGGCAGGGCTGGCTCACGCCTGACCTCAGTCCACAGCCTGTCCCTCTCTGACCTAGGCCATCCCTGGGTGTAGGCACAGTCCCTGGTGGGCAGAGCTGGGAACGTGGACAGGTGGAGACAGGTGTCAAGGCCAGGCAAAGGCTCAGCAAAATGTCTAGAGGGGGTAAAATGGCCCCCGAACCTTCCAAGGGCTGTTTCAGAAATAGGACTTGAAAGTTCGTAGTCAACCCAGGCTGACACCTCCTCATCACCTGCCTTCAGAACCCATCCATGGAAATGCTGACACTGCAGTTCAGGGTCCCCAAACCACCCTCAGGCTCAGGGACGTGCTGGACTGGCTCACAGAACTCAGCCAGGCAGCGATACCCGAGGTCAGGGTTTAGCGCCGTGAAAGGACATAGCCTCGAACCAGCAAACTGGGCATCTCTAGAGGGCAGGGTTTAGGGGAGACCAGACTCCAGCACCCAGGGGTCTTCTCTCAGTAGAGTCGGGCAGACGATGCTCAATTCTCCCAGAATGGTGTGCACCAGCCAGGGGGGCCCAGCCACGCCTCGGGGCTCAGGGTTCCTACTGGGGGTCCATCGCAAAGACATGCCTCACTGCCCGTGTGCTTGGCCTTGGTCTCATCCCCAGGATGATGAGCCGATACAGCACAGCCCAAGGTCCCACTGTAAATGACATCATTAGCGCGGTCACTAGGGTGGCCCAAGACCCCCAAGCAAACACAGACACTTATCACGCAGTATATTTCAAGTGGCTAGAGGTCAGAGGTCACCTCCCAGGAGCTAGGCCAGAGCCAGACCTTTCTTTGGAATGTGCAGGGTGTGGACAACTCAGGCCTGCTGAGTTAACCCTTTCCTGCACAGTGACCAGAACCCACCAGCACCCCACTGGGAGGTGATCAGCTTGAATGAGTCCCGACTGAGGCAGGAGAGGGGAGGAGGCGGAGAAAACCACAGACAAAATTACAGTCCAGTGGGAGCCAGGGCAGCTGGCGTCACCTCCATTTTACAGATGATGTGGGATGGAGGCAGGAAGAGGGGTTATGACGTGCCCAGGTCACAGAGCCAGCCTGGGATGGTGCCAGAACCCCACCCTGATCTCATGCAGCTTGCTCCTGTCACCCCTGGCCCCGCCTCTTCAGCAGTGGAGGAGACAAATGGGGCCTGGCCCATGCCTTGACGGGGGCCCTAGAACTGGGGGCCTGGTGGTGGCTGCCTCCTGGGAAGTATCGGCGTCTCTCTTGAACTAAGGTGGAGCTTGGGTTTTGAGAGCAAGCGCTCTTTGCAGTGGCCACGTGCTGGGCCCTGCTCAAACCTCTTCGGACTCCCAGAAAGAATGAGGTCGGGCCCTTTCCACCCTGAAATGTGCAGCAAGCATCTGAGAAAGGGGAGGGCAGTGCTAAACCCTCAGGACGGAGCCCAGCGGCTGTGATCCCGGGCAGCAGGGAGGCAGTGTTAGGGGAGGGGGAGGCCTCCTTGCTGCCCCCACCAAATCACACGGACCATAGGGTGTGGATTCCAGAACAACTCCCTCTTTCCACAAAAGGGAAAGCCGAGACCTCGAGTGAGCAGAAAGGATGAGCCTGTGGTCACACGGAGCTTGTCCCAGGCCGGCCGCTCCCATGCTGCTGCTCCCATGCCGCCGCTCCCAGGCTGCCCATCCAGCTAAGGATGTCCCTGACACGGGTTCCTTTGGATTCTTCATAGAAACATTTTGGAAGATTCATGTCTAAGGGTTTTAATGAAAATGGCAGCTTTCCAGGCTGGTCTTGGATAGCAATCGTGAGCAGCCCCGCCGGCCAGTGCTCACCTGGGGCCCCAACCACTCGGGAGGGGGAGGGGGCATGTTGAGTCAGCAGCAAGAGAGATTGCAGTTAGACCTAAGAAAGTCCACCCAAGTGAGAGCCAGATGGCCATGCCTGGTTATAGACAAGTTTCAGGAGCCCCTCCACAGCCCCCCACCCCAGCACTTCCTCCTATAACATGCAGGTACAGGGCCTGGAAGTTCACAGGCACACGCACAGTAGCCTAAAAGCCTCAGTGATCTCGGGAAGTCCTCATAAACAGTGGTTGGACCAGGTGATACCGTCCAATGGTCTGGCCAGCATAGCTCAACGTTTATGGACTCTTCGGCACGCAGGCACCATTCTGCCCTCCCAGGCCGATAACCAGAAAGGCATGCCATGATTCTTCCAATTAGCTTAATTGGGAAATTGGTTCCATGTGGTCTCAAGGGCCACCATCTATGGGAGAAGGCAGGTCAGCGGGACAGCGAGTCTCCCAGCACCAACCCACAGAGCCCCCACCCAGAGGGAGCTTACGGGCTCAGAGCAAGGAGCCTTATTCCACACCTCCTTTTCTCCTTGTACTTCCAACCCCACCATCTGGGGTGGAGCTCTAGCTCATGGTAGATGCTCTGAAAACCGTGGCTGTAAGCAGCTGGACCTCCAGGCCCCAGTGTTCGTCACTATAAGATGGGGAAACGTCAACACTGGCCCAGGGGGCAGGAATAAGATGATTTGAACCATGGGTCTATAAGGAGCACCTGGTGGGGAGGTCATTAAAGGCCCTTGGTTTCTTCAAGCTGACCTGGACCTTCATGAGCCCTACTTGGGGCACCAGGGAATTGGGAGATTTTCTTTTCCCTATTTCGCACCTGAAGAACTCCTGTTCATCCGTCAGTGCCCTGCTCCAGTGCTGCCTCCTCTGGGAAGCCATTCAGCCTCCTCTACCCATGGTTGCCTCTCCTCCATATTCCCATCGCACCTTGATTATGGCCTCCTCATGGCACAGATCAGCCCACATTTGCTGCCCACATGCAACACCATGAGAATATTCTAGACCTGCACTGTCCAATGCACAAGCCACTTGCCACATGTGGTTTCGAGAGCCTGAAATGTGACCTGTACAAATTGAGATGTGCTATAAGGCTAAGATAAACACCAAATCTCAAAGACTTGCCACCAAAATATGAATGTAAAATATCTCAATAATTGTTATATTGATTGCATGTGGAAATTATAATATTGTTTATGTATCGGGTTAAATAAAATATTACACTTATTTCACCTGGTTTTAGTGTGGCTACTAGGAAATTTTAAATTAATTACATATATGGCTCACATTGGATTTCTGTTGAACAGACTCTGCAAACTCTGCTCTCTCCTGGAGCCAAGTACAGGACCTAATCCATGCAATTTCCAGTCTGTATTTGCTGAATGAATAGGTGGATGGATGAATTCTGGGTGGGTGGGTGGATGAGTGGATGGATGGGAGGGTGGATGGATGGATGAATAGATGGGTGGGTTGGCTGGGTGGATAGATAGGTGACTGGGTGAATGGATAAGTAGACAGATGGGTGACTGGGTGGGTGGGTGGATGGATGGATGAATGGATGGATGGATGACTGGGTGAGTGAATGGGTGGTTGGGTGGATGGATGGGTGTGTGGATGGATGGATGGATGGATGGATGGATGACTGGGTGAGTGAATGGGTGGATGGGTGGATGAGGGTATGTGGATGGATGGATGGATGGATGGATGGATGGATGGATGGATGGATTGGTGGGTGGGTAGGTGGATGTGGATGGATGGATGGATGGATGGATGGATGGATGGATGGATTGGTAAGCGGATGGATGGATGCATGGATGGATGGATGGATGGATGGATGGATGGATGGATGGATGGATTGGTGGGTGGGTAGATGGATGGATGGGTGAATGGATGGGTGGATGGGTGAATAGATGGGTAGATGGATGGATGGATGAATAGATGGATGGATGGATAAATTGGTAAGCGGGTAGATGGATGGATGGATGGATGAATGGATTGGTGGGTGGGTAGGTAGATGGGTAGGTGGATGGATGGATGGGTGGGTGGGTGAATAGATGGGTAGGGAGATGAGGTGGTGTATGCACAGGGCTAAACACCATGAGCCTTGCCTTGGAGCCTCTGATTCACCATGGTACACCTGTGCACTTGTGAAATGCAGACAACTTGTGAAATTTACAAAACCACAGTTCCCACCTCTTGGAACTACACCCAATTTATTCATGTGATCAGCCCCAGTGGGTGCCTGCCTTGGAGTCTCAGGGGACCTGGTTAAGAAGATGGGAAGCTCTAGCCAGCAAGGAGTGAAGAGGTTTGCAAACACACTCTTGACCAAGCCTAAAGACTAAATCCAGACCGTGCTCAGGCTGGATTGGGCCTGAGGGAGGGGAAGACTGGGAAGACTGGGAGCTGGCCTTCTTCTCAGGGAGGAGTCTATAAGGCAGAGGAAGGGATGGAGGGAGAGAGGGAAGGGAAGGAGGGAGCAAAGACACAGGCCAGGCAAGCCTCCTGAGCAGGAGGAAACGTTTGTGAAAGGTGAAAGAGGCATTCGAAGGGGGATTGAGAAGAAGCACTGGAATTGCTGGATGTCTGGGCGATACATCCAGCAATTCCAGCACATGTCTGCCTGGGCAACATGGAGAACCCTCAGCCCCAATGGTCCCCGCCTCATCACCAGCCTCTCTCCCCATGTGTCTCTGTGTTACTCTTTGCACACCTCAGTTCTCTCCTGCCTCTGAGCCTTCGTATATGCTGTTCCCCCAGCCTGGGATGCCTTTCCCTGTATTGCTGTGTAGTTGTGCTATAGACAGAATATCTGTGTCTCAACAAAAGTCATGCATTGAAATCCTAACCTCCAAGATGATGATGTTGGGAGATGGGACCTCTGGGAGGCTCTGCCCTCATGAGTGGGATGAGCACCCTTATAAAAGAAGTCTCTGAGAACTGCCTTGCTCACTTCTGCCATGTGAGGATGCAGACAGAAGCAGCCAGCTCTGAACCAGCAATGGGCCCTTGCCAGATACCAAATCCGCAGGTGCCTTGATCTTGGACTTCCAGCCTCCAGGACCATGAGCAATAAGCTGCTGTCTGTGAGCCACCCAGCCCAAGTGGACTAGGACAGGTCGGCTTCCCGTGGAGGCCCCACCTGCCATGCTGTCCAAATCAGCAACCCCACCACCACCTCCCACACTCACTGCCTTCCCCATGACTTGATTCCTCACATGCTTATCTGGGACCAAGGGCTCCAGCTCCAGATGCAGGCATCCACCAGCCTCAAGGCCAGGCACCACAAGCAGGCCCCAGGCATGCCACTTTCTCCCCTCTGTCTTCCTTTGACCTCAGAAGGCACCCTCCTGAGGCTTCCTGCAGTCTCTGGGGACAACTTAGTTGTGTCCCAGTGGGGTTCAACTCATTAGAATTCATAGTCGCTTTGTAGTTGACAAGGTCTGCTCCAGAAGGACCACCACAAATCTCCCCTGGGACTAATCAGGGCAGATGTCCCAGGCACCACACTTCCATGCTTCTGAACCACAGTGTTCTGCATCCCCTCCCTCCCCTCAGCAGCAAGCAGGGGAAGGGCACTCTCCCCAGCCCATGAGATGGGCAGCAGGCAAGGAGGGGTGCAGGGGCTCTGCCTGGGGAATCGCAGAAGCATCACACAGTTCTCTGCCTTCACTCCTGGCCCTGAAAGCCCCTTCTCTGTATTTTGCTCTTCATTTCCAGAGCAGGATGTGGGAAACACAAGCACTGGAGGAAAAGGAGGACCCTTCAGCTAAGACGGAATCAGGGATGTTCATATGCGGGTCCGTCCCTGCTTCTACAGCCCGCCACGGTCCATTCTGGGGCAGCATCTTGGCCCCTAAGCATGGGGACAGAGAGCAAAAAGGCAGCATCTGCAAATCAAACTAAGCAGCATGTTCCAGGGCTGGGCAAATGGGAGAGGGAGGAGCCGGGAGGTGGTTGCCAGGGAAACATCAGAGCTTAGCCAGTCAGCAGGGGCCACCAGTTTGGTTGCCGGGTGCACTCTGCAGGATGACACTGCCCTCAGGTGGTGGATAGGGATGCTGACAGCCACGGCACCAGGGACCGCTATGTCCTGAGCCGATGGAGGCACCTTAGGATGTTTTCCCCTCGCTCTGTGTATACTAAAGATACCCAAGTAGGGCTGACCCTGCATACAGCTCCCATGGCCTCTCTGGGGGAGCAAGCTGAGGATATTCCGTTGTGATGAGGTTTCACAAGCATCCTGACCTCTGGGGAAGTTGCTTTTGCCACAGTTCCCATCAAGTGTTGCCCTGCATGCCAAGGAAACAGAGCCCCTTGCAGGGAAGACAAAGGGTCCATGAGATGCCTCCTTCCTTGAACATGACAAAATTCAGTGCTGTCATCCACATAATTCAGCGGCAAAGATAGGTTTTACTGAATTTCTTCAGTAAGGTATTTTCGTTTTCTAAACCCTAAAACTTGGAATAATTAGAGGTTGCCACCCAGTGGGGACTCAGAAAATTGCAACCCAGCTTTATCAGCTGTTGTAACTCTCCAAACAAAACCAAGGTCTCTGCCTATGTGTCGGGGGTGGGGTGGGGCAGGGTGGGTGTTCAGGGACTGGTGGAGTTTCTAGAGCCCCAAGAGGGGTGACATGTCCAACAGAAAGAAACCACCAAATTCCAAATTCAGGAGGACAGTGGAACAAAGTCTGCTGGCCTTGGACCTTTAAGCTGTCTGCCTTCCCACACCCTCGCTTTCCAACTCACCCAATGAAGAACACAGCTGCACAGTGACAGTCCCATCAAGCCTGTGTCTGCTGCACCCAGACAAAGCCTCAGAGTCCTTCTCATCACAGTGCTGTCAGCAGCCCCTGCTACCAACTAGAATGGTCAAATGGCTGTATGGCCCCCTCAATCCATGTTCCATTTGCTCCTAGTTCACTTGGGGTTTTTTGGCAAATTGTTTGCTTTTCTCTAAAGTATATTGTTTGTAACTCAAGTAGCTTGTTTGTTGCACCCAAAGTTCACTAGGTTTGTACTTACTGGAAAATTCCTGGGTCCTGCCCTTTTGACGTGTCCCCACCCAGGGCCCCCTGCCACCACATGCCCTCCAGTGACACTGACACCTTGGCCCTCTATTCCCTGGACAGTCTGCAGTTGGCTGGCCCCAGGCACCTGCAGTCCAGGTGACCCCACCTTCCACTCTCACTACCAGCCCTGTGACATTCTGCCCCACAGCTGGGTTAGACTCCCTGAGCACATGCACCTCCGGTTCTCCCAGGCCCTTCACTGCAGCTGGGTCCTCAGTAGACCCACACACTTGTCATGGCTTCTGTGCAAGCCACCCACGTCCCTGGGCACCCAGAGAAAGGACCTTAGTAGAAAAGGCCAATGAGGCTGCAAAGCCCGGCACCTGGAAGGTCTCTCGCTCTCAGTCTCGCCCAGCTGCCCCTCACTGAGTGTTGGAGTGATGCCAGAGGGGAGCCACTGCAGGTCTTGGCTCAGGCAGCACCACAAGCAAGGTGCTAGGATTAGCCCCATTCCACAGGGGCAGAAACTGAGGCTCTGGGTGAGCGAGCAGGGAGCTGACGTGAGTGACTCCAGAGCCCACACTTATATCTCGCAGGGGCAGAGCAGAAGAGACCGAGGACTGGATTCCAGGCCAGCACCACCAGCAGGGCCCTTGGCTCCTGGCCACTACCTGAGATACAGAGGGTCTGCAGAGCCCATGTCCTCCTGCTCCCCTCCCCCACCCCATCCAACCTCCAACAAAGGAAAAATCTTCCCCAAACCCTGCCTGTCTGTTAGGAAAGCTCCCCTACTTCAGTCCCCTGGCCCTGGGGCCACTAACCCAGGTCTTACTGACCAAGAACTTGGGGGATTTTTATGCAACAGCAAGAGTCTGAACCAGAGAGGGGTGAGATACTCCCCGGGTGTCAAGCTGAGGCCCTGGTCCAACCACAACTCCTGGCGTGTTCACTGGCACTGGGCCTGGAAGCCAGGCCATGGCTTCTCCAGGTGGGCAGTGTCTGGGAGCTGGGACCCCACTTCTGCTTCCCCCTACCCCAATGCACACAGGCTGCTCCCAAACAGGCTGAGCCTGGGGGACCTTTCAGACTGAAATGCAAGAGCTGAACTGTGGAGGCAGACTTGCCACAAGCAGCCCTGTGATGGTCTCATGCCCATCCCACAGACAGTGGGCACACCAAACAGGGGAAACCGAGTCACAGGCATGTGCAACAGTGATCACCAGCTCAGCAGGTCCAGGGCCAGGACTCCAGAGAAACCCCTGCCCACCGCCACCCCACTCAGCCTGGAGGAAGCCCCACAGCTGGGCCCAAGCACCCTGGTGCCCCACCAGCCGCATCCTCCTCCCTCTGGGTGATAGGGCACTGAGTCTCCGCACCTGACTCGCTCAGGGTGCTGCTCCAGATTCTACGTGTTCCTCCTGCTCCCAGGTGAGAGCAGCACTCCTGACCACTGCTGGTCATGCACCAGCCTCAGCTTCCCCAGCTGTGACAGCTACCAGGGAACAGGCCTGCGGTGGCAAATGTGCCGTGTGTGCTGGAGGGTGGACATGCTGCTTCCGACAGCTGCACCCCAGTGAGTGCCGGGCGAGAGGAGCCCAGCGAGAAGCTTCCCAAAAGCGCCTCCCTCCTTCCAGGACGGGCAGCAGGAGAGCAGGGAAGTGCTACAGGCCCACCTGGCTTCCCTTTGAAGCCCTTAAGGAAAGCCCCTCTCTGATCACTCTGTGGGAACAAGGCCACCGCTGACCAGCAAAGACAATCTTCCTGAGAGTCCTGACACTGTTGTGTAGGTTGTGAGACCCGTCTCTCTCCAGCCCTGCTTCCTTTGTGAACCTGGGCTTGTCACCCCTGCCCCTCCTCCTTCACGGAGCTGCTGGGAGGACAACATGAAGCCCCTGGAGATGAAGGACGTTGCTACGCCGGTAAGGGCCAGGCAGATGTGAGAAGGGCGTGAGGGCCGCGTTCAGCAGCCGTGCAGTGGTGCAAAGAAGATGCTGCTGGGCAGGTGGGTGTTGGGCCTGCTCAGGTGGAATCCAGCAGCCCCCCAGCCCCCCAGGAAGAACCTGGGCTACGGTTCTTCCACAGTTACCTGCCGTGAGCGAGCACTGTGGGAAGCAGCGTCCCCCTCCACACCTGGGCCAGGATCCTCAAGTGACTCGCACCCCAACCTTAGAAGTGTAGGAGGGGGTGAGGGGGAAGGAGTTGGGGGGGCAGTCAGCCTCAAAAGTCACTTCACTGGGCCGGGCGTGGTGGCTCACGCCTGTAATCCCAGCACTTTGGGAGGCCAAGTCTGGCAGATCATTTGAAGTCAGGAGTTCAAGACCAGCCTAACCAACATGGTGAAATCCTGTCTATATTAACAATACAAAAAAAAAAAAAAAAAAAGCTGGGCATGGTGGCATGTGCCTGTAATCCCAGCTACTCAGGAGACTGAGGCAGGAGAATCACTTGAACCCTGGAAGTGGAGGTTACGGTAAGCCAAGATCGTGCCACTGCACTCCAGCCTGGGTGGCAGAGCAAAACTCTGTTTAAAAAAAAAAAAAAAAGTCACCCCATTGGCCTCCTCCCATCACCAACCCCGTTCCCCCATTCTGTGTGTCTCCACTAGCACATCTGACTGTGGGGATTAGCAAAGGCGTGGAATCGCTCTGGAAAAGCTAGGTCCTTATTTCTAACTGCTGGAATGTCTCACGATAGGTCTTCAGTAAGCAGGTTGGTTTCCATAAGGACTTAGGCAACAGTCTGTGACTTTTTTATTTTTGAGACAGTGTCTTGCTCTGTTGCCCAGGCTGGAGTGCATCAGGGCGACCATAGCTCACTGCTGCCTTGACCTCCCAGGCTCAAGTGATCTTCCTGTCTCAGCCTTGAGTAGCTGGGACTACAGGCATGTACCACTGTGCCCAGCTAATTTTTGTGGGGGTTTTTGGTGGAGACGGGGTTTCTCCGTGGAGATGGGGTTTCTCCACATTGCCCAGGCTGATCTCAAACTCCTGGGCTCAAGCAATCTGCCCACCTCGGCTTCTCAAAGTGCAGGGATTACAGGGACCTCAGCCAACTTTTTCATATATATAAATGCTGCTTTCAGTTTTTAAAATTAGCTTTTTAAATTTTAGAATAGCTTTTAGATGTACCGAACAGTTGCAAAGATACTACAGTTCCCATATGCCCCACGCCTAGCTCTGCTCACACTAACATCTCACGTTAGTCTAGCACCTTTGTTGCAATCATGAGCCAGCACTGATACACCTTTATCTATGTCGCAACAGGACATTCAGTCATCGTGTCTCCTGAGGCTCCTTTTGGCTGTCACAGTTTCTCAGACTTTCCTTGTCTTTGATGACCTTGACTGTCCTAAGGGCTGATCAGGTGCTGTTTCAGTCCGTTCTCACTCCGCTACAAAGAACAGTCTGAGACTGGGTAATTTATAAAGAAAAGAGGTTTAACTGGCTCACGGTTCTGCAGGCTGTCCAGGAGGCATGGCTGGGGAGGCCTCAGGAAACTTAGAATCGTGGTGGAAGACGAATGGAAAGCAGGCACGTCCTACATGGCAGCAGGAGAGAGAGAGAGAGTGAACAGCCAGATCTCGTGAGAACTCACTCACTATTACGAGAACAGCAAGGGGCAAGTCACTCCCATGATCCAGTCCCCTCCCATCAGGCCCCTCCTCCAACATGGAAGATCATAATTCAACATGAGTTTTGGGTGGGGACACAGAGCCAAACCCTGGCCCCTCCCAAATCTCATGTCCTTCTCACATTTTTGTTTGTTTGTGGTTTTTGTTTTTGTTTTGTTTTGTTTTGTTTTTTGAGATGGAGTCTCACTCTGTCTCCCAGGCTAGAGTGCAGTGGCAAGATCTTGGCTCACTGCAACCTCTGCTTCCCAGGTTCAAGAGATTCTCGTGCCTCAGCCTCCTGAGTAGCTAGAATTACAGGCACCTGCCACCAGAGGGAAGGAGGGAGGAAGGAGGGAGGGAGGGGGAAGGAGAGAGAGGGGAGGGAAGGAGAAAAGAAGGAGGGAGGTAGGAAAGAAGGAAGGAGAAGGGGGAAGGAAGGAGGGAGGGGAAGGAGGGAGCAAGTAGGTAGGGAGGAGGGAAGGAAGGAGGTAGGGAGGAAAAGAAAGAGAAGAGGGAAGGAAGGAGGGAGGGGGAAGGAGGGAGGGGGAAAGGGCGGAGGGGGGAAGGAGGGAGGGGGAAAGGGTGGAGGGGGAAAGGAGGGAGGGAGGGGGATGGAAGGAGGGGGAAGGAGGGAGGGACGGGGGAAGGAGGGAAGGAGGGGGAAGGAAGGAGAGAGGAAGAGGGAAAGAGGGAGGCAGGGGAAGGAAGGAGGGGGGAAGGAAGGAGAAAGGAGGGAAGGAGGAGGGGAAGGAGGAGGGAGGGGGAAGGAAGGAGGGAGGGGGGAGAGGGAAGGAAGGAGGGAGGGGGAAAGCAGGAGGGAAGGGGAAGGAGGGAGGGAGGGGGGAAGGAGTGAGAAAGAAGGAAGACCACTGAGCCTCCTCTCTGTGCTTCCCAAATGCCCCCACTGACCCACACAGGGGTCTCTGCCCTGCCCTTGGACCTCAAAGGCTCCGTTGCTCACCTTGGAGGGCACCATGGTACCTGACCTTCCCCATCCCCCATAATGGGCAAAAGCCATGATGCCACCTCCTGGATCCCAGGCCCTGGAACCTGGGCCTACAGTCCTGTGCTTGTCCAGAGGTGGACCCCGGGTCAAATCTCCAAGGATTCCTGCTCACCACCCTTTGCTCAGGGAGCAAAGTCGGCCTGGCCTCCTCCACCCATGCCCTGCATTAGAGCCTCTTCACACCAAAAGAAAGGAGGAAGTGGCTGCTTCCTCCTAAAGCATTTTCTGGGTGACCAAGGCCCTGGTCACAACAGCCCTGGAAAGTGGGGAGTTTGTCCTCACTTTGGAGGTGGGGAGATGGGGAAACTGAGGCTCAGAGAGGGCAGGACCCGCCCCCCTCCCTCCTTGGCGCTCTGTCCTCACCTTCCCTGACCCTGCTCCTGCTGCAGGCCAAGCCCACCTGGCACCCAGTAGGGCTGTGTGCCCAGCTTCCCGAACAGCTGACTGCTGAGGCATCTTGGTGAAACTGGGATGAAGCCGGCTCCTGACTGGACCGCTTGCTGCAGTGAGCAGGGGTATGGCTGGGTGGCGGAGCGCCCAGGTGATTCTGACTCACAGTAATCAACCCCACTGCCGGAAGCCACTGTGGCACCCACAGGCCTGGAGGAGCAAGAAGGGACTGGAGGACCCGCGCTGTCCCAGCGTCGCCAGCAGGGGGCAGGGCTGCTTCACGCCGCAGCAGGCGCCGGGGCATCTGTCCTTGGGGACACTCGGGTTCCTAATCAGCTCCATAACCGAGGTGGTGGGATGGGACCTGGTCCTGCCTTGGCCTCCCTTTGGGCAAACTCCTTCCTCGCAGGGCCTCTGCGAAGTGTGGGGACACAGCTCTGCAGGGGCTGCGGGCTCCCTCCGGGCATCTTTACAGAGGGGGCTCGCTGCAGAAAGGCAGGTAGAAAATGCCAGACTCAATGGCCTGCCCGCCCCGATGCTGTCTGAGTCCCTGCCAGGGGGCGGCTGTGCCCATCTGAGAATCCAGGGGACTGGGCTGAAGGCTCTATGTGGCCCTTCCCGATGTCTCCACGCCCCAGCCCCTTCCTCCTGAGGCCCCTGAGACTTCCCTGGCCTCCTCTGGTCACCCAGGTGCAGCTGTCCTTGGGCACAGCGATGACCCCTCCTCCGCCCTGAGTGTGCACTGCCTGCACAAAGTGCAGGGGCTGCCCCGTTCTCTCAGGATGTGCTCTCAGGATGCGCCCCATTCCCCACGTGCGCCCTTCCTCCCATCATGCTGTCTGCTGGCTGATGGCAGGGACGGAAGCACAGGGAGCTCAGCGGTGCCCATCCAGGAGCCATGTGTCCCTGCCCCCACCGCAGGTGCCTGAGCCCCTGCCCCCTCCCTTGCCTCTCAGTTCACAAACCTCCAGCCCACACTGGCTTGCTGTCGTTGCCTGAGAGTGACGGTGAAGAACTTATCAAGCCCAGCATCTCTGGTCCAGAGGGACTGCCCTGGGCAGGAGTCACCGTGGCAACCAAATGCCGAAGGGAGGCCCAAAGCTGGGTTGTCCTGCGATGCCGCGCCAGCCAGCAGCCTGGAGTTTCTGCCTGGCTGGTGGGAGCACGGGGTGGTGTTCGTGTCCCTGGAGGGGCACCAAACTCCCCCCACGCTCACCCCAGGAAGTCCCATAGTAACACCCTGCCCCATTATTAAAACAAGCACCAAGGCCCTGGGAACTTACGGGAAGCTTCCCCTTCCTGGGCTTCTCCCAGAGCCCCGAGGGGTCCGTGTCCTGCAACCACAGACCTCAGCTTTCCCCTTTTGTCCCTGCGCTCTGGCCTGAGAACTCCGAGGGCTCACTCTCACCCCAAGGACGGGTGTCCGTGGAGGCTGTGCCCAGAGTCCAGGGGGCCACCAGGGCACAGAGCCAGCTTCCAACCGCTGGTGTCTCACACAGCAGCACTCAGCCATGTGCGCAGATGTGCAGCAGGATGGGAGGCCTCTCAGCAGGGAGGCCACATCCCAGCTCCCGAAGCCCCAGGGCCGACCCCTTTTCCAGACCACGGAAGGGGCCCACGTGCTTCATGTGTGCAAGATTATATGCAGAGAACATGGGTGGGCCAGACTCAGCAAGCCAGGTCGGCAGAGGGCTGTGCCGACACAGAGGAAGCGGGTGGCCACTTCAAGGACTCCGCCCTCCCTCGGGGTCCATTCACACTTGGACCCCTCTGGAGAAGCCCAGGTTGGTCTCAGTGGGCAGAGCCGAGGCCCTGGCAGGGGAGGGTGTGAAGCCCAGGGAGGATCCTTTGGATGTGCAGCTGGGACCCAGGGGGGCTCCTAAGATGGCAAAGTGAGTCGAGACTCCTGTGGCACCCACCATTCAGCCATGGTTGGGGGCCCAGGGAGTGGCCCAGAGTTTCAGAGCACAGCCGCACAGCCGCCGTTCCCAGGAAGAGGGAGAATGTTGGTGTGGGGTCCTGACTCCACCAAGGGAGGCTGGCTCAGCCCCGCACCCAAGACCCCCACTGTTCTGTCGATCCTTCCAGGGCTGAGTGCAAGTGTGTATGTTCATGAGTGTGTGTGTGCACGGGAGCATGTATGGGTGTGTGTGCATGGGAGTGTGTATGGGTGTGTGTGCATGGGAATATGGATGTATGTGCATATGAAAGCGTGTATGGGTGTGTGCACGGGAGCGTGTATGGGTGTGTGCAACTGAGCCTGTATGGGTGTGTGTGCATGGGAGCATGCATGGGTGTGTGCAAGGGCAGCGATGGGTGTGTGCACGGGAGCAGTTCTGCATGGGTGTGCATGCCAAAGCATCTGTGTGAGCACGTGGTGTGTGCATGCGTATGAATGGGTGCGAGGGTCCATGTGAGCGTGTCCGTGCCCGTGTTTGAGTATGCACGTGTGTGAATGTGTGTGTGCTCATGAGGGGAGTGCCATCAGGAAGTCCCTGCCTTTCAGGTGGCAGGCCGTTCCATTTTAAGTCTCACCCGGGAGCCACCCTAGCTCTGGGCACAGGCCACACTGTCCTCTGCCCACCACCACAGGGCAGGACCTGGACCTTCAGAGCCCCACTCCCCATCTTCAGTGTGTCTGGTGCCTCTCGGGGAGGGTGCCTGGCTGGACACAGGTGCATGAGAGGGCTCCGGGCACGAAGACCAAACCAGGCCGGGAGCAGCCCAGCCCCAGACAGCATGGAGACAGAGGGCGTTTATCACAGGAGACAATGCAGATGGGGCATCATTAACTTGTTGTTATTGGGGCAGCTGGGTGACATCGTGTGTTCCTTGGCCCTCTGGGTGCACCTCCTGCCCATCTGGGCCAGCGTGGCTGCAGAGGCGTGGATGCTTAGGCAGCCTGGGGAGGGACAGGTGGGAACACTCGTGCTCCGCAGGCGCCCACAGGCCCAGTGCCCACGGCTGCTGAGAGGTGCCCTCACGGAGGCCCCAGCCCCCTGCCCCTTGGAGGAGCAGCAGAGCCCAGTGGACAGGGAGAGAACTCTCAAGAGTATGGCCCACAGAGGATGCCAGCCTCGCCGCACAGGACCGGCAGGTAGGGTGGACAGGAGGGTGGGCTGGTGGGGGCTGATCGCGGGCCCTCCCGCTCCAAACAAAAAAGTCCCCACACGGAACAAACGAACTGAATGGCGATGTATTTTAAACGCTCATATTTTGTTTCTCCTCTCACACTTCTCCCTTTGCGTGTTCCTTTTCCACAATTCTAATGCTACTGTCCATCAAACCCTGGCACCTGAGGCCACGATGTTTCAGAGACAATCGTACGGAGAAGCCACTTCACAGTCAGTCACAGGAAGGCCAGAGCCGGCAACAGGACACAACAGAGCAAGGCTTTAAAAATTACTCGAAAGGGAAGAAAACCCTTGAAAGCCTCAGGCCCACCCTCCTGCCCCGAGGGAAGACACCCCCATTGCGGCGGTTTCCTCCCAAGCCTCGCCGCCGTCACAGGAGCCCTCTCCTCTGCCATCGTCTGTCCTGGCGTTTCTCGGACGAAGCTTTCACCTCAATCTCTAGAAGCAGAAACGAAACAGTCCCAGCCCTCCCCCCGCCATATCCAAGTATACATGAGGGATAAAATTACATTTGTACAAAAATAGATTTTTTTTTTTTACCTTTCCAGATGCTTTAGACATTTTCTCTTATCTTTACTCTCTTTATGGATCTGTCATCCTCTCTAAAGTATTAGCTATGCGTCCCAGCTAAGGCATTGCTAAGGATTGGGAACGGCTAAAGCTGTCTGCTCCAAAGCATCTTAAAATAGATGCATCTCCTGCCTTGAGATATTCATTCGAACCCGGATTTCACCAAAGGAGGGTCCTTATGTACTTGCTTACACGAAGCAAATTTATAGGAAAACAGGGGAAACGTCTTGATTAAAAATAAACACAAAACACTGGTAACCGCTCCGCCTTTCCTGGGTGGCGCTGGTGTGCGGCTCTCTCCACACGCGTCTCTCTGTACAGCACATACATGTTTACACCACACACCTGCGTGGACGAGCACCAGATCACGCACCCCAGCTCCACGACAGGGACACCAGCCGACTACCCACAGGCTGCACATTCCGGCAGGGCCCTCCTGGGTGCCCCACGGGGAGGGGCTCGGGGTCATCTCCAGCACTGCCACCAGGCCGCCAGCCCAGAATTCTTGGGAAACACCGTGCTCGGAAAACCGAAGGTCAGGGCTGTCCTTCCCAGAGGCCGTGTGCTTCCAGGGTGCGGAGGGCCGGCGGCTGACACAGGCCCCAGGGTGGAAGGTCCTGGCAGGCCAGCTTCCAAGCATGCCCGACGCAGCCTAGGGGAGCCCGGCTCTGTGGCATCTTCACTCCTGAGCCTCAGGAGCCCCATCTGAACGGCAAAGCCGGGAGGTGACCAGCTGAGGAGCGTGCCTGAAGGTGCCGGGGTGCCCTGGGTCCCCAGGAAGCAGCCACTGGGAAGTGGGGGCCCTGCGGGGAAGCCGCTTCATCCAGCCGGGCCAAGGCGGGGACAGGCACAGGTGGCTAATGAGCTGATGTTAGTGCTATCTTTAGAAAATTAAAGATTGTCCCACCAAAATAATAATAATTACAAAAAATCACCTTAATTGAACTGGATTGGTAATACTACTACAGGTCTGGTTAAATAGAAATTCTACCTCTCTACTCAGTGATGAGCCGCACTCCCCACACATCACCTTTTCAAACCAACAGCACTGTACAACTACAAGGCCGATGAGAAAGGGACGGGAAGGCTGCGGGAAGTGCCCGGGACACGTAGAGCGGTGGGTAAGGCTGCTGTGGCCAGGGAGGCCAGGTTCTGCTTTCAGGGGTTGGCGGCCGGGGGGCTTCAGTGCTTTACAGCCAGCCAGCCAGCCAGCCAGCGCCGGAAACGACAAAGTTCCCAAGAAGCAGCCGACCCCCCGCAACGGAGGCCCCGTCCCTGGGCTTTTTCCTCTGGAGCCGCGGGCATTCCCAAGGGTCCGGGCACGGATGGGTGGGCGCTGGCTGCAGAAGGCACCAGGTGTTGGCGTTGGGTCTTTTGCACTCCCACCGCTGGGGCCCCAAGAGTACCTGCACCCTCCTGCCATTTCCACCACACCCGCCAGGGGCAGCTGGGGCTTCCTGGCAGTGCCTGGGAGGGGCCCAGCTGGCCGGGGACCTGGTACAGGTATGAGGCTCAACACTCTGCCTCAGGACGGTGGATCGGGCAGGGGGCCACCTCTAGGGATCCACAACGCTGAAAGGCAGGGGTGGAGGGCGGCGGGGAGGAGAGGCTTCTGGAATCTCTGACAGCCTGTCTCGGGCACAGACTCAGCTGCAGGCTCCACTCGGGTGCCTAAGCTCAGCTCTGGCTGGGAGCTCCAGGAAGGCAAAGAATGGACACTTTCTTCCCCACCAAGGCTGGAAAGCTGCCTCTCCAAGCCACTGCCTCCCGGTCCAACCTGTAGGCAGCTCCCCTCACCACTGAGGAAGCCCCTGCTCCAGGTGGGGAAAGACTATGGAGAAGGCGTCCACCCCCCCGCATCATTCCTAGACTGCGGCTGGGAAGACAAGACCCCCTCCGGTATCCCCCCCATCCACCCTCTGTTCAGGCACCTGCCACTGACAAAGGCTGGGTCCACGGGACTGAGGCGTGAACGGGAAAAGTACTCAGGCCAAAGGGAGGGCCTTCCAGTGCAAAAGAGGCGAGTTCAACCTGAGAGGGCCCCGCACCACCGGAGCCCGGGGGCAGAGCCTGCGGGAGGAGCGCCAGGCCGCACTGGGCTGAGCCAGGGAGGCCCCAAGCCCCGCCCCCACCCCACCTTCAACCAGAGCAGGCGTTCAGTGAGGCTCCCAAGTAAGGCTCTGGGTGAACAACGCTGTCCGTGGACAATACCAGGCTGGGTGGTCCCACCAGGGCCTGCGTGTGGCCCAGGCCCGAGGGCGCTGCGACTCCGGGTTCTCAGATTCCAAGAGTCTTTTAGACACAACTGGCAGCCAGAGAGAAGGCCTGAGCAGGGGTCCCACCAATGCCCCGGCAGAGCCACTCCAGGCCGCGGAGCATCTGCCCCACCCACGAGGCTCCCAGTTCCTGAGCCCCTCTCTCTCCAGGCCACCTGCCCCCTCTGAGGGAAACCAACAGGCCACCCTCCTCCCCTCCCATCCCCGCGGGCCTCACAGATGGCTGCAGGTCCGCAGAGCCCTGTGCCTCCAGCAAGGCCAGTGAGGTGGTGATGCCCCACCCTGCCCGAGCCAGGGCCAGCCCTGCAGGAAACAAGGACAAGCCTCAGCCCACCCCGCAGAGCAAGGAGAAGACTCAGGCTGGGGAGGGGCCGGGGCACTCTGGTCTGAACGGGGAGTCGGGAGTCTGAAACCAGAACACCAAGGCAGAGAGAAAACAGGGGGGTGAGTGACCCGCCCCTGCAGCCTGGAGGTGGCCCCGAAACCTTGCACAGAGGGCAGCTCATGTTCTCATTGGCTCGAGGGCAAAACTGTGAGTTATCTTTGGAAAAAGGGGCTACCTTCCCCCTCACTCAGAGCACAGGGCAGCTTGCTTGCCCCACGAGTCCCCTCTCATCCCCGAGGCGGCTGAGGTCTTTGCTGATGACACACCAGCTTGCGCCCCCAGCTGTCCCCTCCTGATTAGGGGGAAGCTGTCACGGGCTGGCTGGGCACCAGTATTCAGAGCAGATGAAGATGTCACTCCAGACAGGAGGGCCACACAGGAATTCTGAAAACCAGCATCGATAAACAGCAACGGAAACAAAAGCCCCGTTCCCAACTCCTGCAGCTCCAGGGCTGGGGCCCGAAGACCCTGTAGTCGCCCAAGCCCCGTGGGGTGTGGCAGGGTGTCCTGAGAGCCCGGTGGGGAGGCGCCTGGCTGGGCTCACGCTAGTTCTTGCCACGAAGGCTGCTGCCTCAGGAAAGCCACTGCCCTGGGCCACAGACAAGTAGTAACAGAAATAAGGAGGGTGACAACACATCTCTTAGGCAGAGCAGTGACAGGCTGTGCCCCAAAGTCCAAACAGGCCAGGCAGAGAAGGGCAGGGACAGGGCTCAGGCTGAGAAGAACAGCTGGCGTCCAGGCAGGGTGGCCAGAACGGGTGGGCACAAAGGATGGGCCCGCAGGCCTAAGTCATTTGGTGCGGCGCCTCCAGCATCTCCATAAGGAAGGTGTCAATGGGTGTGTCCCCGATGAGCTTGAAGAAGAAGAGATGTTCCAGGCATTTGAGCCCGATGGAGCGCAGAGCCGGCAGGCGGAGCAAGAGCTTAGCGAACCTGCAGGGAACAGGTCTGGTGAGGGCCGGGCAAGGGGCATGGGCAGTTCTGCCCTGGCACTGGAGGCCTCCCTGGGGATGGGGCTGTGTCTGATACCCCAACCCCTCTGAGGCTGGTCTGTAGCCCTGAATCTGCCTATGCCAAGCCTCCAGAAGGAAGGAGGGGAGGCTAGAAGGAAACAGAGGCAGTGGCAACCCAGAGCCAGGACAGAGTGAAGGGAGATCCCTGGGTCTGAGGACGGAGATGAAGGGCCAGGGGCCAGACAGCAGCTGGCTAGGGCAGACTGAATAGCTCTTTGTGAAGAAGTTAAAAATTGCAGGCAGTTGGGCATGATGGCTCACACTTGTAATCTCAGCACTTTGAGAGGCCGAGGTGGGAGGATGGCTTGAGGCCAGGAGTTCGAGACCAGCCTGGGCAACGCAGTGAGACCCTGTCTCTACAAAAGAAAAAGAGAAAAACAGTAGCAAGGCGTGGTGGTGCATGCCTGCAGGGAGGACCGCTTGAGCCCAGGAGGTTGAGGCTGCAATGAGCTACGATCGCAGCACTGCACTCCAGCCTGGGCGACACAGCCAGACTGTCTCTCAAAAAATGAAAAACTGTGGGCCATGACAGCCGGGAGCGGGTGTGAGTATCAGTAATGCATCTGGCTGCAGCAGCCATCACAGCAAGAGACTGCGGGGCTTGTAAGGGAAAGGGCTGCTGAGCACACTGGTGAGTCGCAGGGAACAGGCCCGGCACATGGTGGGCAACCAAGAAGTCAAAGAGCATCAGGCGGGGGAGGGGGAGTCAGGCTGCACCCCCACTGCAGGTGGAGCCAGGCCTGACTTGGGAGCTGTGTAACGGTGCAAGACCCTTTCCATAAAGCATCAGCACCCCATGAGTGCCTCCCACGGCACCTTGTGCAGGGCTGTGGGCCCCAGACCAGGGCCACCCCTTCCTCAGAAATAGCTCTGCTGGCATTGGGCACAGCATGGTCAGAGAAGGCTGGCCGGGGAGGGAGGGAGCACGGGTTGGTCCTCAGGGCCTGGCCCATCCCTGGGGAGTTTCCTGGGGCAGGGACCAGTGGGGGGGCGGGAGGGAGGGGGGAAGTCTGGGGCTCTGGGAAGAGGGATAGCAGGGCCAGGCATGAGGGCAGCAGCTGCCGCTGAGGACAGGGTGCTATGGGGACGGAACCAGGTGTCCCTTCCGGCTGGCCGTGTCTGCCCAGGGCCCCTGTGCACGGCCTGAGTCTCTCCACACGGCCCCTCCAGGGGCTGCAGGACCTCATTAATTATTAACGAAGTCTTTCTTTCAGGGAAAAGCTCTGTGGTTGGCTGCCTCACAGGCCTTGTTTTAAAGGCAAAAACAGCGCAGAGGCTGGAGTTGGGCCAGAGAACAAGCTGTTTTCTGCTGAGCTGGCGAGATGGGCCAGGGCAGAAAGCCAGGAAAAACAAGCTGCCTGCCACCCCCTCCTGTCCTCGTCCTCCGGGAAGTTTCACTTTAAACCAAGCCAGATGAGGGCTGGGCAGGCAGCGGGGACACGGTTAACTGTGTATGTGCTGGTGGCGGGAAGGCCTGGGTGTCCTATGAGGTCTGCTGGGCCCCACCTCCCCCGACCCCCTCCCCGCCCCACAGTCTGAGGATCAAGAGGCCAGGAGATGCCCCTTTAGAGAGAAGAGGCAGAATCTGGAGCGCTGACTTTGAATCCCAGGCAGGGATCCACAAACGTTTCTCTTCCTGGACACCTACTGTGCACCCAGCACTGTGGACTCAGAAATGAGGGAGCCCCAGCCCTTCCAGGGCCCACAGCCGGGCAGGGGGGAAACATGAGCGCTACGCTCAGGCCGTGACCGCCTATTCCGTACACACTTGTAGAGAGTGTTTAGTATGTGTGGGCATCTGGCCATCCATTCTACACATGCTTGTGAAGTACCTACTATGTGCTGGTGTCGCCTGGCCTCTGGTGGTTCTGCTTGGTAGGGGAGCGCAGTGGGGGGTGAAGCACAGCCTTCATCTATCTACTGAACAAAGAGAAGCACCTACTATGCGCCAGGTGCAAGGTAATCCTTCCAGTGGGGATACGACGTGGGCCTGTGGGGTGTGCCCGCCACAGCCCACTGGCCTGGAGGACCTCCTGCTGCCTGCTCAGGACCTGCTGGCATGGGCTGGGCCTGGGGAGGGTGCCACCTTCTCATTCACATAAAATGGCCTTGCAGGGGGTGGGGGCTCTGGAGACAAGAGCCTGGGTCTGGGGTGTGTGTGGGACGGGGCGGGACCCACCTTCCCGGCTGCTCTGGGTACTTGTGCTTGCAGTAGGCCTCCAAGGACGCATAGACCTTCTCCCTCAGCGCCTCCACCTCGGCCGGGTTCGAGAGCCCCTTGGAGTCTGAAAGGAAGAAGCCACAGGTCAGAACCCTCAGCTGGGGCGTGTCTCGGGCACCTGCCCCCAGGACCCAGGCTTGTGTGGGGTCTCCCAGGCTGCCCCACCATGGGCAGAGCAGGTGGTGGAGGAATGCCGCTGGACATGCCTCCGCCCGCTCCCCCAGAGCCTGGTGGCAGGGGGACGACTGTGGAACCCACGGCCAGGCCAGGCTGCTCTGGGTCCAGGCTCAGCTCTGCCACTTGCCAGCCACGTGACCTTGGGTCAACTATTTGACCTCCAGAGACTCGGTTTCCCCATCGATAAAGTGTCAGGGATCTGCTGCCTTCCTTCCAGCCGCCTTGGGAACTGGGAGAGACAATGGATGCTGCTGCTGCCCTTGGGTCCCAGCCCCATAACATGGATGGGAGATAGCGCTGCTGCCCCCAGGAGTACCCAGACCCTGCGGAAACCCATCCTCGGTGTGCTTGCGGAGTCCTGAGCTCAGGACCCGGGCTCAAGAGCCTAGAGTGGACAGAGAGGCTAAGATTGCAGCCACCAAAACCTCCAAGGCCCAGGGACCCCCTGTGAATGCCACCTTGGCCCCCAAGGCCCAGGGACCCCCTGTGAATGCCACCTTGGCCTGTGTCCTGGGCTCCTTGGCAACGTACCTGGCTCCCCCAGCTGCCTCCGCTCCAGCCAGTCTCCTCGCCCTCCCTGCATGCCTGTGCCCTGGTCTCTTCGCTTTCCCTGCAAGCCTGTGCCTGGACCCTGCTTGTGCCAGACAATCTCACCCTCCCTGCAAGCCGGTGCCCAGGTCCTGCTGGTGCCCCAGCTCTAGCAACCAGACCACACAGGACCTGAATGGGGATTCCTCGGGCCGGGCCGGGCCGTGGCATGACTCAGCCTCCGAGCTGGCAGGATTACGGCCCGGATGCACAGCCTGGGTGATAAAATGACCCTGGAAACAAGCTCTCCCCACAAGAAGATGCCCATCTCCATCCCGGCCCGGTCCCTCAGAGCCAGGTCTGACAAAGGGCAAGGTCAGAAGGTCAGGGCCAGGAGCCGAGAGGGCTCCACTCCCTCCACCATAGCCCAAGTGAGCTCCCCACAGCAGCCCCAAACCTCTCCCTCCACACCCCAGCCACCTGCCCCTATCACGCAATGAGCTGAGTTTCCAAACACAGAAACCCATAGCTCCCTCCCGGCTGGAACCCCTCAGGACTTGGCTCCCTGTGGCCCCAAGAAAAAACCCAAACTTAGCAAGACTTTCAAGGCCCTGCCTGGGCTGCCTCCACCAGCCCACCCCACCTCCGTGCCTCTCACTCCCCTGGCCCCTAACTTGCAGCTCCCGGAGGAAGTGGCCCGCACCCTCGACCAACCGTGCTCCTGCCCTCACGTGCCGGGGGTGCCTGCTGGTGGGCGTGACCCTCTAAACCCCAAGCTCTAGGCAGGCAAGCCCTATCCAGCAGCTTGAAGGGGCCCTCCCATGCCAGCAGGGCACCGAGCAAACAGGCACGTGTCAGCACTTGTTGGGCGAAGGAGTAGCACCTAGGAGGCTTTTCAAGCCGAGAACCCAGAGGCTGGAGAAGGGCCGCACTGTCGGCCAGGAGGCCTGTGCCCAGCCCCAGCCCCACAGCCCCAAGCCCTGCTCTCCTCAACCACAGGGGCCCAGCCCCAGAAACACCCTGGACCCGAGGCTTGGGGATGAGGTTGGTCCCCTCTGGAACACCCGGCAGGCCTGACCCATCCCCAGCCTGCAGGGCTTGGGACTCCTGAACTTCAGCACCGGAAGTTCACAACCACAGCTGGCCACTTTCGGAGTCTGGATTCCGACGCACAGTGATGAACACTATGAACCGCGGAGCCCAGACGGCACCACCAAGCCCCTCATGACAACTGCCTTGCTGGGTCCCCCTGTGCCCAGGGACCATGCCCCCTTGGCTGGCCCTCAAGGTGAGCAGAAGGCAGCATGGCCACACTTTCACTGGGAGGGGGGCACACTGAGCTCAAGGAGGGTGGGAGTTGGCCCCACATGTAGCCAGAGGCAAGAAGTACAGCCAGGAGGAGGCCCAGGCACCTCTGCCCCACCAGAGAACGGGGCCAGAAGCCTCAAGGCAGGAAGGCCATACCAGGGTTAAAGAGGACGATGGCGCGCAGGCAGCCCAGCTCCGTCTTGTCCATCTGCATGTCCCGCATCTTGGACACAAGCTCCGTCAGCACCCTGCAGAGGAGGAGGGCAGACACCCCATCCCAGTTAGGTCGCAGCCCTCACCAGGGCCACACCCCAGATACCCAAGGCCTCTGGAGAGCCCGGCGTGGCCCGAGGGCCGCTGAGATGGGCCAAGCCAAGGCAAGGACTCCCAGACACCCCGAGAGGGAGTGGGCTGGAACCCAGGCCCAGGTGCCGCCCCTGCCAGGCCTGCCTGGCCCTGCCCGGAGGGTGGGCTCCTCTCCTCTCCCTCTAGGGTCTGCCTGCGGGGCTTTATTCTGGGAACCGAGGTGCTAAGGAGGGGCCTCGTGACAGCTAAACTGAGGTGAGCCGCAGCTGCACAGAGGGCACAGAGTCCACCCCTCCCGAACCCAGTGAGACACACCACTGTCCCTCCTCAGCTGTGGACCCAGCACCACCTGAGGCAAAGCCCCTTCCCATGCCACAGCCCCAGCCGCTCCCTTCAGTCCAGGAAGATACCTTTCCCCAGGGCCTGGTGTCCCTGGGTGGGGGCTGCCAGAGGGAGGCATGTCTACTTCTTGTCACCAGAGAAAAAAAATCCACCAGCCTCAACACGGGGAAAGCCCGCCAGCTCCCTCCATGGAGACGCTGGGGGCGTTCTTGGATTCAGACTCAGCTGCCCCAGCCCTGCAGCTGGATTCTGAATCACACCAGCCTCTGCAGTGTACTGGGCCCCCTAGCCTCAGCAGCCTGCCCACCAACCCCAAAGCTCAACTGCTGTGTCCAGGAAGTAAGGGTGGGCCACAGCGGGGGAAAGGAGGTGACCAGGTGGGGATGGTTGCCTAAGGAGCCTGGGCTCTCCCCTGTGGGCCAAGGGCGGCCCTGAGGGTCTGCAGAATGGGGAGTGCCCTGGTTGATTCCTGGAAGAAGATCTGAAGGAGGCTGGAGAACAGGGTGGGACAGAACAGGAGCTGGGAGGGACCCCCGATGTCTGCTCTGAGGCAGGAGCACACAGCTGCAGAGGGATGGGGCAGCGGGCATGGAAAAGACCTGGGCCACTGAGGGCAGACTTTGCATTCCACTCGCAAAAAAGGCGAGGAAATGCCGGGGCCTCTGTAGTCACTGCTGTGGGACCCCAGAGAATGTAACCCTGAAACCTCTGTCATCGCCATCTCTCTACCAGCCAGACAAAGGATCTGTCAGCTGGGCAAGTGGCTGGGGCTTCGCTTCCCAAAGCCATATCCCCAGTACCCCTCTAAAGAAGCTTCTGTGGGCAATACACACTGCACACTGCACCCTGCAGCCCCCGTGGGGACCCTCCTGTACACTAACTTCTTAAAGGCCCTGACAAGTCCTGCGGCAAAGACCCTCAAGGACACTGTTTGAACTACCGTTTGCCCACCGTCTGCGGCCACAAACCCTTTTGCACTTGGCACATCCCATGGAGGTCAAGTTCCAGGATCACCCTTGGGACTCTGGGACCTGAACCACCCCCTGGGGCATTGCTGCTGGGGCATTAATCCCCCTGTAAGTGCCGGTGCATGGCCTCTACTCACCTCTAACGTTGGGGCTCTCGTGTTCAGGGGCCACGTTCTCCAGGTGGCCTGCTCCTCCCCACCCACGGCTCCTGTGTTGCAGACCCCTGCCCAAGGGACCCCGCAGTGCCCCTCCCCAGCCTTCCCGCTCCAGCTGAAGCTGACATCCGGTCCCCAGAAGGCCCAGTCTGGTGTGTGTGGCTCTCTAGACTCGTGGAGAAAGACTGTGCAGAGAGGCCGGGCGCGGCGGCTCACGCCTGTAATCCCAGCACTTTGGGAGGCCGAGGTGGGCGGATCACGAGGTCAGGAGATCGAGACCATCCTGGCTAACACGGTGAAACCCCGTCTCTACTAAAAATACAAAAAAAATAGCCGGGCGTGGTGGCGGGCGCCTGTAGTTCCAGCTACTCGGGAGGCTGAGGCAGGAGAATGGTGTGAACCCGGGAGGCGGAGCTTGCAGTGAGCCAAGATTGCACCACTGCAATCTAGCCTGGGCGACAGAGCGAGACTCCATCTCAAAAAAAAAAAGGCTGTGCAGAGACAGGGACAAGGAAGCTACTGTCCGCCTCGCCTGGCAGAGCGGAGTTGGCCAGCACTCCAGGAGGGCAACATGAACGGACACGGACCACCCAGGCCCGGACGAGGGTGGGCCCTCCAGCCAGTGCTGCTCCTCCAGTGTGTCCCCTGAGAAGTGGCTGAGGTGCAGCCCTTTGCTCCACTGGGAGGTGTGAAGCACTGCGGTCCCGACACCCCTGCCTGCACGGGGACAGGCGTTAGGCCGCACCACGCCCCGGGCTGCCACGGCATTACCGTGCCAGCCTCAAGCAGCCTGCGACATGCCAACTGGAATTGACACTTTTACAAAACTGCATCTACGGTATAATCACTTTAAAAAGAAACGAAGCTTTCCTTCCCACGGATAAATACATGGGATCGTGAAAAAAGAAGAGATGGAGGGAGATAGGCCAAGTGCTCCCTGTGGTTACAGATGCCCCAGAGGCAGGGCTGGCACAGGGCTCTGAGCCTCCTCCTCATGCTTTTCTCTTTTTCCATGTGTGCACCCTTCATGCACTGAAATAATACTAGGCAGGATGTGCACCGGGGCCAAGGTGGCTGAACTCAGCTGGCCTGGTGGCGGAGGTGACCGAAGCGCCCTCGCCCCTCCCGGGACCACCCCCACCTGTCAAAGATGGCGCCCACCCCTGCGCTGTGGGCGCTGTTCCGGTGGACGTGCAGCCCGGTGGCCAGGAGGATCCCGTCCTTCACGGCGATGGAGCGGTGGGAGAAGGAGGCGATGAGCAGCTCATTCCAGCCTGGGGAGGAGGCACACAGTCACTCAGCTGTCTCCAGGCCCCACGGGGCTCGCCCCTTCCCCAGCCCCTGGTGGGACCCTACAGAGGCAGCATGTCACCGACCCATCCTGACAGGCTCTGGAACCCCAATCCCATGAAGTGTTCCACAGAAAAGAGGTTCCTGAGAATGCCCGTTCTACAGTACACACCGGCACACGAAAGGCCCTGAGAAGTCCCACACAAAGTCCCTTGAGCTTTGTGGAACCCGGGAGCTCACAAACTCATGTGCCCCAGAAGCTTCCTCCCGCGTGTGCAGGACACTCCTGCCACGGAGCACGTGGGAGAGCACCCAGGGATGTTCCCAGGATGGCCCCAGAACCACTGCTGCCAGCAGGGTCCCAGGACTCTCGGGGATCTGTGTGCCCTTCGTGGAATGCCACCAAACAGCAGGTTATCCAACTGAAGGCAGGTGCGTGAGAGCCGCAGCCTCTTTCGGGGGGATTCCCAGGGGGGAAGGTTAGGTAACAGCAGCCCCTCAACATAGTGGGGGTTCCCTGGGGCGGGTGGTTAGGTAACAGCAGCCCCTCAACATAGTGGGGGTTCCCTGGGGCGGGTGGTTAGGTAACAGCAGCCCCTCAACATCGGGGGGTTCCCTGGGGGGTGGGTGGTTAGGTAACAGCAGCCCCTCAACATAGTGGGGGTTCCCTGGGGCGGGTGGTTAGGTAACAGCAGCCTCTCAACATAGTGGGGGTTCCCTGGGGGGCAGACAGTTAGGTAACAGCAGCCCCTCAACATCAGGGGGTTCCCTGGGGGACAGTTAGGTAACAGCAGCCCCTCAACATAGTGGGGGTTCCCTGGGGGTCAGGTGGTTAGGTAACAGCAGCCCCTCAACACAGTGGGGGTTCCCTGGGGCGGGTGGTTAGGTAACAGCAGCCTCTCAACATAGTGGGGGTTCCCTGGGGGGCAGACAGTTAGGTAACAGCAGCCCCTCAACATGAGGTTCCAGTGCAGATGAAGCAGAGCAGGCATCGGGGAGGAAGAAACAGGGACCCTCGCGTGCACACGCACTGCTGTTTTAAGGGCTCCTGGAGACCGGGTGACGTGGAATCACCTGCAGTCACACAGTCAGGGACCCTCGCGCACACACGCACTGCTGTTTTAACAGCTCTTATAGACAGGGTGACATGGAGTCACCTGCAGTCACACAGTCACCTTCAGCACCTTCCACACTCCCTGAGCGCTCTAGAGGCTCCAGCCTCTATGGCCGACACTGTCATTAATTTCCCACTTAATCCCAACTGTAATCCTGGAAAACTGGCATTAACTTTGTTTTACAGAGGGGGAAACTGAGGCATGAGGGGGTAAGTGATCAGCAAGAAGTTGGTGGGGACCACCGTGCCAGCTCCGGCTCGGCCCTCCACACCCTCCCAGCACATACCCACCCTGTCATGGGGAACCCGGGGGCAGGTGTCACCGTCCCCATTCTCCCCATTTCACAACTGAGTAATCCCAGGGCCCCAGGAGGGAGTTCCCACCCCCGAGGCCGCCCCGCCCAGGTGTGCTGACAGACCAGGCAGGGATGGCACCCAACTGGCCCCAGGCTGTGCAACCAAAATGAGGGAGGAACGGTGGGGTCTGTGCCCCATCACCGTGGGAGCATGCAGACGGCACCACGGGCGGTCTGATGGAAAAGCCAGGGCTGGAAATACCGTCACAGACTCGGGACTGGCACCTCCCCGCCTGTCATGCATCCCCTCTCCCTGCCAGGTGGCAGCAGGCAGCCCGTTGCGATGGGGAGTAAGAAGAGTGGGGTCCCCCGGGGCGGGGGTTTAGGAAACACAACCAAGGCCGCAGCATGCAGTGGCATCCCAGGGCTCAGCCGAGCCAGCCGCGAAAACAGCTTCCACACTGCCCAGCCAGATTTTCTTTGACCACAGAACCCTCTTTTTTTTTTTTTTGTTTTTGCCCAATGAAACATCTGTAGCATCACATTTGGGAGAAGTCTAATCTAGAAGAGGCCCCCTCAATCTGACATGTGGGTAATCTGTGGCCCAGGGAGGGGAAGGGTTTGCCCCAAATCACACAGAGACTTGGACAGGAGCCCCGGGCCCACTCCCACTCCTGCCCCTCCTACGGCTCAGCCCGTCAGGTTTTCCCAGGCTGAGAGGCACTGGGTCTGACATCCAGTGAGAGCAAATGCTCTCCTAGGAAAGGGCTCTCCCTCCCTTCCCACACCAGGCCCAGTGTGGACAGACTTCCTGTGGCCAAGGGCAGGGACCCAGGGGGCCGAGGACAAGATCTGGGCTGGGGCACAACTGGCCCCAAACCCACCATCCCTGGCCAGTCCTGGCCTCTCGGGCCTGCCTCTCTCCCTCACATCCTGCAGGCCTGGGGGTTTACCTGAGCAGTGGCCACCTCCCCTCCCACTGCCCCGAGAGCCCCTGAGGCCACCCAGCAGGCACCAGGGTAGACTCGCCTCTGAAACTCTGGTGTGCCCAGCAGAGGGGCCTAGTGCACGGCTGGGGTCAGAAGGCGCTGCTGAGCCGAGGTGCGGCCCTCAGCACGGGATACAGGTCAGGAGCCCAGACACACGGACAGAACAGTGCGGAGTCTCTCTCTGCACCCTCCGGCACGCCGGCTGCATCTCAGCTCCCCTGTCCCCTGTCCCTCCACCCCGATGTCCTCACTCGGTTATTTCTCCTCTCCTGCCCCACACACCTTTGTAAGCTGCCCTCCTCCTTCTCGGATGTAAGAGAAAAATAGGAGAGGAACCCACTTTACAGTAACCTTTGGGGTGTCTTCACCTTCCTAAGTGCTCCATCGCTGCAGGAAGGAGGGCTCCTGGCCCTGTGATGTGGGGGCCCGGCACGGACACAGCTTTAAACGGCTCAGGGTGCGCTGGCCTTTCAGAAGGAGGACCTCAGTGATGCAGAGGATACCAGGTCTTACTCCAGGCTCCAAGCGCAGGACAAAGAGTCTTGCCTGGGGCTGCTCCCTTGGTCACTATGTCCTCCAACTCAAGAGGCTGGCCCTTCCCAAGGAACTTACTCCTGCAGATCCCTCGTGGCCCTGCCCAAACGCTCAGGGCCTCTGCTGGGGTTGCAGGACCCCTGGACAGCGCTTCCGGAAGGAACAGCACAGAGTCAAGGGTCAGGTGGGGAAGCTGGGGCCTCGGGCTCCAACCTGGCTCAGCCACGTTCCTGTCTCACCTCTGAGCCACCACTTCCGCAGCACAAGGGACAGTAATAACACCGACTCCTGGTGGTCTGGAGAGTTAAATGAGTCCACACTCACAAGGCAGGGCAGGGCCCCCCCAGAGTCACGGCTGCTGTCCCCATGGGGCTTGTGATGGGGATCCCGTCCCAGGGCGGCAGTGACAAGAGCCCAGCCTGGCTTACCCTGTGTTCTGGGGCCAGAGATGTGGGCAGGATTAACAAGACCAGGGGAGTAAAGTGGTGTGCTGTCCCCACAGGGGGACCTTGGGCCTGCTACCTAAGCCTGGCCCCTCCCTCCCTCCCTCCCAGCCCAGCAAGGCCCGCCCACTTCCATTCCCCCCACCCCCCTCACCCCCCCCCACCCCCCACCCTGCCGCCACGCAGGAGGTGCCTGTGCAACCCAGGCCCTCAGACGACCCCGCTGGAGCAGCTAACACGGCCTTGGAAAGCAACAGCCTGGGATGAAGGGGGCAGGTGGGAAGGAGGTTGGACGGAGAAACCTGAAAGCTGTGAGCGACCCGGCCCTGTCTCAGTTTACTCATCTGACAAACACAAGGGTCAGGGTGTGACCCAGAGCTTCCATGGAACAAGCCAAAACTCTTCATTTTAATGCTTTATTTCTGAAGGCCTCCTGGACGGGTAGGGCAGCAGCCCACCCCAAGGAAGGGGCCCTACCCCACAGGAGCAGACACGTGTGACATCAACCTCCCACAGCCTGGCTGGAATCCTCCACCAGTTTCTGGGCCCCTGCAGGGCTGTGGCCACTGCACCCCCACTCAGTGTCACCGCGAGCCACAGGTGGACACTCCCCGGAGTGAGCAGAGACCTTGGGCCTTGAACCTGCATGGCCAATGGCTCTCACGATGGTGGGAATTGCAGGTCTGGGCACCCATTCCCATCGTTGCTGTCGCCCAGCGGAAGTGACCTCCCCCACCAGCACTGGGAACACAGTGGGAGGGCCTAGCACAGGGACATAATGGGGGAGCACTCAGTGGCCCTGGCACCTGCCGGAGCTGGGCGGGGCCTCACCTCTGCCACTGCCTCCTGCCAGAAGAAAACCCAGCAGGATCACCCCTGGTCCCCAGTCAGGCTACAGCCATGGATCCTGACCTGAGCCCCCTGGAGGGGGACAGAGTCCTTCAGCCAACACCAGCCAGGCACAGTGTATCCTTGGAGTTAACCCAGGTCCTCTCCAGCCACCTGGCCAGTGCAGGCTTCAAACTCCAGTGTTCCACATCTGAATTGGACGTGTGCTTCAGTGGACCTTACTGGGGCTTGGGGAGACCACCTGATGGGTGAGCTGCTGGCCCCGGCAGACAGAACACACAAGGACACTGAGGCACAGAGAGTAAGTGACTCAGCCAAGGTCAGCTGCTCGTGGGTAGTGGGGCTGGGACTCATGCCGGAAATGCAGCTTCAGACCTCACCATGCGGCCCTCGAAGCCAGAAGCATGCATGAGCAGGGCCCACTGGAGACAGGTCAGCAAGGACCTCAGTGGGCGCCCAGGGGGAGGTCAGGCTGGGAGTCCCACTCAGAGACATGCAGCCGCAGAGATCTCCCGGAAAGAGCCGCTGGGCAGGAGCAGAGGCCACCCTCGCAGAGATGCCACGGGATGGCTTTCCAGGCATCCTAGAAGGGCCTGGGGACTCATGGCACCAGGGCTCTGGGCTAAGGGAAGGGCCTTGCGGGGAGCCCCCACCTGACAGCTGCAGGGAGACCACAGGCAGGTGCCCACCTAAGAGGGACAGCCACAGAAACCCTCTAACCTCAGCACTGCACTCCACCACGACCACCCCACGCAGGCCCTCAGCACCGCACTCCACCACGAACACCCCACACAGGCTGAGGCTGGAGCCAGAAGCTGCCAGAACATGGGACCACAGGGCCAGGCACCACACAAACATGGCGACGGACACAGCCATCCAACCCGACTCGGACCTCCGCCAGGCCCCCAGCGCACAACCATCTGGGATCCCCAGGAAAAGAGCTGCGTGCGGCCAGCTGTTCTCTGGATCGGTCTGGTGGGTTGGGGTGGGGTGGGAGCACCGCCCTCTCTCAGCAAAAGCCTTGGCTATCTCTCCAAGGACCACTGGGGTCAGGCAGGCCTGCAGCTGGCAAAGCCAGGGGCTCTGAACCGAGGGTTCTGGGGGAGCCCCTGCAAACAAGGGCAGGGTTCCCTTGGCAGGCGGAATACTCACCATACCCTGAAAGAAGTCTGAGCCCGCAACGGCAGACAGCCACATGCCTCAGGCCCAGAGGGGCAAGGACCCACCAGACACGAGGCCAGCGGGATTAAGTCAAGGACTTTGAGATGGGAGATTATCCTGGCTCCTCCGGCGGGGCCCAGTATGGCCAGAAGAGTCCTTCCAGGAGGGTGGCGACGGCGCCAGGCCCTATACACACAGCCTGTGTGGTCACAGCCCTGACCCAAGCAACTTCCAGAACATTCCCTGCTTCACAGGGAGCCCGTCTCTGGCTGTGTCTTCTCCACTTGCCACTTAGGAGCCGCCTTGTATGGGCTGAGGCTCCCCAGTCGGGCTGAGGCGGCGGAGCCCACAGTGCGGTAGCGGGCCTCTAGGCAGCTGGGACACCCGGCCCTAAGGGAGCTTGGCTTCTTGGGCCCAGGGGGACATGGGACAGTGACCAGCACCATCGTCGGGCAGTGAGGGCAGACCTGGGCACCCAACGTGTTGCTTCACCAGCAGGAAACTCCACTAACAGCCTGGCCTCACAGCTACCCCGGCTGACTCGGCAAGAACCAGCCCCAGTCAGCACGCCCCTCACACCCCCTTTCCAGGTGGGGGACCAGCTTTGCGGGGGGCCTGCCCCATCCAGGCTTCCACTGCCAACCTGACCCCAAAACCCCAAAGCTGAGCTCCCAGCCACCGTCCTGGCCGCCGCATGGCATCACGGGGAGTGTGATGCGCGTGGAGCAGGCATTTCTGTGCAGTGGCTCTGTGCACCACCATTACCGCATGGAAAGAGAGCTGCGGCCTTGGAGTGGGAGGAGAAGGGCAGAGAGCACGTGGCTCTCCTGGGCAGCCCCTGGAACACAGCCAGCCTCCCTCTCCAGAGCCCCCAAACCTCCACCGACAGCCCATTACCTCTCTGAAGGCCACTGAGAGACCCCGCATGGTACACCTCCTTATGAGGGATGGAGGGAAACTGAGGCCCCAGGCCCTTCCCCCAACAGTCCCATAGAGTACATAGGAGGTCCCAGGACGGGGGAGTGTCCCGGGAGTGGGGAGTGTCCGGGGAGTGGGGAGTGTCCGGGGAGAGGGGAGTGTCCCGGGAGTGGGGAGCGTCCTGGGAGCGGGGAGTGTCCCGGGAGAGGGGAGTGTCCCGGGAGTGGGGACTGTCCCAGGAGGGGGGAGTGTCCCGGAAGGGGGGAGTGTCCCGGGAGAGGGGAGTGTCCTGGGAGGGGGGAGTGTCCCGGTAGCAGGGAGTGTGTCCCGGGAGTAGGGAGTGTCTAGGGAGAGGGGAGCGTCCAGGGAGAGTGGAATGTCACGGGACGGGGGAGTGTCCCGGGAGGGGGGAGTGTCCCGGTAGCGGGGAGTGTGTCCCGGGAGGGGGTAGTGTCCCAGGAGTGGGGAGTGTCCCGGGAAAGGGGAGCGTCCCAGGAAGTAGGAGTGTGTCCTGGGAGCGGGGAGCGTCCTGGGAGATGGGAGCATCCCAGGAGTGGGGAGTATGTCCCAGGAGGGGGAAGTGTGTCCCTGGAGGGGGAAGTGTGTCCCAGGAGGGGGAAGTGTGTCCCAGGAGGGGGAAGTGTGTCCCAGGAGTGGGGAGTGTCCCGGGAGGTAGAAGTGTGTCCCAGGAGTCGGGAGTGTCCTGGGAGAGGGGAGCGTCCTGGGAGAGGGGAGCGTCCTGGGAGATGGGAGCATCCAGGGAGGGGGGAGTGTGTTCCGGGAAGGGGGAGTGTCCCGGGAGGTAGGAGTGTGTCCCAGGAGAGGGGAGTGTCCCGGGAGGTAGGAGTGGGTCCTGGGAGGGGGGAGTGTCCCAGGACAGGGGAGTGTCCCGGGAGTGCGGAGTATCCCGGGAGGGGGGAGTGTCCTGGTACGTGTCCCATCTGCATGGCATCCCCATCCCCACCTAGGCCTCGCCACTCACCTGCCCGCAGCAGGATGACCTGGTCGTCCAGGGGCAGCTCTGAGAAGTGTGGGATCCGCTTGGCCCACTCCACCAGGGTGAAAAGCTGTTTGTCGGCTGCTTGGCAAATGTTGGTGACAGGGTCGTTCGGCTGCAGTGGAGGAAGAAGAGCAGGACATTCAGTCCCAGAAGCCAGTGTACTGACCAAACACAGCCCAGACCAGGCCCTGCCACACGCTGGGCCCATGCAGGACGCTGAATACGGCCCCCAAAGATGCCCAGGCCCCAATCCCCAGAACCTGGGACTATGCGACCTTGCATGGCACATGGGGCTTGGCAGAGGTGATTAGGTGTGGCCTGATATTGGGAGGTAAGCCTGCACCACTGGGGGGACCCAGGGTCATTGCAAGGGGTCTATGAGAGGGAGGCAGGAGGGTCAGAGGAAGAGATGAGATCACAGACGCTGGGGCCCAAGGGGAGAGAGACACTGCTGGGTTTGAAGGTGGAGGAAGAGGCCACAAGCCAAGGAATGTGCCAGAAGCAGAGGCCAGGGCAGACTCCCCAGCAGAGCCTCCAGGAGCCAGCCGGCAGGCACCTTGATGTCAGCCCGGCAAGACTGCTTTTGGCTCTCTGGCCACAGAACAGTCATATAATAAAATGTGTGTTGTTTCCAGCCACTGGGTTACAGCAGGACGCACGAGTCTCTCCCACAGCTCTGGAAGGCAGGTGCGGCGAGCTGACGAAACTGGATATGGGCAGCACTGGAGCAGGGTGGGACCAACCACCTTCATCTCTGATGGCCAAGGTGGCCCACGCTGGGGACAGGGCTGGCCTCTCACGTTCCATCAGGCATGGATGTGGGAGCTCAGGAGGGCAGGAGCCTCGGCTGAGATACCAGGCCCCAGGCACAGAGAGAGCAGCATTCACGGCTCCTTTGGAAAGTCCTAGCCGGAAGGGGGCCATTCAGTCTCACAGATGAGGGGACCCAGGCAGCCTTGAACAGGGCAGGAGGGGAGGCCCCTCCTCAGCTCCTGGCAGGTGGGGCTTGGGTCACGGACCTTCTGTGTCCTGAGCAATGGGAACTCAGATGACGGCCCCCTCAGTGGTGCCGCTGCAGGAATAACGACTGTGAATAGGATTCGGGGATCCCTCACTTCAGGGCATCTGCCAAGGAGAAAAATGCCTCCCTTTGAAGAGCTTCCACCAACAGCAACCATCTGCTCATCAGAGACGTGCAGCCTAAACGCAGCGCCCGGCGGGAAAGGCCTCTGAGGGCGGAGTGAGAAGGCCCCCGAGGAATGGCACAGAGACTCGCCAGGACCCTCGGAAGAGGGCAGGGCAGCCCTTGGGGGCCCGAGCCAGAAGGGGTATACACAGGGGTGGGATCCCTCGGCTGAGTGGGGTTGACCACAGTCTACACAGACTCACTCATTCCTCCACAAACCTTCCATCAGCAGCAGCCACAGCCCCCAGCACTCACAGGGCTCCCGGATCTGTGCACAGCGCCCCCCAGGCCTGCCACAGCCAGGCTGGCTTCTTAGCCTCAGCCTCTCCTTCTGTCACGCTGGGGGCTGAAAGGGGCCCATCCTTCTCGCCTGCCCATCGGCTGCAGGGTATCCCTGAGAAAGGATGAAGCAGGCCTGGCAGGGGCGGGGGGATATGGGAACCAGCCCCGAGCACCGTGTCTGCAGCAGTGGCTCTGCTGGGGATCCTTGTACCCAGGAACTTCCCAGCCACTAGCCGGCCACTCTCGGAAGCCAAGACGGGGCCCAGAGCAGGCCCAGGTGACAGGCTGGTGCCATGGGTAGGAAGGAGAGCCTCAAGCCCTCCTGGGCTGGCTGGGACCTCTGCAGGAGTGGGCACACGGGTCACCATCTGTCATGTGCCTGCAGTGTGCACAGCCGGCCACAGGGAGCAGAATGTGGCAGGCTGGAGAGCCAGGAGGCCGGAGCGGAGGAGGAGGCACACTCCCGGCAGGTGTGAGGCTCTCGCTCCAGTACCAGCAGGGCTAGGCCTGGAGGGGGTCCCCTAGGTAGGGAGGGATAGTGCAGGATCCTGGCTCCACCTCCCTGTGTGGCCTGGGGAAAGGATTAACCTCTGTGAGCCTCCCATTCTCGCCTGGAGATCCAACGTGCCTCATGTAACAGTAGGCGTGTGATGGGCTCTACTCCTGCCTAGAAGTGTCCACAGGACCCGCCCAGGCCCTGCCCCGCGCTGGGGAGAAACCAGGCACCAGGACCGTGACGCTGGGCAGGTCGCCCCCTCTCTGGACCTCAGTTTGCCCATCTGAGAGAAGGGGCCCAGTGAGCGGTTCTGGAAGTTGGACCCAGGCCAGTCCACAGAGGAGCGTTCAGTGTGAGATGAGACAGAGCAGGGAGTGAGCGGGCACAGAGAGACCCCCTCCCCGTGGAAGACGTGTCCTTTATCCCCAGCGAGCCCTGCCTGCCTCTGTGGTTCTAAACTCCCTGAACTTTCAGGCAGTGGCGGAGACAGCAGATGGCAGATTCCCCCCCAAATAATGTCCTTCACGAAATAAAAACTTGGCAGCCCTTTGTGCATCTGCCAAACTTGCTTTTGGATTTTCTGCTGGATCATGAAACCCTCACAGCCACCCTCCCTCCCCTGCCCTCCGCGAGGCTGGTGAGGCGGGAGCAGGGCAGGGCATGCGTGCAGACCAGCCAGGGCTGGGGGTGGGTCTGTGCCTGTCACTCAAGGGGAGGGTTTCTCCGGAAAGAACGGTGCCTGCTGTCGGGGTCCCATTCATCTTCCCCCAAGCTGGGCAGCCCCAGCCCCCAGCCAGAGTAGAGGTCTGAGCAGAGCCGGGGACGTGGGGGCACCAGGTTGTCCTATCCAGAAAGGGCAGGGAAGCAGGGTGGCCCTGACCCAGCCACGGGGCCTCAGACAAGAGCAGACCCCCACCCTCAGACAGGCAGAGGCAGTGGGGATGCCGGCCTTGTGTGAGTGCCAACGAGCAGGGTGGGGTCGCTGTCCTTGACCGAAGCTGGTGGTGAGGAGCAGCACAGCCATCACCAGCAGCCTCGTGGGGGCAGAAATTAACCCACCACACACCTTACCCTGTGAACACACCTCACCCTGTGGTGGCCAGTGCCAGGGGCCACAGAGAAAAGATCAGGTGCTCTCAGCCCACATCACAGGGGCAGTCCCCACCCTGGCAGGGGCACAGATGAAGGCCGGAGGTACCTCAGCTGAGACCAAAGCCTGGGGAAGAGCCAGAGGGCCCAGTTCCAGGCCACGTGAGCTGCAAGCACGAAGGCCCTGGGGGGTGGGGAGACAGTGACCTGCAGGGCGCACCCAGCACGGAGGGCAGGCTGGTGTGCCTGGGCCCACAGAGGGACAGAGGTTGGGGCAACCTCATGGTCGGCCTGTATAAGGTCTTCGGTGGCCACAGGGCTCTGGTCCCAGCCCCAAACCCACACGGAGACACAGATGAAGACTGGACACCATGGTGACCATGGCAAAAGACACATGGGCCCTGAGGGCCAGCTGGACCCAGGTCCCCAGCAGCAGGAAGCTTACTGCACAGTCCTGAACCTTCACACGGGTGGCCAGGAGCTCACCTGCCCAACCCCGGGCACAGCTGGAGCCACCCCCTCAGTGGGGCCTGGGACAGGTGGGGTCTCCCAGCCAGACAAGCTCACCAGGGAGCAATGGTTCCCGAGCAGCACAGGTTCCTAGGCCTTAGGGTAGGGTAGGAGGGGCTCAGAACGCCCCTGTGCTGCCCTCCCTGGCAAGGCCACAGCCAGAAGCAAAGATGCCACAGGGAGCGAGCCAGTAACAGGGAGGGTCCAAGGAGAGGAGGGCGAGGCCAGGGGGTCTTGAATCCAACACCTCCAGGACCAGCTGGAGCCAGCCCAGGAGAAGAGCCCGGGACCAGGGCTGCGGCCCACCCAATCCTCCTCCCCTTGAGGCTGTTGGGGTGGGAGGGGGCAGGAGGGTCAGCATGGGGGTGACCAGCTGGGGGGCTGCAGAGCTGCTTCCTGTATCAACAGCAGCCACCGCGACTGCCGGGCACCTGCCCAGGGCCACACGGCTGCTGGCAGAGCCAGCCCTGGAACCAACCTGCAGAGCCTCTTGCTGGGGGCTCGGCCTCCTCCCATACCTTTTCCAAGTGGCACCGGGGAGCAGGGACAGCCTCTGCACCGAGACAGGCCAAACTCCGAGGGGACACGGCGGCTGAGGCCCCAGCAGAGGTGGCCGAGGATGATGATGTGGCCGCAGGGCCCCAGGCCCCGGGCCCCTGGCCCCTGGCCCCTGCCCCATGGGCTACTCGTGCATGGGCCAGGAGAGGAGAGTGCCGCCCAGCTGGGGCGAGGGGCCCACGGGGTCACCTCAGGTAAGAGGCCGAGCTGAGGCAGCCACAGGGCCCAGGGCAGCCCCCAGGACCTCTCTGGCTCATCAGCTGCTCAGGTGGGAGGGTGAGTGAGTGAGGGAAACTGAGGCATGTGAGGCTGCCCACCCCTGCACAGGCTGCAACTCACCGAGCTGGGGTTCAGCCCCATGTTTGCCTCCACGTAGGTCTCGGTCTTGGGCTCCACGGCCAGCTCAGCCTCCAGGATCCTCTCCACCGGCATGTCCTCGTTGGCGCTGCTGGTCGACTCCACCTCATTCTCGTTCCGGTCCTTGCCACGCTGCCGCTCCTCCTGCACGGCTACAACCCGGGAGGCGCAGGTGAGCCCCACGCTCAGCCCGGCCAGTGGCTCCCAGGGAAGGCTGTCCTGGCCGGGTGGTGCCAGCTCCCAGCCAACTCACCCACAACACCAGCATCCCCACCAGCACTGGGTGATGGAGACCCCATCTCTGCCCCAGGCCTGGCCTCCGTGTGGTTGTGTGCTCTGAGAACAGAGGCCAACTCTCATTAATTCCAATCAATGTTCACACCAGGAGCCTGCCTGGGGCCTGGAAGGAGACAGTGCAGCAGGGACCCCAACATGGGGCGAGAAAGGTCCTGACGGTCTATGGACTCAGGGAGAACCAGGAAGCCTTCCTGGAAGAGGTGTCAATGTGACTGGAAGAGGAGGTTGCAGAGGAATCATGGCTCAGGCTGGAGACACGATCCCTGCAAAGGCCCAGAAGCAGAGCAGAGCACGCTCATGAGGCAGCACAGGGGCACCCGTGCTGGCTGAGGGCCTGGGCAAGGGGAACCTGCGGCGGGGGGCGGGGGAGGGACAGGCTCAGAGACACCTGGGCAATCAGGAAACCGTGCACCTGCAGACCCCACGCCCCTCCCAAGGACACTGGGCCCTGCCAGAAATGGAGGGCAGGCGCCCGGCCCCACCCTGGCCACACAGAGACGGCCCACCCAGCTCCACCGACCATGCCCCATGCAGGGCACCGAGATGCCTTTCAATCTGTCCCAGGAAGCAGCCACTCGGGGGGAACCAGAAGCCGAGCATTATGACAAAATAGAGCGATGCTTGCAGGCAGCAGGATCTGCACCAGGCATGGGCTCCGGTCAGCTGACTCTCATCAGCCCTGGGGGTGGGCGCTCAGCAAAGGGGCCTGAGGCATGAGCCCTGGCTGCCCAGGCGCATGAGGCTCCTCCCGCCCCCAGCTTACCTCCACCTGGATTTGCCTTCCTCGACTGTCCACTTTGAACACTGAGGAAGCCACCTCAGCCCCTCTGTCAGCCTATCTGGGGATCCCAAGTGCCGGGGGACAGGCTAGGACCCAGATGGAATTTGGATAGAAGAGTCCACTTGGCTTATGGGCGGTTCCCCCGAGACACGTCCCCTTCCCTGAAAGTCCTGAGCTGGGGCTCTGGTCCCCAACCCCACCACCTCCTTCTGTTCCATCCACCACCCAACAACCCCAACACCGCCCCACAGGGCGGGCACTCACATTACCCCATTGTACCGGTGAGAAAACTATGGCTGAGAGAGAAAATGACTGGTCTAAGTGAGTAAACCGCAGAGCCAGAAAAGCAACAGCGACCATGGGGTCCTGCGGCCACCTCTGTCCAGCACAGCTCCACGCCCCTACTCCAGTCAAGGCCTCTCCACTCTCGCCCTGGAAATGCCCTTCCCACCGTATCTCCTCCGAGCTCAGACATGGACCTGGGGCCAGTTCCTCCCTCCCTTGTGCCCTCCTGCCAGTGTGCTGGGCTGGGTAGTCCCTGACCCAGGCCCCTTCTCCTCCTGGTCTGAGGCCTAGGATGGTGCCCTCCTAAGGGCCCAAGGGTATGGCCTGGCAGAGGGGTTCCTGAAGCTGCCACCTCTCTGGGCCTGTGGCGGGGCTCATCCCAGCCCCTCTAGGATGTCTCGATGGTGGGCAGAACACCTGGGGTACTCACAGGCACCAGCCACCCATGGACTGACCATGTCCCATCCCACCCTCCCACCCTCTGGCTTCCAGATGGGTTTGGCAAACGGTGGGAGAACATATCTGTGCCTGTGGCACCCTCCCTGCCCCTACCCGCCACGGTGTCAGCCGCCACTTTCTCCTGAAGCTACAGCTCCCACTGAGCAGCCGTCTCGGGGCTCTGCAAGCCCCTCCCTTCACACCCCCGGGCCCAGGGTCCCCAGTCCTGCCCTGATTCCCTTCATGCCGCCACAGCTCTGTAACAGCCCCACGTGGATGCCTCTCAGCCACCCTGTGCCAACAGTTTCCTGCATGGCCCACTGGCTTGAGCGAGGGACTTCCGCCCACACAGGGAGACTCAGGCGGGGAGGCCCATCCCCAGCTTCAGGATACACCAACCAGGCAGAGGAGCCAGCCAGGGACCCCGCAGTCGGCATGCACAGGCCTGGCCCTACTGGAAACCTGATGGTGGGTGGGGGCAGGATGGGGAGCAGGGCTGGTGGGCAAATGGCAAGGGTCTGGCAGAGGCTGCAGAAGGCTCCGGTCAGCCCCCACATGGGACTTCCATGAGCCCTCCAGAGGGCGGTGCTCATCCGGGGCGGGGTCACTACTGACACGACCCTCCATACAGGGTCCTGAGCCTATAGAGCCGACCCCACCCACGCTGAGCAGCCCCCGGGGCAGGAAGCCCCCGCACACGCAGATCTCAGCCAGCATCTGAGCTGAGGGGTACGGCACCTCCACTGGCCCAGGTCCCTGAGACCCTAAGGATGGGCAGCAAGGGCAGAATTCTAAAGTCTCAGTGCCAAGACATAGCTGGCACTGCTGTCTTCCCAGTGGGGAAGCTGAGGCTCTGAGAGCCAAAGGGGCAGGGCTGAGCGCTCAAGACAGTGAGCAGCCTAAAGCTGCAGGCCCTGGGATCCGACAACCCCAGCCCCACAGAGCCTGCTAGCCTGCCACAGCCCAAGCAGCCGTGTGGCCCCGGCCAAGTCCCCTGACCTCTCTGTGCCTCGGCTCCCTCATCCGTAAGATGAAAATGACAGCGCCCACCCCCAGGATGGCTCCAAGAGGAAGCGCCAGCACACGGGGGGCCTGGAGGTGCTCAGAGCTGTCACCGGAGCCTCCCACCCCACGCGCCAGCCCGGCCCGGTGCCAGGGATTTTCTCCTGCTCAGAGGTAGCCCCAGGGCATGGGGAGCCCCAGACAAGGGTGGCCCTGAGCGAGGGGCCTTGCTGCCAGTTCTCCCCAGGTGCCTGGAGCTGGGCTCCTTGGCACCTGCCTCCTCCGCCAGGGCAGCCGAGAATTAATTAGCGAGTGTTTTGTGAAGCACTTTGAAGCTGTGAAGGGCCTGGCAGCTCTGCCCAGCATCATTATAAATATGATCGCTTTATTTATAGGCTGGGGGGCAGGAGGGGCCGGGATTTATGCTTTGCCAGCACAATCACCTTCTAGACGAAGTCATGCTTGACTCATGTTCCGCTGGCGCCGGAGGCCGGGCGGGAGGTGTCTGTAAACACAGAGCCTCTTTACCCTCCAGACCAGAGCGTGGCGGCTGGAGGAGGCAGAGTGGAGGCACGGGGGAGGCTGCTCAGAGGCAGAGGAGACTCACACACCGCAGCCCAGTCCTCCCAGGAAGACCTGAGACTCCTGCCCAGGCGGACCCTCCCCAGCATCACTGGGGTCCCAGGCCCCCAGAGACAAGCTGGCCTAGGACTCAGGGTGCAGCAGCCCCTCAGAAGCAAAGGACATCTCCGACCTGCCACAGCCCCTCAGGGTCAAGCAGGAGGGAGGGGGTCTGGGGAAGGGCAGACAGCTCCGAGGCAGGCATGTCGGAGCCGAGGGGCATCCCCAGGCCCACTGGCTCCTCTGGCTTGGGTAGTGGCAATGGCTGAGTCCTTCCTCCGTCCCTTGTGCAGCCCAGGGCTGGGCCCAAGACAGGCAGGACCGAACTCCACCAAACCATTCTGGCCTCCTCTTAAGGGTGGGGAGACAGAGACCCAGAGAGCAGCGCCAGAGGCCACACAGCAAGCTAGAGTCTCTAAAGGGAGTGACTTACCTTCCCTCCAGGGCTTCAACCTAGAGCAAGGCATCAGAACACGAGAACCATGCACACACACGTGCACACAAACCATGCAGACATACACACACAGACACACAGAGACATACCACACCACACATACCACACCACAGACATATCACACACACACCACACGCACACCCATACACCACACAGACATACCACACCCACACCCACACGTGACCACTGCTCTCCAACCCCACCACCAGCCACGCACAGCACTCTCATCCACCCCCAAGCTCGCAGGGGTCTTCCTGATGCCCCCAGCCCATCACAGATGAGGAACCTGAGGACTGGGCGAGGCAAGGTCACTTGCCCAGTTCACAGGCCAGAAGGCAAGAGGGCCACACTCGAGCCCAGCCGGGGCTCCCTTCCCACAGCAGAGACCTGTGGGTCAGCCACATCCCTGCAGTGCACGCACATGCACACACGTGCACACATAGGTGCACACACGCCAGACCCTGCTGTTTCCACACCCAGTCCTTCAGAGCTGGAGGGTGGGCACAGGAAGCAAAGGCAGGCAGGAAGGAAATGGGAAGCAGCCTTCCTGAGGGAGGAGGAGGAAGCAGAATGGGGGACAGCCACTGCCCCCTCTAGACCAATGTCTCCCCCGACGACCCTGGGTGGAAGCTAGGTCTTTTCCATCGGACTGGGAACCCCCAAGGGTGAGGCCTGTCTTCCCCATCAGAGCACGTGTCCCTGCGGGACCCCCAACCCCTGCCCCCTCCCCGGCTTCAGCAAACAGGCCCAGGCTCAGCTTGGCAGAGGGCCAACACCCACCACTGCACGTCCCCCCACCTCTGCCCACCCCTGGTCCCGGGAATGCTGCGGAACGAGTCCCTCCTGGTGGCTGCCTGCGCGTGCAGGCCCCATTGCCCAACCTGAGATGCTATCAGCCTGTGGTATCCTACCGCATAGGGGTGGGAACCCATCTGCCCCAGAGCCAGAGTGGGCCTTTGCCGGGGGCAGAGTCACCGCATGGGGGCACCTGGGCCATCCTGCCTTCAGCCAGCCCTGGGACCAACCCCAGGCGACTCCCTCGCAGCACTGCACTGGGATGCGACGCCTCAGCTCCAGCCTGTTTCTAGGGGTCTGATCACAAACCGGGCCGAGGGACCACTTGACACCAAGGCCAGTGGGCGGAGCTGCCCACCAGGGGGCCTGACACTTAGGAGGGCTCAGTCCCCAGAGCCGACAGCTCCCATCCTGCATGCTCTGGGCCACAGGCACCTAGTGTTGGCCAACTTGGCCCCATAGCTTTCTCCAGGGCTGCTGCAATGCCTCACCCATGCAGCCAACAGCCCTGCCCTCCGCTGTCGGGGAGCCTGCCTTGCAGTGGTTTGCCCAAGAGGAGAGAGGGGAGTGCTCTGCACTTCAGGACCCATCTGGAGCCAAGGGGTCTTGCCCAGCACCCAGACGCAGGCCGGGGAGGAGGGTGCCTGCCAAGCCCTCCCAGCCACCGTTTCCACGTGGGGTCCCTGCAGGGCGAGTGCCTGGGCTGCACCAGGGGCCCCGTTACTGCCCAAGAGTAAGGAGCTCCACAGGCCTGGCTGTGCAGCCCACACAGCCAGGCTGGGGGAGGCAAGAGACTCCCCCTGTGCACAAGGAGAGGCACTGGCAGCAGGGCACGTTTGGCACGGGGGCCTCACTGCCTCCTCACCGCCCACGCAGAGGTGCCCTCCACACCGAGGCTGAGTTCTGCAGCTGTGTTTGGGGCGAGAGCGCTCGGCAGCATTCTGACTGCAAGTTCACGCCTCAGAATCCTGCTGGAGGCAAAGGGGAGGAGGTCCCTTGACAGCAGCAGCAGTTTCTCTCACGGCCCTAAGTCTGGTCTCCAGGGCTTATGCGCTGCCAAGAGGAAGGACTGGAAGCAGGAAGGACCGGCAAGAAATGGGGGCCACGCCTGGTGCTGGCCCTTAGACCTCCCCACGGCTCACCTCTCTATACCCCATTTCTCTGTCTCACAGGTATGGGGCGAGTGAGACCATGTGTGGGGATCAGGAAGGGGGTGTCCAGGGTGGTCCCCCACATGAGCTGCTCCTAACAGGACCCAGTCACCGATGGGCACCAGGGGAGCGGTCTGACCAGGTGATTCCAGGTCCCCCCAGCCCCAACACTGCACGGTTCCACTGGGATGGGATGGGGTGTCGTCCCCAGGCTTTGGGGGGCCCAGGCAGCTGGAGTCTGATGATCCCAGGCACATGGATGACTGGGCTGCAGGGCCTTAGGAAGGAGTCAGTGCAGCCTGGAGGGTCCGGGACGGGGCTCAGAAAGGCCATCACCGACTTCCGAGGGCCAGGTGTGATGACAGCCTCAGACTTCACGGACACTGCTCCCTGCAGCCAGGCCTGTGGTGCCGACACCTTTTCATTCCTCAGGCGTCAACAGCCCTCCTGCCTGCCTGCGTCTCACCGGGTGCCCGAGGCAGGGTCAGGTGCCTCCTCTGGGCTCCCACAGTGCCTGAGCTTCCCCTAAGCCTGCACTGGCTGCCCCCTGGGCCCCCCCTGGTTATCTGATGATCACTTTCAAAGGACAGCGAGCTTACTGCTGCAGGCCCAGGCCAGGCATCAGCCATGCACAGCGCTCTCATCTGCCCCCAAGCTCGCAGGGGTCTCCCTGAAGCCCCCAGGATCTGAGAGTGGTCTCGGCTAAACCAAGCTCTCTGTGCTGTGGCATCCTCACAGAGACTGCCAGGCTAAGGCTGCACACGAGGCCTTCCCCCCCCAGCTCCAGCCACGCCTCGGGCCTCCACCCCAGAACAGGCCAGTCTCCACGCCTGGGCACAGGGGCCCCGGCCACTGCCTACTATGCCTGCCCCTGTCCCAGTTTCCATCTTCCAGGGACAAGGCTGCACCTGCCACCACAGCAAGCCTCCCTGCCCACACCAGGCACCCGGAAGAACCAGACTGGGTCCACACCTCTCCAGGCTGGGTACACACCTCTCCAGGCTGGGCACACACCTCTCCAGGCTGGGCACATGCTCCTCTGCCCTCTGGTGAAAGCAACAAGGTCTGGATGGGGGCCAGGGCCCAGCATGTGACCCTGCGCAAGGCTTGAACCGTCTGCCCTCGGTTTCCCAACCTGCACAGCACAGGGTGGGCCTGAGCAAACGTCAGCACTCCATGAAACACGAATCCCCATCAGAAAGGCCTGACTGGCAGCACTGGGCATGGCCACACCAGCTCTGGAAGGCAGCTCTGCTATGCAGGCACAAGGACCTCACACCAGCCCATACACCACACTCAGCCTCGCAGCCCAAGGAGGACACCCTCCAGGAGCACGGCGCCTGGCAGAGGCTCTGATTTCTCAACAGGACCGTTAAGGCTGAGAAGACATACACAAGAGAGATGATGAAATGAAACTGCAGCACCAAGGTGGCCACTCAGGACATCCCTGACGGTGAGACAGTGGTGTGGGTCCTGTTTGGGGACCCCACCAGGGGCTGGCGGGGAGGAAGTAAGACACACCAGCCACACAGGTGTTGGGCCTCAGGAGCAGCACAGCAGAGGACAGAGGAAGGGTGTCCTGCAGAGCGGGGGGACAGGGACAGACCAACAGATCTTCACCCCAGACAGCACCTCCCACCTCCACAAGGCCCAGGGCACGGGACCCGATGGGAGGAACTGAGGCACACCCCCAAACGTGTGTGCAAACCATGACCCAGGGACCCACTAAGAGGCCAGGAATCGCCAAACCTGAGAGGGAAAGGGGATGTGACAGATGGGGAAACTGAGGACTACAGCCAGCCAGGACTGGGAAGTCACAGTGCCTGTGGGGCCCGGGACTCCGACCCAGGTCTGGCTGGATGACTTGACAATTTTGGTGACATCGGGGGAGGGACTTCCCTGCAAACCGCCCCGACACAGATTTGTTAATAAGACGAGCACAAAAACAAAAGGAAAGGAGGAACTGCTCCAAGAGCCTGGGGGCCATCCGGCGGCCCTGCGGGGTGCCACAGAGTTGGCCTCGGGAGGAAGCTGGCCCGGGACCACCCCTGGCATCCAACAGCTCAGAAGATGCCCCCGCTCCACCTCTCCAACCTAAGCAGTGCCACCTGAGGGTCTCCTTGACCATCCCCTCACCGGACAGCCAACGCCAGCCAGAACATGCCGCCCAGGACCCATGTGTGCCCACGCTCTGGGCCGCACGTGTGCCCACGCGCTGGGCCCCGCCCCCACTCCTGCCTTGGCCTTGCCATGCTTCTGTCCAGGCCACTCACTCCCTGTTGTCCATCTCGGGTGTCCACGCACAAGCCCGGGCCCCACTGTTTGTCCAACACCTGCCCGCGCCCCCACCCGACGCCGTGGCCTACCTTCCCGCTTCATGCCCATGGCCAGGCACTTCTGGTAGCGGCAGTACTGGCACCGGTTCCGCTGCCGCTTGTCAATCAGGCAGTCCTTGTTGTCGCGGCAGGTGTAGGTCAGGTCCTTGCGCACCGTCCGCTTGAAGAAGCCCTTGCACCCCTCGCAGCTGTACACTCCATAGTGCTTGCCTGCGGGACAGGGCAGAGCAGGGCTGGGGAGCACCCACCGCCCCGGCAGGGAGCCCACCCCCCATCCAACGCCGCCACTACCAGCTGGCGGGCCAGGCCTCAGAAAGGGACCTGCTGGTCTCCAGACCCCTGCCTGGGCTCAGACTGGGCCCCAGCCTCACTCTCTCTGCTCCTCCGAGGACAGCTTAGGAGTGGGGCAGGGACAAATCCCAGCCCACCAGGGACCAGGGCCCCAGGCAAGTCACCTGCTCTGTGTCTGCACTGTGCAGCCCGTTCTTCCCTCTCAGGCCGTTGGGGGTCAGTGGCACAACACGGGCCCCTTGCCCAGACCCAGCCAAGGGAGGAGGCGCAGCACTGGCTGCCCCCATGCTGACCTTGCCATCAGCAGCCACCTCCTCTCCGGAAGCCTCAGGCTGCCCTGTGCCCCACCCCACCCAACACTCACTGTCCCACAGACGTGAGAACCCTGGAATGGCCTCGCGGAGCCCTGGGAGTGGGGCATGGCCCAGGCACCTGCCTCCCTGCACCCTGGCCTTGGGTCCTGCTTGGCCCACAGGAGGGTGATTTGGGGAGGCCTCCAGACCCTGCAATGGCCTGACAACCCTGTCCCACCAGCCCCTGGCCCCCACAGCAGCGGTACCTGAGGAGCGGTCCCCGCAGATGGCGCAGATGTGCTTGGTGAAGGAAGCCATGTTTCCTGAGGGGTGGGCGGGGACCTTGAGGACGCCATTGAGGCCCAGGGGGGGCTTGATGTCCTCGCTGCTGCTGACGGGGTTCATAGGTGAGCTGAGCTGGGGGGGGCAACCACAGCAGTCAGCGGGGTGTACACCAGGTTTGTCCCTATGTCCCCCACGGCCCTGCAGCAAGGATGGCGCAGCTGTACCCCCAACTTCACACACAGACACCGAGGCTAGAGAGGGCCGTGCCCCCCACCCGCCACGCTGCTCCGGAGCAGCGGGGCCACTGTGCTTGCTCAGCAAGGCCAGCAGAGGCTGTGGCAACCTCAGGACTCGCCCGCAGCAGACCCCAGGCCTCTGTGGAAAAGGACCTTCAACACCCCCCCCAACACATGGGCGGTCCCTGCTTGCAACCCCCTGCCCGCTGCCCACCTAAATGAGAGCTGCCTCTCATTACTGAGCCCCTGGCAGTGCCCAGCCCCGCTGGGTGCCCCCGGACACTCCATGAGGCAGGCACTCTGGGGGGTCCCAACCCACACATGAGGACGCCGAAGCCCAGTTCCCAGGACGGAGGAGGGCTGGGGACCCCCCCAAGAACCACACATACACCCCACAACACCGCAGGGCAGGGGCCCTGGTCACGTGACCCAGGAGAGGGGAGTGGACACCCCCGGGCATCGGGTGGCACGACACCACTGGCCTCTCTGCACACCCCTCCGCCCCACCCGCCGGCCCGCACGCTGCCGCCCGGGCAAGCGTGGGAAACTCACCCGGTCACCCTGGCAACAGCTGCAGCGTGCAGTGACACAGCAGTTTTGGTTCCGCTGCCTCCACCCAGCTCTGCAGTCAGCGCCGAGGACCCACAGGCGCTTCCCGCTGCAGCCTGCCAGCCAGCCTGGCTGCGCAGGGCGGTAAGCGCTTGGCCAGGCAGCCCCCAGCCTCCACTTCTGCAAACCCCTGCCGCCGCTTGTGCGCAGGAAGCTCCCCTCCTTCCTTCCTCAGGCCTCCAAATCCCATCCCCCCTTCTCACGGGACAGGAAGAGTTTGAGGCTCAATGCAAGCAAAGCAGAAACCACCGCAAAGCCTCCTTTCACATGGACCTCGGTGCCTGGAATGAGTCTTCCAGCCCCAGCTTGTTCTGGCTTCTAGGTTCTTCCTCGATCTGCCCAGGTGGGCTGTGAGGCTTTACAAGGATGCTTGGTCCCTGCAGGACTCAGGTGGGCTGCGAGAGGCCAGGAGGTCCCCCGTGACAACTCAGCACAGTGGGGGTGCCATGAAGCTCCCACTGGAGAAGCGGGTGGCCACTGTGTGACTCACCAAATGCCCAGTGTTCATGTCCACAGGCAGCAGGTGCGCTTCTCAGAGAAGGGAGGGAACTGAAGGGGCAAGAGAAAGCCCCAGACGTCTGCAGAGGGGTGCGGTGCCTGGGCTTTGCACCCACACTTGACACTCCCTGCATGGGAAACCCTGGGTGTCCCAGATGCAGAGGCTGCGGCTCAGGGAGGTCAGGGGCTGGCCAAGGTCACACATGATCCCCCACGCTGCAGAAGGCGAAAGTGAAGCCCCTGGAGGGACAGAGCTCGTCCAAACTAAGTGCCCAGCTGGCCCTGCCCCGTGCTGGGCTCCGGGAGGCACCAGGGGACAAGGCCCTGCCCAGCCCTCCAGGGCTCGCTGGTCTAGTGGCTGTCTCGCTTGGAGGCACTGGAGGCCCCAGAGGCGGATCCCTGGCTCCGGATTCTGCCTGCCTCCTACGTTCTCGTGTGACATTCGGAAAATGATTTAATCACTGTGAGCCTGAGTTTCCTCGTCGGCAAAACTGGAACCATGTTAGTGCCTACTTCTTTTCTCTTTTTTTTTTTTTTTTTTTTCCGAAACAGGGTCTCACTCTGTTGCCCAGGCTGGAGGACAGTGGCACAATCACAGTCACTGCAGCCTCAAACTTCCAGGCCCAATTGATCCTCCTGCTTCAGCCTCCTGAGTAGCTGGGATTACAAGTCCATGCCACTGCACTCAGCTATTTTTTTTTTTTCTAGTGGTGGGGTCTCAACTATGTTGCCCAGGCTTGTCTCCAACTCCTAGGCTCAAGCAATCCTCCCGCCTCGGCCTCCCAAAGTGCTGGGATTACAGGCGTTGAGCCACCATGCCCAGCCAGTGCCTCTAAGAGCTGATTAAGTGTAACTGAGTCGCTCCATGTGCCAGGGCTCAGAGCAGAGCTCGCAGACAACTCACTGTCTTACAGGGAGGCCGGTGGCTGCAGTGAGCACTCAAGCTTCCTGGAGGAGATGGGCCAGGGCCTGGGAGGAAGAAAGGGGTGTCCCAGGCACAGGGGCCCCCAAGCCAGTGTTCAGAGGTGGGGAAGCAAAGGGCTTGTTTGAAAAAAGGAAAGAAGTAGGTACAGCCAGGGCGGGGATCAGGTCAGAGCAGGGGCAGCAAAGGCATCCACAAGCAGGAAGTGTCGGGCACCCTCGCTTTGTGCCCTAGCACTGGGGAGGCACCGAGGCGTGTGAGCAGGAGCCCCTTGGGCCAGAGGCTGGAGGAGCACAGGCCATGACTCTGCAGGTCCAGGTTGCTCGGAAGCACAAAGGAAAGGAACTCACGCACTTCCTCTTTCTAGGCTGTCCCAAACCACCTCGGGTGGGTAGGGATCCACCTGCTGCCTCCCGGCCCTCCATGTGCAGTCCCTTGGGCCTAGCACCTGCCCTGGGTAAACTGAGGGAGCACCAGAGCAGCCCTGGCCGGGAAAGGGACTCCAGGCAGGACAGAATGGCAGACGGTCCCCCTCCCTCTCAGTGTCAGGGCCAAGCCAGCTCCCGCGCTGAACTTAGCCTGCATCCCTGGCTCCCCCAGACCTCAGTGATATCAGAGGGTCTGGCTAGCCCAGTGAGCCCAGGGCCCGGTGAGCCTCTGCACATCTGAGAAGAGTGGAGCCCGGGCTGAGGTGCCCATCCAGGCTGCAGGCCCTGGGGCCACCCACCTTGCTTCTTTGGGCTCACCTGGAGGACGGTCCAGGCTACAGAAGCAAGGCTGTGCCAGGATGGGGAGGCCAGGCGGGCGTTCTTCCGCCCTTCCAGCCCCAGGCTGCTGGGCCTCGGGTTGGCTCACAGCCCCCGGAGCACAGCACAGGGCCGCCCCGGGGGTCTGCCTTGGTCTGTCCCTCCCCCAGTGGGCTCCACAGCCCCCCAGCTATCCAGGGTCTCCTCCCACACTCCCTGCTCCCGCTCCCAGGAGAGCCAGGCTGCCATTGTTGCTTCGCTGGAGCCTCAGGACTCCACGCGTGGCCAGGGTGGGGGCCATCGCATTTCCCCTTTCAGATCCTTGGCACTTATTTCAGTTCCCGCCGCCTCGATGCCCCACCCAGGTCTCCTGCCCGTCTCTTGGCTCTCTCCTCACACCCACCACACCCTTCCTTCCTGAGCCCCTGAAGGGTCTCTCCACCAGCCCCGACTTGGGAAAGGCCCACTCTGCGCCAGGAGCAGGCCCCTGGACCTTGCTGGACCTCATCTGTCCATCGAGGCAGGAGCAAACCAGCTCCTCTGCACACTCCCCTCCGACCTCAGTCCCTGGCGGGTAGGCGCCTGTGCTGCCCTGCTTCCGACCCCGTGAAGCCCGCTCAGCCTCGCGTCCACACTCCCTGTGCACACATCACAGCCCCACAGGCCCTGGGCAGGCCCTCCCACCAGGAGGCTTTGCTAGAGCTCAGAGGCCTTGACACCAAGTCCAGCTCCATGCCGGGCACTCAGAAGTGCTGTGTGGAAGCTGGCACCAACTCACTCCACCAATACCTGCAACGCGCCCAGGTGAGCCGGCTGCAGCCAGGAAGGCTCTGGGACACTGTGGGGAATGTCCCCCGGGCCTGCTCTGGGAGTACAGCCTGCAGACCAGGGAAGAGATTTGGGACAGCTCAGGGGCCAGGCAGCTGCGGTCTGGCCTGGGTCTACCCAAGCCCCCCCAGACTCCTATTCCCCCACCAGGAGGGGCGAGTGGCCTGGACGCCGCCACATGGAAGGCCCTTCCTGGCCATGGACTTGAGAAGGCAGAAGGCAGCATTTGGCAGAGTGCCTGGCCCTCCCCAACAGCAGCAGAAGTCAGAGAATCTCTCTGGCTCCAGCGACTCTGACTTTGCGGTTGTGGTTTTGGGGCTAGGAGTGGGGGCACATCCCTCCTGAAACCCTGCTCACACTCCCATGAATGTGAGGAACCCCAGGGTTCCAAGACAAACTGCTGAGGCCTCAAAGCTGGACTCAACCCCCAGGGAAGGAGCTATGGGTTCTGGGGAACCAGGGCCAAGTCAAGCATGGGCCTCAGACCACGGCAAACTAACTGCGGGTGAGACCCACAGCCCAACGGCAGACCGACGCCAACAGCGGCCGGGCAGGGAACGTCTGGGGCAACCCGCGTCTGCTCCTCACCCACACCCACCCCGGGGACCTCGCCAATGTCAAGGGGACCTGCACCACTCACTCCCAAGCAACTTGGCTTCAACAAGTCCCTACTTTGTGCCAGGAGCCTGGCTGCACAGGAAGCAACAGAGAATGGCCCAGAAGCAGCCCTGAAAAGCCTCCTCCCCTAGTGCTGCCCATCCCCTCCCCGAGAAGAGCTCAACAGTGCGGAGGACACCAGGCATCCCTGAGGATTCTGGGAGCACCACTGCCACCCGCAGGGGGTAACCTACTGTGCACTAGACCCCTGGGTGTCCAGGACAGGCGGCAGACCTGGGAGGACCCAGCAAGGGGCATCCTGGGGCCCTGGGACCCAGCAGGTGCCAGCCAGTCAGCCAAGGGACAGGCGGAAGCCGAGTCTTCATCGCCCTCTCGCCACAGGGCACCATGCTGCCAACAAGAGCAGGGGCAGGGCTGGTGTGCTAAAAATAACATGACCAGGCCTCCCTCGTGCCAGCACCTTGGGCCTGCTGCCTGCTTTCGGAAGGCCAGGTGATATGAGGGGGACACGGAGCAGAGGCCCCAGTTCTTCTGCACACATCCCCCAAAGCAGAGGGGCTTTGATGGGGTTGGCCCAGAAAGCCAGCAAGATTCTCCAGGGAAAAGGAGCTCGGGAGGTCAAGGCCAGCTCTAAACAGGGCCAGGTGGATGGGCAGCAGGCCGGCTCCAGACCCCAACTACAGCCCAGTCCTAGGTCAGGAGCAGTCCTGGACTACCCGGGAGATGGCATGGGGGCTTGGGACTAGGTGTCCACCTGCTGCCTCCTGGCCCCCTCACATGCAATCCCTTGGGCCTAGTGCCTGCCCTAGGTAAACTGAGGCAGGGCAGCAGGGGGTTTGGGAGTCCACAGGACACATCTGGTGCTGTCAGCTGTGTGTGGGCAGAGGAGCTCCTAGGGCGAGTCCCACCCGGGTGGGCTGTCCTGAGATGGCACCAAAACTCTGCCATGGAGCCTTCAGCTACTAGGAACACAGGGTGAAACCCAAACACAGAAATTCAGAGCGGAAGGAGCACCCCTGCTCATGTGAGGAGCCCCTGGAGAGGGAGGGCCTAGTGGGAGTCTGGGAGGTTCCGGCCGGCCAGGTGGAAATCCACAAGCAACCACCGGGAGCCAGGGGACGAGGCCCAGCCTCGCCCTCCACCCTCACAGACCGGACACCCCAGGGCTGGGAACAACTCCACAAGAGACACTACTCGGGGTGTCTTCTCCAAGGAAGAAGGGGAGCACGGACCAGGTCCCCAAGTTCTCCATGACAAGACCTGGACTGCGCCAGGCTCTGCCAGGCACCAGCCCTTCCTGATCCAGAAACAGCCCAAAGGGCCAGGCTGAGCTGGAGAAGCGACTGAGCAAACCTCAACTGTGGAAAAGGTCCCCACGCCCCACAGACGGCCAGGCGCCCACAGAGCCGTGGGGGAGCCGAGACCACAGAGCACCGCTGCCACACCTGGCCACTGCAGGTCCCAGGGCCGGCATCCCTGAGAGGGGACGCAGCTGCCCTGAGCCCGAACACGCCTTCCCTGGGGGCCCTTTGGCCTGGGTGTAAGCAGAGACTTCAGGGGAGGACCCAGGCTGTGTGGGCACAAGCTTTTGGGGAAGCAGGCTTAGGCCTGAGGGAGGCCACAGCCTCTCTCTGCTGAGTCCCCCAGTCATGGGAACAGGGAGTCCCGAGCCCTCCGGCATGGGAAGGGGCCACGTGGGCAGATAACCAGCTGCAAGTCACCTCGGCTGATGATCCAAAGGCCCAGGCTCAGCAGTCAGCCCCACCTGGGCTCAAACCCCCACGGCACTCTGCTCCCCGAGGCTCTGTATACTCTGCGTCAAGCGGGGAGACCACAGCACCTACCTCCCAGAGGCCTCAAGATGAGGCGGTCGTCCTGCAGTTGAAGCCACAGCCCCACCCCAGGCCCCACCCCCTCCCCTTGCCCCAGCCCCGCACTCACCTGGGGGCTGCCAGTGCTGAAGCCCAGGGTGGGTGTGGTGGGCACCGACATGGAGTGGGGGCCCATGGGGGAGCTGATGACCGAGAAAGGCGGGCCCATGCCGTTGATGGGGGAGCTCAGGGTGCTGATGGGAGAATGCAGCTGTCCCGGGGAGCCGATGCCAGGCCCCAGGGACGGGTGCAGCGAGGGGGCAGCCATGGAGCCTCGCCCCGTCGGGGAGGTGAGGGAGGAGTTCACCTGGGTGGAGAAATCTGCAAGACAAGAAGCCGCAGGAGAGTGGTCAGTGCAGGTGACTCCAGGCCCCACCAAATGCCTGCTCCCCCCAGCTACAGATGCACGCACCTGCGGGAAGACCCCGGCACCCTCAAGGTGGCCCCGTGGGTCTCGACAGCTCTCTGACGCAAATTCACACTCACTACGGGCCAGGTGTGCCCAGAGCTCCCCTCCAAGGTACTGTTCTGCGCCTGACCCCGGCTTTAGGCTGGGCCTGCGGCAGACGCAGGAAGAACCCGCTGTGAATGAGCCCCAGGATGCCCGCCTGGGTCGCTCCAACCCTCAGCACTCCAGGCCCGTCCACCTGGGAAAGCAGTGGGAGGAGTGGCTGGTGGCCGGGACTAGTCAGCCCCTCTGCCCATCTCCACAGGGACTCAAGGTGAAGGTCTGGGAATAATCATGAAAGGCAGAAAGGCTGATGTCGCCGAGCACCTGCCGTGTACCAGGACCTGGTCAGTTCTGAGCGTGGGTAAATTCGTGGATTTGGGAGGTCAGCAGTGAGCACCATGATTCTCCCATTTTACAGATGCGGGAAGCCAGGCCCTGAGTACTCAGAGCCACCTGTGGCCAAGCCAGGACTGGCGGCGCCTGCTGACCCACTCCCATGTCTGTGGCCCTAACCAGCAGGCCACACTGCCTGGACCTGCTCAGGTGCCACAGCAGTGGTCGCCCGGGCACCGGACGCTCAGGCCCCTAGCTCCATGCTCTGAGGTCTGTTTGAGGGGACCAGATGGGTGGAATGGGGCACCTCTCACGTGGGCGGTGGGCTGGACGCTGCTGGGTGGCTTTGTGCAAGGCCTTGGTGTGTGCCAGGAACAAGAGGGCAGCCCATAGGGCCGCAGGAGAGGCTGGGACCTCCCACACTCCCGCCTTTGAAATCAGAGATTTCAAAGCCCCAACCACACTTCAGGAGGTGCCCCCCTGCCCCGCACCCTGGAGGCTGGCACTGCAGAAGGGAGGCTCCCAGGTGGCGAATCCACTGCCCATGGGCCTGAGCAGACCACTGGGAAATGTCGGAGCCCACCCAAGGCAGCACAGACGGCAGCAAGTGCCGGGAGCTGGAGGCACTGCCTGCCTGCCCCCACCCTATCTCCGACGGGCTGGGCACACGGGGCAAGCCACTCTCCCTCTCTGGGCCTCAGCCTTCCCATCTGCAGAATGGCTCTCAGGCCCTCCGTGCCTTGACCTGTGGCAATCACAGGCACTTCTGGGGAGTCGAGCAGGACCATGAACACATAGAGTGGCTATGACTGAGCCCACATGCCCCAGGTCAGGGGACACCCCTGGCTCCACCCCTCCCCAGCCCCAGGAAGACTTCACCTCCCCAAGCCTCAGAGCAGCTGTGTCCAGGGCACTGGCTCACTCGCTGGGTGCCAGGCTAGAGCGGGAGGAAGCCCTGGGCCAGGCCTCTCATGGGCATCTGCCTCCTGTGCACCCTGCATCTCAGGAAGACATGGCATGAGCTTTAGGATGCCACCACCACTCGGCAGCGTGGAAACTCGGGCCACTCCTGACCCCATCCAAAGCCAGCACTCTTCTTACCTCACACAGCTCTGCTGCCCCCAGCACCTGGCCAAGGCCAGCTCAGAGGCAGCAGGAACACAGAGGTTCTGCCACCCTGTGCCCACCTCTGCTCAGGAGCATTTGCCCATTCTTGTCCAGCAGCCTCAGGCCTGCTCCACACACCCCCTCTTGCTTCCTCTCCCAGGGAGGAAGGTGCAGAAAGGAGGCCTGGAAGCCAGCACTGCCCTGATTCAGCCAGCACTGCTCAGATTCAGCCAGCACTGCAGGGGCCTGGCTGCCACTAGTGCCCCATCGCAGTCGGGGTACAGACCCCACCAGCAAATGAGCCTTGTCTGACCCACTGGAAACCTTCATCATTCACAATATTGGGAATAAGCCATTTCATTGAACTAAAAATGCAGACTTAAGGAATTCCAGAACCAGATGTTGGTGGCACCTACTGGCTAAGACAGGTACTGCAAACCAGCCCTATTGGTCATTCAACTCCTGGGAGGAGGACAGGCAGGACCCACATGTAGATATCAAACACATGCAGCCCAGAGGTCTCCACATCCAGAATCCCCAGGTGCAGAAGGCCAGGGAGAGAACAGCTAGGAGCTGACAAGACAAAGCAGGCAAAAGAGTGTGTCCAAGACAGACAAACACAAAATCAGGCTGCTCACGAGTCTATGAAATACCTGCATAACCTGATGTTACTGATTCCTGCAACTCTTGGAGAAGCTACCACCACCAGCCTGTGACAGACAGGGAAACTGAGGCATAGAGAAGGTGTGTGATGAGAACTGCCCCAAAGGCACACTCCCAGAAACCTGCAGCTGCCCCTAGGCCAGGCAACCATGCCCACCAGGGCACTGCGGGGACCCTGGGAATGCCACATGGCTGCCTCATCACAGCCCCACCTCACCCACCTTCAGCTGACCCCTGCCGGAGGAAACCTGAGCCAGCTTCTTCCTTTACCAAGCCTCAGTTTCCTCATCTGTGAAATGCAGACAGGCACGCGTACTCAGCAGCAAGTTCTGCTCAGCCCCAAATCCACACAGACTGAGCCTGGACCAGGGCTGGGCCCTCCTTATCCAAGCCAATCCAGGGAAACACTGTGCTGACTTCAAGGCAGAAGGGACAAGAAAGCATGACTGTGCACAAATTGGCTTTGCAGCCATCTCCACCAGGTAGCCCTGGGAGCACCTGGGAGGAGGCCGGGCCATGCAGGGAGCCCAAACCTCAGCACTGCATTCAGAAGCCGGGCCTTGGAATGGCCTGATCTGAGGCCCTAGGCACCCCTGGGAAGGCCGCCCACCTTTCTTCCTGGCCTCTGGGAAGAAGATGGGAATTTTAAGGCCATGGGAGAAGACACTCCTGGATTCTTTCAGCTTCTCCACCCACCCCCTGCTCCAGATGTAATCTGGGAAGACTGGGGAGTCAGGGGGACACTGAGTTGGAGGAGGGGACTGGAGGGTTTCTGGGACAGCCTTCCAGGGCACCTCAGGAGCTGAATTATTTAAGCCAGCTGCCCCTGGGCCCTGCTCCCAGCCCTTCCTGTTTACACAGACTCCGTCCATAGCAGACACCTTCCCAGAGCCTGGGTGACAATAGGCTGGGTGTGTTTTCTGGAATCCTCTAGAGAGAGATGCTTTTTGGCCAGGAAGAGGACATTAAAAAAGAAGAGGCAAAAAATGCCTCGACATCCTCTACTCACAGCAAAGGGCCCCGTGTGTGGGCTCTGTCTCTTCCAGGTCATTTATCCGTCCCCACCCCTGATTAAGTGGTGGCTACCATAGGCGTTATTCTTAAAACATCCTACTTTGGGGCCGGGCAGGGTGGCTCACACCTGTAATCCCACAACTTTGGGAGGCTGAGGTGGGTGGATCACCTGAGGTCAGGAATTCAAGACCAGCCTGGCCAACATGGCAAAACCCCATCTCTACCAAAAATACAAAAATTAGCTGGGCATGGTGGTGCACGCCTGTAATTCCAGCTACTTGGGAGGCTGAGACAGGAGAATCGCTTGAACCTGGGAGGCGGAGGTTGCAGTAAGCAGAGATCGCGCCATCGCACTCCAGCCTGGGTGACAAAAGCGAAACTCTGCCTCAAAAAAAAAATAAAAAATAAAAAAATCCTACTTTGGACTTGCAGGGGCACTTGTTACCAGCTGGTCTTCACTGACTTCCGTGGCCCTCCAGGTTCACCCCCAAACCACAGGGACAGCCTCAGACACTCAGACCCAACCCGGGAGCCAGCAGACACACAGCCCTCCCCACACAAGGGAGCGGCAGAGGGGCCTGAGTGGCAAAACTGAATGGCGGGATCTGGGAACCTCAGAACCTGAGCCATACAGGGCCCCACAATCCCAGACCCTCACACCCCTTACACCCACCGTGCCCACTTAGGGACCACAGGCAATCAGTGTGACTCCGAACCCCAGGCGAGGAGGAGCTCAGGAAGAACTCAGGGACCTCCAGGGCTAAACGGAAGAGCAGAAAGCAGGCCCTGATCCCGGCAGGGGCAGTGCCCAGTAGCCCCAAGGCGCCTCTCACAGCTACTAGATTTCTATCCAGGAAGACTGCACAGAAGAAGTGGTGGAGTGATCACTCCCTTGGCACAAAACTGACTCTAAAGTGCAGATACCTGGAGGCCGGGAGCAAAAGCCTTGTACCAGAGATGAATGCCCCGGAATGCCAGCACCCAGGGCAGGCACAGAGCAGCTCCCTGGGCCCCCAGATGGCAGATCCTGAGTGTCGGGGGCTAAGCGGCAGGTTTAGTAACATTGAAGTAAGGAATGTTCTTGTCCTGACTGCTGCCCAGTGACGGCACAGGCTGCTCCGCGAGACGGTGAATTGCCACCCCAGGTGTATGCAGGCACCACTCAGGACCCCAGGGACACTCACACCCCAGAGGGTCTGCTGGAAGAGGGAAGGGACACCCTGTTGACCAAAGTTCCTGAGCTGCACAGTTCCCTCCAGAACGCTCACCAGTGCCAGGATGCTTCTGCTCCCTGGACCCCAGAGCAGGAAGCCTGGGGAACCCCCACCAACTCCCTTCCGGCCTCTGCCTGGCAGGCGGGGGAGGCAGAGAAGGTGGCAGGAAATGCCAGTCTGACTGTGGTGGGGGCGGGGGTGAGCCCTCAGGACTCCAGCCCCCTCCTGGGCAGCCAGGGAACCTCCGGCCCTTGGAGAGGGGAACTCAAAATCCCCACATCCCTTTGGAATCTGCAGGGCCAATCGCGGCAGGGTCTGAGCAGGCCACAGGCTGGGGCCGAGTGATCAGGTCACCTGTCTAGATGAAAAACAGAGGACACCCGGACCATCCAATCTGGCGCCCCAGGAAGCCCAGCGGAGGGAAGGACGGCGTTCTAAATGGGGGAGCTTGGGGTAGGGTCCCGTGGGCTCCACGGTGGGGAATCCAGGATGGTGCAAAGGAAAGGCAGGGTGCCCGGGAGGAGGGAGGAGCTCGGCCTGCGATGAGGAAGCCCACTGGGTAAACCAGCACCCAGATGAGAGCTGGTCCTGAGCCTGCCTGCTCCCGGTCCCTGCAACGTCCCTGCAACCCTATGCCACCTGCCTGGGGACCCCCCCGCCCGGAACTGAAACCCCGTTGCAAGCAGCTAGCAGGCCCTCAGAGCTTCCTGGATCACCCACCTCCAGCCCCCACCTCCGGAAGTACTGCTTCCCCTGGCCTCCCAGGGGAGGGAGAAGGGCAGCGCTGGCGGGGACAGGGATGAGGACGTGGCAGGGACCACGGCGCGTCAAGGTTTGGGGGAAGCTGAAGGTGGTTAGTGTAGGAGGAAGAGGAAGGAAGTGGCCACAAGCCCCAGAGGGTGAGGGGCCCTGAGGAACTAGGGTGGGGCGGGCAGCCATGCCCAACCCAGGAGATGCCGGCCATGGTGAGAATGGGCTTCTGCTCACCCTTGGGCCCACAAGACCCACCACTCCCTGACGGAGAGACCCTAGGCAACCCCTTAGCCTAGATGAGCCTCAGTCTCCCCTTCTGTAAAATGGGCATGCCAACAGCAGAGGTTGTTGAAGATGGGCCCTACGGGCCCTCGGCGGGGTGGGCTCTCCGTACCTGCTGCACATCTGTTTCCCGCCTCCCCGCAGGGGCAGGCAAAGACTCGGGCCTGTCACCTCCAGCCCCAGGAGCATGGCCCGCTAGCGGCCTCCAGGCCAAGTGTCAGCTTACAGCTCAGGTGGCCCAGGCTGGAATTTCAGCTCTTCTGAGGTTACCCTGCCCTTTCCCCAACCAACACCCTGGCCCTAAATCTCAGCCCCATCTGAGGACAGGCCAGATTGGCCCTCCTGAATAGTTAGGAGAGACCCAGGCCTGCCTCCACAGGAGCCTGAGGGCCCCAAAGCAGGGTCGGATGATGGAGCTCCCTGAAGGCAATGCCAAGGGGCCCCATGGGGAGGTCCAGCCCCCCACCTCGGCCAGGCCTATGAAGTCACCCACCTGCGGGAACATGGACACTCAGGCCCCTGCTCTGAGCCAGGGGTGCCCCAGAACCACCCAGACTCTGGAGGAGAAAGGAGGATGGGGCCTGGCACACCAAGGTGTCCATCTCCTTCACTGCAGCCCGCAACTGCTCACAAAACCCCCAGGAAGTGGCCCTAAGGACTGCCGGCCCCACACAGAGCCCTGACCAGCCTGCTCCCTAGCCCTGCCCTACCCAACCTTCCGTGACACATGCAGAGATGCCCCAAGGGCCCAGTGAGACGGGCCCTTCCATGATCAGCCCCCCATGGCCGGCCAGTGGGCCAGGAGGGAAAGGGTGAGAAGGAAGCAGCGGTGGACACAGGAAGCCACGGTGAGGCCAGGCGGGACTCCGCCAAGGGAGGGACAGAAATCTGGGTCTGCACCAGACACAACGCCACAGTCCTGCCAGCCCCATGGACATGTGGGAGTTCGGAGTGACCGGGGTTGCAGAGCCAGCACAGACAGGCTCCTGCCAGGACTGAGAGGGGACTGATGCTTCCCTGAGAGCCCACGGTGTCCCAGCCTCAGGACAGAGCCCAGCCAGGCCAGGTCGGTCAGGCTCTGGACTCCTGTCCGGCCTCTGCCTCTGTGAGTTTGGTCCCCCAGGTTCCACGTGACCAAGAGACCCTCAAGGACTCTGAATGCCAAACCCACTTTTATTATCACCACCCCTGCACAAATGCAGAGAAAGCAGGGTCTTGACTCCCTATCCGCTCACCCAGGAGGAGCCAAACACTGGCCTCTCCCTCCTTGAGCTCCATGGGGCCCCCTGACATTGCCTCTCACACCTCTGCCCTCCCAGCCCAAGAGGCCCCCATGGTGGGGACCTTGTCCAGTTTCCCCAGTGCAAGATCAGGGGCTGGCACAAGGGGAGACTGGGAGACGCAGGGTAGTGAGGGGGCGTGATGTCAAGATGAGGGGACCAGGGGTGCTGCCTGAGGCCTCTGGCCCCTGAGGCACGTAGCGTGCAAGTGCAGCTGGCCAGGCAGCTCAGTCCGCAGGGGATCCAAAGGCAGGGGTAGATCTGCAACCCAGACCTATGAGACCCTGCCCGGGCCTCCCCCAGAGACCTCCGCGAGCTGCCAGGGCATGAGAATGAGGAAGAGTGACCCACACACCTTGACCTTCTCCAAGCCTCAGTCAGGAGACACCAACCAAACACCCTTCAGTCTTGACTGACCTCAAACTCCCAGGGCACAGGCAGTGGCCCTTCATGGAGACAGGCTCCATCAACACCCAAAGGGCCTCGGCAGGAAAACCACTCTTGATTATAAAACTCAGCTTAAAGCAATGTCTGTGAAGGCATCCAGCGAGCGTGCAATGACACATCTGCACTGTCACTGCCATCAACATCACCGTCATCATCACCACCGTCATCACCACCACCATCACTATGATCACCATCACTCACCATTAACATCACACATCATCAGTCATCATCACCACCATGATCACCACCATCACCAACATCATCAACACCATCATTACATCATCATCACCACCACCACCACCGTCACCATCACTACCAGCTGAGCAACCCCTTGCCCTGCTCCACTGTGCAGATGGCAGGCTGAAGCCTAGACAGAGAGGTTGACAAGTTTTGTCATAAATAGCAAGGGGATGGTGTTTTGGGTCCTCTTGGCCATACTGAGCAAGTTGAGGACTGGCCAGCGGCAGAAGGAAGAATAGGAAGTGGTGCCGAGGCTGATGGCCACCCTTGCACAGCCCACTCATACAGCCCAGGGGCGCTGGGGTTAGACCCAGTGGTGGCAGGTACAGCTGCAGCCCAGCCACAGTGAGGGAAGTGGGAAGCACACACAGGAGGAAGAGGGTGCTCAGGAGGGGGCTCCCCATGAGCAGTCAGTGCCTGCACCCAGGAAGCATTCAAGACAGAGCTGAGAGGTGAAGACACTCACTAACTGGGGCATGAGGGCTAGGGTTTTTGCAGGAACCCCACCCTGTCATGCCTACTCCCCTGAGAAGCCCACCATGGGAGCTGCGGCCACAGGCCTCACACCAGGCCCAGCTACATTCAACCAGATATGCACGCACCACCTTCCCCGAGTCTTGCAGCCGTTGCTATGATCACCCACCACGCTGGCAGGGCTGCCAGATGCCCATGGCGGCCACTGTCCAGGGATGCCCCAGGCGCTAAGGGGCACACTTAACCTGGGACCAGGCTGCCTGAACCACCATGGTTCAGAAGAGGAAACAGCCCCAGAGCAGCATCCACTCCCAAATTCTTCACAGCTTAGAGGCAGATGTGGACAGGAGGGGCACACCTGGGCCAGGCAGCTGGGAGGTGCAGGCCAAACTCTTGACAGACCCCTGGTCCTCTGTGACCCAGCCTCCTGGTTGTGTCATGCCCCCTTCACCACCCTGTGTGTGCCCCAGTGCTACAGGGAGAAGAGCGCCCAGGTCGCTCATGGCTTTAGGCTGACGGCAGAGCCGGCTGCACCCCTCCCTGCCCAGCTCGCCCTGCACTTGGTCCGATGCCCCAGACGCTGGCTCAGGAAATGTCAATTCCCTACTGTCATTTCCCGCTTCCCCATGATTCCCGGGTTTCCCAGGGCAGGATGGGTTTTTTTTTTTTAAGAAGAAGCCAAGTAACCACCTGCAGAACTGGCCCCTAACAGGGACGAGCAGGCAGGGTCTGTCCCTAGAGGGCTGAGGGGCTGGCAATGACCGGCCAGTGACTGTGGGACTCGGAGCCCCATCCCAGAGTGCCTGCCCAGGGACGGGTTCCCAACGCAGCCGCTACTCCTCCACTCCCACGACTGGCACAAACCTCAAGGGACGCCCATCCCCAAGGTGCAACCCGCACGGCCAAAATGAAGTCCTGAACCCAGGGGCCAGGACCAGGGACCGCAAATCTGAGGCTGGCCCTTTTAGGAGAGCTACAGGGCATCTGATTTTACCAGGAAGCACCCACATCCCCCAGCCTAAAGATGGCTAGGGTAAGCGAGAATTCAGGTAGCCTCATGGACGGAGTCACCCACCCATCCCAGGGACCCAGAAGTCAGGAGGGCTTGGCCCAGCCAGCGCCAAGGAGGAAGCCAGAGGAGAGCCGTGATGGAAATCGCGCAGCTCTGGGGCCAGGCCTGTCCAGCCACGCTCGCTCCACTGGTTCCCAAAAAGGAGCTCCTGCCATGGGGGTACAGGGAGGAGGTGGGCTCAGGGCCACCCACCTAGAAAGATGCCAAGGGGCCCCGGAGAGTCCTGAGAGCTGCTTTCCAGCCACAAGGCCGGAGACACTCGGTAAGCTGACCTGTGCCCCTGTACGGCCATTCCCCCCGGGGCATCGTGAGCAGACCACCCATCTGCTGCCTGGGGCAGAGGCTAGGAGGGTGGGAGGGCGGGAGTCAAGCCCCAGTCCTGGCAGAGTCCCCGTGGAAAGAAGCGGAGTCACGGAAAGGGCGTGACCAAAGGCGTGGGGCCACCAGGAAGCTGGGAGCCCCAATCGCCTGCATGTGACGTCCTTCCCACCCTCCCCCTCTGCAAAATGGAGGCTCTGACACCGGGGCTTGCCCTGCACACTGCACCAAGCCAGGTGACTGTCACGGCCCCCTGCAAACACACAGACTCCATCATGTGGTAGAAGAGCTGCCGTAGGCCGCAGCTACCACAGCTCAAACACCTAACTGCAGGTGCACGCCAGGCCAACATTTCATTACATGAGCTCACAGAAGTGTGGTGACAAGGGGGAGCCGCTCCTCCTGCCCCCGTCCTGCAGGGGAGGAACCAGGGCTCAAGGAGGCGAGATGTTTCCAAGCCCGGAACAAGAGCTGCCGGGTCAACGCCTGGAGGCCTGGCTTTCTGAAGCCTCGGTCCACCCCTTGGCCACCCCTCGACCACCAGGGTGGCCAGACACAGCAGACACCCATGAGCCCTGAGAGTTCCAGCAATGACGCCCACCTTGGAGGACGGGTACCAGCTCGGGGACTTGGCAGAATGCTCACCTCTCCAGGGCCAGGCAGGGGCTCCTGGGCAGCGCAGCCTCCCTTCCAGGCCGTACCCCTGAACTGTGTCTAGCACCACCACAGGGCCAGACCTTCGAGGAGGGTGAGTGGGAAGCAGGGGAATTCCTGGAGAAACCCCGCCTGCCCCACAGCCCGCCTGTGTGGCGAGGGGGCCCCCAGCCTGTGGGCTCCTGGGGGTAGTTTCCCTTCAACAGGAAAAGAAATGATTCTTGTTTCATTTTGAGCCATGTTGCTCTCGGTGGCTCAGAGGCCCTGCCACCGCTGCCAGCAGCTCTGTCGTGGAACGGCCAGGCTTTCCACCCTCAGGGCGGCTCTCGTCTCCACCTTCATGTGCACGGCCACCTGGCTCAGGAACACCCCTGCAGTTCCTCAGGTCCCACCTGTGGTGGAGCGTGGCCAGCTCCATGCCAGAGGCCAACACGATGGTTCAGTCGGGGACTCTGAAATGATCAGGGCAGAGGATGCTCCCCCAGGCATGTCCTGGGGCCTGGCATGGGGCCGGCCTCTCTGGGGGACATCCCCAGTCTTCCCACGGCCCGCTGAGCAGCACCATTTGCAGATGGGGGCACCGGTGCTTAGAATAGGCAGGGCATGGCCACCGGGGCCACGCGGTGGACAGAGTCCAGGCAGGGAACCCCTGAAGGACAGAGCACCTGCTCAGCACCCAAGGCTGGCAGTGGGGACCCTCTCCAGCTGGTGCCGGCTTTCCAAGAATCCCCTCCACACCCGTGCCATAAGCCCAGGCCCACCCTAGCACGCAGCATCCTTCCCACAGAAGAGGCTTACCACCCACGCACCTGAGCCGGATGCCTGTCATGTGCAGGGGCCTGACTGGCGGGGCATCTGCAGACGGGGGACAGGGCCTCACCCATGAGACAGACCAAGAACGGGACGTCAGCCCGCTGAGCAGGACTTCCCCCATCACAACCCCAACATGGGCGCCCTCCCTGCCTCTGCCACTCCCAGGGCTGCGGCGGAGCTCAACGACACCAGCCCAGAGGCTCAACTGCACCCAGAGTTGCCTCTTCCGAGCTCAGCCTCAGCACGTCCCTCCTGCCCCGCAGAAACTTGCTGAGGGCCCGGGTCAGGCTCATCACCACTCTGAGCGAGACAAACCACCCCGTGGCCACAGGCGCCACAGGCCCCACAGGCTGAGCCTCAGAAACCTCCCTCCTGGCTGCCGTGCCTGCTGTGTAGGGCCTGGCCCCCCACCCACTGTCCCAGACTGGGGGCTTTGGACTTTGGGAGTGTAATGGGGAGCCCTGGGAACTTCTGGCAGCGACAGAGTGGACCTCCCGCCAAGTGACCCGTGGAAGGGACGGCAATGGAGAGGAGGGTGTGCTGAGCTGGCTTTAGCCTGGCCTGGGCTAGGTCTGAACTTGGCCACTTCTAGGGGCACCCGGGCCCCTACCCACTGTGTGTCAGACTCCCCCTCCCCTTCCCTTAAGCCCAGGGATTGGGGAGCGGACTCCACCCTGCACCAAGGAGATGCCGACCCAGGAGGCCGAGAGAAAAATCCTGCCGGGGAATGCAGGCAAGCGCAGGCTCCGGCCTGCTGCCCCCAGGACGGCCACCCCCATCCTCATCAAGGCTCTGACCCAAGGCCTCGCTGTGTCCCCTCCCAATCCCACCAATCGGCACATATCAGGGTACTGTGGCAGCAGGAGGGGACGAGCCGCTGGCCTGCAGATGCGAGGGTGAACAGGTGGCAGGCAGCTTCTCTGCTCCTCGGTGCCCAGCCCCAAGAACCTGAGACGGGGCTGCAGCTAGCACGCACGGTAACTCCCAGCCTAGCCGGCAGCCCCCAGGGGCCTCGGAAGGAAGGGGAGGGATGGAGAGGCCAGCTGCAGCTATGGAGTCTCTGTCCAGACTCTGGGTGACCCCATCCACAGAGTGCCTCCCGCAGGAACGTCTGCCAGCCCCCTCTGTACAGGCAGAGCCAGACATGGCCAAGTCCAGACCTTGCCCAGGCCAGGCTAAGGCCAGCTCAGCACACCCTCTCCACCACTGTCCCCTCCACTGGTCACTTGGCAGAATGTCCACTCTGTCACCATCAGAACTTCCCAGGGCTCCCTATTACACCCCCAAAATCCAAAGCCCCAGGCCTAGGATAGAGATGCCCAAGCCCTGGCCCCGCTAGCCCTCTGGGGCTAGCCCTCTGCTGTCCCAGGGCTCCCCATTATACCCCCAAAGTCCAAAGCCCCCAGCCCGGGACAGAGGCGCCCAAGCCCTGGCCCCCTAACCCCCTGGGGCCAGGCCTCTGCTGTCCCTGTCCAGCACCCTTCCCAGCCTGCTTGGCCTCACCAACGTCCACTTCTCTGGATCCCACGAGCAACCCCCCGGGGGTGACCAAAGCCAGCGCCCACGTGTGCAGGGAACCCAGCAAAACTGCATTTCCACCATTCTCTCCCCTCCTGACAAATCCGGGAAAACGGGTTCCGTGAAATGGCAACAACGTGCAGTCTGTGCCATCCAGAGGGGCAGGGGACGGGAGCGAGCTGAGGGCGTCCACGACAGGACCGGCCAGGTGGCGGATGTGACTCTCCGAGGAGGACCCAGGAGACCAAACCCCTCCTTGGAGGACCAGAGCTTGGCAGGGAGGTGAGTGGACACAGGCCTGAGGCCACCCTGGAGGAGGCAGGTCACCGGGTCTCAGCCCTCTGGGGCATCCAGCACGAAGGAGAGGAGCCAGAAATGTGTCTTCCAGGGCTTCTGACCCACACCCAGTCCGTCAAGCAGCAGCCCCCACCAAGCAGGGAGGGGGCTCTGTCCCTCCAGAGAACTCACAGCCTCCAGACACCTGGAGACCCTCAGCATCTGCCCCAGGGCACCCGGCTGTCACCTGGCTCACAAGGAGGAGGAGGCAGAGGAAGGACATCGAAGGATGACTCCCCTCCCCATCCAGGTGCAGGAAGACCAGGGAAAGGGGCCGGGAGAGCCCGATGCGCCCAGAATGGCGGCCACCAACTCCACAAGCTAAAACTTCCATGCGCCTGACTCACAGGAGAGGCTCCTGCTCAGGGTCTTTGACTCAGCTTCACACACAACACTAACCTGATGCCTCAGATGACTCCCCAGAGGACAAGCAGTCAGACAGAGGTAATCGTGGGAGAAAGGACCGTCACCAGGAGGCCATGGGGAAAGGTGCACAAATCAAAGTCCAGCAGCCAAAAATACAACAGACCCTGGGCCCCACTCCTGCGTGAGAGCAGAACAACATCCCAAGTCATTCCCAGAAGAGACAGTAAGTGCGCTTCAGGAGACGCTCAGAGTGCCTGACCCAGCACCAGATGCCCGTAGTGACCCCAACACGTGTGCCTGTGCACGCAAATGCACATACACACTCACACACACACTGCTTCTAGCTGAGAACACCAAAGACATCCCCCAACCCTGACGAAGAGCACAGTCTAACAGCCTAGGACCCCTGACGGAAGTGCACAGTCTAACAGCCTAGGATATTTTCTGCATAAAAGTAACTTAATACAAACTCAAACCTCCTGTCACATCAAGAAAGCTGACCTGGAAAACTTCTGCGCCCACTTTACAGATGAGTAAACCAAAGCCAAGAGCTGAAGAGGCCTCTCTGTGGTCACCATGGGGTGCAGCGATAAGTGCCCTATAAGCGCTTCCTGCCCTCCAGGAAGAGCTGCCGAAGGGATCTGAATTCAAACCCCCCAATGTCACCTCCAAAACAGAAATCAGAGTTCTTTGCTGCAAGAGGCTGGGGCTTTCAAAAAACCTTGGGCTCACAGAGTCAGGCTGGGAACGGGCCTTCACGATCACTCCAGACAGCCCAAGCGAGGCACGGGCTTGGGGAAAAGGGGAGAAGCTGAGCCCAGAGATGCCCAGGACAGGCTCATGGTCACCAGCTAGTCAGGGCTGGCGCCGGGACAAGTGTGCGAGGCAGGCACGCCGCACGCCTGCTGCTTACTGACAGCACAAAATGCGGGGAACGCTCATGGACGGCTCTGTGAGGCAGGTGGTCCTGGTCAAGGACTGCGTGGTCCCCAGGTGCACTGTTCTATTTCAGGTGTCAGCTCCAAAACCAAGTGGCTCCCAGAGACTGCCCGGCACAGCCTCGCCTGGCATCCATCAATGCCCACGCAGTGCTGAGGAAGGCTGGGCTAAATATTTACAAATTGCGAAAGGACTTTTAAAAGGCCTTGGAAAATCGAGATGGTCCAGGCTTGCACCCTGGCCAGACCGATCTGGTTTGAGTCCCTCCCCGAGGCTCCCCGTGGTCTTGGGAAAGTTACTCCACGGCACTGAGCCTGTCTTCCTGTACCGTGGGCGCCGAGAGCGCATCCTTCTAGGGACATCTGTGAAGGCACCTGAGCACTCTCCACATGGGCCCTGGCACTCTGTGCATGCCAATTAACAGACGTCCTTGCCAGGAAAAAGAAACGGGACATGAGCCAGGGCCGGGCAGGGCGGAGCGGCCGGGAGCCGGCTCTGGCCTCCACCAGCAGGATGGGTGTGGGGACCCTCCGACTCAGCCCCCTCACTCCCTGCAGAGAAGGGCTGCCCCTATGTCTCCCCTCTCACCCACCCGACACCGCAGCCACAGCAGCGGCCCAGGGCAGGCAGAGGCTGAGCAGTCTGGCCGCTTAAGCCCCCTGCTGCTCTCTGGCACAGTGTCCCAACGCTGGGCCCAGGAAGACGGGGTCAGGTCCACTGCACCCCTCCGGCTACACAAGTCCCTGCCACAACCCAGCCTCAGTTTCCTCATCTTTAAAATGGGAGTGGGGCAGACCCCAAGGGGTCCTCCATAGAGCCTCAAGGTAAGGAGAGGGAGGAGAACCACCCACGCTCCCACCCTTGCCCAGAGCCCAGAGCCCAGGTCTTTCTTCTGGAACAAAGTGGCCTGAAAGGAGCCCTCAGGCCCAGACACCCGGGGGGACACCAGAGACCCCAGTGGTCCTGGCCTCGGGCTGCAGGGTCTGGCAGACCCAGGGCCAGCCTCAGTTTGCTGTTGCTGACAGTGGCAGCCTGGGAGAATCAGAACGCTCCCATGACACCCTCAGCACGGCCACGTACGGAGCAGCCGTGACCAGACCACAGGCATGCTCCACGGAGCGGGGTGTCCCAGACCTGGCCCCCATACCTCCCCAGCCTCTCCCGACCTGGGGTCCCCAGATCCTCTCCCCCACAGCCCCAGCAGACATGCCATGAGTCCCACACTCCATAGGCAAGACACAGGCACCCACCCAGGCCACACGGAGTGGCCACCAAACCTGGCCCTCACCTGCCAGCCACCTGCGGTCCCCCGCCCGCCAGGCCAGTCCACCGCCCGACAGAGAGGCAAGGAGGTGCAGCCTCATGGCGAGGGCAGGCGAGAGGTCCCACCACAGGGGCGGCCCCATCGGCCGCTGGCCGGCGGGCTCAGGGTCCCACAGCCTCGGGTGATGCAGCGCGGCGGCTGAGCGGGCAGGAAGGGGCCTGAGGGAGGTGCCTGAGCAGAGCTGGAGTCTCTTCCAGGCAGCCTGGAGCTGGTCGCAAGCAAGTGGTGCTCATGCTGGCCCGGCGGCCCAGTTCCCCTTTCCCAGAGCCGCCCGGTCCCCCACCCTCAACCAGACACCTGTGACCACAAGGCGGCTGCCATTGGCCAAAGCCAAGAGCTTCTTGGAAGAGGACAAGGACCCCGGCCTCATTTCCTCAATCCGAGACACGACCGTCACACCCGCAGCTGGTGCCGCAGATGGTCTGCCACCCAGCAGGGGCCTGGGCAGAGGACAAGGGCAAGGCCCGGACGTTGGGCAGCCCCAAGTTCAAATCCAGCTCCACCACAGCTGGCTGCCCACTGTAGGCAAATCAGGTGACCTGGCTGGGCCCATTCCCCATCTGCGTGCTGGGGGGCGATGGCAACAGCCGCCCCAACATGGTGCCAGCCGGCATGCAGGAGTGCTGGAAAACCGGATGCAGGGTGCCTGTCCTTGTCCTGGCCTGGAGTGGTGGCCTGGAAGAAGCCCAGGCATTGTTCGGGGGCCACCACCGCTCGCGCAGGCCCTCACATCCCCACCGTGCCATCCCCACCTGCTCCCAGCAAGGGCCACACTGAGCAGGGAGCCCTAGAGAGGCCAGCATTACGGATCCTGGGGGGCGTCCTGTGGGGGCGTGGGGGACGCAGAGGCCCGAGTGGAGGAAACAAGCAGGGAGTCACCGGGCCTGGCAAGGCAGGGGCCGGAATGGAGCAGAGCCTCGGATACTGGTGAGGCAGGGCCTGAGCAGCTCTGGATGGAACCCGCCTCGAGAGGCTTGAGGAAGCACGCGGGGGAAGGGGCCTTCATGGCTCCCAGCCTCCCTCCAGCCACACAACGAGGGCTTTCTTCCAAGGCACAGAATGCCTTTTGTGGCCCATCAGCCAATGGACAAGCCCCGGGCCGGTAGTGAGTGTGGGGGTGTGGACGTGCAGCTTTCAGCCCTGCCAGCCCCTGGCATGCTAGTGGGGGTCCTAAGTCCCCATCCACCCAGGAGGCCTGAGAGCCAACCAGCTCTGTCCACAACAGGCTGCCCTGCCCAGGCTGCAGAAGCCATGGCCCGGGAACCAGGCCTCAAGGAAGGCTGCGCAGGGGTAGCTCTGAGCAGCAGCGACTCACGGCCCACACCCTGTCTGTGCCCATCCCAGGCCAGGAGCTTCCTGCCTGCCCAACCAGTGCTGGGGACAGGCCGCCAAGATGTCACACAGGGCTGGAGGGGAACCAGAAGTCTCCTGTGATGGCACCCCCACATGCTCACACCCGTCTGAAAACCCTTCTGCAGGCGGTGCTCAGGACTGGAGGCCAGGCTGGCCCTGAACCACAGGAGGGCACTGCCCCGCCTGAGCACAGGGAAACCCACTGCCCACAAAAGCCCAGGGCACCAGCGTCAAGGCAGCAGGTGGGACACAGAGGGCTCCTTTCCTCCTGGAAGACAGAAAAGGGCCAGAGAACCCTCGCCCCCAGGCCGACCGGGTGACGGCCCAGTACAGCCCCACCGCAGCCTCTTCCTCCAGCTCTGGCCCCTGCCCCCCAGCACGCCCTGCATGGGTCCACACGCTGCTCACCCTGCACCCACAGCTCCACCGGCTGAGGGGCCCAGGGCAGGTCCCTTCCCTCCTGGGTCTCACCCACCACAAAAGCCCATGCTCTGCAGAACCCACTAAATTCCCAAGTCTCCCCCAGCTTCGGGCTGTCCCTAGCTTGCTGGTGTCTCCACTGCTGCCATATCCCCTGACTCCATCCTCAGTCGCTGGCGACCCCAGCACGGTTCGCTTTCCTCTGCACCACCGGCCCAGCCATGTGGAGCAGGTAACCATCAATGTCTGCCCAGTTTGGGGTTCAAAGATGATGAGGGAGGTCCCTGGGGTGACAGCGAGGAGGGTCCAGGACTCCTCCCGAGGGGTGACACTGAAGAGGGTTGAGGACTCCCCGCCGGGGTGACAGTATGGAGGGTCCAGGACTCCCCCCCAACCGGGGTGACACTGAGGAGGGTCCAGGACTCCCCCCGGGGGTGACAGTGTGGAGGGTCTGGGACTCCCCCCACAGGGTGACAGTGTGGAGAGTCCAGGACTCCCCACCTGAGTGACAGTGTGGAGGGTCTGGGACTCCCAGCTCTAGTGAGGAGAAGATAGGCTTTTGTTGAGCTGGGGTCTGTACCACAGGCACATGCTAGTCTCATAATAACAACACAAACAACCCCCGAGGCCTGGTTTCATCAAGACTCAGGCCAGACGGTCCCTTGGCCTCCTGGGTGTTAGCCAGGATCCCTTGTTCCCTCCTCTGAACTTTCCAGCTCCCTGCACATCGGGTTCAGGGCCTGGAACCACACCTGGATAAGCTCATCCTATGGACAAGGGCATGGGACGGTTCTGCCTGGAGTGAGGATCACAGCCCACCTACCCGTCCTCATGCAGCCCAGGTCGAAGCTTTATTCCCAAGAGGCACACCATGCCACCATGCTAACTGCCAACTCAGCTGTGGCTGGTGGTCAGCTGTGACCCCCAGATCCTCGCCAGCTGCCTGAGGGCCTGGTTCCCAGAGTGGGGCGGGGAGTGGGAGGTGCGAAGCCTCTGTGGGTTCTTCCGGCCCTCACCCCATCAATGCGCTTCATTTATGCCCAACAAGCCTCACTGACAGCTAAGTGGTGCGGTCTCATGAGACTCGGAATGAGGGTCCGTGTCCCCATCCTACCCCTGCCCCAGGGTTGACCTCAGCCCCAGAGGGGACAGGCAAGGTCCAAGACTGCAGGGCCCCTCACAGAGCCAGCACAGACTGACCTCCCACCTCAGCAGGTCTGGTGCTGGCCCCTGGACACATCCTGACCTGCAACAGGCTCCCAGCCCGCCACACCCACTCAGGCCACACAAGACAGCCCCACCTCCATCCTGCCTCACCCTGACATGGCTCATCAGTGAGACAAAGACCCCCAGAGCAAGTCCAGCTGACCAGCTGCTCAGCCCTCTGGGGTGAAGCGGCCTGGGCTCTCGGCCCCTCATGGCCCCCCTGTGTGTGCTGACACTGGGGAAGCCTCTGGCAGGACATGGCTTAGATGGGCCCACCCTGTCTGTCCCCACAGTGTGCACACACACAGCCACATCTGCCCAATCACCCACAGCATGTGATCCCAGCAGCCCAGGGGCATAGCCAGGTGGCTCCAGTCCCACTGCAGCCCCTTCTGGGCCCTTCAGCCAGGGTCTCGCTAACCAGGTCCTGTCCAGACAGCCCGAAGCTACGCCTGCATTCGGCACGCTCCAAGAACTCGACAGGTGCTGCGCCCAGCACCGGGGCAGAGTCCACACTCGCCGAACGCTGCTCTCAGGTGGGCAGGGCCTCCCCAGCCAAAGCCAGAGGCCACCCCGGACCAGCTCTCAGGCACATGTCTTCCCAGCTCAGAGACGGCAACGCCACAGACCAGGGCCTCCCAGAGACCCGGCTGTTACATAGTTAGCTGCCCACCCTCATACTGCCCACTCAGGCCTCAGCACCCCACCCTGGATAACTGGAGGGGCTGATTCGTAACCCAAAAGGCCCCTCCCTCGTGAATCCACACCCCAGCACCCCATGAATCCCACACACCTACTGCTCCATCAGTGCACAGAGGCCCATGGTGTCCAGTCCCCAGCCTCTGGTCCACCTTGCCAGTCCAGCAAAGCCAAGACAGCAGCCAGGGGCTTTCTCGCAGGACCGGCTGCAAGGGCAGGACTTCCTACCAGCTGCCCTGGCCCCGCCCCAGCCCCCAGCTCTGGTCTCCTCAGCACCCAGCTCCTGGCCCCCACTGTCTCCCCAGGCCTCACTCCTCCCAGCCAAGGTGCTAAAGGCCTGAGCTTGGGTCCCAGCCAGAGCCCTCCGAGCCCAGTCAAAAGCGCACACACACACACACACACACACACCACCCAAACCTCTTCCTTCCTCCCCACATGCGGCCGGCCACAGGGGCAGCAGCAGGCGGGGAGGCAGACGCCAGCCCAGGGGGAGGGTAACCTTACCTCCCAGCATCTACACCTTGGCTCAGCCCACTGCCCTGCGCCCCCCCACATCCTGGCAGGGCATGTGTGCATCTTGGTGGGGTGGGAGGGTCCTCATTACAGAGACCAAAGTGCCCAGCTGGCCCGCTGGCCTCTCCCAAACTCCTGGGTCCAGGGACAGAAGGAGAGGAGGAGACGTGGGGAGGGCACACTGACTGCTACACCGAGGGAGCGGTGGCTTCACCTGCCCACAGGTACAGTTTTCATCACCACCTGAGCAGCCCCCACCGGGAGGCTGCATCCAACTCATCCTGTGGGCCCCACACACCAAAGGCACCTTGTGGCCACTTCACGACGGAGCACCTAAGGTGCAGTGCGCCCCTGCTGGGCACCCCGGGGAGGTCGGGGCTAATTTGCAGTGAAGCCCCTTCAAAGCCCTAACCAGGGCCGCTGAAGAAAATAGGCAGAACCAGGAGGCCCCACCCCCAAGTCCACCTGAGGGGCTCTGTCATTCACTTGCCTACCTGCCGGCCAGATCCCTCAAGGCCAGCACCACCCTCTGTACCAGAGGGGCCTTGTGGCCATGGAGGAGGGAGAAGGGCGGGCGCCACATAGACCATGGTGTCCTGCCCCACCCAGCCCCCACCATCTCCACCAGCCCCTCTCAGCCCTGGGCCTGGCCCTTACAGCACACACAATCATTCCCTCTGCGTCTTCCTACCAGGGACACCTCCTCCAGGAAGCCTTCCCTCTCCCGCTCAGACAGTTAGAAGATCCAACAGGGCCCAGCCCTGAGAGACGGCCCTGAGAGAGCCCCTCTCAGCACTCTGCCCCAGCGCGGTCAGCACTAGCTAAGGTCTGAGCTCAACTCCTCCAGACAGGGCTCTACCAGCAGGTGAGGCCAGCTGCATCCCTGGACCCAGCCCCCAGCCCAGGCCGGGCAACCTGGCCACGCACTCCCATACGCCTGCCTCTTCAAAGCCTCTGCAGCTCCAAGATCTCCCTCCCCAGGGTCCCCCTCTCCAGGGCCTCCCTCAACCCTCCCAGCCCATGTCTGTCCTTCCTCAAATCAGTGCCCACCGCAGGCTCTGACAGCAGCAACTGGGGCTCAGAGAAGGAAAACCCCTTGTCCGGGTCACAGAGCTGGCCTGAGGCCCCACCGGGTTCAGACTCAGTCTCTGACTGGGCCCTGCACCTCCTGCCCGCTGGGGCCACATTTCCCCAGTACAGTGAGGGGCACCCCCTGAACCCTCAGCTGCTGGGAGGGGTTCCCGGGGGCTCTGCTGTCTCTACTGCAGATTGACAGGGGGGGATCCGGCCATGGGTAGAAGGTGCCGTCTGCCTGCAGCTCAAAGCCCCTTACCTCAGGACGGGCAGCCCTGGATTCTGGAGGAGGCCTTTCCTCTGGCCTCAGACCTCGGCCAGACCCAGGTGCCGGGGAACTGGAAAGGTGCTTCATGAGGCTCGGTGGCCAGCTGCACTCCCCACCTGGCCCAGGAGCTGGGACAAGCCACAGCCAGGTGTCGTGGGGCAGCAATAGGAGGGCCAAGGCCTGGCCACAGAGGCAGCCACAGAGAGCAGGGACCCCATGGCACTAGGTCACCAACCCTTCCCAAGTCCAGTCCCTGGACACCCCAACCATCACACCGAGGGGCCCGTCCTGTCTACCTCCCAGCCTGCAGCCTCCTCCCAGGGGGGGCCGCCCACCTGACAGGCGGCATCTGCTCCTTGCAACCACTGGGTCATGGGAGGCTCCTCACTTCTCATGGCCACCCCAGCCCCTATCCGACCCCAGGCGAAGTCCCCAGCCCTGATCTGGCCCCTGGCTCCTGACCCAGGTTCTCCAGGAGAACCCGGGCAGGACCCCACCCTACCCCTGCCCCCAGGCCAAGCCACGGGCAGGCCAGCCTCAGCACGCCAGCTCACAGTGCCCCGGCCACCCCCACTCCCATCCTGGGATCGGCGTGACTCACGGGGCCGGCACGCCACCTCCGGCCTACACCGCGGGGGGCCACCCCCAACACACGCACCTGCCCTGACTTGCCGCTGGTGGACGGTGGCAGTGCCAAGGCCACACTTGGCCCTCAGGCGGCACGACTGACCACGACAACAGAGGGGCTGCAGGGGAGAGGGCAGGAAGATTGTGCTCAGGCAGGGGGCACAGAAAAGGGAGCCCCTGCTGGGCTTCAGTCCCTAATCCTGAAGCTCCGACAGCCCCGAGGCCTCCACCAACCCCCAGGGGAGCAGGCTGGGAGGCCAGAGTCTCAGACCCAGAGACCAGCAGGCCTCCAGGCTCTGCCATACTGGAGAGGGGGCTGGAGCCGCCAAGGCCAGATCCCAGGGCCACTGCCCCTCCCACACAAGGCCCCAGGGTTGGAGCTGGGGAAGACTGAGCTCCATCCTTAGGGGCAGCTGGGCCCAGGTCCCTACAGACCACAGGCACAGAGGGGCTGAGCTGGACCCACGAACCCGCCCAGGCTGGGCCTCAGGTTTTCTCATCCGCATACTGGGGCTGTCCTGCTACCTCCCAGGACCGCAGGGTGGGGTCAGAGAGGGGCTGGAGCAGGAGGGTGAGACCCTGCGGCTGTCAGGGAGCACAGGAGCATCACCCAAGGCCTGGAGCAAGCCCCCCATGAGGCCGAGCCACCAAGACCCTGGGCCACGGCCACTGGCAGTGCCTGCCACAGACGGTCAGTGATGGGCAGCGACTCGGTCCTGGGGGCCCTCCTCCACTTCCCGGACACAGACACAGATGCCTGGATGGCCAGGAAGTGAAGGGAGGCCCCATCTCAGGGTGCCCCAGAAGCAGCTCACCACAGGACAGCCAGCCTCCCCTCCCACTGTCTGTCACGGAGCCCCCAGCCCTCCTTCATCCCCACCCCATGCACAGGGCATCTGTGCCCTCGGCAACAGCTGTTGCTGATGGGGCAGGCCCGAGCCCCGCCCTCAGGGAGCCCACAGGGATCAGGAAAGGCCCAGTTAAGCACGGACAAGCAGGTCCAACCGAGAACAGCATAATTCCGGGTCCTGCTGTGCAGAGGAGGTGTGGTGGGGAGGAGCTATAAGGCTGGAGGAGCCGGGTGGCCCCACAGGCTGGGCTGCATCCCAGGAGCTCAGCTGGCAGGCAAGTGACCCAGCAGGAGCTGCATTTGCTGACTGACAAATGGGTGGCGGCTGAGGTCCACCCCCACCCTCAAGGAGGGAAGGCAAGAGACGTGTGTTCCCACCCGAGGACAGCAGCAGGACCTCTCTTCCGGGCACAGGATGAAGCAGGACAATCTGACTTGAGGAAACAAAACAAAGTCACAGCCAAGGATGGTCTGGCTCCTGCCCTCCAGGCTCCAGAGGCCGCTCCTGAAGCTGCCGGGACTCCTGCAGGCACCCCTACAAGGCTGGGGTGCTTCACAGCCTGGGGTCTGCGGGGGCAGCCTCCCTCGGCAAACCCCAACTCCAGGCTGCCTTTGGGAGCAACCGGACGGCACGCGCTGCCCAGGGTCAGAGCTCCCTACCCACCCCTCCTGTGACTCTGAGCGGCCGACCCAGCCTAATGGCCACAGTCCTGAGGCTGGCAGGGGCAGGGAGGGCCACCACTTCGGTACCTTCCCCAGGTACTGCTCCTTGGGGACAGGTGACAGGGGCCACAGCCTATTCCCTCGGCACCCAGGACCCTGCCTCTAAGCAAATAAACCAACAAGCATCCACATTTGCCTCCAGGCCACAGGACCCTTCGGGACCAGGCCAGCTCTGTTCACCAGCTGCGTTCTGGAGGCAGATGGCCACAGCCCTCTTGGGTGGCAAGGGTTAAACCACACAGTGGTAAGGACCCCGCACACAGGCGCTGGCCGGCACACACGCCTTCAGGTGGCGGCAGCAAGGCAGCAACACCAGCACCGGCCTGGCTCCCCAGCGCTGACCCAGCAGACAGAGAACTCGCCTCTCTGCCTAGGATGACAGCATCCAGCCAGGGACTCATCTCCCAGGAAGCAGCCGGGGTGGCCTGGCACTTCCAGAGCTCTGTGCCTTGCCTGTGCCCTCTGCCCCGGCCCTGCCCAGAACCCTGGGTGGCTGCCAGCTTCCTGCCGAGCTAGCTCCTCGTCGCCAGCCACAGTCATCGTGAAACCTGCTCGCCACCCAGGGCACCACTGTGCCCCCATGGCCACCACTCCAGGAGGACAGCACAGGGGCCAGGCCTGGGTGTGGCCGACGCTGAGCTGCACATAACCTGCCCCAGCTCGGCCCTTCCGCACACACCTGGATTCTCACAGCCCCTCCAAGGGGGGCAGAGCAGGAGGGTCCCCACTCAGCACCCCATCAGCTCACGCAACGTCCCCCATACTGGTTCTGATGGAGGTGGGTGTGGAGGGGGGCAGCGAGATGGCTTCCTGGGGACAGAAGCTGGTCTGCAGAGCACGAGGGTATGACAGATCAAAACGCACACACAGACGGTGGAAATCGGGCAGCAGCTGGAAGTCAGAATAAAAATGTTACATCTCTGCAAGAGTAGAGTGCTCCTCCCTGACCCCCACATCCAAACTGACCTCTGTTTTCATAAAGGCCAACAAGAGACAGAAGTGGTCCCGGAGAGGGAAGTTGGGAAAACGGATATCTCCGAGGGGTCGCGGGAGCTGGGGGTGTGGGTGTGCTGGCTGCAGGGCACACACACACGGAGACTTCACCCAGCTGTGCAGGAAGGACACGCATGCCTTCCCGAGCGGTGATGCCAGCACACGCAGGGCTGAGTTCTAAGGAGGGCCCAGCCCCACAACTGTGCTGGACACTGGGGACCCCTCCCATGCTCTGGGCCTCCCATGCTCCAGGCCTCCCATGCTCTGGGCCACCTGCCCTTGGTCAGGCAGTGATGGGGACAACGCCATCGCCTTCCATGTGGGACAGCATGTGGCCCAGGGAGGGCAGCCAGCTCGCCATCAAGGACCCAACACCCCTGGGGCTGGCGGAGATCAGTAACCCCAACACTGCCAGAGGCCCCCAGAAATGAAAGCGGAGCACAGACAGGGTGAGAATGGGTACTGTCAGTGCCCAGCACGGATGCAGCGAGCTTGGGGCTCCGTCCCCAAAGGCTGAGCAAGACTGGCCAGGTCCCCATTCCCAGTGCCAGCCCCTCACAGGGTCGGCCCCTAGGCCAGCAGTCACAGGGCTGCCAGGAAAACCCGGCTGACGGGTCAAGGACAGTGGGCGTGGCACAGGGCCAGGGCACACAATCGCACACTCAGCCAGTGAACACGTGGCCCAGAGGTCAGCCCAGCGACTGCCCGCCACAGGTAAGGAAATGCTTCCTGCACCCCCTCAGAGACTCGACGCCCAAGGTGCCCTCACCATGCCCCTTCCCTCCCTCCTGAGACCCTGCAGCCTGCAGGCCCAGCCAGATCCCTAGGGCTGCGCCCCTGGCTGGTCTCAGCTGCAAGGAGCCAGGAGGTCCCTCTCTACCACGCTTTCATTTCCATGCCCAGTGCCCAGCTTCCCCCAGGAGCACAGCCAGGGAGGGTACTGCCCACGCGCTGAGCACCCGAGATGCACCAGCCAGCACAGGTCTCACTGGTTCTCTGAGAGCTCCCTAAGCATCACCTTCTATAGACAGAGAACGCGGCAAGGCTCCAACACACAAAGGTCGCCCTGGCCGAGGCCACGCAGCTGGCCAGGCTGTCAAGTCATGAGCCCAGGGCTGCCTGAGCAGAGTGTGGCGGGCGGCAGGGGAGGAGAGAGAAGAAACGGTAGGACAGGGCAGCAGTGGGGGCTGTGGTTGGGCCACTGGAGGGACCTCTGCCCCCGCGAAGGAATGGAGACAGCATAGACGGGAGCAGTGTGGATGGGGCACACAGGCACACGCACAGATCAGAGCACGAGGCACACACACATGCATAAACACGCACCCTGCCAGGCACCGAAGCTCCTAGACCCCCACAACCCTGGGCACTGCGAGGTGCGACAGCTGGCATGGGCAGGCCCCGCGGCTGAGGGTGCCCCTCTGGGCCTCCACAAGAAGGCCTGGCTGCGCCTGCAGAGGGGCCGCCTTCTTCCGCCCCAACCAGCGGGGCCGGTGGGAGGGTGCCTTCCTTCCTAAGGAAGATCCCAACTTTGATAGGAAACACAAATCTGAATTCCATTTTTGTTTTAAAAAATTAATAAATAGCAAGGCTTGTCATGATCTGCCCGCATGCGGAGAAGGGAGGCCAGCAGGCTGCGAGCCTGGCGGGGTGGGGTGGGGGGGAAGCAGAGAGAGAGAGGGAGGGAGGGAGGGAGGGCGGCCGGCAGCTTGTTTTCTCTACGTGGCCTCTGCCATCGAGTCGCAGGGCACGTGGTGTTTGTTGTTTGTTTGGGGGAGTGTTTTACAGAATCTCAGCATCCCCCAGCCACTAACACAAACTCTCACACCGAGAATGCTCTCCTGCCAGAAGCCAGCCCTCCTACTCCGCACCAGGGAGTGGCTGCTTCCAAATCGCCCTCACCCCAGCCCTCAGGCTTCTCCTCCAGCCCTGACAACCCACACAGGGCCCAGAGCTGCCGGCCCCGGGCCCACCTGCTGGCCACCCCAGGCTGCCCGCTGGCCCTGGCCCGTGTTCCCAGCTGTAAAACTAGACGGCCAACCCAGCGTCACTCCCAGCTCTCCCGCCAGGCCGATCATCCACACACAGTCTCCGGGCTGACCCTCAGATGAACCAGGGTTTATTCCGGGCCAGGACCTGCCTGGAATCCCCTGCCCACTGCCTGGAGCAACTGTTCACAGTGTCCACAGCCCACCCGGGAGCCCTCGGCTGCCCTCCATGAAGAGCATCCCCCCTCAGACCCCAAAAGCCACTGCAATTCTGGAGGCAGGAAGGTTTCCTGGGTGCCCAGCCAGCCACAGCCATCGGAACCAGGCCAGGAAGACAGCAGGCAGCTCCCACCTCCCCACAGTGACACGCGCTCTGGCCCGGCCTGCTCTCCACCCCCAGCCTTGGGTCATTCCAGGAACATGTCAGGCTCTCTCGCCTCTAGCCTTGAACATGCTGTTCCCTGGGCCTGAAACTCCTCCACCTGTTTCCTGGCTCACTCCAGCCTGGCTCCGTTTTATATAACACCTCCTCCAGGAAGCCTTCCCAGAGTCTCTCAGTTGGGGTAGGGGTCTCATCTCCTACACACCCCCTCAAGAGCACTCCCTGCAGTGCAGGGCACAGTCAGCCCCTCACCCTGGGTGCCAAGGCTGAGGGCTACCGAGGATAGAGCCATGGCCACTCCATTGTGACACCCTGGGCCCTGGCCAGTGCCTGGCACATAGCAGGTGCCAAGTACAGACCTACAGGATAGCGGGACCAGGTCGGCGCCAGCTGCAGGAGTCCTTAAGAACTAGCCAGGCAGGCGCCGAGTTCCAAGGAGACCCAAGCAGTAACACGAGGCACTGCCAAGCTGTGCTTCCCCAAATAGGTTAGACAATCTCGCTGAGCCTCTATCTCCTCTTCTGTAGGAATGAAACTGAAGAAGGAAGTCGCCAGGAGGCAAAAGGTCTAAATTTTACCACCCACTTGCTGTGCCTCCCCAGGCAGCCGCTGGCCTGGCCATTCTCTGGGTAGACAGAGGGAACGGCATTTGCTCGGGGCTCAACATGTGGAGGTTGTGGGGGTTTGGTCTGGGAGGAAGACCGGAGGCGGGGGGTGCCCCGGGGGCCTCCCTCAAGCCAGAACCCATTGAAACAGTGGCCCTGGGCCGAGAGCCAGGATCCCTGTGACCAGCGACCAGTGACCAGCGCAGCCCACACCAGGAGGGTGGCCTGCGATTCACCCCCTCACCCCTCAGGACAGCTGGGGACCAGAGCCACCCTCAGGCCGGGAGCAGCCCACACTGCGGAAGTGGCAGTGACCACCAGGTTGGCCTTTCCTCATCCATCCCACAGGTGGTGAGTGCCAACCACCACCCAGGCTCAAGCTCCACTGGGGCACAGCGGCCGCCGCCTGCGGATCTGGGTTTGAGTCCTGGCTGCATCGCTCTCGGCTGGGTAGGGCCTTGGGCATCTGACTCAACCTCGCTGGTTCTAAACGTCCTTGTCCCCAGAAAGGGGATGGCACCCTCACCTTTAACTCCCGGAAGCCGTGACGATTAACCGACACCACAGACAGCCACGTGGACAGCCACCTTCATGCACCACTCAGAGAGCACTTGCCCATCAGGCGACTGCTTCCCCCGTCGAACCCAGGGCTACAAACAGGCAGAGAAAAACCAGGCTGGGAGGCCAGGTGAGGTGGCGCACTCCTGAAGTCCCCACTACCCGAGAGGCCGGGGCGGGAGGATCACTTGAGCCCAGGAGTTCACGTCTAGCCTGGGCAACAAAGCAAGACTCTGTCTCTAATTTTTAAATTTTTAATTAAAATAAATTAGAAAACAAAGGTGGGCCCTGCCCAGGGGCACCCAGTCCAGAGTCAGAAAGACAGCCTTTTCCAGGAACCTGGCTATCGGCTGGTAATGTGGCAAGGTGGAGGAGACATCAAGGGGGGCTTCCTGTGGGAGGTGCCACTCACCTCCCTCCAGCTACAACCCAGTAGGCTCCGACACCTCCCCATGCCAAACCCTGGCCTCTCTGTGGATAGCTGGGGGATGGGACAGACCTGCACATGTGTCTACCATAAGGAAGGTAGGCCCAGGGAGGGTGATAGACAGGAAGATCTGGGTCAAAAAAACCCACACCACCTCGTGGCCAAGGACCGCAGCACACAATGCTGCTTCTCTGGGCCGCAGTATTCTCATCTGGAAAATGGGCCAACGGCCTGGGAAAACACAGGGTTGGAGACCACACACGAGAAGGGCTGAGCGCAGGGCCCGGCACACAGCAGCAGGCACAGAGCTGTTAAAGACAGTCGGGCGTGGACCACAGTTCCTGGCAGACGGCAGGTGCCCATAACTCAGTGCGTCTCGGTGGCCATGCCCTTCCTGTTACTGCCATTCCTAGCCCAAGAACAGCACCAAAGGCTGGTCTCTGGGACCCGAGTCCTTCATCCCACCCGGGCCCCAGACACTTCCGCCTTACCAGAAAGCATGGCTCCTGACCACCCCCAGCTCTGTGGCCACTTGGCTGTGTGGCCCAGCCCAGCTCCTCACCCTCTCTGGGCACCCGCTTCCTCATCCATAACGGACTGGTCTCCAGGGCCCCTCCCCTGCTGACGAACCCGGGGCAGACGCCACAGCCCAGGCCAGGCTTGACCACAGGTTCCTGGAATGCCAGGCCCCACCCAGCAGGCAGGAGGGTCTGGCCTACCGCAGCTCTGCAACCAGGAAGGCTGGGTCTCAGCCCCTCTCCTGCTGCCCCTTCACCAGAAAGCCAGATTCCAGATCTCAAGCAGCTCCGCGCCCAGTCCAGACCAGAGAGCCTGAGCTACCGCCTGGGGTCACACAGCCTACAAGGGCAGAGCCAGGACTCGCCTGCCCCACAGGAGCACACGCCCTGCTGGGCCCTGTGCTGCCACCCTCTGAGGTGGTAGAGTCCCGGGAAGAGCAGGGTCTCACAGTCCAGCACCTGGACACAGTTCCTCTGCCTGCTGGGGGCCCCAAGGCGGGTCAGTGGGCCTCTCTGATCCTCTGTCTCCTCTAAACTAAGCCTAATAACACCCACCCCATAAGATGATGGGGAGGCCTCCGTGATGCCCTCTGAGGTGACGGGGAGGCCTCCGTGATGCCCTCTAAGCCGTGTGCCTGGAACCCAGTGATAACAAATCAATTCTGCAATGGGTCCAACCACTGTCTCCCCTCACGGGACAGTCCCAGGGCCAGGCCTCCTCCAGCCAAAGGAAGAGGGACCCTCGCCTGCGGCCCCCACTCCACACCATCTCCCATAATCGGCCCAGGACGGGTCCATGCTCCAGCCCCAACAGCAAAGCCAGCATCCAGGAGGCCCTCAGCTGAGGCCCTGGCTGCGGCCCTCCACCTCCCCAGTGGGCGCGTGTCCTGCCACACTGCCAGGCGCCTTCGGCCTACCTGGCTCTCCCTCTCCCTCCCTACGCCCTTCTGCCTCTACAAGCGGCACTGAGACTGGATGGCCGGGCTTCAAACCCATCCTCACCCCTCTCCACACCTCAGTTTCCCCTCCATAAATGGGGAAGTAGCAAGGATCCCGTGGGCCCAGACTAATGTCACCCTGCCTTGACGTCACTCCCTCGAGGTGGCCTCTCCTCCCCTCCCCAGGGAGGGAAGTGGGGCCTGAGCACCCCACAAGGGAGGCCCAGGCTGGGCCTGGCACCCAGTCCTGCACCAGGCTGGCAGGATGTTGGGAAATGCACAGGCACTTATTTCAACACCGCTGGCCACGTCACAGACGGGTTTCAACACGCAGCAGCGCCCAGGAAGCGCTGCAGCCATCTTGGCCCAGCCACCTGCCACGCCGCCCGGAGGAGACAGGCCCGGCCCTGCACTCGCGCACCCATGGCTGCCCTGTGGCCCCGACTCAGTTGATGACCCTCATCCTCAGGACAGGCAGAGACAAGGGCGGACCACTTCAAGGGGGCGCACGCCACCCCCAGGCCCGTCCTCCATACCCCAAGGGCCAGGCCACAGGCCCAGTGAACCAGAGGCACCGGCCCAAGAGCTGGCCGCCAGGCCCTGCCCCAAGCCACCAGTGCCATGGCCATGAAATGGGGCGAGAGTTCTCTGCCAGCTTGTTAGGGGCGAGGCCTAGGGGAGATCATGTTATGGAAAGAGACGGTGCCCCCAGAAGTCTGGCCCCCATCAGCATTTGAGGAGAAGCTCAGCCCAGCTGGCTCTCGCTGGACACACGGCAGCCCCGCCAAGCCCCATACCCACCTGGGCTCATAGCCACGGCTACCCTGGCCCTGCCTGAATGAACACCAGGGGGGCCAGAGACAGTGGCGGCTGCCCAAGAGCACCCTGGCTCTAGACGACTGGTCCCCTGAGACCTCACGGCAAAGGACACAGAGGCCTGGGGGGGTCAAGGGACTTTTCCAAAGCCACACATCAGACAAGGCAGGCAGCAAGGACCCCACTCAGCCCCAAGCCCCAGCAGCCCCCACTGGGCCGGTGGGAGGGATGACTTTTGTAACTGGGTGGGAATGTGATGGGGAAGCAGGATCAGCTTCGGATGCAAACCCCTCTCCAGGGCACTCTCTTGAGCGTGTCCCAGAGCGAGGGTGACCCACCTGCCAGCCCAGGGCCCCCCACACTGTCTTCAGCACTCAGCCCTCAAGTGAGGCTGATGCGGCCTCTTCCCCAAGCCCTCCGGCTCCTGCCACTCCCTCAGGTGGAACCCAGTGGAAGAAGGGACACTGTACTCTCTGCTGACCACCCACCTTCCGCGATGGCCCCTCAGCAGCCACCCGCCGGGCCAGCCACCCTTCTCTTGGCAGCGTTCTCTCCTGGAGTGAGAGCACTCATCATGTCCACACCACCTCCAACCCCAGACCCTCCGTGGTCTGAGCTGGGCTGTGCACAAGGCCCACCCGGCGCCGCCACACAGCGAACTGCATGGGGTGGACGCTGCTGTCCAGATCTCCCTGGCCCCAGTCTGCAGCCCAGGGCCCAGCCAGCACACGGGGATGGCTTGCAGGTGGCGAGGAAGGACGACCAGGGAGGTCACATAGCAGGCAGCACTCTGAAACCCTGAAAGGCCCTGGCATGACCAGGCTGCCCCAACAGAGCTACAGAATCCCAAATGAGGGGCTCACCATGAGCCCTTCGTCTACGGGGCAAAGGCTTGGCCTTGTCCTGTAGAGGTGATGCCCCACGGCGAGAGACAAAGTAAACCAGCGCACAAATAAGAAAGTAATGTGGGGTCCCGAGGTGAGGAGCCTCGTCTGCACACAGGGACCAGAAAGGCCTTGGAACCAGCCGGGCAGGGAGGCCTGACGTGCTCCCAGCAGTGGACACGGCGAGGGCAGAGAGCCCTGCCAAGCTCAGCGCAGCCCTGCCCGAGGTCACACTGCCCAGCAGCGGCGGAGCCAGTGCTCAAGCTCAGAGCGTGTGCTCCCCCACGTCCCATGCAGATGGACACCACCCCACAGGGCCTCCGGGGCTCCTCAAAGCCATAGCCATGGGACAGACAGTCATCCTTCCGACCCGGGACATCAGAAGACCAAGGACCAGATCCCAGCTGGGTCCCAGGGAGTCAGGCAGTGGGCCCCCATTCCCACCTGTCTGGGAGCCCCCAGTACCCCACTGTGACTTCCAGTCCAGCAAAGGGAAACGGGCTGTGCTTTCCTCGGTGCACCGAGGCTCTGAGTACACCCTGCTCATCCCACTGGGCAGGAGGCAGACTCCGTGGCGAGCTCCCACGTGTGCAAACACAGTACACATGCTGGGCTCATGCACCCGCACACACGGGACTGTGTAAATGGAGTCTGTAAAGTTTCAGGTTACAGTGAGCCTTGAACTAGGAGGAGGGGACCTCTGGACTCAGCCTCTCCTCCCACACCTCTGCCTCCAAATGTGAGGCTGTGGGAGGGTGCACCAAGGCAGCTCTGAGACAGGATACCCGAGAGGCCTCAACACGCCAAGGCCACCGAGCAGGTCAGACCTCAAACCCAGGCCCATGACTCCCATGCCCACAGGGAGGAGGCCCTGGGTGGGGCTGGAGGGGACACAAAGGTGGGGGTGTGGAGAGCTCACAGGGAATGGGTGACAGTATCCAAGAAGCCCCCGGAGGCACAACAGCTGCGATCTCCAACACACATAACCCCCCCACACACACGCAGACAACCCCCGCACTCTCACACATACAACCCACACACAAAACCCCCGCACTCACAACCCCCCCACATACACACATAACCCCTGCACTCACACACATATAACCCACACACACACAACCCCTGTACTCCCACACACAACCCCCGCACACACACACAACCCCTGCACTCACACACACATAACCCCCCCCACACACACAACCCCTGCACTCACACACACATAACCCCCACACACACACATAACCCCCCACACACACAACCCCCCTACACACATATAACCCCCCCACACATAACCCCCCATACACACATAACCCCACACACACACATAACCCCCCCACGCACACACACACAAGCCCCGCACTCACACACACATAACCCCACACACAACCCCTGCACTCACACACAACCCCACACACACACACATAACCACCCCACACACACAACTCCCCCCACACATAACCCCCCATACACACATAACCCCCCACACACACATAACCCCCCCCACACACACACACACAAGCCCCGCACTCACACACACATAACCCCACACACACAACCCCCGCACTCACACACATACATAACCCCCGCACTCACACACACACACAACCCCCACACACACATAACCCCTGCACTCACACACATAACCCCTGCACTCACACACTTTCACACACACATATGCAGTCACACATATGCACAGCACACACACATCTCACATGCACAGTCACATGCACACACCCAAACACACTCACAGTCACACACACATCCACACTCACCCAGTCACATCCACACATGGCATGAAGTCACACATACATCCACACACATTCACGTATACTCACACATACATCCTCAGTCACACACACACACCCTCACACACACACCACACAGCCACACACATACATCCACATGCATGTACACTCACAGTCACCTACAGTCACACATACCTATACATACAAAATACACAGTCACACACACACACTCATACACACACACACCCTAACAGAACGGCACACATGACTTTTTGCTCAAAGCCAGCCAGCTCTCTGCAGCCTTCTGCTGCCTGAGCCTCTCATCCTGGAGGGCGCATCTCCGAACACCACAGTGCGGGAAGGACCCGGTGGCCCCCATGGCAGGGGCTATCCAGCCCCAGGGGAGTGGGTGGCAAGGGCAGAGTGAGCAGCTGCCCTACTTCCCAAGGGGGCCTCAAGCCCACTGGACGGAACAGCACCTCACAGGCACCTGGCTGTGCCTGTCAAGGCCAGCTGACCATCAGCAGAGCCCTGGGGACACAGGGCACTGTGGGAGCCACAGCCAGGCACTGACCATCCATCGGGGAGCAGCCTGGCCTCCCTCCCCTACAGAGGGCTCTCCAGAGACACAGGTGCATGGCAGGGAGTCCCGGGGGGAGGGGGTTGAGGAGACCCTAGCCCCAGGCCCGCTGCCGCAGGCTCCTGGCCCTGCAAGCTGGCACCTCCAGAGCGGAGAGCATGCGCGAGCTGTGGTGTTTAATAACAAATTACTCTGAGCAGGCAGGGAGCGGCTTATCGGCCGAGCATCTCCGGCAAGGCCGATACCATCAGCTGCTGTCAGGCAGCTCTGGGAACTATTAGCTTAATTAGCAGTTCCTGCAGGGTCAGCACAAAACTGCTGGCTGAGCCGGGGCCCAGGAACCAGTTTCGGCTGCCAGAGACAGGCTGGGCAGGCCCTCAGGTGTGGGAGAGGAACCCCAAGGACCCAGAAGGGGCCACAAGACACCCCGGCACCCCCCACCCGAGGGGGAGCTGCAGGTGCTAAGGAGGCTCTGTGCCCCTTGGGGGACCATGGTGCCCCACACACCCCCTGCACAGGCAGGCAAGTTGAGGCCCCCACAAAGGGAAGCCCACCCCACACTCCCCAGCCGGCGAGGGTCACCGCACTGCACCGACAGCTTGGCCGAGGGGCCAGGAGCCGGGGGTTTCACATCCTGTCTCCAAGTGCTGGCTCCTCGACCACTGAACCTCAGTTTCCCATCTGTAAAGTGGGATCTCCACGGTAAGGGCACACAGCGGGCCCTGGCACGTCGTCCCTGCATGTGGGGACGCAAGAGAAACCCAAGGCAGACTCAGTGTCCTTCTCTTCCCACAGAGAGTGGAAGGGTGGGCTCCGGGGAGCAAGGCTGGGTCTCCCCGGACAGGGTCACCACCCTCCCCCCCACCGCAGACTCAGTCCCTGCCCAGCGCAGCACCTAGACTGCTGTGAAGATGGAGGGAGATCACAAACGCCAGACCAGGCAGATCCACAAAGAAGGCAGGCAGGGGAGTGGCTGGTGGGGTCAGGCGGGGCACTGCAGCAGCTCCAGCGGGCACGGGGCTTCTTTTGGGGGGTTGGTGGAAGTGCTTCGAAATTCTAAAGCTGGCTGTGGTGGTGGCTGTGCAAGTGTGTGGATGAAAACCCACTGAACTGCACGCCTTAAAAAGATGACTGTTACGGGAGGTGACCCGTATCTCAACCAATTAACCAATCGGATAATAAGCCTGGTGCTGGGCAAAGGCTGAGAGTGGCACGCAGGGCAGGGGTGGGGATGTGCAGGCCCGGGAACCACCAGCCCCTTCTCCCAGCAGGAGCCTGAGGGACATCTCCGACTCAGCCTGCCTGGCGCCTTTCCACCACGTTCCGACTGGGATGTGTCCCCGACTCCTGTGTCTTTGCTCACACTAATCCTTGTCCCCAGGCATCTGTGGACCTTAGGGTGGCCTACGTGAAACATGGGGGGTGCCAGGCTTCCTTTTCCGTGGAGAGTCTATGGCTTTTCTGACCAACACTGTCCCCGGGGTTCAGCTTCTGAGGCAGGAAGATCAGGCTGGCGGGAGCTGATTTCTCCAGCCCCACCCAGCTCCTCACGAGGAGGCCAAAGCCCACTAGTGGAGGGGCCCTTCCTCCCTGCCCCAGCCCTGGCTGGGCCCTGTGGTGCTGTCCCCAGGCCAGCACCCGGGGGACCTGGAGGCCCATGGCACGGGGTGGCTGCTGGGGAGGGGGACTCCCGCCAGGAGCTCGCCGTGGCCAGGCCACTCTGCCACCGACACCGCTGTGTAATGAGTTGCAGATGCGCTGGTGTAAGAGACTGGAGCAGCCCCGCCCTGCAGAGGAAGCTGGGAACCGTCTGAGATCACGTGCAATTCTGGAGCCTGTGCCAAGGCCTGCTGGACCTGCTGGCAGGGCAGGCATGGGGGGGGTGGGCAGAGGGAGAGGCTGTGGCACTCCTCCTGGGCACACATGGGAGACCACCCAGCGGGCACCTGTGCTGAAGACACCCTCCCTGGCCCCACACACAGCCCAGAACATGCCACACGGAGCCACCAGAGGCTCTGCCGCCTCCCACTGGGGCCCTGGTGCCTCTGAGCCTTGGCTTCTCATCTGTACCCAGGGACAGCACCGCTCCCAGGTTGTTACTGAGGCACGAGAGATGCTGAAGATGCCAAGCCCCACCTCCCAAAAAGGGAGGGGTGGAGGCAGGGGTGGAGGCAGCCGCCAGATGATCCCCGCGGCTCCTGCAAAGACAGGCGGCTCCTAGGGGTCGCTCAGCGGACGCCTGACTGGAGGCAGCCACAACTGTGCTGAGCGTCTGTGTGCACCTCCCCGACGGCCAATCCCAGCCCAGGAACCCTCCCCAAGACAGGCCTGAGCCTAGCAGTAGGAATGGTGGCATGGGCAAGCCACCAGAGGGTAATGGGAGGGTCCTTCTGGGCTGGCCCTCCCTTCCCCTGGGGCACCTCACCCACCGACAGCTGGCCCCACCGAGACCCACCGAGACTCTGCCGGGCCCCTCAGGGCTACATCTGGCCTAGAGTTAACAGCCACCAAGAACAGACCTGAAACTCATCCCCACTGTCCCCGCCCAGTCCCAGGCCTGCTGAGGGACAGCCCAGGACCCCAGAAAAGCCACAGAAACCACTGGACAAGCAGATCACCCCCTACCACCCAGGCCCCAGTGCAGCCCCAGCCTGGTCCACACAGCCATGGCCACAGCCAGAGACAGGAGGCAGGGGCAGCGGCCTGGTCCACCCCATGAGCAAACCCACACATCAGCCAAGAACACCGGGTCTCACACCAGGACACACCACGAGCGTTACCCGCCAAATCCCACCTGGGCCAGGCAACGTGGACCCCGCTCCCTGAGCTCACCAGAGACCCAAGGCCGCCTGGTCACTCACCCAGGGACGCGCTGCCCCACCACGAGGGGCGAGGGCTTTCAGCTCGAGCGCCTGCAGGCTGGGGCTGTGATCCTCAACCTCTATCTCCTCATCCGTAAGACAGGGGCCCTCAAGAGAACTCCGGGAGATGGCCCACGAGGGGCTTTCCCGGGCCCAGCGTGCCATCAGCCCTCCAGCAACAGCCGCCTCTGTGGTGGCCCCGGAGCCATTGGCTCACCCCGCCCCCTCCTGCCAGCACCAGACCCCACCTTGGGAAACGCTCTCCCCAGAAGCTGTGGGCCTGCCCCATCCCCCAGCTGGGCAACCGGGACAGGGCACACCCCTCTCTAGCATCAGCCTCCTCATAAGTAAGAGGGCAGGTAAGCAGAAGGGGAGGGACCCACATGAGGCCTCATCTATGTAACATTCAAAGCCAGGGCCACGAGCTAGGGGCCGAGAGGCCAGCCCCAGCCTGGGATGCCAAAGTCCACGCTCCTGGCTCCTCTCCCCCAGCCACCAACACTAGGGACCCAGCTGAGTCCCAGGCAGCCCTAACGTCAGCAGGGGCAGGCTGGGCAAAGCATGGAACCCCAGGGGGTCTCCAATCTCCCAGAACACCCCAGGGTTACCGCCCCAGCCTTGCCCGGAAGAGCCCAGCTTAGGGGGTGTGGGGAGCTGGGAGCCACAGAGCACCCAGGGCTGCTCTGCCATATCCACACCCCTGGCAGGAAGTGGCCCAGAGGGTCTGCAGGGGCCAAGGCCAGAAGGGCAGGTGAGGCCCCACCAGAACCATGCCCCGGCCTGTCTGGGCCTCAGTTTCCCACAGATGCAAGCTGCCCTCTGGTGGCTGCTGGGAGCATCCAAACACAGAGCCCATGACAGCCGGACCCCCACACAAAGGCTGCTGTTGACATTGTTCCCAAAGACACCGACCCTAGGCCCTTCCTGGAGTCGGCATCTGAGGGTCAGCTGCCCATCAATGCTGGGGTGGAGGCCATTTAATATGCCAGGGCTTGGAGCCCCCTGAAGCCACCAGTGCCCTGGTGCCCACGCAGTGGGCGTTTGCCAGACCTCCCTCCCACCCCAGCACAAGCTCCCACCGCACGGCTTTTGCACCTCATCCCTGATGCCTGGACCTTACACGTGACGCTGTGGACCTCACCCCACTGAGTGGGAAGTGTCTTCAGGCGGCTGGAGATTTGGGGGGAAAAGAAATGGGCAACATCACGGTTGTGGAGGAGTCTGGAAACATGGGCTGAAGGAGGGGCAGCTGGGAGAGGAGAAACCTGGTGCAGACCCGGTATGCCCACCATGGAAACATGGGCTGAAGGAGGGGCAACTGGGAGAGGAGAAGCCCGGCACGGACCCAGTATGCCCACCACAAGGCTCTTGGCACAACCCTTTCTCTTCTTCTTTTTTCTGGCTGTACAGTTTTTAGGGGAGGCTTTTCCCCAAAAAATGCCAAACCCGGGGGAGATGGTGACATGTCTGGAGCTGAGGTCGGGATGAGGAGACCCACGTCACGCCTCCGGCCCCGGGATCCCCATGCTCAGGTCGCACCTCCGGCCCTGGGGTCCCCATGCTCAGGGCGGCCTGGGCCTCCCACAAGGCTGTCCCAAGGACTGGGAGACGCACTGGCCAGCACAGGCAGTGCTCAGGCAGACAGCAGCCAAACCGTGCCAGCCACACCCGGTGCCGCACAGGTGCGGCACAGTGCCCGTCCTGCCCAAAGCTGCCGTTGCCAACCCTGCTCACCTGCACCCCTTGGGGCCTCCCTGGAGGGCAGTGTAGGCCCATCCCAGAAACAGGACAGAAGCAAACTGCCCCACAGACACACTGCCCTGCAGAGGAGGGGCACGGTACCCAGGAGCCTGGGCTTGTGGTGCCACACCAGGCCCATGAGGGCTGGGCTTTAGATGAGAAACCAGAGAGGTATGAAATTAGCTGACTCCCTAAACGGATGCCTTCCCACCTCCCGCTGCTCAGGAAAATGGGGTGGGTGGACAGGGCCCACCGCCAGGCTCCCTGAGTGAGGGGACACCTCTGAGGCCCGACGGCCCTGCCACATGCTGGACTGGGAGAGGACAGAGCAACGAGGCCCCCACCCCCTCGCCCGTGGCCATGACTTGGGTTACTTCCATCACTAATGACGACTCCCAAAAGGTCCCCATGGGGAGAACGTGGCATCCAACAGGCACAGGGCACATGGCACAGGGAGAACATGGCACCCAACAGCCCCCGGGGAAAGTGAACTTACTGAACTTGGTGCCCTAGGCTCACTTCCTAGCTTCTGTCTGGGAGAAGGGGCAAGAGAAAGGGGTCCTGTTTTGCAACCGTCCACACTCTCCCCAAATTAACAAGAGCAAGGATTTGCCCAGACCCAGAGCTCAGGTCTCCAAATGGAGCCGAGGTGGCTGCTGACAGCGGGCACATCAGGCTGGGGACAACGCTGTGGGAGTGAGGCTGGTGCAGACCCGGGCATGGGGGCACACACAGGCAGGATCCCCGTCCAAGTGGGCCCCCTCCTCTAAGCGCCACCAGCCAAGTGTTCACTCCAGCTGGGAGCTGACCGGGACCACATGAGGGGCCGACAGAAAGTGGGGCGGGCAGAGCTGGGTACACTCGTGGGGGCCTTGCTGGGCCTCACCAGCTAAGACGGCAGTGTGTGTCTGTAGGTGTGAAGGAATCCACGACTTAACCGTCAGCCCCGTGCCCAGCCCATGCCCAGCTCCCAGGAGTAGGCTCTGCTCCCTGGAACACCATCATTTATTCACTCCATGAAACCCATGAAGGCCTGTGCCATGCCAGCACCATGCTGTGACCACGAGGCAGACTCGGCTCCTGCCCCCTTGAAGCTCACGGTCTGGCGGGAGCTGGGGAAGCCAAACCTTGGACAAGCCGCTGGAAACACAGTTTGTGGCATGAATGGAGAAACGCGGGCTGCAGAGTGTCTGCAGGGGCACCCAGCGAGGCGGGCCTAAGAGATGCCCCTGCCACCCCAGGGAGAGATGGGACTTGGGGGATGAGCAAGAGTCTTCGAAGGAGGGGCGACCAGGCAGGGAGGGGGTTCAGGGTCAAGGCTTGCTGGGAGCTACCCCAGGGGCACAGGGGAGCCACTGAGGGCTCTAGGCAGAGGCTGCCATGAGCAGCGGCCACGCACTGGGCCCTGGACAAGTGCCGCTCACTCCTCTGAGCCCATCCCCTCCCAACCCGCACAGAAGGCCCAGGGCGGGCAGAGCCAGCAGGCAGTCCAGGGAGAGCACAGAGGCACAGAGGGCAGTGCCAAGCCAGGGGGCAGCTCCAGGCTGGGAGACAGATTGGGGCTCCTCCCACCAATGGCAGCCCTGCCAAGCCCAGCAGGAGGGGAGGACCGGAGCCCGGCGGCATCAGAAACCCAGCGCAGCCGGAGCTATGTGCACACCCTGGCCCCCCAGGGCATGAACACACTGCTGTCCCCATTCTACAGATGGGGACCCTGAGGACCAGCACTGAAACCCCTACCTGGGTCAGACCAGAAGGAGACCCACCGTGCTCAGGCCCTGAGCCCCTGTTCCGGAACATTCTGCCTCCCCCAGTCACACAGGCAGGTGGCAGGCAGTCCTGGAAGCCACAGGCCTGCTCCCAAACACGGAAGCTCAGAGTCCCTCCGATGTTAATCAGAGCCATTAGGTGCTTGTTCGGCAATTAGGAGACACAAATTACAGTATGAAAAAGCTCATTACCAGCAAATGACGGGCGACGGCCACTGACGGTGTGGAAGGCCCTGATGAATCACGCACGTTGGAGGCATTTAGTCTCAGGAGACGCAACACCTCAGTGCCCATGGCCTCATCTGTCACCCGCACCTTCCCACCACCACCATCCCTGTCCCAGCCACCCAGCCGGGAGACAAAGAGAAACGACAGGGTCGGCACCAGGTAGGCAAGGCAGACCCTTGGAAGGGGCCTCCCCACAGGAGATGCCCAGGGGCCGGGCACACAGCAGGCCCTCAGTACAGAACGGCTTGGGGGCTCAGGGGAGGGCCTGGGAGGAGGCATGGCAGGCAGGGCTGTGCTTCCTGGGAGGCCTCAGTTTACCCCTCAGTGAAATGAGGACATTGAAAAGGGTCTCCAGGTTCCCTCCCAGCTCCGAGACCCAGTGCCCAACCGGAAAAGGTTCCAGAATCAGTTAGCTGAGGGAATTAGCAAAATGATCACGGCATTAATTGGATGAGTCAGATGGCAGGGCACGTGCGCCAGTCCAGTCTGACAGCGAAGGGCCAGCTCCTGCCCATCAGATAAGATGCCTGGCAGGGCCGGGGTGAGGCAGCACTCGCCACATCCGGGCTCCGAGGTGGGCAGCACACCAAAAGCTCTCCAGGCCTCCTGGATTACTGAACCCCAAGCCAGGGGAAAAGACAGGAGTCACCCGCAATTCTGAGGGCCAACGGAACCCTCGCCCTGCATCGGGCTCAGAGCCCCTGCAGGGAGCCCAGGGCTCTAGCATCCCCCCAGCAGGCTTCTCCACTACCCACTGGCAGGCCTCGGGGTCCCCAGCTTCAGCCTGCCTGGGGGCAGTCCCTCAATCCAATGAGTCCCAGGAATTGTAAGGGGGCTCTTTATTCCAGGAGATTCTAGCCAGAACTCCTCTCTCTGTGGTCCCAGGTCCTGGATTCACCCCCAATACACGAAGGCCCTGTGGCCACCATGTCCCCCATGCAACGCCAGGCTGAGCAGCCAAAGGGCGCCACTTTCAAAAGAGCCTCCCGCAGACCAGCAAGCGGCAGGTAACCGCGAGCGACCTGCACACAAGTGCGCCGGAAGGGGCGCTGGCACGGCGGGCACTGGCTGCCCACACTGTCTCCTGATACCAGTCCTTCAGAAAGGGAAACGGAGGCTGCAGGCGGCGGGACCAGGGGAAGGATGGGCCTCGCCTGCAGCCACAACAGAGCCAGAGCTCGAACCCAGAACTCCAGGCGTCGGCAAGCCCAGGCCTGGGCACGGCAGGCTCCCGTGACCAGCGGGGTGGAAATGGAGAAGGAACCAGCGCTTCCTGCTCGCTCTGCCCTGCCGCCCGACAGGCCAGTCCGCAGCCTGTCACCGGCTCAGGCAGTGCAGCCTCCAGGGAAGGCAGACACCCAGCCCAGTGCCCCCCACCGAGGCTACTGAGGACAGGTGGCAGCTTCCAGGCCCTGCCCAGGGATCCTGGCCCACCCCAGGCAGGACAGAGCAATCGCGGGGGCCTTAGGTAAAGCCCTGGGGCCCCTCAGCGGCCTCGAAAGCATGGTGGCATCTGTGCCGGGTGGGCCCACTGGGCACGCCACACCTCCACCCTCCGGTTACCGCTCCATTCCCCGCCCGGTCCTACACACCCCTAGCCCAGGGACCCCCGCGGCTCCAGAAGCTTCCCTGTTCCTAGGTGGGGCAAGGAAAGGCCTCTGCTGCCAGGGCCCCATCCCCTCACAGGCCAGGCCCACCCAGAGCCACCAGGCTGCCCAGCATGGCAGGACAATCTCGGGAGCAAAGCCCCTGGGGGAAACGGGCTGGGACCAGGGCCCAGAGCCTACCCAGGACCTTCCAGGACAGACAGGCCACATCCTTGCTGGGAGGGGCGGGGCTGCGTGTCACCTCCCCACCCCGCCAGGGCCACACGTGGCTCCAGGGCCACGCTTCCCCTGCCCTCAGCCTGTGTGTGCTATTTATCCAGCAGAGGGAGGGAGGGAGGGAAAACAATGCAGGTGGCTGATCCGCAGGGGGTAGGTCACACCCCTCCCCGGAGGTCAAGGTAGCCCCTTCCAGCCCTCCCCAGGCGGGCACCCTCACCCTCCAAGCAGGCAAAGCCACAGTGCCCCAGGAATAATGCGATGACTTATGGAATTGATGTTCACACCGAGGTGAGGGCGCACCCGGTGGAGAGGATGAGGAAGGGTGGGAGGCACGAGGCAGAATGGAGCCTGGGAAGGGAGGGGAGGTGGGCTGGGGCACACCTGCAGCCATTAATTAGCTCGTTATTGCCAGATAATTATCTCCGGGGCCTCCAAAGCTTTCGAAGCCCACTTCAGAGCCGCCGGCGGCAGCAGCACACCCATCTCACAGCCAACGCCTGAGGACCCCAAAGGCAGGTGGCCCTGGCTCTGCCTCAATTTCCCCAGCTATTCAGTGGAGTGAGTGTTCTTTATATCTCACTCTCCGTGCCCTCAGATGTGAGCAGGGGACCCCAAAAGCAGGAAGAACACCTCTGCCTTCCTCAATTTTATAGACAGCAGGTCTGGAAGCTTCCTCCGCCCCTGGCTACACCCTGGCCTTCCTCTCGGCCTCTCCCACACGGCAGCCCCCAGCAGCTGTTCCATGAATGCTCCCTGGACCCTGTTGAGCCTTCCAGAACTGGGCATGGGGTAGGAGTGGGCGCAACGCTTAATGAAAATCCCCTGCCACGTGGGGCTGTTGGCCCCAGAGCTCCGCCTGCCCTTCCCCTGAGCCCAGCAGCAGGCCCCGGGGACTCCTGGCCCTCTGCCCACAGCCCTCACCACCCACATGAGCAAGCAGCACTTACATAGGCCAGGCTCAGACCTGCCAACGTTCCCAAAGCCAGCACACCCCATTGAGACCCCAGCCGGGGCCCAGGCCTGCCCTGGAAACTGCTTGTCTCAGGCAGGGTCCAGGGGCTCTGCCCAGTCCTGCAGACGACCAGGGAGGGGCGGGGAGGGGAGGGCAGGGCCTAGGGCAGTGCTGCTGGGCTGGAACAGCATCCAAACAGGAGCCTGGAAAGCAGGTCCCAGACCTCTGGGGAAGTCTCTGGAACAAGACCTTGTCAGTTCCTGGGTGGCACCCACAGGGCCAAGTCCAGACCCTGCACAAGGCCTCTGAGGACTGCACAGGCTCAGCTACTGACCTCCCCATTACAGGCCCCGGAACTCTCCCAGCTCTGGGCCTTTGCATATGCTGTTCCCCATATGTTCCCTGTTACCTCCCCCAGGAAGCCCTCCCTCCAGCTCCACCCTACCCAGGCTGAGGGAGGCCTGTTGGCCCTGAGCTGTGGCTCCTGCCTGCCTGCCTGCCTGCCTGCTGCCGGAGGAAAGTGGATGGTGGCGGCCTAACAGGACTGGTGCCCATCTCCTGGCTCGTGAGCCAGAGCCCTCCAGCAAGGGCCCAAGGACTGTGCAGGCAGAACTCGGTGTTTCCACTCTGTCCTGCACGGGCTCACGCCTGGCTCCGTCCTCGGCAGGTGGCCGGGGCCTGGGTGGCACACCCAGCAGCAGCCCTCTTGGAAGCGGCCCACGGCCTCCCGTGGAGATGGTGCTGCAGGAGCCAGCCCTCGGGCCAGCGAGCAGCAGGGATGTCGGGGAGCACAGTGGGTACGCCTCTCATCCCATGTCCCCGTGTTCTGTGGGGGCACCCCAGGCCCCAGGCGGGATGCTGCCCTCCTCCTCCTCCTCCTCCTCTGCTGTGGCTCCTCCCCTTGCCCACAGGGTCCGCTGTAGACTGCCCCCATGGCCTCACCCTAGGATCAGACAGTGTGAAGGTTGCCAGGGAAAAACCAATAAACAAACTTATGAAGAAACCGTGATTTACACATAATTTTCTAAGAACACGTAATTTCCCGGGTGCTCTGCCCCGAGGGTGGCCAATTCTGCTTACCTCTGGTGCATGTTTGTGTTCTGGAAGGTTCTGGGTAACATATCTGACTGGTTAAGCAGGGCATTCCCTAGCAAAGACCTCGCCTTTCTGCTTGGGACTGCACAAACCACAGCCGAACCCTTGGCCTCGAACCCAGGGCCAAGGCTCTCTGAGGGGCTGACTCAGGTCTGGGGGTCTCCCACCCTCCACCCACGACTCCCCCACTGTGCTCGTGGCGTGGACAGTCCTCGTAGACATACGGACCTCACCAACTCCACATCCCCCAACCCCCTGCACAGGCGAGAAATCTGAGGCCCACAAAGCGCCTGACTTCACGCGGCTACAGCAGAGGGGCCAAGGTGCGAATCAGCTCTGTGCAATCCCCTGCCCCTGGCCCTGAAAGTCCCCTTTTCCCAGTAACCTGCAGGGAGCCCAGGTGAGGATGCGGGAGGCTGCAGCCCGCTCAGCAGCGAACTCTGGCCAGGTTTCTGCTCCGGGCTCTGGAGAAGGGCCCTCCACCCGGGGCAGGAGCCAAACCTGTCCAACCGCCCTAGACGCCTCAGTGCCTGGGCAACTATCTGCTCCATCGAATTTCTCAACCCACTCAGAGCAGGCAATTGCAACAGGCTGCGGAGACACAGATAAGGAGATTCAGGGTGTGGGCTGGGTGGGTTTGGGGGTGGATTTTTTTCTTTTCTTTTGTTCTGCTTCTGCCCTGGCTATGCCTTCACGCCTCCCCGGCTCTGCCTGGGGGCCTCTGAGCTTCCTGGGGGTGCCCAGCACTGGGCATGGGCATGGGCCTTGGGCCACCTCCAGGGCTGCTGAGGCTGGGAGACAGGCAGGGTGCGGAGGTGTCGGGAGACACTTTCTACCAGGGCCATCGAGGGTGGTGGCTGAGCAGGGCCTCAGGCAGGGTGAGGCTGGGGCAGGGCAGGGGCCCCCACCTGGGAAAACCACCCTTTCCCAACACTTTGAGGCACAGGTGCCACCAGAGAAGCTTGTCACCTTCCCCTCCATAGCAGGACAACGGTGAGAACACTCGTCCTCCCCTGCAGGCAGCCAAGGATGGCTAATCCAAGAGCCGCTGAGCAGGACGGCCACCGCAGTGCTAGCATACAGTAGGTGCTCAGTGCACCGGGCCATCTCTTGGTGATAAGACACACTTCTGGGCAAGGCACGGACCTTCTCCAGCCACGGACCTTCCCCAGCCTCCTGTGTCAGCAGGAAGGGCCTCCATCCCGCAGACCGTGCTGCTCTATATACCCCGAAAGCCCTGGTGGGCATTGCAGGAGCACAGGCAGCAACTCCTGGCTCCCCGGCCCGGCCAGCATGCAATCCCCAGCCCAAGGCCATCCCAGGTGTGTTCCCGGTGGGAGCTAAACAATGGCTCCCCCTTACCAAAATCCAAGGTAGAAACTCTTCCCCGCTTTTTACCAATGAGGAGAGCAAGGCTGAGGTTGATGAGGTGACCTACCCAAGGCCCCAGAACTCCCCCAGGGAGAGTCACCTACGAGAGCCTGACACAGTTCCCCTCCCTTGCAGGGCTGGGGCAAGGAAGCCAGGTGAGGGTGAGGCAGCTTCCCCAAAGGCCCCACCCTGCTCCACCTGGCAGGGGCAGGAGGGAAGGACATGCCAGCAGAGTCCATGCTTTTCCAGGTCACCAGGGAAAGGAGGCCTGGCCTGAGACAGGCCCAAGCCAGATCCCACAGTGAGGGCGTCGTGGAAGCACCTCCCTGCCGCTACTCTTGGCAGTCTGGGCCCAGCGGCCATCCCGAGGGCAGGGAGCTGCCCCCCACCCCCTCAGCTGCCCTCCCCCAGGGCTTGTCTGACACCTGGGCGCAGACCCTGACCTCCTCAAAGCCTCTGACCCACTGAGAGGGTACCTGCGGAGCTTTCCGAAAAATGCAGACTCCAGGGCAGGGTGAGCCCAGGGCCCTGGGAGGAATTCTCCTGCACAGCTGCAGGTTGCACAACGGGCCAGGTCCCTACCTGCCTCCAACGTGTGGCAAGGCTGCGTTCCAAGCTGAACACTCCAGAGGAGCAGGCCCAGGACCTCCCCCACCCAGCGGGGGTGCACACAGCTCCCCGGCCTCTGGGTCCTCAGCCTGGCTGCAGAGGGCAGCTTTGAAAACCTGTCTGTGGACAGTGGTGCCCCTCCCTGCCGGACTCTACTGCCCCACCCCTCCACTGTAATTCTGAGCCACTGCCTCTCCCTCCCAACCCACCCTGAGAAGTGAAGCCCAGGCAAGGAAAAAGTAACCAAAAATAACAACTAGCAGTTCCCGGCGCTGACTGAGCTGCAGGTGAGCTCTGTCAGCTTCATCTCTGTTCACCCTCCCAGCTTTTCGGAGACCAGCATATCAGGAAACTGAAGCTGGGAAGGAGTCGGGGGATCTGTCCAAGGGTCAGGCTGCTTTTTACTGTTTGCTGTTCAGTTAACAGTGCCTGGCCTGGCCGGGGAGCGCAAAGAGACACAGAGATGCCCATGCCGGGCCCAGGCACACTAGGTACTTCTCATACACCTGGCACCCACAGCACAGCTTCTGACAACTGGGCCTGCATTTCCCACAGGTGAGGACAAACGCCAGCAGAGATGTGCCTGCAGAGATGGGGTGGCCCAGCCCCAGCCCCACCTTGAACCCCAAAAGCCAACGTGGGCAGAATTGGAGCTGAGCCACCGCATCCCTGCAGGAGATGGGATGTATATGCCTCCTGGGATCATGGTCCTGACCACTTCTAGACCAGAGGCCCTGCTCATGCAGTCTCCCAGAGCCCCTCTGCTCCAGACACCCCAGAACTCCAGGACAGGCTCCCTGACTCCCAACCACGGCTTCCCAGTGGCTTCTCAGTCCCTCCATCCCTAAGCCAGCTCCACTGGCTCTTAGGGGACTGGGAGTGCACAGGCCTATGGGACGGGGAGAGGCAAATCCAGGACGAGGACAATTGCAGCCTGGGGAGCCTGGAGGGCCAAAGACAGCGGAGGCAGGTTTGGCCCAGATCTGAGACTTCGAGCAACAACACGGCCTCTGAACATTTCAGTCTTACAGCGAAGGCCAGTGCACAGCACAGCTGCAGGAGGAACCCTGGGAATGCCCGGCCCAGGCCATCTCCACCAGCAGGGCTCACCCTGGGGCACAACAGAATCACCAGGGAGCCCTGGTGCCCAGGCACCACCCCCACGGCTGCCGATCTGATGGGTCTGGGGTGTGGCCTGGGTACCAGGAATCTTAAAAGCTCCTCATCTTCAATAGTGCCTGATGGGCAGCCCAGGTGAGACCCACTAAGCCACGGCAGTGTGGGGCTGGCTCCAACCCGGGTGAGTTCATTCGTTCCACCACCACACACGCACCGACCACCTCCTCACGCCAACACTGTCCAAGGAGGGGGACCCAGAAGAGCCAGCAGTATGGGCAGAAAATTCTGCAGAAGTCACAGTGAAAACACACGCAGCTGCGGTACTAAGCTCCCGGTAGAAGGGAGACATTAGATTAGCCGCAGAGACCGCAGGGCCAGGATGGGAGCACTCGGCACGCAGAAGTGCCCCACAGCCCTCCTTGCAGACATCACCAATCCACCAACCCACCTTCCCTGCTGGTGCCTGCTGGGACCCAGGCACCCCATCCCATCCGTCAGAAGAGACACAAAGGCTGGAATGCACCTCTAGGCTTTCCCAGGCATGGACCTAAGTGTTATTTTATGGTGGCAACAGTGAAGTCTAGGCTCCGTCTTTGCCTCTGCCCCCTTTCCCCAGGAGCTTGTGGCCCCCTCCATCCGCAGTGAACAGCTACCAGGCACCCTTAGCTCTCATCCACCCACAGTCCCATCACCACCAGCCTTGGGGACACGTTCCCCAAATGCAGCCAGGCTGTCCGAGCTCACCGCCAGCAGGGCTCGTGGATGAGTACGGCTGCTGGAGTCCCACCAGATTCTCAGCCTGAAGTCAGGTACACACCCAACAGGCACGGCCCCAACGGGACATCCCAGGCCTGGAGGCCAACCAGGCCCATGGGTAGCATGAGGAGACAGCAGTTCCCTCTCCTGCCTGCCAGGGCCTGGCACCCCCACCCCAAGGGCACCTCTGCCCTGCCACCCTGGGGAAAGCAGGAGGAGGCAGAAAAGCTGCCAACGTCCTCCCCGCTAGCTGTGGGGAGAAGCAGTGTTGGAGGTACAGGGGCTCGTGGACTCGTGGGGCCGTGGAAGCTGCTGGGGCACCACTGGGCAATGAACACGCCTTTGAAAGTAAGTGACGGTTTGCTCAAAGTGAAGGATGCCTGTGGCCGGGCCACATGACGGGACACCAGCTTAATGTGCATACACGTGCGGTGTACATGCATGGGGCCGTGCACACACATGCACACATGTGCACTCACCACCTTCCCAGACCACCTGCCTTCCCACTCTCCAGTATGCTGGCCCAAGGCCTCCTACAACCATGGGCCATCAGAGATCCCACCTCTGCACACCAGGGATACCCCTGAGAAGGACTCCAGGAAATCCACCGAAGAAAACAAGCCCACCTCCTCCACAGCCGGGAGAGCTCAATTTGCTGTTTGCTCTTGTTTCAAAAGTAAAAGTTGGGATTCTTCCTCAAGCCCCAGAACCTCCCAGTTATGGGCCTGCCCCTCCCAGCCACACCAGCAGCCCCAGCCCCTCCTCCCCCCTCCAGAAGGGGACCCTGTACCTGGGGTGGCTCATCCCCCCAGCCTGCACCCCCAGAGGCCAGCCCAGAGAGCACAGGTGGTGGGAGGGTGTCAACAAACGTCACAGCCCCCAGCTGGCTTTCCAAGTGGGCACCAGAAGGCAGGGCCAAGTGTCCCCAAGGAGAGAAGAGCAGGCTGAGGACGTACTTCCTCACACCAAGGAAGCAGGAGAGAACTCCCATGTCTCCAGGGCTCCTGATTCCCTGCCAAAGAGAGACCCAAGAGCCCTGGATGTCCCCAAAGGGAGACCGCTCCAACCTCAAGCGAGACCCAACACAGCCCAGACAGGCATGCGAGCCGTCAGCTGTGGAGCCCGCCCCATGCTGGCCCCCACACTGCCCGCCCCAGATAGTCCCAGGCAAGCCCTGACCTCGTTTCCTTGGGGCAGCTGACCCTCTGTGTCAAGCCAGCACCCCGGGAGCTGCAGGGCTCAGCCAGGGTGCATCTTCAGTCCCACCAAAGGAAAGCGGGGCCAGCAGGAGGCTGGGTGGTCCGGACAGACGCCAGTTCCCACACAGTCTGCACACTGCCGGGTGACCACTGCTGCCCACTGCTGGGCAGGGGCGAGGCAGGGAGGGCAGGACAGCCCCACCAGGTCCTGTGCTGCCCACCTGGGGCCTAGAGCAGGGCCCCTGCTCAGAAGCAGGGAAGGATTGTGGCCCCTCCGGCTTCCTCATGCCCCAGACTCATCCAGGGTCCCCGAGGCAGCCCCTTCCCGTACTCACCCTTCAGACACCTGAGGGGATGGCCAGACACCACCTCCCTGCTCCCCTCCCCTCGCCCTCCAAGCACCTCCACAGGGTTTTCCAGGCACCCCAGGAGGCGCAGAGTCAGTCTGCCCCTTTCCTCATCTCATCAGGCACCATCAAACCCACAGGGGCTCCTGGGCCGCGCTGTCATCCTCATCCCATGCCCAGAACCCTCCCCTTGCTGCACCCCAGCCCGACTCTGCCTTCGACAGCCTCTGACTCCCGCAGCCTGTGCAGCCTCGCTCCCTCCCCGGGCTGCCCCGAGCCGCCCTCTGGCTCCAGCACCATGACCCATGCAGGCAAACTTGGTAGGACTCTCAACCTCAGCCCCCAGGCCCTTCTGGTCCCAACACACATATGCCACATGCACGCACACGTGCACACAGAACAGAGCACCCATCTGACCCAACACACACTGGCACACCCCACGCCCCGCCAGAGCCGCAGCTGCTGCGTGGCCTCCATAAATCTCTCCGAGGCCCCGCACACCCGCCTCTGATCAACCCAACTCCATGTCATTCACCTCGCGTTCTGATGGTTAAAAACAAGTTCGCAGCAGCGGATTGGTTATTACATCTCGGCCTTAATTAAAGAGGGCCGCAGAACGGCATTTTAACCAGCAATGTCATTTTCTAATTGACGCAGCTCCATTATCAAGAAAAATACTCAAACCGGCCTGAAACGGAGCCGGCACCCTCCTCCACCCTCCCGGGGGAGCAGGGAGGTTCAGCTTCAATTTTTAATCTGCTGATGAAATATTCACAGGCCAGGGAAGGGATTGCGTTTCCTGAGGTGAAGGATCCCTGCCCTATTGGGGCTCCCCACATGGGAAGACGCAGAGTTTAGGGTGCTGGGGTCAGGACTGTCTGGAGGAACAGAGCAATGCAGGCAGGGACTGGAGACCAGCCTGCCTCACAACCAGCCTGCCGGGCCCGGGACCACCACTTTGCCCTCCCCTCTGCCCGCTGCTGGCATAGGGCCCCTTTCGAGTGACCTCCCGACTGCCCCTTCTCTGAGGAGGACGCTGCAGCCCACAGGGCCAGGCACTCGCCCAAGGCCTCCTGTGATTTCCCGCCGGGCCTCCTAGCCCCAGACCTGCCACCTCTTCAGACTCTGCGGGCTCCAAGCCTGGCCTGTGTGGGAGAAGGGGGCCCCAACATTCTGATTTCCTAAGCAAAGCATTCAGAGGGCTCAGCCCCCTGCAGCCAGCGCTTCCTCACAATGCGGTGTTTGTACCTTGAGGCCACACGCACTTCCCATGAAGTCTGAGGCCGGTGCTCCATGTTATAGGAAAGGACACTTAGGCAGGTGAGGGATGCTCAGCCCCCCCTTGCTGAGGCACAGGGCCTCTTGTGGGTGCTGGACAGGTGGCCTCCACACCATCACACAGCCGAGGTGCTGACGTTGGCCCTGGGTACAGATGAGGACAAGGCGGCAGGGGAGGCACCATCCAGGCCAGGCCGGCCCCAGGCTCAGCCGCTCAGCCCCTCGAATGCATCTCCTCGTGCAGTGGGGACAGGTGGGGAGGAAAGCAGAGCCACTGGCCCAATCCCCACCCCCACCCACCTCGGCAGAAGGCATGAGAATGCCCCAGATGGAGCTGCTCCTGCGGGGGAGGCTGGCTTCTCCGTGGGGAAGGGCAGGGTGGAGCTGGGCCAGGGAGGCCCCACTGGGCAGTGCCTCAGGCTCCCCGTGTGGGTGAGCACAGCACAGGGCACAGCACAGAGGCCCACACAGTCCTCATGCGGCATCGTCTGGGGCCTGCTGTGCCCGAAGGAAGACACTAGCCGGAAACCACAGGCCTCCGAATGGAGCTGACCGCCCACGGGCAGCCCCTGGGGACCCCAGCCACCAGCACGCCACGCAGGTGGCTACTTCACAGCATGTCCAGCTCTGAGCCACCACCCAGGGGGCGAGGACAGCCATGCCCCTTACAGAAAAGGAAACTGAGGCTTGGAGGGGCAAAGGGCCTTCCAAGGCTGCAGCTGGCGAGGCGGGGGCCAGAGAGCGATGCCAGCACTGTGTTCAGGCCACTCCGCGGCCCCAGCCCCACTGGCTCTCTGGGGCCAGTTCCTCCCTCCCCCAGTGGTTTCCATACATCCTGCCCTGGGAGCCTGACACTGACCAGCTGCCCACTCGGCCCCAGACAGGCTGTTTAATCAAAGCATGCGATCGGCATGACATCTCCTGGCATCTCTGGGCAGCTGTACCCCCACCTTCCACCCCCCCCTACACACACACACAGCCATCTGGCGGGTCTGCTCTTCCTGACCATAGGCCAGCAAGTGCTCTGGAAAGAGGCATGAATCAGGGGTCCTGGGCTTGGGGAAGGGGTCCCAGCAGTGCCTGGGGACCTCCAGACACCAGCTGCAGCCAGGAGCTGACCCAAACAGGAGGAGAGGAAGGTGTCACAGGCAGGATGAGATCGTGCAAACTGTCCACCCGACTCCTACCACAGGAGAGCCTGCGGCACCCGCCCGCCCACCCGAGCTAGCCCAGCTCTGCCCCTCCTCCAAGCAGCCTTCCTGGGTGGACACCGCCAGGCTGGCCCAGCCCTGGGGAATCCTGTGCACAGCCCTGCGCCTCCAGGGAGACAGGCATTCAGCTTGAACTAAAGTCCCCAAACCTCATGAGACAAGTCAGCAGGCACACAGGTAACCTTGCCTGATGCGGGGTCTCCTGATGTCACCCACTCATGGGGGCCACCTGAGAACCCTGCCCCTGTCTGGCCCATGCTCGCCAAGTTGCTGGGTCCCTGTCCGTGCACACTCCTGCCCGCCACGAGCTTCAGGGCCGAGCCACCCCCGCAGCACCACTGCCAGGTGTGGCAGCTGAAGACCCCAGCCCACCTGAGCCAGCCTCTTCTCTTCCCCGACCCACCAGCCTGTCCCTCTCCTCCCTCCTGCTCCCCGTGGAGAGGCCTTCCCTCCCTGCCACCAAGCTCGGCGAAGCCCTCCACCAGGCCGAGGCGCCCCGGCCCAACAGGCCCACCAATGACACCCGGCTGTCCAGGTGCAGAACAGGGGTCAGCAGGGCTCCCCATGTGCCCAGCATGAGGAAGTGGGAGCTCGGGGCCAGGCTGGTGCAGGGAGTTGGGGTCTGCAGGCCCAGCCAGACCCTTCTTCTGCAAGACCCTCTGTGCAGGCCCTCATGAGGCAGGGCAGTGTTCAGGACCCCTCCTGGCCCTCGGTGAGTTCAGGGACAGCACAAGTCCCCTCCCGGGAAGCAGCGTACCCACCATGCATCACCAGCCTTCTCAGCGGGGACCAGCCCTTCACTGCAAGTGACAGAACTGGGTCTCGGATATGCCAGCCCCTCCCGAGTCTCAAGGCCCAGCTGGCGCAACGCCACGGTTGGCACTCAGGTGGTACAGAGCTGGTGTCCAAAGTAAGGTCCTGCCAAGGTCTGGGGGTCGTGGGTGTTTCAAAGCCACACACACCCAAATTCAGCTCTACCTCAGGGACTGCAACCCCAGGCCCGGTTTCACCCACCTCGACGTCCAGCGTCCGGGAAGTCTTCTGACCACCGAATCCTGCATTGTGCCTGAGGCAGCACATGGCGGACACGTGATGCCTTTGACAGCGGATGGATGGGCAGGTGCCATGCAGCCTAGGACCCCGAGGACAGGGCGTACGTAGGCCGGGAAGCACTGGGCAGGAGCCAGCCCTCCATCGCAGTGCCACAGCAGGGTGGCTGTTCAAGCCTGGATGAACTCAGCCAAGACTCAACCCACGTGTCGGCCACCTGCGTCCCCCGGGATCAGATCAACATTCTGCCCGTGACTGGCCTCCCCATCTGCAGCAGGGGACAAGCAGCCACATGGGCCCTGGGGGACCTCGGGACAAAACTGGGCTACAGGGACCCTCTCAGCCAGCCTGAGCTCAGAGGAGCTGCACCTGGCTCTCACTGCCCTGCATCCTGAAGATCATCGCACCACGATGCCCGCTGCACCAGCAAATGCTGCTCTGTCCTCCTTCTCAAAACCCTGGCTGGTCCTGCCGCCAAAATGTTCCAAGCTCCAACCACAGACCCTGGGGTTTCACCTCCTGGGAGGCTTCCAGGTCTCCCCCAGAGCTCTGGCATTCAATGCACACTGCTCTTGTAACCTGCCAGGGGTCCTGCATGACCTCAATCGCAACTGCCGCGCCTGGCACCCTCGACTCCCCTTGGTGCCTCATGTCCCTAGAAACAGCACCACTGTGCAGGCCCAAACCACATGGTCACCCCAAGCCCTCTCTCCCGGCCTGTTGGCCACAGCTGTAACTGCAACCAGACCCACCGGCTCCTCCATCCCCACAGCCATGGCCATGACCACCTCTGCTTCTGCCTCCTAAGTGGCCACGGACTCCCCTCCTGCCCCTGGGGTCCATCCTCACCGGCAGCCAGGACCCTCACTCAGCACTCACGGCCTCTGAAGGATGCTCACCACTGTCAGGACAGGCCCAGCACCTCTGGCCATGTCCTGCCTGGCTCTGTCACCCACCAGCCCCCTCCTGGCCACCAGACCTCAATGTCCAGCTCTGAACTGACCGCCCCAGCCCCTGCCAGTGAGCCCCACTCTGGGGCCTTTGCACACACCGTTCCCCTGGCCTGAGAGGTCCTTCTCCACCTCCCCACCGGCTGCTCCTTCCCATGCACAAGCCCACCCGCAGCATCCCCCTGGAGGGCTTTCCCTAACCACGCTGGCCAGTGACCCTCCGCATACCTGGAACCTGCCCATCAACGCAGGCCCCTGGCCGTCCTCCCCCAGCCTTGTGCTCCTCCGGACAGGGGTGTGGGGTCACAGCAGGGGCTGGCTCTGACTGACCAGGCCCCCCTCCTGCTCGGCAGAAGCCCGGACACTGCGGCCCCCATCAGGGTGGACGGCACGGTGTCTGCCTCCCAGGCAGATGGAGGAGCTGCGCTGCACTCAGGGCGCAGAGACAAAGGCAGGCTGACCACGAGCACCCGCAATTCATCTTGGTCAACACCGCGGCAGGGCGCGTCATCTGCCCAGCAATTTACATTTTCATTAAATTACACAGGAAAATTAGAAACATTATTACTTCCCTTGGCCCTTTAACCCTTTCTCTACCTGCTCTCCTTATGGCTGCCCCATCCTGCCCACAGATGACAGTGAGGTCCCCACCCCAACCCCACCTGCCTGCCACCCCCATAGTGATGGCAAGGCCTCCATCCCACCCTTGCCCGTCACCTCCACAGGGACAGAGAGGCCACCACCCCACTCCCACCCGCCTGTCACCTCCACAGTGATGGAAAGGCCACCACCCTACTCCCACCTGCCTGCCACCTCCACAGTGACAGCTGGGCCCTCCCCGCAAGGGCCAGGTCCAGGATGTGGTGCCTGGAAGCAGTGCCTCTCAAGCTGCCCCCCACCAGCCTTGCCCTCCCCCTCCGTAAGATGGGAGCAGTGAAGCGCTGGTGGGGTCCCAGCCAGTCCCACCTGTGACTCTTCCAACCCACACTGTCCCGACAAGGGCTCCTCAAGCCCCTGGGCCTCCAGGAGGACCCTCCCTCAGAGGCAGCTCCTTGTCCCACCCTGGGCTTCAGACTCCAGCAGCACACAAGTGCGAGCAGACAGTGGGGTGAAGGTACATGACATCCCCAAAATGGGGGCTCCACCCTTGGGGGCATCCACCCACAGCACCCAGACACACGCTTCTTTCCCCCACTAATGTGAAGCTGGGCAGTGCCAGGACCTAGGGCAGGTCCTGCAGTCCCTGGGCACCCCTAGTCCCCAGAGCCCAGGTCCTGGTCAAGAAGATTAACGAGAGCCCCCAACACGCCCGGGAACGGCCAGCCACTGGCAGGACCTGGTGAGTGCTCAGAAGGAACAAGCAGAACCAGCTGCAAGGACCAGTGGGGGTGAGGCCACGGCAGCTGGGGGTCTGGGGAGGCTCCTGGATGAGCCGACAGCCGAGGGAGACCTGAAGGGGCAACGGCAGAAGGGCATTTGGGGGAGGGGACAGCAAGTGCAAAGCTGTGATGCTTGAAGACATCACATTAGTCAGCACAGCTGGTCCCCAGCAAGCCGCGGGAGGGCAGGGAGGGCAGGGCAAGGATGAACGCCAGGTCCCGGGCTGGGACTCCACCCCTAGGACCACAGCGGAACAGGAGGAACTAAAGAGGAGGGCGGCATGGTCCTGATCAGGTGCTTAGAATGAGCCAGCAGTGGTAGAGCCGAGGGACCCTGCGTGGCCCCCCAATACCACACCACTCTGGGCTGTCAGCCATACCCCGCCTGGACCCCACCCCCCAGAAATGGCCTAGGCTGCTGCCCCGACTCTCAACTGTCCCTATATGAACACCGTAAGACGCACATGTATCAGGAAACACAGGTATAGGAGAGGACCTCCTGAATGGGGAAATCAAGGAGGGCTTCCTGGAGGAGGGGACATCTGGACACAGGAGCAGCCACAGTCCCACCCGGGGGTACCCATTCCATGTTCATCTGTGCCGGGAACTGACACGTGTTTAGTCATGAATGAGCCGGGCCAGAGAGTCAAGACTTTGATTATTTTCACCTTCCCCGTCATGCATTTTGCACTGACAATGGCACGGCTGGGGCTGGGGAGATATAGCAGCAGCTAATTTCAACTTCAGTTGCTCCCTCCTGCCTTGGCTCTTTTTCGGTTCCAGGTTTCACAAGTTCCTATGGAGAATGGAGGCAGGCAGCTGGTGGGACAGCCTCTGCCGGGGCTACCAGCAGCTCCTGGATGAACACCTAGTGGGTGCAGCCAGGCCAGACATGTGATGTCGGCTCCCGCCAGAGCCCCCGTCCTGCCTGTGGCCTTGGTCTCTACTTGATGGAGGCCACCAAGGCCAGGGCTGAGGCTTCTCCAACCCCAAACTCCAGAACCCTCCACGAGGATCCATGCCAGTGCCAGGGTAGGGCCTGAAGTGCAATGAACCAACCAGGTACCCCCACTGCTGACCACCCAAGGGCACACAAAAACCCATCAGGGCTTTGGCCCAAACTTTCCACCTCCTTCCCAGCAGCTACACTTCATGAGCACCTGACAACTGGCCCTCCACAGAGCCAGCACAGCCGTGGGCTGTGCAAATACCAGCTAGAGGGGGATACGTTATCCTCACTAATCCGGTGGGGACCCTGAAGCCCATAACCTCCAGGGCACGTCCACTTTCATTTTCTCAGCCACTGGCAGTGGTCCCAGCAGACCAGGGGCTGCCACAGTCGCTGAGCTGGAGAGAGCTGGAGTCTGGGGTAGAGAAGCCACCCATCCACACTGCAGCTCGAGCACTGGGCCTCGTGATTCTGGCCGCTGTCCCCAGGCACACGGCCCAGGGGTGCAGGAGGCAGAGCCCACTCTGAATGGTTGTCACTGCTCCCCTCCCCAACTCTACATCCGCTGCCCAACTCTGCTGGGTCCACACCAGGCACAGGGCCCGCACAGAGGCTGCGTCCCATCACTACCACCAGTGTGTTGGGACAGGAAGCCCAGTGCCCATAGAGCGTCGAGGGAACCTAAGCTCAGAAAGTCTCCTACGGAAGGCAGCACACAGACAGACACCGGTCAGAGTGGGAAGCTGGTTGCTAAGGGGTATGGTGGTGGGGCCTGCCTGGCTCCTGAGGATGAAGGGGCGTCCGTGGCCAGGCAGCAGTGAGAACTCCACCCTGGGGAGCCACAGAGGGCGCTACGCAGCAGAGAAGCACAGTTCTCAGAGGCCCGGGAGGTGGGGAGGAGAGGGCTCCAGGGCCCAGGGCCTGGGATCCAGCCCCGTCCCAACCTCCTGTTGGGAGCCCCCAGAGAAAGGAACCAAGGACTCCACTTCCACCTTTTTAAGAGGAATCTAAGCCTTGGGCGGGTGCCCAGGGTTGGGGCTTTTGTCAAGAAACCTCCAGTTTCCCCCACCCTGCAGCTGCTGAGTCAGGAGCAAAGGGGCGGGACCCCAATCTCAGCCCCTTCCGGCGGCAAGGGCAGGAAGCTGCACCCCACAAGTCTCTCCAGACACCAGGCTAGATAGACCCCAAGCTGCAAAGCCAGCCCCCTACCCACTCCTCCACCCAGGGAGGAGACACACCACAGCCTCCGCACATGCCGGTGCCAGAGGAGGCTGGGAAAAAGGGAGGCCCAGGGCAGGGTGGGGGCAGACCTGTCCACATTTGTACTGCATGGGCCCTGGCCTGCCAGGTTCCTGGGGCCAGCTTCAAGCGCAGGGAACGCTGGACTCAGGCCTACAAGGATGGAAAAAGAAGGGCAGAGCAGGCACACACGCCAGGCAGAGGCAACGGTTTGAGAGGTGGCACAGAGGTAGGGCCACATAGGGCACGGCCCCCGGGAACCTCAGCAGGACCAGGCCCCATGAGGAAGGGCTGCATCCTGTGGGGAGGGCCTATGGGGAGATGCCCACCCCACTGTGGTAGGGCCACGAGGGCCAATGACCGGCCAGAAGGTGAGAAGACGCCAGAGGAGCCCATCTGCTGACCCAGCCAGCTGGCCCCGCCTTCCGGGAAGAAACACTCTTCCCCACAGTTGCAGAAGATCCTCTGCTTGAAGGAAGAACGCAGGCTCCCTCAGCTCAGTGCCGCGCCCGGCTGGGGACGGGCGGATGGAGGGTTGGTCCCGAGGCCCCCAGGCCCGTGGCAGTCCACCAAGTGCACACGGTCTCTCCTCTGGCCACTGAGCAAGATGGGGACAGGGCAGGGGACGTGACCCCTCAAGCCTATGTCAAGGTTGCACCCAGTGACTGGTCTCGCTTCCTGGCCCCGAGCAATTTCTAGGTCCTAGGATGGTTCCAGAACTAGCTGCCCCTGCAACCACTCCTCCCAAAAAAATGCTTCTTCCCATGAGATACAACACTCATGCCCTCCTCACGTTCCTTTGCCCTACACTGAGCGCCCCCTATTCCAGGGGCTGCAGGATGCTGACGGGCAATCCTGCATGAACCCCCAGAACCCAGAAGAAGAAACTCCTCCTCCCAGCCCTCAAAGACACTGAGGTTCAGAGGCAACCCCAGCCAGGGCCTTCCCTGCTCCCAGGCAAGAACTGAAGGACAGGCCTTACTTCAGTCAACCCTCACAACCACCTGGGCAGCAAGTGCCCTCACCCCACGTCACAGATGAGAAAGTCGACACTCAGAGAGAGAGACACGCTGCCCCAGGTCACACAGCATGTAAAAGGTCTGTGTGGGGCCCTGAACTGTGGGCCGCAGACAGCTTCCCTGGCTCCAGGGCAGGAACCCCCTCCCCACCTCCCAAGGCCAAATGCTCTGGGTCCAAGACACCTCCCAGGGCTGGGCAGGTGAAAATCCCATAATCTGCTGGGGCCTCTCTAGAAGGAGGTCCCCCCACTGCCTAGGCTGCGGGATTGGGTTTCCTGGCCTCTAATCAAAGGATTACCAGACAATCCCCAGCACCCACACGTGCCTGCATCCGCAGTCATGCCACCCACATCACTCACATACAAAGGGAAGGTCACTGTGGTGGTGGCAGGGCCACAGCCACCACCTGCGCTCAACCTGCTGAGCCAGCCAGAGCAGGAAGGGCCAGGAAGGCAGGTAGGCAGCCTCCTCCGCGGCGCTGTCCACTCTCCTATGGGGCCAGGTTCCCCCAAACCCACCAGGTCAGGGCGGCCCACACCAGCCATCTCAGCCCTGGAGACCACACATGGCCCTGTGGGAACCACAGGGGCCTCCTCCCGCAGCCCCGCAGCCCCACCACCTGCCTGGGCTCACAGCAGCTCCCAAGCAGTCCCTTGCCCACAGCTTGCTGTTACCACTCTGCCTGCACCAACCCACTGCCCCCCGCTGATGGCAGGAAGAGGGCGCACAGCACGCCATCCCAAGTGCAAGCCTCTGGGGCCTGACCACCTGGGGGACCCCTGCTCTCTGTGCCTCAGTTTCCTGGCAGGGAAAGGGCAAGGATCGGCCCCTCCATGCCCACAAGCTGTGTGGCCTTGAAGATCGGCTCAGCCTCTCTGAGCCCAGGCCCCCTCTGTAAATGAGGGCAACTCCCTCCCCCAGGGTTCTGGGAGGGCAATGGGCTTGGCACAAGCTGGTACCGGGGCACCTGGTGCACTGTGGCTTGCTAGTCCTCGACCCGGACCCCCGCCCCTGCCCTCACTCTGGCCTGGGATCCACAGTGGGTCCAGGGCTTTCTCCAGCCTGATCTCACAGTTCAGAACTCACTACCCACCAAATGCCAGCACGAGAGCCCCCACCCCGGGCCCAGCAGAGCGCCTTCAGGGAGACGCCTCCTCATTCGGGGTCTTCATGTCCCCCAGCCAGCAACACCCACCACAGGCAGGCTCCAGCTAGCCGGATGCTCTGACAGCCCCTACCCCCAGGGTTGGGCTTCACAGACCCTGGAGCACAGCGGACCCTCAGCAAGTGGGGCCAGGCCAGTAGTGGGCAGAGCCTCAACAAACCCAAGCCCAGCCCTGCCCAGCCAGGCCCCAGGCAGTGACGCTGCCAGTCACGCACCCAGCTCCAAGACCACACCGCCCAGTGCCTCTACCTCCCAAACTCCAACCTCAGGCCAAGACCCAGAGGAGGGGTGGCAACAAACAGTCACACACCAAGACATTCCCCTGCCACCATGCATGCCCCATGGTGCTCCCCATGGAGGGCGGGAAGAGGCCAGCCGCCCTGGAGCTCCCAGAAAGAGAGGAGCTCTGCCACCAGGTGTGTGCCGGCCAAGCTGCGAGCCAGCCCAACCCTGGGCCACCCATGCCCACGCCTCCTCCAAGGTCCTGGCCTGGGCCAGGAAGCCGGGTGGAGACTGGAGGGCGGGGGCCTATCTCACCCAGAGTTGCTAAAAAGAGCCAACGGGGAAGTAAAAATAGGAAATAAAAATAAAATGGCTCCAGCCAGGCCTGGTTGTTTGTGTAGGAAGCAAGGCCCCTCCCCAGCCAGCAGGGAGGGCTCGGCTCCAGGTTCCTCCCAGAGGAGGAATGTCCCCCCACCCTAGCAGCCCCCAGGACTCCAACCACACGCCAGAACCCCAGGCTGGAAGTGGCTCAAAGAAGAGTCCCAAGAATCTGGGTTCAAATCCCGACTCTGCTGTTAACTGGCCACATGATATTGGGCAAGCAGCTGAGCCCCTATCTGTAGCTCGGCCTCCTCATCAGCACTGGGGTGCAGGGAACGAGGGAGCGTGCCATGCTGTGCTGGGCACACACTCCAGGTACCACCACCCACGGCGGGGCCTGCGGTCACAGCTCCAGCCACCCACCTCTCCCTGTCCCCACCAGGACCCTCCCATCTGTGCTCTCACTCCGCCCCAAGGTGGGCCGTCAAGAGGTGAGGGCACGAGGCCAGGGTCAGGAGACAGCCTGGCTGTCAGCTCGCCCCGCTTGCCAGCCATGCCGCTCTCAGACCTCAATTTCCTCATCCACACAATTAGAGGAAGCCTTCCTTCCTCTCCTTTCCTGCGAGGCCTTTCCAGGGTTCACATGAGGCTCATTCGCACCAAAGCGTGTGTGACTGACCCTGGCTTCAGGATTGGCTCAGCTCATTCTCCCAGGGCGCAGAATTCCGCAGAAGACAGGCTCCTTGCTCCCGGAGCTGAGACACCCCAGCTAGAGGGCCAGGGAGGACCGCTTGGGCCACAGCTCACACATCCAATCTACCTGCTCAGCCTGGACGGCATGTGGCTTAGGCACTGCTGGCATTGCTCAAGAAGGCAGCTGCGGGCCGAGGCGTGCATCGAGGCTCATGCACCGAGACCGTCTGCCTGGGTGCCTGCAGAAAGGGATCTGAGTGCTTCGGGTGGTCGGTGATACCTGCCACGCTGTAGGCCAGAGGGCAGGCAGTGAGCCGGTGCCACGTGAGCCCCACTTAGACCAAAACATACTGCTTCAGAGTGCTCCCTGGCACTTCCTAAAGCCCCTCGGCCCTCACTCCTGGCTGGACAATTATCACCCCTGTGACACTTCCTGGGAACTGGCTGAAAGGTCAGTGGGTGGCATCACTGGTCTGCCCCAAACCACCATCCCCACGATGGCCAAAGTCTTTCTAGAACATATATCTGCCTGCAGCCCTCCACAGCCCCCTACAGCTTCTCATTCTCCTGTCCTGGACCCCGAGCCCTCAGGACCCTTAGCTAAGGAGGGAGCCGGACAGCACGGGCAGTGGCCAGTCTCAAACCTGGACCCGCAGGCACAAGCCATCAGAAGGTGTGGGGCACAAGACACACAGAAGCACACACAGGCACACATGCCGACACAGCACGGGCACAGGGAGACACGAGGACACAAGTGCACACGGATACACACTCACACAGGGACAGGGACAGAGGGACACAGACATGGGTGCACACAGATACAGGCTCAGACATGGACACAGATGTGCACAGAGGAACACACATGCACGGGTGCACACAGACAGGCTCACACAAGAGCACAGGCGTGCACACTCACATACACACAGGTTCACACACAGACACACACAGGCTCACACAAGGGCATGGATGTTCACAGACACACACACATGGGCTCACACACACACAGACTCACACACACACACACACAGAGGCTTACACACAGACTCATACACACAGGCTCACACAAGGGCATGGGTGTGCACAGACACACACGGGATCTCACACATAGACACACACACACAGGCTCAAACACACACAGGCACACACACAGAGACACACACACACACAGGCTCACACACACACAGGCACACACACAGACACACGCACAGGCTCACACACACAGAGACTCACACAGAAACACACGCACAGGCTCACACACACAGGCTCACAAAAGGCCATGGGTATGCAGAGACTCACACACACACGGGCTCACACACACACACACACAGACTCACACACACTCACACAAGGGCGTGGGCATGCACACCCACACACAGGCTCACACACAGGCACACACTCACACAGGCATGGCACCCACACACTCTCACACACAGGCTCACGGGCTCACACGCAGACAGAGGCTCACGCGCACAAACCCTGGCTGGAATCCCAGCCACACACATAAGCCCACACAGGCTCACGGGCTCACACGCAGACAGAGGAGGGTCTGGGGAGGACGACGCGCCCCTGAAGGCCAGGCAGGGAGGGAGGAACAGCGCGGGAGGCGCCATGCCAGCCACCTCAGTCCTGGCCTTTCTGCCAAGAGCTCTCCAGGCTGGCCAGAGGGCATGAGAGGGTCCCTACGGACAGGGCACAGGGAGGCAGGGCCCTGAGCCCACGGGGCCAACCCCAGGGGGGGTGACCACCAGCCCTGCCCCGACACCAGGCACACGGCCGGCGACCTAGGTCCGGCTCCAAGTCCCCAGGTCCCTGCCGGTGTGGGCACTGCCAGCGCCAAGCAAGGCATCCACAGCAGGAGGCAGACAGCAGTGGTGACAACAATCGGCTCCTTGTTCTCAGAAAGGCGGCCAGGCAGACCTGAGGGAGGGCAGAGGGGTCAGCAGGGAGGGCAGAACGGCGGCTGTCTCCAGAGTCCTGGAGGGAGGATCTCTGGGCTCTGGGGGACCCTGGAGACTCCCAAGTCCCAACAGAGGCCTGCTCGCTCCCCCAGTCTCACCCGCAAGGCTGGGCACAGTGCAGGGGTCTGGCCCCAGGGCAAGGCTGGGGTGCCGGCTGCAGGGAGAGGGGCACCAGCTGCCCCCTCCGATAATGAGTTCACAGCTTATCAGCCACGTCCAGGCTGCGTGGGATCCGGCAGCCAGCCCCTCCCCTGCCCCCACCAGCAGCCGGCAAGCATCACTGCTTCCTAGGCAGGAGGCCTAACTGTCCACACGCAGGCAGGTCCTGGCCACTGACTGCGGCCAGACGCACGTGGGGACACGCCTCTCCCAGCCAGCAAGAGTGGCAGTGACCTCCCCTGTGACCCCATGGCCTGGGGGATGCCAGCCCAGGTCAGAGGGACCCAGGTGCCACTTGGGCTGGAGGCCCGTCAATCTGGGACCAGAAGTGGCCTGTGTCCTGCAGCCAGGGGCACCCTGACATGAGGAGGCCCTTTCAGCGCCACAGCTGGCATTTGTTCTTTAGAAACCATGTCCCACGGCAGCCACAGGGAGCCAAGAATGAGCCAGCAGGGGTCGAATGCCTGGCGATGGCCGTGCCCCACACACCTGCCCGTGCTACCAGCCAGAGGGAGGCCCAGGGAGGCCCCGGGACAGTGCAGCAGAACCACATGCTTGTCTTCTGTCAGGGCTCCTGACACCTCTGTCCCTCCCTGTGGTCACTGCCCAGCGTTTCCCTCCATGCCCTTCCTGAGCCCTACGTCGTCTGTGGCTGCCGCTGACCGCCCATCTCCCCCGCTGGCCTGGCAGCCCACGAGGGCAAGGACCTGCCTGTCGCATCCTCAGAGCGGCTCTGGACAGAGGGGCCCTCCGTGAGCACTGGGGGCGCAGTCACCCATCTCTCCCCCGCCACCTCTCAGGGCTGGCACGCGGCCACCTGAACTGAACGAAACCCGCCTGTCTCGTTTCTTTTTGGAGAGGTTCAAGTTTTGCATTCTACGTCTGCTCCGAGGACATCCAAGAGTCTCTGGGCGACCCCCCAGAGGGAGGCGCACTGCTGTCTGATGCAAGGGAAGGCAGAGTCAGCGAGCTCTGCCCTGGAAACCTTCGACGACGCAAAGTGAAGACACAGGTGTGAGGACGAGACATTGGCTTTTCCCAGGCCAACTCCTACGCATCCTTCATGACCCAATTCAAAAGCCCCAACTCTCTGCATGCCAGGGTGAGCCGCTAATGCCTCCTCCGTGTCCCTTCTGTCTCCAGTACCTCCTCCCACCACCACGCTCACACACCATCTCCACCCCAGACTGGGGTCAGGGATACCTTACAGGTAAGAGAACTAAGGCCCAAAGAGGGTTAAAACATCTGGTCCAAGGTCATATCCCATCAAGTGGCAGCACTGGGGTCCATCCCAGGCCATCTGACCCCAGAGACCACTACTGCCCGCTTGAGGGCTAAGCCTGGCTCTACTGGGCCTTCCTAGTGGCCAGGAGGAGCCTGATGGATGTGGATGGACGGACGGACAGACAGATGAGCGGACGGACAGACAGCAGGCAGGTGGGAGGCGCTTACTTCCCTCGTGGCTGGCCTTGACCCCCCACACTGCTACAAGTTTCAACAAGACATGCTTACCAGCAAAGGAAGGACCCAGGTCCCCAACAAGGGCAGGCACTGGGGCTGAGCACCCCTCCCTCTCTCGATCTGGGAATCTGAGTTCAAGGACTCCCAGGCTCTGTCCAGCAGCCGGTGGCAGCCACATCTCCAACACGCTGAGCACTGCTGGGGCCTCTCCACAGGCAGGGGCACCCCCCAGCCTTAAGCCTCAGCCTCAGCTCCCACCCAGGGCCCCCAGGGATTCCAGCTGGCCCACAGAGTCCTCGAGGACAGTCCCAGACCCTCCATCTACTCCCACTCCCAGAAACCGACACCGAGCTAGACACACAGGACTTCCCTTCCCTGGAAACTGGACCGGCCTCCAGAACGAGGGGGATTCAAGTCATGGTCACGATTTGAGAAATCAACTTTGCAAGGAACGGGCTCACCCGTCACATTTCTGAACCTGAGGGGCGGAGGGGATCAGTTGGCTGACCACATGAATTCGTGCCACAAACTTCATGAGGCTTATATGGCACCTGGCACTGTGGGCTCCGCAGCCACAAAGATCCAGAGCCAGCTCCGAGCCATGAGAGGGGGTGCCTGGAGCCAGCCCTGTCTTGAAAAAGACTCTGAGGTCTGAGGGCCCCACGGGAAGAGGAGCAGGGCCCATTCAGCGACATCCACCAAGGCTCCGGCCGGCCACAGGGGCACAGCGGCACACTTCCAGCCGTGGACTCTGCCTGGCATCCTTCCTTCTATTTTCCAAATGAGGAAATCAAGACGAAGAGGGAAGAAGGAACGTGCTCCAAGTCACAAAGTCCATGTGGCAGAGAAGACCCGGGCTGTGAGCATGCCATTGCCCAGGCCCACTGTCTGCAGGGGCCTGGAGACCAGCTCTACGTTGCCGCTAAGGGGTGACGCCCCCTGTGATCCCAGCCTCAGGAGAAGGTGGGTCACACAGGACAGAGGGGTGGATGGCTCTGACCTTGTGCCCAGGAGACTGAGGGGAGGGAAGAGGAAGGCCCCACTGCCCTTCCAGTCCTCACCCCTCCACTGGGCCCGGGATGGTGCGGTGGTGCTGCCTGCCAGGCCCGCCTTGCCACTGTCTGTGCCCAGAGTGACCTGGCACCCCTGACGAAGGCCCCGCCTCCCTGCCCTACACCTCGACCTTGATCCTGGGCAGAAAGTCCATGAAGGGGTGGGGTAGGGGCAGCTCCACCGCCTCCCGTGGACTCTGCTCACGGTCAGAGCTGTTTTCCTCCCTCCGGGTGGGGAGAGGGCGAGAAGCCATCCAATAGCCTTGCACTCACACAGGGGGCTCCCGGGCAAATGGCGCCTAAGCTGCCCACAGGGAGAGGCAGGGACCAAGGCAGGACCACAGGGCACTACAGGGACAGACCAAGGGGTATAGGAATAGGTGGTAGGGAAGGGCCCCAGCCGTTCCTCCCAGTAGTGGACACACCCTGGGAGCCAGGGCCCCGAGGTGGGGTACCGCACATGGGCGCCGGTAGGAGTCACACTCCAGACCTGGGCAGGAAGGAGAGGGGACATCAGGCCAGCTGGGGGCGGCCAGGCTGCAGCGAGGCCCACCCCTAGCCTGAGCTCCTCCCAGGGTTAATTATTCCCAGGCCAGCTGACCATAGCCTCATGCTCACAGGGGTCCCCACCAGCACAGACCTGGAAGCCAGCCAGCAAGGGGCAGGCCAGAGGAGCCTGGTCACACAGTCAGACCCTCAGAAACCCTCCAGGGAAGCCCCTACTTACGCCCGCACGGGCATCCCTTCCCCATACCCTTGGCTAGAACCAGATCCCCCTGGAAAGAATCCATCCATTCTCTCTGCCTTGATTCCTTCCCCACTTCCCACCCAACAAACTCCTACTCATCCCTCAAAACCCAACTACATCACCTCCTCTGTGAAGCTTCCCTGACCTCCCCCAGGCAGTTTATGGGTGAGACAACTGAGGCCTAGTGAGGTGAATTTGCTAGCCCAGGGCCATACAGCCTGTGACTCAGAGGGGCGCTCACTCATCGCATGGGGCAGCCTACCTCACCAGTTAGTTTTAGACATGAGAAAATCAGTGAGAGGTGCCTAATGAGGTGGGAGAGGCTACAGAGCCACATGACACTAGGTGGAGGCCTGGCCTCCATCCTGGGGACAATGGGGTGCCATGGAAGGTTCCAGGCAAGGAAGGTCAGTGCCCAAAGAGAGAAGGACTAGCCTGGCCTTGAGTGATAACCGTCATGGGGACTGACCCCACTCATCTGTGGCCCCTACTGCCTCTGCTCTGCCATGCCCCCAGGCCACCTCTTCCCCATTATAAGCTGCACATCCCGAAAGCGCTTCACCACAACATGCCCAGTCCACATCCAGACCCACACCCACCCTGGCTAGCTCAGAGCCCACGGCTTCCTGGACGCCAGCAACCCAGGCCCTACCCCAGCCCAAGTCCTGTCCCCTCAGCTGGGGAGGGCATAGAGCCATTTCCCAGGGAGCTGGTCCCCAGGGTGCCACCCTGACCAATGGCCAACAGCATATCAGAACAAAGCCAGGGTGCCAAGAAGGCAAGGCAGAGGCTTTGACAGCCAGAGGGCCCCAGGGAAACTGAAGCCCACAGAGGGGAAGGGACCTGCCCAGGGCTACACAGCAGCCTGGTCAGAGAGCAGCCCCACCATGTAGAGAGCTGAGTTCGAGGGACGGCTCAGCACACACTGCCACCGCCACAGCCCATGCTATCACTGCGGCAGTCAATGACACTGCTGCCCAATGCCCAGTCCTATTTCTGAGGAGCAAACTGTCACCTTGGTGGCCCTCTGCACACCAGGCCTGGGTTGACAGGAAACCAGGAGCTGGATGCGGCCTGCCAGCCTCTCTCCAAGGTACCAGATACATCCTCCCCAAGCACAGGCACTGAAGCCACTGCTGACAGGCAGGAGAGGTGCTTCTGATCCCACTCTCTAAGTCAAGCGAGTCCTTCCTGCATACCTGTACTGGGTGCTGCAAGGATGCCCTCGCCTCAGAAGGGCCCTGCCCTCAGGAAGCCTGGGAAAAAAGAGGCTGGATGGGTGGCTGGCACGTGGAGAGCTCCCATCCGCCAGGCACCTCCACCAGCAGCGGCCTCAACACCTAACACAGGCGTGGGATCACTCCACGGCCCTCAGGCGGGAGGAAACTGGGCAATAGTCAGGCACAGACCCAGCAGGCTTGCCAGCGGGAGCTGAATGCAGGCTCTGGGCACCAAGTCCAAAGCTGCAGCCCCACCCCAAGCCCTGTACCAAGGGGGCTGCTGGGCACCAAGGATGGCAGGTGGGCTCTGGCTGGGAAGGAAGGCTGAGCCTGCACAGGTGGAGAGGGAAGAGCAGGCAGCGGGAGTCCCGGCAGAGGCACAGGGCTGCCCAGGCCCGAGAGCGCCCGATTCAGAGGGGCTCGGACACAGCAGCTGTTGGGAGCCCACCCCAGCGACTCCAGCCACCTGTGCTGTCACTGCCTGACCTCTGCCCAGGGCCAGTGTGGACACTTAAGCTAAATTGGTCAATTACAGGATACTTAGATCCCTCCCCGGGGCTTCCCAGCCTCACTGCATTCTGGGCTGCAGCACCAGGAAGCCTGTTGAATCAGTAACCTCATTACAGCCGGCGGCCGCACCCGGGGTTGTCTTTGAACTCCGAGGGTTTATCCATGGCGGCTGGAGGATTTACACACGGCCTGGCCCAGGCCCAACTCACTCTCCCCTCCCCTCAGCGCCAGAGGCTCCAGACCCCGCACGCACGGCAGCAGTCTGCGCCGACACCCATCACCCCCAGCCCTGGCCCCGGGTACAGCTGGGGAAACCGAGGCCCAGCTGGAAATTACTATGGCTTAGAGGGCCAACAGAGGTGCGGGGAGGCCAGGCACGGCCTCTGGGTCACCCCAGAGGTAGGACTGTGACCAAGGGCTTCCCGGCATCCCTCACCCCAGCAGGCAGTGCCTGGAAGAGGAGCTGGGGCTGAAGCCTATCATCAAAGACAGATGTGGGCTGTGCAGGACAGACCCCGTGGCAACTTCTCACACAGAGACCCTGAGAGGCTCTGATCCCCTGAAGGACCCCTGAATGTCCCACTCCCCAGCCCCAAAGTCTGGTCCCCTCCATGGTCTCAGCATCCCTGATCCGGCCCCAAGAGGCCCGGCTGCTCTACTCCCCCTGGACGGCCTGCCCCCTACTTCATCCAGAGCCTGGGGAGTGCAGGGGGGGCCGGAGCCAGGGCCAGGGAAAAGGTGCCTCACCCATACCCGTGCCCGGGAAAGACGACCCCCAGGCCAGCCCAGGGACCTGGCCTAAGCCCCCAGGAAGATGCTAGGAATCCTCCCCCCTTCCCAGGCTGCCATGCTGAGGAGCCCAGCCAGGGCAAGGGTGCAAGGCCATTCACAGGGGCCCCAAGGCCCACCTGAAACCAGTGAGCCACCTGGAGAGAGTCACTTCCTCCTTCCAGGCCTTGCCTGGCTGCCTCCAGACCACCCTCTGCACAGCACTGGTGGCCTCATTCCAGCCATGAGCACCACACTGGGATCCCCCAGTCTCCGGGCACCCATGCACCTACGCCCGGCACACAGGCCCTACCCAGCCTCACCTCACACGTGAACCCCCTCCTGGTTCCAGCCCTGCAACCCCACCCTTGCGTCCTCACCCTCTTCACCCCCTCCAGGCCAGACCTTGCTGTCCCTACCTCTGGGCACCCCTCCCCCACCCCTCCTCCACAGGCAGCAGGACCAGGCCAGCACCCAGCGGGCGCTCCCTAAGCCACGTGTGGACAAGCCCACCAGCAATCCCCGCCTCCCCAGCCAGGGTTGTCAAGGCTCTGCCAGGTCACCCTGGGAAGGCTGCGGCGGACGCCTGCATGCATGGGGTGGGCCGCGTGTGCTGGGTTAGGACCTCAGAAAGAACTGTGCCCCTACCCTGCCCTGCCCTGGGACCCGGGGGTCCAATCTCACTCCGTCCACTCCCCCAGGTACCTCAGGAATTTGCTGCAGACAGTGCTGCCCTGGTGGCATGAGGAGGTGGGCAAGCCACAGTTCCAGGCTGGGCCTCTGCTGCTCACCCAACTACAGCTTTCCACCTGGGAGTGGGGACTTCTCCTAGCCACCACCCCAAGCCAAGGACAACCCTGGAGTGAGGATCAAGGGGTCGCCACTCCTTAGAGGGCCTTCAACCAGCACAAGAGGCCAAGATGCCCAGTCCCAGGGCACAGAGCTGGCATGGTGAGACCTCAGCCCTCCACCAGGGTCCCCACTGAACAAAAACCTCACTCACTCGGGCCAAGACCAGCAATGGGGCTCCTGGGAACCAGCATGGGGCATAGACCCAGCCTGGTCGGTGAGCAGCCTCTGAGGATGCTGAGAGGCAGGAGGACCAGGGGCAGCAGAGCCCCCACCCTGGGGACAGGTCCTCCCAGCTGGAGCTCAAGGCGGCCCCCGCCAGTCAAGTGCCGGAGAAAAAGCAGGCCCCACAGCGGGACACAAAGGCTGGCCCACAGACCTCACCCAGGGTTCAGTGTCCCCATCCACTAAGTGGGCTTGTCTCTGTGACACCTCCACAAGGTCCCAAAAATAAAGTCCCTGGCACGCAGCAGGCACCCGCTGCAGCCATCGGCACCTTCGTGGGGGTAGGGTGAGTCCTGGACAAGTTGGGGAGATTTAGAAAAAAAGGAGGCCAACAAACCCAGCAGGGAGCACCATGATCCTTGGGGGACCCCATGAGGCCTGGCTCACTCACGGGCACGCCAGGACACGGGCCAGCGGCCAACAGCGCCAGGTGAGAGCCTGTGACTCTGTGTGTGTGCAACAGTGAGCGTGCACACACCCAAGCCCTGCACGCGGTCCGCACCCGCTCTCCCCACAGCGGCCGGGCCAATTTTCCTTAGCTGCTTTCTGCTCCATTTCACGCTCATTCAGCTGCTGAGCTAGACAATTGCTTTGTAACTCTAGGGCGCAATTTCCCTGTCTGTGAGGCGCTGGGGCACAACTGCTCAGAACATCTCGCACCAGGCTCGGGTGGGTGTGCAAACCGCGGTCCCTCGCCCCACCTGCCTTCTTGGGACTCTGAGGAGGGTCCCTGGAGTGGCACAGGGGCTGGTCCCAAGGACCCAGCAGCAGCGAGCGCTCTCCTGTGGCAGGCCTATATCCACAGAAAGGGCTACCTCAGTGTCCCCGATGTCCTCTATTCCTGAGTCTGTTCCTCTACACCTGACAGCCCCCAGCGACCATCATGGCCTGTTCTGGTCCAGTGCTGGAAACCTGGCCCCACCTGACCCAGGCAGGAGGCACAGAGAGGACCTAGCCACAGGATAGGGGAAACGCCCCACAAACAGACTCCCCAAACTCCCAGCCAGCCTACAACACACCAGGCTGCCTTCTCCAGCATTTGGAAGAGCCAATGAGTATGTCCATTTTTCAGATGGACAGCCAAAGCCCCAAGAGGCCAAAGAGCAGACCAGGCAGGCAGCGAGGACAGAAGGCCCAACCCCAGGTGGCCTGACCACCCGCCCAGCAATGGGACACCACCTGTCAGAACCTCTTCCTGGGAAGGTGCTGATCCCTGCAAAACCACCACCACCTCCATCCTGCAGGTAACAAAGGCCCTGAATGGGAGGGGGCAGAGGAGAGGAAGGAAGGATGAAAGACAGAGCTGCACCCTATAAAATGGAAACATACAGGCAGGTGGGCAAGGTGCAGGGGGGAGGAGGGTGACCCCTCTACCCACACCATAGCACCCTGAAACTGATCAGCTTAAGAATCTCAGGACAAAGGTCTGGAAGGTGACCCCCAAATGGACACCAGCCCCCAACAGCCACAGGCCAGCCCCCCAGGCCCTTGTGGCCCTAGACCCCAGCCTCATCCCTAGCCCAGCAAATGGCCAATTCCTATGAAAACACACCAGTTAACAGGCCAACCCAAGGCCCTGGCCACCAAAGCCAGCTAAAAAACACAAACTCAAGCCTGGCAGAGAAGGGAAGGAGGGGCAGGTCTTGGCTTGCAAAGCCCGGGTCCCAGGGACAGTGTCCCAGCCCTGAGCCAGCTGGGGGTTGGGGAGGGCCTCTGCCCTGTGTCTGCTGGGACAGCTGTGCCCTCTTCTCCAGAGGACAGGCATTGCTCACCACTCGAGGTCCCAGCCCTGAAACATTTGACCCATGGCAAAACCAAACGTCACCCAAGAAAGGAAACTCCCCAGGCAGCCTCCACTGGCACTGGGTGGACCTGTAAAGCTTTCACCCCGCCCCCACACCACCTTCCATGCAGCTGAGGTCTGTCCCACCCTCTCCTGATGCCAGAGCCCCCTGCCACATGCACGACCAGGCCCCAGGGGCAGAGGGGCACACCCCTGAGTACCCCCTGTTCCCACAGTAATTCCACAGCAAATCCTGCAGGCACCCTTTCCCAGGGGAGGAAACAAAGACCACTGACAGCGACCTCCCACACAGCCACGGGGGAGATGGGGCAGGGGCCAAGAGAGGGCAGTCAGAGGGGCCTCCTGGTGGAGGTGAGCCCCCCACAGGCCCTGAAGGACAGGCACAGCTGGAAGAACCACCAGGTGCTGGCAGAGCCGGGAGCCAGTCACAGCAGCTGCCCGCGTGACCAGGGCTGCCGGCTCAACCTGCACCCCACACCCCAAGGGACTCAGAGCACCCGCCCCCCACCAGCCCTTCCTAGGGGCCCAGCTCGTCCCATCCACATCTGGGCAGAGGGTCACAGCTGCATGCTCGGGTCCAGGCCCAGCAGCCAGCCCTAGGCAAGGTTGGAGGCTAGCAAGCCAGGGCCACCATCGGACTGGGCCATTTTTCTCTCCCTGACACCTCCCCAGTCAACAAACAGGGCCCCTCCAGAGTTTACCAAAACAAACACCCTGCCGTCGGGCAGCGCCCGCGCTAAAAGACGCCCTCGTCAGGCCCGAGCGGGACTCCAAGCCCAGCCTCCTGAGAGTCACATGACCCTGTTATTTCGGGAGGCCCCGGAATGTGCTCTATTTTGGGTCCCAAGGGCTCTGATGTTACCAGAAGCCCCTCACACAGGCTGCAAGCTCACCCAGGCCCCCAAGTGCCCCAACTCCAAGAGTGGTCAGCGGGCCTACAGCTTTGCCACCGGGTCTCTCCACAGGCGCATGGGGTCTGGTGTGGTCTGAGACCTTTGGACTCTGTGGACTCCGCCTGAGTCCCACCATTCAGGATAAGGCCAGCGGGGGCCTTCTCCCCGGCAGGCGTGGGAGCGCGGCCAGCCCCGGGCAGCAGGGCCAGGAAGCTGGGGCTGCCTCTGGCGAGTCCCTCGGCCTTGCTTTCCTTCCAGATCTGGACGCTGCACTCATCCCTGCCCTCACTGAGCGGCTCGGTGGACACCGACTGGGATCCTCTCCCTGCCCACCAAGCCCAGCGGTAGTGAATGCTGGGAGGAGGAAGCCCTCTCTACCCCAGACCCCAAAAGCGGCTGGGCAGCTGTAAGGGGTGGCCGAGTCTCCCCAGCAGCTCCAGGTCTGACCGGTCGGCCAGCCGGGCCAAGACAAGCCAGGCCCTCCACCACCACTCACCCCGAGGAGGGATTAGGCTGTGTTGACAAAAGGGCTTAGAAAAGTAGCCGCTTAAATGGACCTTCGACTGCTCTGGACTTCAGAGCTGGTCACAAGCTTAGAAAAAAAATAAAATGTAATCAGAGCCCAGGGCTCTCTGCTCAGCCCTGGGGCGTGGGCTGCCTGGGAGGCCATGGGCCGGTCGGGAGAGCTGCTGCTCGAGAACAGAAGACTCCTAGCTTCCTTGTGGCAGGGGAGTGCCCAGGGAGATCCCTGGGGCAGTGGCTCGGAGGCACGACCTCTCCTCCTCACAGGGACTCCAGCAAGCCACCATGGCGACTGGGCACCCCTTGCTCCCTCGCCCTACATCCACCAACTCCGTGGACTATCCCTGTCCCACCCGGAGCATTAGAAACAGGGACCTGTTCGGTTCTCAGTACTCAGCTGAAGTGCAACCAGCCAGGCCCCTGCCACGTCCAGGGGCCAGACACTGAGCTGAGCATTCTTGTTCCAGAGGAATCGTCTGGGAGAGCCTAGCTCTGTGTGTGTGGATGTGTGTGTGCACATGTGTGAGTGCAAAGCTTTAACAGGGAAAGGCAGCCCCAGCCCACTCCACACTGCACTCGGTCACAGACAGCGCAGCATTCCCTCCTGCCTCACACTCAGCAGTACCACGAGCTGGGGGTGCTAATCCCAAATCCACCACCTTGTATCCTGGGGGCTCAGCCTCTCCCAGCCAGTTTTCTCATCTGCAAAATGGGCATGAGCGCCCACCCCTGGAGGCTGAGCCCTGGAGCTCATTCAAGGCCTCGAGCCCACCACTCCATCATGACAGAGGCAGGGAGTAAGCGTTAGGTCTGACAAACCTGGAACCCACCGCCTGCCCCGGTCACGGGGCAGCACACCTGCCTGTGAGTAGCAGAGGTACTCAGACTCTCACCCTCACATCCAGGAGGGGCTAGGTCCATGCTGGCTCCCCTTGATGCCCCATCTCACTAAACATCCCTGCAGCTACATTGGCTTCTGAGCACCTCCTGGGGTGGCCAAGCTGCACCCCAGGCTGCAGGGAGGGTGGGCAGGAGGGGCTACGGATGGCGGGGGCTTCATTCATAATCAGCTGTTTCGATTTCCATTCAGCACAAATCCTTCACCCGGCCTGACAGCCTGGCTGCCGTCCCACCACCAAATTAATATCCTTCCCGGAGCTAATTTATAAAGTCTCCCCCTTCTCACTAGCTTCCAAACCCTTGGGAGGGCAATGGGTGGGGGCCCCAGCCATGCCCTCTCCCCCTTCTCGGTAGGTCTGGGCCTGGAGTTGGCGGGCAGTCTGGGATAGGAAGCTACCGGGCGGGATGGCAGGAGGAGGAGGGAAACTGACCCTACGCGCCTCTGCGCTGTCCTGCTCACAAATGGAGAGCCAGCCTGGGAGAACACCCGGGGGTGCCAGAGTGAGGGGCCCCATTTCTGGAATGGGGCCTTCCCAGGTCTGACGTTCTGTTCATACAGCCCCGGGGGACCCTGCCCACCCGGGCGTGGGCTGCTTTGGGGATAACAGGGTCCCAGTCTGTTTCCTGGGCGGACACACACCCAAGGGCCAGCGGCCTGCTAGAAGCCGCAGCCCGACGGGCGGGCGGCGCAGAGGCCGCTCGGGGCCCAGCGCGCCGTCCCGGTCCCCAGGCCAGGGAGGCCGGAGCCGCGGAGCGCAGAAGTTGCTCCTCCCGCTCCGGCCGGGTTCCTGTGCGGCGCGGCTGCAGCTGGGCGCCGGGGCGCAGGCGGCCGCCGGTGAGCGGGAGACCCCTCCTCGTCCCGGGCGAACCTGCCACCCGCCCCCCGGCCCCGCCGCCCGCCCGCTGCCCAGCCCCGCCCCGGCCCCGCGAAAAGTTGCCCCGGGTCGACCCTCCCCGGGCCCGGCGCCCGAACTCACGCGAAGGTCGGCGAGGGGTCCGAGCGGGGCCCGGGCCGGCGACCCCCCGCGCGCGCCGCCAACGCGCCCCCGGCCCCCTCCCGCCCGCCGGCCCCCGGCCCCCGGCCCCGTCCCCGCCCGGCCCGGCGAGCACTCACCGAGCGGCAGGAAATGTTTGGTGTCCATGTCTGCGACTAACTCATGCCCGGCCGGCGGCGCAGGCAGCGGGCGGCGGGCGCGGCGGCCCCCGGCGCGGCCGGCCCGGGCCCGGGCGGCGGGGAGCCGGCGGCTGCGGTGGCGGCGGCGGCGCGCGGAGGCCGCGGCGCGGCGAGTTGTTGCAAAAGTCGCCCAACAATGTAAACTACTTGTGTCTGCGCGCCGCCGCCGCGCGCGCCCGGCCCGCGCCCCCGCCGCCGCGCGCCCGCGCCCCGCTCCGACCGCGGCGCTGCGGCGCCGGCGGGGGGGTGGCGGGGGGCCCGCGACGGGCGCTGACTCGGCGCAGCGCCGCCGCCACCGCTCGGCCCGCGCCCCGCCCGCCCAGCCCCGCCCGGAGCGCGCCCCCCTCCGCCGCCGCCGCCCCGCGATCGCCGCCCGCCCGGCCGCCGAGTTGAGAGCGCCGTGCAAACTTGCGAGTTCGCCTCCGCCAGGGGTTCCCGGGAGCCGCGAGGAGGCGGCGTGGGAGGGGGCGGGGCGCAGAGGGAGCGGGGCGGGGGCGGGGGCGGGAGCAGAACTCCCTCCCCGGGCCCGCCACACACTCGCGCACACACACACTTGCGCGCAAGGGCCCGGAGGAGGCGGAGAGCCGGGCCGGGAGCCCAGCGGCCGGGCCATTGTCTGCGCGGCCACACAAAGCGGCCGGGCGGTGGCCGCGAGGGGACCCCGGCCCGGGCCAGGCAAGCGCAGAGCCGGGCGGGATGGCCGCGGCACCCATACCTCGCACCCCGCCGCGGCGGACACGTGGGGAAACTGAGGCCCGGGAGTGGCGATGTGCCCCAACGGCAGAGGACAAGCTCCTCGTCCGGGGAAGGTTTCGTCTTCCGGACGCTACCCCCGGTCCACCCCACACTTTCACGCCCTACCCCCACGGAGAGACCCACGAGCCCACCGGGAACGAGGAGGGGTGCGCGCTTCGCCTCCTCATCGACCCGCACTCCTGGGACCCCTCTTCAAAGGCACCAGGCTGGGCAGGCGCTGCCCGGAGTTGGACACAGACTTTGTGGCCGGTGGCTATTTTTATACCCTGGGTAGTTCTCTGCCTGACTTTTAAATTCACGATTTGTTTGAAAACGAAAGGAAGCACTCCTGCCCCGGGACAGCTCGGGCCGCCTCCGCCGCGCGCCGCCCGCCGCCCGCCGTCTCGGGCGGCTGGAATTCGGATTTGGGTGTGAGCTACCTGCGCGCCGCCAAGCCCAGCCTTCCTGAGCAGGCGCCGAGGCGCCCCGCCGCGCCCTCCCTCCGCACCCCCACCGCGAGCTTGCTGACCACCTAGACCTAAGGGCCCGGGCTGCGAGGCACAGGGACTGACCATTCACGCAGGCTGCGCGTGGTGGCCCGGGTCAGGGGACGCTAATGGGGAGGGAGGTGAGGAGGTGATGACCGCGTGTGGACAGCCATGACACGGCCCAAAGATAACAGCCCGAGACCAGAGAGGTGTCCTGCTGCCTGGGTGCCCCTCAAGTCGGGCCACCCGGAGCTGGGTTCCACGAGGGCTCCGGTGGCCTGTTCCGGTGGGAGGTCTTGGTTCCACTTGGGACAGAAGTGCCCTGGTTGGGCAGCCCACCCCCAGCACAGCCAGAGCCCAAGGCAGCCCTCTCCCCCTCCCCCTCTTCACTGACCCCTGGGCCCCTACCAAAGGCCACCCCGTCCCCCTATTCACACACCCTGTCCAACAGGCAGCCTGCCCCACTCCCTCCGGGATGAGGGCCACTGTTGACACCTGGTCCTCACCCACTGTGGTTACAGCCACAACAGACCCACTTCCCCACTGCACATGGCATGCCGGCCCAACCCACTGCCCTTCTAAAACTGAGTTCCTCCTGCCAGGGAGGGGGGCGGCAAACAAAGGATAGGACTGAGAAAGAGCCCCCGTAAGCACCAACATACACTGCAAAAGTGCCATGTGCCCGCCGCGTTCCAGGCCTGTCTCTGTGACTGCTTGGGCCCCTCCTGACTGTACTCAGGTTGGGGGGTTGGGGGGGAGTCCCAGATAGACAAGGCCTGGGCCAGATTGCAGGTCCACCTCCTACCAACCGTGTGGCCTAGCTGGGTCACTTCCCTCCTTGTATCTCAGTTTTCTCATCTGTAAAGTGGGAACAACCACTCCCTCCTCACTGAGTCACTGAGATGACTAAGTGAGATAATATGGAGAGTCTGCGCTCGGGAGGACGAGCTCGGTGTGACAGTTATTGTGATGATGATGATGATGAAATGACGCTGAATTAGGCAGGCCGTTCGCCTATGCTCAGTGCAGGGAGAGCAAGGCTCTATCCAGCCAAAGGGCTCAGGCAGCTTTTGGGATCACTGGTTCTTGAGTCAGGTTTTGGAGCAGGGAGGTTCCATCAGGCAGTGGCCGCCCAGGCAGCAGGGCCGGCTGAGCAGCGGCCTGCAGAGAGAAGGAGCAGCAGGCCGCGGACGGCAGGTCAGGACACGCCAGGCAATGGTGGGAAGGCTGGGCTGAAGTGTCTGAGGTCACCTCCCAATAGTGGGCGGTGTGGCATGCTGGACTCTCCACCCCACCCCCATCTCACTCCTTGTCCCTGAAAACTCAAGACTCAGGAGCTGTTGGTGCCTGGAGTCGGGGAGGCACATGCAGACAGATTTCCATGTGGGTTCCTCCTGGGAAGGCTGAAGGTTCCAGAAGGGCCCTCTGTTCCTAAGAAACACCGGAAGGCGTCATCCCCTGCTCTAGAGACCACGTGGAGAGCGCACGGAGTCCGGAGTCCTGCAGATCTGGGCTCACATCCAGCCTCTGTGCCCACAGACGGTGAATGGCTCTCAGCCCCGCCCTTCTCTTCCATGGGGCAGGGGCCTGGGTGCTCGGCCGCCGAAAACACACCAGGTCCTTGATGGAAAATGACGATGCCGCTTGTTATTTCTGTGGCCACTACTTTTTATCCTCCCCCTCAGTTTGGAGCTTTTTGGTGCAAATGATTCTACACGAAACCTCCCGGGATAGTGGCTGCCCCATATGAAATGGCCAGGTCTGAGCCAGCCATGGAAAAAAACACCCCAGCCTTCCCACCATGTGCTGCTACAGCCAAAACTATTTTTATAGTAGTATCCATTTATTCACAACCTGCGATCTAAGAAGGTTTTGTTTTTTTGTTTTTTTGTTTGGGTCTTTTTTTTTTTAATTTCCCTGAGGGACGCTTTTTAAGGTACTTTGGCCTATTTCATATGCCTGTCTCGGCTCAGTCTTGTAAACAGTCCCGGGAATTGCTTGTTGAATAATATTTTTAAAGGCTGGTCTCTGTGCTGGCTGAGCATGAGGAAGCTGGCGTCTGGGTGGACTGCTCCCAGAAGTTCCCAGGACACCAACGGGGCTCTAAGCTGCTTCCAGAGGTTCCCTGTGGTCCTGAGCTGGTCACTAGCAGGACCTCACAGGGGTTTGGGGAGCTCAGCCTCCAACAAGGGAGGCCAAGGGCTTGGGTACTGCTGGGCAAGGTGGCCCGATCTGTCCCCAAGCACCTCAGCCTAAGGGGACTCTCTCTCACATCCGTTGTGGCTCCTTTGGGGACAACACCTTTTGTCTGTGGTGACCGATGATGACTCGAGCTGGGAAGTAGAGCCGAAAGCTCAGAGAGGCAAGGGGCCACCCGGCAGGTCCACATGGAACTGGGACTAGGCCCAGGGGTCCCAGCCCGAACCCCCTTTCTCAGTCATAGCTTGTCTCTCCATCAGTCTAGAGGGAAACACTCAAGCCACTTGTCCACACCTGGGCTCCAGTCTGTTCTGCTGAGTGGAGAGGAAGAGAAAGGATAGGAGGGAGGGGAGAGGAGAGGACAGGAGGGGAGGAGGAGGAAGAGAAGAGGACCCCTCTGCTCCTGGGTCTGGCCCTCTGGCAAAATGTTTGCAGGCCTGCAGGGCAGTCACCACTGACAGCGTCTGCCCTGGTAGCAGTCAGCTGGCTGGCCCTGCACACCCCAAACCCAAAGCAGTGCAGGGGAAGAGAAAGGTGAGGTCCTCCGAAGGCCAGCCGCTGCCTCCGTCATCAGCTGGGGTCTTACTTCCAGAACTCTGGGGAGCTGAATGGTGGCGTGAGCCAAAGAGTTCAGGTGAGTGAGGCTTAAGGGGACAGGAGCTGGTTTGTAATGAAGAGCCAGGATTTCAGTGCAGCTCCAGGCAAGAGACAGTGGGTTCCCTCCAGGGGCCACCAAAGAGCCCCACCGAATCCCAGCGCCAGCCGCAAGGGGTCACAGATGCTCAAAGAAGGGCAGGAACAGTTCTGAGAGTCCGGAGAGGAGGAACCTGAGCTTTCCAAGCTGCCTCCGAGGTGCCAGTCTGCTGCACACTGCCAGGTACCATCCCCTCTAACCCCACCCCGGCTGACCAAGACTCTGGTTTCCCCGTTTCCCAGATGGAAACACTGAGGCGAAGAGCAGCAGTGACTGACTCCAAACCGTGTGGTGACTCTGGCACCACAGTCCCCAGACCCAGGGCTGAGGTCAGTGGTCAGAACCCCCAGGAAAGACCCCAGACAACCACCGACCTCCGCCCCCAGCCTCCAATGAGCCACACCACCTCCCCGCTTCTCATGGCACAGGTCGGCCAGCCAAAGCAGCCGGTGCCAGGTGAGACCAAAGTCCAGAGAGAAGGGACATAGGTAACAGACTTGGAAAACAAGGTGCTGGGGAAGGTACCAGGAGGAAGAGGCCATAGCCTGGCTCTGCCACCAACTCTTACATGGCCCTTGGACAAGGGTACTCTCTGGACATCAGTCTCTTCTATAAAATAGAGAAAAGAACCAGCTAATCACAGAAACAAGAATATGACTACGGGGAAATAGAATGACAGCCTGTCTCACAGGAGCTAAGGAGACAGGCTGAGGCTGACGCTCCCAGCCTGGGGCCCAGCCCAGCCTCCCTGGCTCTGAAGGTGGCACGCCCCTCCCTGACACCTCTCCACCGTGCACCCCCAGACGCCCATCAGGCAAGGAGATTATGTGTTTTATCGGGGGCATTTATTATCGACACTTTCTACATACATCTCCCCCTACACATATGTGTACATACGAGGGGGATGGATGTGCAGGGGAAGGCCCCGAGCCCAGTCCCCCGATGTAGTCAAGCGGCCCCCATAAAGATAACGGGAAATGATTCATAATATTTATTTGACAGACATGATATGAACCGTAATAGTCTGTTGGGATTAAAAATATCCGTACGTCTCTGTCATCCACCAGTGTGGTTTAAATATGATCTATGTGGCCTCTGCGGCGGCGAGGAGATGGCAGCGGTTATTGACGGGCCGTAAAGAAGAGTCGTTTTGCATTGAAGGATGGGGAACTGAGCCCAGGAGTTTGCCTAACGCCCCTCGGTGCTTGCATCAAAATAAACTGTACTTTAAAATGCGGCTCCCTCCACCCCCACACTGCCAGCAAGTGGGGGTGCAGACGCAGCCCGGCACACATTGTTCCGCTCATTGGCTTGTGGAGGGCCTGGCGTGGCTCCAGGCTGCAGCTCAGGGTCCGATGAGGCTGTCATCCTCCCCGAGGAGGCCTCAGGACAGCCACGTGTGGCTAGGTCCCCAAAGGCCCTGGCCCCACCCCCTCTCCGTCAGCCTGTTCCCAACCTCGCCTGGCCTAAGCAGGCAGCACCCCCTGCCCCCAACCCTGACACTCTCAGCTTAAAAACTCTTTCATGCTGCCCACTGCCCTTGGGATAAAGTCCAAACTCCTGAGCAAAACTCACCAGGCCCTCCCTCCCTCCCTTCCCTTCATCATCTCCCTCCTGCCCGCTCCGAGCTCTTCCCACAAGAGCCCCCCAGGCTAGCACAGGAGAGACTGCTGTTGCAGGCCATCCACACCTGGCCACTCCGCATTCCTTGCTGCCTAAGCTCCAATGTGGCCCTCAGCAGCTCACCCATCTCCACCCCAGTCCCCAACACACACACACACGCACACGCACACATGCACGCATGCACACACTGCCTGGGCTGGCTTCTCTGCACCCTGCAGCAACCTGCATGTGCCTCTAGCCCTGGGCTGGCCGTGTCTTCCCACGGTCGGAGCTTGCTGAGGGCAGGAACTGGGAGCTCCAGTCTCCGCCTTCCCCACTGGGCACAGCTGTGGGATCAGAATGCTCACAGACGCTATTTTCAAGGGGCCCAGCTAGGCCACCGGGTCAGCGGCTTCTCTCCAAGCCCTAGTGGGCAACCAGGATACTTGTTTACATCTCAGTCCTTCTATACTTAGAAAAAATTATCTTCCCTCCCAGGGCCTCGGTTTACCTATCAGTAAATGAATCCGCGGCCCCGGGGACGAAGGCCCCTTGAAGGCTCAGGGGCATCTACCCACGAGGGAGCCTGGTAGGGTTTGCTGTGGGAAGCACCAAAGACAACCCAGAAAAATATCTGCTGGACGGAGGGTGGGGGGGCAGCACTTTTAAAACATTTTTTCTTTCCCCCGAAGATTAGAATGGGGGGACGCTTTTCACCCCACCCATATCACTGCCCCACCAGATCCTGCCCTGCCAGCCCCCAGCTCCGAGCCCCCAGCAGACAGCCACCACACTCCCTGAGGGGGAGCCCAGGCCGGAGGCTGATGAATCGCCAGCTCCTGGTGACAACTGGCCTTTGTTTCTCCCACTAACGAGGGTCCCCAAGGAAGGAGCCGCTTGAGCTGAGACGCAGGGAGGGGAGGGGCTGCCCTGGAAATGAGATCACCCAGGAGGAGGCCGGGCCAGCCGCCTGCAGCCCTCCAGCTCCAGGGGTCTGCAGCCTGGCCCCGGCACCACTCCTCGGGGCAGAGGCACAACCGTCGTAGGCAGGTCGTTGGCTGGACCGAAAGAGCATCTCTGAGGAGCCAAAAGACGCATCCATGCCTGCTTTTTAAGCTGCAGGCCTGGCCCCATCCTCCCGGGCCCCTGCCCGCCCTGTTCCCAGCCTCCTGTTTCATTTGCAGGGCTGGCCACTGGAGCACCTATGTGTGGGGCTCTCACCAGGCCCTCCGCCTCCTACCCAAGACTCCAGGGCCTTGCTGTCACCCTGCTGGGGCCTCCCATGGGCAGCAGACCCCTGGGTCTCAGGCTCCCCTGCCTCCCCTGCGAAGCCTGCCGGACCCCTGCATGCAGTAGGCGCTATCAGAGTGGGCTGGCTGACCTCACCCTGTCCTCACCTCCTTCCCGTCATCACTGTCTCCTCCTGCCCGGGAGTGACAGAGACCTAGGAAAGGCAAAGGGAGATAGGACCAGGAGGCCTTGGGTCCCACGCCCTGGACAACTGCCCAGGACCAGTGGGCTTTAAAAGGGTTTAATTACCAGGCCCTTTCCCAAAATCCCCTGAACATGGAAAGGGGGTGTGAGATAGGGGTGCCATGCCCTGCTGGAAGCCACTTGGGGGCCCCGGAGCCTGTCCACTAGGCCCCCGCCCTGAGGCACCCACTAGATTCCACAGAGTCACAGACCACCCAACCCTGGAAGTAACCCCAGGGCCCCAGCCCCATGTCTCTGCCCTGCGATGCTGAAGCTCAGGGCTGTAGGAACAGCTGAGGGCTGTACACGCTCAGGAAAGGAAGCCAGCATCCCCCAGGTTCCACCTGCCCTGCCAGCAGCCAAGGGAGGGACTGGACTCCGTCTGATTTCCACACCCCAGGGGTCAGCTGACTTCATTTGCTTCTGTGGCACAGTTGCTGTTTGAAGTTCTGCTGTTGTGATTGGGGATATTTAGTGTTTGAGAAAATAATGTGGTGTGTTCCAGGTTAATCATACCTATGTATCCATGGTAGACCCTGGCCAGGTGGTGGGAGAGGGCATCCTGGACTTTGAGGGGCCCAGGGGTCAGCGCTGTCTGATCCCGAGTCCCCCCCGGGCGAGACCCCAGGCCTCAGTTTCTCCCTCTGCAGCACCCTCGTGTAACTTGAATGAGATGTCTATACAGCCACCAGCCCAGGCCAGCCCTTCGCGGGCACTCAATAAACAGCCTAGTGAATGGGATCATCAGACTGGCCAGGGCGAGGCTCTCCAAGGCATATTCCATCAGGGAACATCTCAGCCCCATGGCCCGTGGTCATGCTCAGCAGGGAGTCCAGCAGTTGTGCGAAAGGCAAGCTTGCCCGTGGCCAGGCCCCAGCCTTAACTAATTTAAGCATGGCCAAAAACTTCCAGACTGTCCTGGTACTGATAGACTTGTCCCTGATCTTCTGGGTGGGTCCAGGGCCGTTTTAGAGAAGTCCATCCCTGGATGGGATGATGGGTTGCTATCCTGAGCCCATGGGCATGGAGCTGCCTGGAGGGTTCCTCCCCATGAGCTGCACCGGCTGGGTTGGCCCCCTGGATCTTAGCTCTTAAGAAGTTCTACACTCAGAAAGGCAGGAGGGGAACAGAAGTGCCACCAACAGGGACCCAGGGCTGTTCTGAGCTGGCTGGCGGGGGTATGGATTCCTGCTGTGAGCTGGCTGCGGGGGGGTGTGGATTCCTTCTGTGAGCTGGCTGGGGTGGGGGGGTATGGATTCCTGCTGTGAGCTGGCTGGGGGGGGTATGGATTCCTGCTGTGAGCTGGCTGGGTGGGGGGTATGGATTCCTGCTGTGAGCTGGCTGGGTGGGGGGTATAGATTCCTGCTGTGAGCTGGCTGGGTTGGGGGGGTATGGATTCCTGCTGTGAGCTGGCTGGGGTGGGGGGTTATGGATTCCTGCTGTGAGCTGGCTGGGGTGGGGGAGTATGGATTCCTGCTGTGAGCTGGCTGGAGGGGGCGGTATGGATTCCTGCTGTGAGCTGGCTGGGGTGGGGGGGTATGGATTCCTGCTGTGAGCTGGCTGGGTGGGGTATGGATTCCTGCTGTCACAGAGTGGCCACATGGACACTGGCAGAGAGGGGAGCTCTCGCTTCACCACGCCCATACCTTGTCACAACTCGGCAGAGAGGAAGAGCCAAGAGACCCCGGGGGAAGCGGGCTGTCCCTCACAAGGTGGTTAGCCCCTGCAACTGGCAGTGCCAAGGAGCTGGCCACCAGGCTGGCCTCAAAAGCCCCCAACACACAGCAGCCCAGCCACGGGTCCTCTCCGCTCTCTGGGTTCAGAGAGACATTAGCCAAGCGGGCACGCGAGAGACATTAGCCAAGCAGGCACGCGAGAGACATTAGCCAAGCAGGCACGCTCTTACTCTGACATCCTGGGTGGGGTCACTTCGTGGGTTTTGGAGCCAGCGAGGTGCCTGGATCCGTGCAGCCTGTCTGCGGGCTGACCATGGTGCAGGCTGTCTACTCCCCCAAAATGGGTGCTCAACATAATACATTGCTTAGTGAAAACAAAAGGCGGTTAACATTGCACACAAAAGGATGCCAGTTATAAATGTATACACAGAAATCTGAAGGAAAACACCTCCCACCCCCCGACTGGTGAACATTAATGGAGTGATGGGGGCTTCACACTCTTCTTTGTATTTTGCCTCCTTCTCTACAAGGAGTCTTTATTACTTTTATAATCAGAAAAAAAGTAGGGTTAGCAAGAAAGTCCCATCTGAAATCCATCTGGAACCTAACTCCTGGAGCCTGCAGCCAACCCCAGCTGGCCCTATCGCCCTATCTCAGAAGCACCCCTGCAGAAACCCCCTGCCACGTCACCCCATGTGACACCCTGGAAGCCAGCAACCGTGTCTCTGGAGCCCTCTCTTCTCCTCCCTAAGCAAGCCCTGTGCCCATGCCCTCCTCATCACCGGGGGTTCCCAGCCACCCCTCCCCCAGGCAGGCTGCACTCCATCAGTGTCATTCTGGAAACACCCCGTGTCAGCTTTGCACCGATAAGAACATGCTCACCCTTCATCCCGCTGCAAGGATCCTTGTCTGATCTGCCCACTCTGTCACTGGGCTGGATGAGATTAATAATACACCTAATTTCAGAGGCACAGAAGGTTGCATCTAAATGGCCAAAATATTTGGACCACAGCATGACAAGTGAGCTCCTTTTGGTGGTTTTAAAAGCTGACGCAGAAGCCACTTGGCTCTTGTTCAGGCCCGTCTCTTGCCAACACAACCGACTGGCTGGGCTCCTCCAGACCCCAGCACCCCGCCAACGCCACGCAGGCTTTGCAGCACCTCCTGTGGGCAAGGGGTGGAGGGCAGAGGGGGGGAACACAGGCCAGGTGCTTCCCCTGCCCGGGAAGCAACAGGTGACGCACCGGTGTCCAACACAGATTCTAGGTGCTACCCTATGGCTGCCACAGTGACCAGACACTCACAGAGCAGGGAGGGGACAGGACACAAGGGCCTGAACCACAAGGCCAAGGAGAGAAGGAGATGAGGGACCAGAGCCGGCTTCTGTCCAGGTGTCGGGGTGGCAGGTCCACGGGGAGAAGGGCGGGCATGGGGCTGCATGGGTGGGGGGAGGGCACCGGCAGGGTATGGGGTCACAGGTGCTTTGGGTGCTCAGTGGGGAGCCTCTCCGAGGTTGGGGTGGCCCAGGTTTGGAAGGACCTTGATCCCTAGGCTGAGAGGCTGCTGAAAGGGGGTTCTGAGCCCAGAGGGACATGCACTAGGGTGGCGCGTCCCAGTGTGGCCCCTGAGGCGCTTCATTCTCCAGCAGAGATGGTACAATTATTGGCTCTGTTTTGCTGAGAGGGAGATGACTTGCTTCGCGCTGCTGTGTCACTGGGGCCCAGGAAGCCGCCAGGCCTGGCTCCAAGAGGGCAAAGCTGCCCTGACCTCCTCAGGGGAGGAGCTGGGGAGCTGCTACACACACCCACCCCCGCACCCTCCAGGCCAGTTCAGCTGCTGGGGCCATGGTGCCCTGCATCCCCAAGAAGAACCAAGGGCCTCACTCTGCCCCGACTGCCTTCCAGAGGACCAAGAGCAATGCAGAGCCCTCGCCCTGGGCAAGACTCGGATGCCCAAGACCACCCTAACCGCCTTGGAGGTCTTCTCTTCCCCCGACCCCGCTCTTCCCCCCAATTTTGCACATGGGGACTCTGAGTCCCCAGAAGAAGGGAGGAGCTTGCCCATGCTACCCCGTGTGCTGGGCCTCGCAGCCCTTCCAAGCCTCAGAAGCTTCCAGCAGTCTCTGGAGCCCAGGGAGGCTGCCGCCCAGCCCTCGAATCTGCTTTGGAGCAAGGATTAGTGTCTGTGGGGGGTCCGCACCGCCTGCCTCCAGCCTGCTGTCCTCAGGAAGCCCTGGAGCTGCTTTGTCAGGGAGCCACTCGATGGGAGCCTTGGGGGGCAAAGGACTAACAGGATTTCTCGGCCCTGCCACGCCTGCGATTACCCCCTTTGGTGTCTGAAGAGGAATTAGCACAAGTCCCCTCCCATGGCCGGGACGACCAGCCTGAGCTACTCTGAATGGCTTTTCCTTTTACAGTCAGCCTTGCTCCTAGCTCAGCTGGATTTCGGTCCAGCAGGCAAAGGTGCTGGACAGACAGCCTGGCCAGACAGCCAGCTCTCGGGGCCAGGCAGCCCTCCCCACACTGCTGGGGGCCGTGCTGAAGTGCAGAACCAGTGAGGCCTGCTAAGCACTTCGGGTTAAATCCGCGTCCATGAGGCCCAAAGTGAGCACCGTGGCAGCACCCTTCTTCCTTCCACTCCAGATCCAGTAGCAGGGCCTTCTGTGAAGGCTGCTGTCGGCGTCAGGAGGCAGGTCGGATGTCCCGTGTACCTGCCAAATGTCCTTGCTATGTTGGGTGAACGAAGCCCTCAGTGGATGCTGCCGACTTGGAACGAGCCTGAATATCCCTTTCAGGTGGACACTCTCATCGATGTGCTGGGTCTGCTGGGTGCTGGCAGGCGGTGCCCACAGCGCTGGGACTGCCCCCCAGCGTGTTCTCAGGCCTTTGTCTGGAGCTGCCAGTGTGTCCTGGGGAGAGATCCACACTGTGGCTACCTCCAAGGGGACTGAGACTGGCCCCCACCGGCCTCAGTTAACTTTTGGCTTCTCCCCTCTGAAATGGAACTCAGAGGGCAAGGCCTCCATGCCTCAGTTACCAGCACTCTCCAGGGTATGCCAAGACAGGTTGGAGCCCCATGGAGGCCTCAGTTCCCAGCACTCTCCAGGGTATGCCAAGACGGGTTGGAGTCCCATGTGATGAGAGAATTGTGGTTTGGCCAGTGGGAGTGGGCAGATCTGGGCTTCACTACCTCCTGGCTGTGTCCTGGGACAAGTCACGGCCCTGAGCCTCAGCCTCCTCACCTGTAAAATGGGCACCACTAGTGGCACCTCCTGGGGAGTTGTAGGGCCAAAAAGCAGGGCGCAGCGCACATCTGCGGCAAATCATGTACTTTTGCTTTAAGAAAATTAGAATTTGACTGTGGGAAGAGGGGAGGAAGACTCCCAGGCATGCCCCAGATTTCATCTGTGTGGCAGAGAAAGGAGGTCGACTGTTCTCCTTCAAGGCGTGTGTCCCAGACCTCTGAGCCGGCCTCCCCGGCCTGTGCCTTTGCCAGGGCCTCTTTAGGAGAAGGCACTCCTTCTGACAGCAGAGGGCCCAGCCCTGCGCCCAGCCAGCAGCTCCAGCGAGAACAAGCAGACACCAGTACCACTTCCACGTTAGCCTCGAGCCAGCTGTCTAGATGCTTACCAAGAGCTGTCCCGGTCACAGTGGCAGGTTCCCGGCCACTGGGAAGCCACAGCTCTTGGCAGCAGTGAGACCTGTCCTGCGCTTTCCACGCTTCCATAGATGAATCGTGTGCCCATGAGCCTGGGCAAGGCTCTCAGCACCTTCAAACCCCCTTTCCTCATCTGTATAATGGGGCAATAAAGTCTCTGCAAGGACCAGAGTGAGGAGGAGACCAAAGCACTGTGGGTTGTGCTACCACTGTGATTACCAAGTGCCAGCCTAGAGGAGGAGGGGACAAAGATTCCCAAGTGAGGAGAAGGACAGGACTCATGTCAGCCATGAGGACCAAGACTGCTAGTTCATGCAGGAAGAAACGGAGGTCCAGAGAGAGGAATGGACTCTGGCACCATGTGGGTTGGACCAGCGGCCTGGAGCAATGACACAATGGGTATGACAAGACAGGGCTAGCTAGTCATGCCACAGCAGCAGAGAATGAATGGACAGAGAGGGTCAGGCTGCAAGCAGGCTTGGGGCAGGCAGTGTAGATTCCCCACAGGCACTAATCCCTGCTCCAAAGAGGAGTCAGGAGCTGTTGGAAGCTTCTGAGGCTGGGAAGGGCTGCTGAGAGGAGGCTGGTGAGGTCTGAGATGTTGGGGCAGAAGGAGCCCAAGGGAAATGGGGCTTGTACAGGAATCCATGGTATTACCCAGCGCTCCCATAGCAGGCCAGCACTGCAAGAATTCACCCAATCACGGGCCTATTTCTGCCCTAGTGCCTGGAAATGGTATCATATCTGTGGCCTCTGGATCCAGCCTGCCCTCTCCAAAAATAGGGAATAAAATTGCGATTGAAAAATGGCCCTGCATGTCAACATGTGTGGGATGCAGCTAAAGCAGTGTTTAGAGGGAACTTTATAGCATTAAATGCTTATATTAGAAAAGAAGAAAGATCTAAAATCAGTGACCTGAGGTTTCACCTTAAGATGACTTAAAAAAAAAAAAAGAGGCTGGGTAAAGTGGCTCATTCCCACAATCCTAACACTTTGGGAGGCAGAGGAGGGAAAATAACTTGAGCCCAGGATTTCGAGACCAGCCTGGGTAACATAGTGAGACCCTGTCTCTAAAAAACCTTTTAAAAATTAACCAGGCATGGTAGTATGCACCTCAACTCCCAGCTACTTGGGAGGCTGAGGTGGGAGGATCATTTGAGCTCAGGAGTTAAAGGTTGCAGTAAGCTATCATCATGCCACTGCACTCCAGCCTGGGTGACAGAGTGAAACCTTGTCTCAAAAAAACAAACAAACAAAAACAAAAGGAGTAAACTAAGTCAGAAGTAAGTAGAAGGAAGGAAATAATAAAGATAAGAGCAAAAAATCAATAAGTAGACCTTTGAGAAAGTTGAGAAAGGCAAAAACTGTTTCTTTGGAAATAACAAAATTGATTAACCCTTAGTTAGAATGGTCAAGGAAAAAAAGAAAGAGTACGAAAATCATCATTTTCAGGAATGAGAAAGTGATTGTTATCACAGACCCTATAAACATCAATAAGATATATGGGAATACTAAAAACAACTTGTGCCAAAAATATGTCAACGTAGAGGAAACTGTATTATTTCTTGAAAAAGACAACTTACCAAAATCAACACAAAAGGGAACAGAAGATATGATCAGCCCTACAGCGATTAAAGAAATTGAATTTGTTATCAGAAATCTTTCCAGAAGAAAACTCCAGGCCCAGATGGTTTCACTGGTGAATTCTATCAACATTCGAGTCTTTTATTAAACATTTAAGAAAAATAGATTTTAAAAGTATAATAAGATCTTTATCAAAATGTTAACAAATTAAATCCAATATTAAGTTAAAAAGGTGATACCTCATGACCAGTGGGATGCAATGTTGATTTAACATTCGAAAAACAGTCAATAGACTTCACCATATTGACAGATGAAAGGAGAAAAATTATAGGAAAATATTATTTTAAAAGATTCAGAAACACCATGGACAAAATTCCACATCCACTTATGCTAAACACATTTAGAAAACTAAACATAGTAGGAAACTTCCTCAAACTGATAAAAAGAATCTACAAAATAAAAGCAGAACAACCTGACAGCAAACATCATATTTAACAGTAAAAAACTGACTTGTTTTCCCCGAGACTGGGAACGAGCAAGGATGTTCTCTTGCCACTTCTATTCGACATTGTACCAGGGATCCTAGACATTGCTATAAGCCAAGAAAATGAAATAAAATACGTAGAGCCCGGAAGAGAAGTAAAACTGTCTCTATTTGCAGATGATATAATTAGTGATTTATGTAGAACATCCCAGGGAATGCACAAAACAACAATCAAAACCAGTAAATGAATTTAGCAAGGTCACAAGACACAAGGTTAATATTTTTAAAATATATTTTATTTCTATCTGTTAGGAGTAAACAATTGGAAAATAAAATCTTAAAAATTCCACTTAAATAGCACAAAAAAAGTAAAATGCTTAGGTGCGAATCTAACAAAGATTTATATATTTATATCTAATATATAAATTTATATATTATATACAATATAAATATATTGATATTTATATTTATATAAATATAAATATATTGATATTTATATTTATGTATTTATATCAATATATTTATATCAAATATATAAATTTATATATTTATATGAATATATAAATTTATATATTTATATAGAATATATAAATTTACATATTTACATAGAATATATGAATTTATATATTTATATAAATATATAAAGAACTTTTAAAGCACAATTGTAGGAAGACCAACCAATTTGTCCAGGAATGCTGTACTGAAAAGAACAAGACAGTACTGAGAAAAGAGTCAAGAAGCACAAGTAAATATAGACATACCATGTTCATGGAGTAAAGGGCTGAATATCAGATAAAATGACAATTTCCCCAATTTGATTCAATACAATCCCAATCAAAACGCCAACAGGATTTTTCATAGAAATTGACAGTCTAATTCAAAAATTTATATGAAAATGCAAATAATCTAGAATAGTTGGGCCGGGTGTGGTGGCTCACACCTGTAATCCCAGCACTTTGGGTGGTTGAGGTGGGCAGAGCACCTGAGGTCAGGAGTTCGAGACCAGCCTCAACATGGAGAAACCCCTTCTCTACTAAAAATACAAAATTAGCCGGGCGTGGTGGCGCATGCCTGTAAACTCAGCTACTCGGGAGGCTGAGGCAGGAGAACTGTTTGAACCTGGGAGGTGGAGGCTGCGGTGAGCAGAGATGGTGCCATTGCACTCCAGCCTGGGCAACAAGAGTGAAACTCTGTCTCAAAAAAAAAAAAAATAGAATAGTCAAAGCAAATTTTTAAGAGAACAAAGTTTGGAGGATTTATCCTGCTTGATTTTAAGACTTTCTATAAAATCACATTAATCAAGACAGTTTGCTATTGGCTATATATATACACACACACATATGTCTACATACACACATATACATATGTAGGTATAAAATAGGAATAGAATATATTAGAGCCTAAAAACAGACCCACATATATTCAATCAATTATTCACACAGGTGCCAAGGCAATTTGATAGAAAATTTGTTGAAAGCAAAGCTTTCAACAAATGGTGTTGTGTCAACTAAATATCCACATAAAAATTAAATATCCACCCTTACATGAAATACAGAAATTAACTTGCAGTGGACCATAGAACTAAATGTACACCTAAAATTATAAAATCTCTAGAGGAAAATATAGAAGGAGAGCTTTGCAATTTCTAATAAAGGACTGTGAGCTAGAATACAAAAATCATGACACTTTTTTAAAAGGTAAATTATACTTCATCAATATTAAAAACTTTTTTTCTACAAAATATACCAGTGAAAATAAAAACACAAGGCACATATTGAGAGGAAATATTTGCCAGACATATATCACACTGAGGAGTTTTTGTTTGTTTGTTTGTTTGTTTTTGAGACAGAGTCTCGCTCTGTCACCCAGGCTGAAGTGCAGCGGCACGATCTCAGCTCACTGCAACCTCCACCTCCTGGGTTCCAGCAATTCTCGTGCCTCAGCCTCCTAAGTAGCTGGAATTACAGGTGCCTGCCACCACACCCAGCTAATTTCGGTATTTTTAGTAGAGACAGGGTTTCACCATGTTGACCAGGTCCTGTCTTGAACTCCCGATCTCAAGTGATCTGCCTGCCTTGGCCTCTTGAAGTGCTGGGATTACAGGCATGAGCCACTGCATCCGGCCCCACACCAAGGACTTTTATCTAGAATATATAAAGAACTTTTAAAGCACAATTGTAGGAAGACCAACCAATTTTTAAACAGTCAAGAGATTTGAACATACATTTCACAGAGGAAGATATATGAACGGCCGATAAGCACACAGAAAACACTCAACGTTATTACTCATTATGGAAATGGAAATTAAAACCACCATGGGATATCACCACCCACCCACTGAAATGGCTAAAATCAAAGGCTGACTATTCCACATGGTAGGGAGGATATAGAGCAACTGGAACTCTTCTACACTGGTCATAAGACTATACAATGGTATTATCACCCTGGGGAAAAAATGGTATTTTTTTTAAAGTTAACTACCCATCTTCTATATGACCCAACCATCCACTGCTAGGACACATGTTCTCAGAAAGACTTGCATGTAAGTGTTCATAGCAGATGCCCTCAGAGTGGAGCTTTTCTCCCCTATTCCTGCAACATGTCACCAAAGGAAGCAAGATGGGAGGCTCTGTGGGCCCTGGAGATTCCAGCTTTGGTTTTGCTACTTGTTAGCTGTGTGTCTTCCCCTCTCCAATTCTTCACTTCCTTGGCTGTAAAATGGGGAGGATATAAGAGCCCACCTGTTCGGCTTTGATGTATCATAGAGGGAGATCAATGGCTCAGTGAGCAGCAGCTCCCAAGATTGGGAGTGGGGAGCCACATTGGACACCACTGGTGTGGGCGCTCATGGTCTCTGCTCCCATTGTGTCTGCTCCGGTGGTGTCTGCTCCCTTGGTGTCTGCTCCCGTGGTGTCTGCTCCCATGGTGTCTGCTCCCATGGTGTGGGTTCCCATGGTGTCTGCTCCGGTGGTGTCTGCTCCCATGGTGTGGGTTCCCATGGTGTCTGCTCCGGTGGTGTCTGCTCCCTTGGTCTCTGCTCCCATGGTGTCTGCTCCCATGGTGTGGGTTCCCACGATGGTGTCTGCTCCCGTGGCATTGGCTCCTGTGGTGTCTGCTCCCATGGTGTGGGCTCCCGTGGTGTCTTCTCCCGTGGCATTGGCTCCCATGGTGTCTGTTCCATGGTGTGGGCTCCCGTGGTGTCTGCTCCCATGGTGTGGGCTCCCGTGGTGTCTGCTCCCGTGGCATTGGTTCCAGTGGTGTCTGTTCCATGGTGTGGGCTCCCGTGGTGTCTGCTCCCATGGTGTGGGCTCCTGTGGTGTCTGCTCCCGTGGCATTGGCTCCCATGGTGTCTGTTCCATGGTGTGGGCTCCAGTGGTGTCTGCTCCCATGGCATTGGCTCCAGTGGTGTCTGTTCCATGGTGTGGGCTCCCGTGGTGTCTGTTCCCATGATGTGGGTTCCCACGGTATCTGCTCCCATGGTGTGGGTTCCCATGGTGTCTGCTCCTGTGGTGTCTGCTCTTGTGGTGTCTGCTCCTGTGGCATGTGTCCCTGTGGTGCAGGTGCCGTGGTGCAGCCATCCGTGGTGCAGGTGCTGGGTGAAGGCAGGAAGAGAGTGCATTAGCAGAGCAAAGGAGCAGGGCAACCATACAGACTTGGACAGTTTTGGGGTGCCTAAGAAGAGAGTCTATGGTCCGGGAGGGACAGGCTGTGTGGTCCAGGGCTCAGAACCAGAACCCTGGAGGGAATTCTGGTAGAAGCTCGAGCTGTCAGTGCTAGGTACAGCTGGAGTGAGAGGCAAGAACACCCATACCTAAGAGTATGTGAGTTGGGGGCCTGGGGGCAGTCAAAAATCAAAATCACTGGGATCCCAGGTCCCAGCATCGACGTACCCTCCACGGTCCTCACCCGCTCAAGGTCTGGCTCTATATCCGGGCCACAAGCAGCTCCTGTAAGTCGTTAAAAAATGTTCCTGTCCCCCAGGAAACAGCAAGCAGTGGGCTGTACTGGGTTCCCTGGCCCCGTATCTAAGCCTTCCCGCATTTGGCTGCATTTTCTTTCCAAGACCGCTCCCCCTGCCACCCCAACACCTAAAATACAATTAGTTATTTGTACTGGGTGTGTCTGCTCAGAGAAGACTTTGAACTTCACCCGATGTGGGTGGGGGAGTTAATCACTAAAAGGAGCGGGATTCAGTTAGCTCAAGATCAATGGGCTGTGCTCCATGCCATAACCAAACTGAGCCCTCTGAGGAGGAAAAGAGCTTCAGAAAGCACCCTGCCTTGTAACCATAAACCCCTCAATTTCTTATGGGGTGATCTTGGGAAGAGGCAGGGGGCATGGGCTTGCGGATCAGGCAGACCTAGGTTCAAGTTCTGGCCCCAGGAGTATGACTTCAGTCCAGTCCCCAAAGCTCCAAACCCCCAAATTCTCATCTGTAAATGAAATGTGTGGGAGAGGAAGTCCTCCTCCCCCAGGGCAGTTCTGGGGCAGGCAGGCTGCCCTGTTCCCACTCCGACCCCTCTCCACTGCCTGTGCCCCTTTTCCTCTCAGGGCAGCCCCGGGCAGCCAGGGCCCTGTGGTGACTCCCCATTGGCAGGCCTGGCAAAAGAAAGTCCCCAGCTGTGGGTAGCATGGGGACCCCTGGGGCTGCTGGGTGGCACCCTCCAGCCTGCCTCATCTTCTGGGGCTGCCCTGCTCTGGAGTGACCATACCCCACCAGGGCCCCAGGGCAGATCTTGGCTCACTTTGTGCTGGGGCCACACATGGCCTTCACGGCCTTTCTTCTGTGGCTTGGTACAGCTCTGCTAGTGCCAGCCTCACAACACGCCTGCCTCCCCCATGCTGAGAAGTCAGAGGTCTGGATGGCTCTTTGTTTAAAGAAACAACCGCAGTTTCCAGCGGACCCCATAGCAGGACAAGGCCCAGGTCGGAGCTCAAGCCTGTAATGCTCAACCAGGCGGCCACGGCACTTGTCCAGGAGGTGGCTGAGGCCAGAACCATCAGACCCACTGTTCTGGTGCCGACTGTCATGGAACACATTGCCCCCAAATTTAGTAGCTCCTGGCAGCCATTTCATTACATTTCACAATTGCGTAGGTCAGGAATCCCATGGGGTCCACCCAGCTGCTTCTGCTTCATGAGGTGTAAACGAGGCTCACTGGGTGGTATTTGCTGGCAGCCAGCTGGTCTGGAGGCTCTAACAGGGTTGTCTGCACGAGTCTGGCTCCTTGGCAGCATGACTGGAAGGCTGGGCTCAGCTGGGACTGTCACCCAGAATTCCTGCACGTGGCCTATCCAGCATGGTGTTCTCGCAGTAAGCCTTCTGTGTCACAGTTCAGGGCTCCCAGAATGTCCCAGAGGCTCAGAGGGGGAGCTGCAAGGCTTCTTCTGGCCAAGCTTAAAAACCATGTGACATCATTTCCACTGTATCCTATTGGTTAAGCAGGCTGCAGAGCCAGCCCAGATTCACAGGGAGAGGAATTAGATCCCACCTCTCAATAGGTGGGAGATTGCTCTGGAAGGGCTCTCTGACAAGTCTATTTCCTTGGCTGGCTGTATAGTGAACCCATGAGAAAGGGGTTTTATCATAACCATAAACATTATCATCATCACCACCATCAACATCCTTACCACCATCATCATCACCATCAACATCATCATCATCATCACCACCATTAACATCATCACCATCAACATCATCATCACCACTACCATTAACATCATCATCACCACCACCATTAACATCATCACCATCATCACCATCATCATCACCACCACCATTAACATCATCACCATCAACATCATCATCACCACTACCATTAACATCATCATCACCACCACCATTAACATCATCACCATCATCACCATCATCATCACCACCACCATTAACATCATCACCATCATCACCATCATCACTACCATCAACATCATCACCATCACCACCACCAGCATCAACATCATTACCACCATCATCACTACCATCAACATCATCACCACCATCACAGCATCACCAACACCATCAACATCATCACTACCATCAATCATCACCACCACCATCAACACCATCACCACCACCAACATCATTACCACCATCACCATCACCACTACCATCTATCATCATCACCATCACCATCACCACCATCACCACCATCAACATCATTACCACCACCATCATCACCACCACCATCAACATCATTACCACCACCATCACCATCACCACCATCAACATCATTACCACCATCATCACCACCATAAACATCATTACCACCATCATCACCACCACCATCAACATCATTACCACCATCATCACCATCATCACTACCATCAACATCATCACCACTATCATCACCATCAACATCATCATCACCACCAACATGGTGATCACCACCATCAACATCATTACCACCATCTTCCTTACCAGCACCATCATCACCACCATCATCGCCACCATGGTCATCATCACCATCATCATCACCCTCATGGCAATCACCCTCACTGTGGGGCACCAACCCTGTGCCTATGCATCTCTAAGGCCAGTGCTGTTAGAATCCCTCTGGAACCAATGAAGAAACCGGGTCACAATGTGGCTTGCCCACGCTGACCCTGAGAGAAGCATTGGGCCCTGAGTATAAATTGGCCTATACCACACCACTGGCCAAGTGGTTACCATTAAAGCACTTGCTCCCCTTGTCTCCCAGAGGCTGCGCTGAGGCCAGCTCACGAATCCTCACCACAGACTGTGAGGAAGGCTTTATTATCCCCAAACAAGAAATGGAGAAATCAGGGCCCAGAGAGGGAGAGCCCGGGTGTGCCTGGAGGCCCAGCCTCTGGAGTCCAGTACTCAGGTCCTACACTGCACAGCTGTCTGAGCTCGGGAGACGACAGGATGGGCTGTGCAGAGCAGCGGCTGGTGGTGCTTTCTACGCTAATCAAGCTAATTGGATAATTGCCACTTCATGGTATTTGGTGTTGACACAACCTTGAGCTGGGCTTTCTAACAGAGGCTTTTATCCGAACCTCTCCAGGAGGCTCCTCTGGCTGGTGAACGGGGCCTCCTGCTCTCCCAGCCAGGGGCACCAGGGTCTCCTTTTCTAGCTGGGGGTGGGGAGACACGGCAGAGAAGAGAGGCCAAACGACCATCGGAGGTCACAAAGCGACCCGTGGATGAGGTGACAAGAGCAGCCCTCATCTGCCCACTGCCTCCGGCTCTGACAACTAAATCACCCCAAAGAGACGTGGGTGATTTCATTTCTATTCCATCTGCAGGAGGGGGAAAAAAATCAATGTTTGCTAAATGAAAAGGAAAGAGATCGGCAGGAGGAAAATGTATTTTCAACTTTTAATAGGGTATTATCGACAATGAGGAGTCAGAAGTGAAGCAGCAGGGCCCGCCTGACTGTGGGGCTCAGCTTCAATGGGGGGCGTGATCGCGGGGGCCGGGGGTCAGGGACAGTAGGGGACAGCGAGGAGAGGGCACACACTGAGGACAACAGACGCCCCTTCTGCCAAGCCCAGGGTGGCCGGCGGCCTGAGTGAGTCCCAGCTCAGTGCCCCCAAGTGGGCAGAGACAGGGGTCCAGCTGGGAGACCAGGGGAACAGGAAAAAGAAGTCAGACGTGGGCTTCTGGAAGAGCCCACGCCCTGCTCAGGGTACGAAGTGCAGGCGGAGGAGGGCTGGGTGGATCAGAGATAGGGCATCCGTAGCAAGAGGCACACGGCCTTCCAGGCATCCTATGGGCTTAGGAAACTTGCACAAGGCATCAAATCCCTGTGGGCCATGTGGATTGGGAAGGGTCTGGTTTTACCCATTCCTTTGCCCTGCTGTCTATTTAGGAAAAATGTTGAGCATCTCTCATGTGCCAGGGGTAGTGCCAGACGCAGAGGACACAATAGTGACTGAGGCAGCGGCTGTCCCTGCCCTGGGGCTGACGGTTTGACAATTAATTACAGGGATAGGTGGTGAATGTTAGGCTGGGGGAAGAGGTGTGACAGCAGAGGGGATGCCTAATTCAGGCTGAGAAGGGAGAAGGCCTTCTGAAGAAGGGGCATGGCATAAGTCTCAGAGCAGCCAAGCAAAAAGAAGGGAAGCATGTTTCCAGCTGAAGGAGCCACATGGTTGAAGGCCCAGATCCAGAAGGGGAGAGGAACGGACCAGGCTTTAGGAGGTCCTGCCATGGGGAGGGGGGCTGAGGACGGAGGTGAGCAGGGACAGGGGTGCTGGCAGAGACGGTGCCCGGGACCTGCCTCACCTAAGCCAGGGATTCTGCACCAGAAGCTCGGATGTGTTTATGTCAGGGCAGGTCTAGATTTGGGAGAGACAGAAAGCCTGTTCAGTCTGCAGGCCTCTTTAAGAAAATGAATACTGGCCAGGCGCCGTGGCTCATGCCTGTAATCCCAACACTTTGGGAGGCCAAGGCAGGCAGATCGCCTGAGGTCAGGAGTTCAAGACCAGCCTGGCTAACATGGCGAAATCTCGTTTCTACTGAAAATACAAAAATTAGCCAGGCGTGGTGGCAGACCCCTGTAATCCCAGCTACTCGGGAGGCTGAGTCAAGAGATTTACTTGAACCTGGAGGTGGAGGTTGCAGTGAGCTGAGATCTTGCCATTGGACTCCAGTCTGGGGCGACAAGAGTGAAACCCGTCTCAAAAAAAAAAAAAAAGGCCAGGCGCGGTGGCTCACACCTATAATCCCAGCACTTTGGGAGGCCAAGGTGGGTGGATCACGAGGTCAGGAGATGGAGACCATCCTGGCTAACATGGTGAAACCCCATCTTTACTAAAAATACAAAAAAATTAGCCAGGCATGGTGGAGGGCGCCTGTAGTCCCAGCTACTCAGGAGGCTGAGGCAGGAGAATGGCGTGAACCCGGGAGGCGGAGCTTCCAGTGAGCCGAGAGCGCACCACTGCACTCCAGCCTGGGCGACAGAGCGAGACTCCGTCTCAACAAAAAAGGATACTAACTTAGGAATCTAAAATTAGGTCTACGGCCTTGCAGGAAGGCCCTGCGACAAGTGAGGTTGCAGAAGTTCCAGCTGTACCACCTTCACAGCAAAGCCCCATCCATCCACACACCTTCACTTCCCGCCATCTCCCCTAAAGCCGTTCTTCGTTTATGGTCCATGCGGTCACCCTCTTGACCATGCTTACAGGGCTTTATCTGCCCAGAGCTAAACTAAGCCTGCCCCATCCATCCCTCGTGGTCCAGCCCTGCTTCCTTAGTTTTGATTCAGCTCTTGGTCACCTGTCACCACCTCTCTGGAGCCTCTGTCAGAGTCTTTCCTTGGGACTCTGCGGGGCAAGGCATTGGTAAACTAGGGTACACGGCACAGGTGCAAGAGGTATTATCTTCATCACGTTAGGTCATCTGTCTGAAGTGGGCCTTTTTACGTATGTTGTCCCAGGAGGCATGAATTTTAAAGTCCTTTCCCCTTTAAATGAAAAAAGAAATTCATTTGAGAAAGCTTAGAAAATTTTTAAAAGTAAAGCATAAGAAACACACACACACAAAAAAAACAAAAATAAATAAAGGATAAGAGACAAAAGAAAAATACCAGTGATCTCACCATGAAGAAATAACCATTATTTGTGCTTTGTTTCATTTCCTGTTAGCCTTTTTTATCATGAATAAATTCATAAATTTTTTTACTTAATTCAGATCATACTATATTTACCACTTTCTACCCTGTTTTTCAATTAAATTATTAATTTAATTTGATTATTTAATTATTAATTATGATTGTACATTTTCCATCAAATTATTAACTTAATAAGTATTTTTCAATTAATTTTCAATTAGGCACATTTTATTGTCCCATTAAATACCCGTAAGCTCTCATTGGTAATGGTAGCAACGGGGTCTGGCAGACAGATTTATAGCAATTAACCCGGCTCCTCCCTAAGATAACTCCTCTGACGAATACCCTTGTCCATACACCTCTGTGGGTTCTGGGCTGTTTTCTTTGCATGACTCCCCGGCCAGGAAACTGTAAGTCAGAGGTGTGTTCACTGCGTCCCCGCAGCCTGGTGAGCTCAGGAAGGGCCTGGCTGCCACCTTTGTGGTATTCTTGAGAGCTATTTGTTGGTGTTTTCTTGAGGATTGGTTTTCAGTTCTTTTATGACTCAGGCCTGTGAACCTTTTCTCATATTCTCACCATCCACAAAACCGATCATAACCAGGCATCCCCCTGCAGACTGACAGAATTTATCTGAGCAGGGTCCATTTGTCAACTGCCCCGTGCCCATTTTTCCCCCTGAGATGCGGTCAGGGTCCCCAACCTCTGGCACCCTCACAGAGAGGAACTGGAGGTGTGCTGGTGAAGGCAGCGTTGGTGATGGGTGCAGGTAAACTGCAAGGCCTGGGCCCTGCCCAAGGCTGTGATAGAAAAGAGGGACTGTTCTCCGCAGGCTTGCCGGGGGAATGGGAGGAGGCAGTGACCTGAGCCCAGAGACACAGGGCAGGGAGGGGACACTGGCAGGGGGTATGATGCAGCTCGCCCAAGGTGACCTCTCAGAGAGGGAGCTGGAGAAATCAATACCCTGACCATACCTGACACGCCTCTCCGAGGCTGGAGGGCTGAGCTCTTCGTTCAGTCCCTAAGGGTCAGCCTCCAAGGCCACAGAGCCACATGGAGGTCAGGGAGGAGGCTCCCAAGAGGCCAAGGATGACCTGTGGCTCAGTCAGCTTTCTTTCTTTCTTTTTCATTTCATTCTCTTTCTTTCTCTCTCTTTTTCCTTCCTTCCTTTTCCTCCCTCCCTCTCTCCCTTCCTTCCTTTCTTTCTTTCTGTTTCTCTCTCTCTTTCCTTCCTTCCTTTTCTTTCTCCTTCCTTCCTTTCTCCCCTCCCTTCCCCTCCCCTCTCCTCCCTTTCTCCCTCCCTCCCTTCTTCCTACCTTCCTTCCTTTTATCTCTTTCTCCTTCCTTTCCCCCCTCCCTTCCCCTCCCTTCCCCTCCCCTCCCATCCCTGTTCTCCCTTTCTCCCTCCCTCCCTTCTTCCTTCCTTCCACTCTTTCTTTCTTTCTTTCTTATTCTTTCTTTCTTTTCTTCCTTTCTTCCTCTCTTCCTTTCTTTCTTTTTGTCTCTGTTGCCCGGGTTGGAGGGCAGTGATGCAATCACAGCTCACTGCAACTTGGGCCTCCTGGGCTCAGGGGATCCTCCAGCATCAGCCTCCCAAGTAGCTGAAACTACAGGTACACACCACCACGTCTGGCTAATTTTTTGTAGAGACAGGTCCTCACATTGTTACCCAGGCTGGTCTTGAACTCCTGACCTCAAGCTGTCCTCCCACTTCAGCCTCCCAAAGCACTGGGATTCTAGGTGTGAACCACTGCATCTGGCCTTTCTTATTGATTTATGAGCACTGTTGATTATGATGGCATTGACCATCCCACGAGCACCAGTGCCACAATCTGCTTCCATCTTTATTGTCCTGTGTGAGCCGTTGTGGGAGGGACAGGTTGTGCGTGGGGACATTTTTGCCTTCAGTACCCAGGTTTGTCAGCTTCCCCGCCTGCTAAAGAGACAGTGTTAGGCAGCTTTTAAAATACTGCCTTGGGCAGACAGATGCCCACAAGATTTGGTGCAGTGTGGGCAATCACCGGGAATTATCATCAATTTATTTGGAAGAACTAAAAACAGCAACAGCAAAGGCTTGAGAGTTTGCACTCACCGACTCCAGAAAGAGTTTATCTTTAAATGTAAACTTAATAAGTTCATGCTTGTAGTAGGCAGATGCCGAGATGGCCCCCAGTGATCCCCACCTCCTGGTGTTCGTGCCCATGGATGGCCCCGCAACCTGTGTAACCAATAGCACGCTGTGGAAATGCCTTGTGTGTCTTCTGAAGCTAGGTCATAAAAGACCTCATGGCTTCTGCCTTGCCCTCTCTCAGGTCATGTGATCTGGGGGAAGCTGGCTGCCATGTAAGGACACTCAAGCAGCTCTGTGGAGAGGTCCACACGGGGAGGAACTGGTGACTCCTGCCAACAGCCAGCACCAGTCTGCCAGAGATGCGGGTGAGCCCCTTGGAACTGGATCTTCCAGTTCCATCAAGTCCTGTTAGCCCAGCCAATATGTTGACTGCAGCCTCTCGAGAAACTCCAAGCTAGATCTGCCCAGCTAAGCTGCTCCCCAGTTCCTGACCTATAGAAACTGTGGAAGATTATAAATGGTTATTGTTGGTTTTATTACAGCCACTACGTGTTGGGGGATAACTTCTTATTCATCAATTGATAACTTGTATATACTCGAATGCAAACCTATGGCACATGTGAGATGAAGGATTGGAATCCACATTCGAGGAATTCAGATGAACCGGTTAGAACACCCATCAACACAGCTTCCACCACAATCTTTGGGAAAAGAGCTCAGGACCGAGGGGTGGGAATTCAAAACTCCATGGAGCCGCCATCCCTTTCTGGGCCTCAGTCTTCCATTTGCAAAATTAAGGAGTTGAGCTTAGAAGGCCTGTTCCAGCTGTGAGCTTCTGAGATTCCAAGACCATCATCCAAGAGTCCTGCCTCACTCCTGACACAAGCTCCCTTCCAGGGGCTGAGCCAGGGCTGCACCTGCACCCCACTTTCAAAAGCACCAGAGAACAGAATGTTGCCCTGGCTGACCACAGCTGCCCTGTATTAGTCAGGGTTCTCCGAAGGAAAAAAAAAAGAACAGGGTAGAGGTATAGAGATGTAGAAAGAGGTTTATGATGGGACTCGGCTCACACTATTATGGAAGGTGAGAAGTCACGTGATCAGCCATCTGTAAACTGGAGGTCCCTGAAGCTGGTGGTGTAGTCCCAGTCTCAGCCCAAATTTCAGAGAACCAGGAACGCCAATGGTGTAGGACCCAGTCTGAGTCCAAAGGCCCAAGAACCAGGAGATCTGATGTCCAAGGGTAGGAAGAGATGGATGTCCCAGCTCGAGACCAGAGAAAAAGAACCCACCTTTCCTCCGCCCTCAGTTCTATTCAGGTCCTCAGTGGACTGGACGATGCCACACTGGTGAGGGTGGATTTCCTTTCCTCAGCTTACTGATTCAAACCCTAATCTCTTCCAGAAGCACCCTCACAGACACGCCCAGAAATAATATTTTGCCAGCTGGGCATCCCTTAGCCTCGTTGAGTTGGCATAAAATTAACCATGACATCCCCCTTAGGGCTTTCTAAAAACATTGAGATATAACTTCCATACCATAAAATCCACCATTTTAAAGTGATCAAGCAGGTGGCTTTTAGGGTGTAGTCAGAGAGTTGTGCAGCCGCCACCACTATCAAACTCCAGAAAGTTTTCATCATCCATCCCCCAAAAAAATTCCATGGCACTGACCGGGCATGGTGGCTCACACCTGTAATCCCAGCACTTTGGGAGGCCGAGGCAGGCAGATCACCTGAGATCAGGAGTTCGAGACCAGCCTGGCCGACATGGTGTGAAACCTCATCTCTACTAAAAATACAAAAATTAGCCGGACGTGGTGACAGGCACCTCTAATCCCAGCTACTTGGGAGGCTGAGGCAGGAGAATCGCTTGAACCCGGGAGGTGGAGGTTGCAGTGAACCGAGATCGCACCATTGCACTCCAGCCTGGGGGACAAGAGCGAGACTTCGTCTCAAAAAAAAAAAAAAAGAAAAAGAAAAAGAAATTCCATGCCCTTAGCCTTCTCCCCCGTCTCTAGTCCCTGGCAACTGTTCATCTCCTTTCTGTCTTCATAGATTTGCCGGTTCTGAACACTTCATATTCATAGGGTCATATAGTATGCTGGCTGTTGTGTCTGGCTTCTCCTATGGAACAGTTTACAGAGTCCATCCACGTGATAGCTTTTCATGGCTGGGTAATATTCCACTTGCCACGCATCCTTGATCCATTCACTGGTGGTGGACATTGGGGCTGCTCCCGTCTTTTAGCTCCTGTGAGCAGAGCTACCCCCACACGCCAGGAAGGGAAAACTTGAGGAACAAGTCTCTTGTTAAGGGAAACATCAATCCCTGTGTTTCCATTTGGATTTGGTTTCATGTGTGACTTGACCTCTTTGCGGACAGCCCTTTGGATTTTCAAAAGTAGTTTCTTTCCTGGAGCAAGAGGCAGGGTCGGCCCAGAAACGTGAGCCGCCATTTCAAGCCCCATTTTCCTGATACTCAAAGGTGTGGTGGGCGGGTCCCCGGTCCTTCCCAGCCTCAGCCTCCCCATGAGGGGTGGGGTTACATGACACTGCCAAAGACTCCAAGAAGCCAAGGGTCAGGGAGGCCCACTTGCCCCTAGCACTGCACAGCAGAGGCCCTCGGGCCTGGGAGGCTGAAGGCCCTGGACTTGAAGAGTGCGGTGAATCCTTCTTGCTGCCCCTCTGAGGGGCTGGGGGCTGGGATGCTGCCTCGGCCTTTCACCGGCTGTTCAATCCCTGCTCCTCAGTTTCTTTATCTGTGAAATGGGGATAATGACATCTGTGTCATTAACAGGGATGTGAATAATTGAGTTGATGGGGAAGGAACACGAGGAGTGGATGAGGAGCCCACTACAGCTTAAATAAGAGATCACATGCATCCTAAAAAGAACAAAGACTCGTGTGGGTGTGCTGTGTGTCCGTCCACCTCTCAGCCAGGGAACGTGGTGGGCTTGGGGGTCCCCTCTGTGGCTCCCACACTAAGGCTGGGCATGGGGCCAGACTCCCTAGCCCCGTATATGGCCTTCTTGACTGCTGGGGGGCCCTACTGGGGCAGGCAGGAGCAGGGGGCAGTTTGGAATTAGGGTCCAGCACCCCAGGAAGCCACAGACCAGGTCCTCAAGGAGACCCCAGGGCAGTGAGCGGGCGCCCTGCCTCCAGCCCCCGCGCGCTCCTCCTCCTGCTGGCTTTGTCCGTCCTGGCTCCAGGCACACAGTGCCAGGCTCAGGGGCCGGGGCGGGCGGGGACAGGCGCCGCCCATCCCAGTTCGGGGCCATCCGTCTTGGTCGACCCTATTAAAATACATTATAAAAGGAAGAAAAGGGTGGGCCAGAGGGTGAACCGGGAGAAAAATGATACCGCAGACGCCTTTGTTTGTCCTTCGTCCCCGAGCCCTGGAACAGGGAAGATGAAAGGGACTTGGGGGCCATGGCTCCTGGGCCAGGGAAGGCGGAGCTCAGTGGGGGGACTGTGGGAAGAAGATGCACCCGCAGACACCGCACCTCCCCTGGGCCTGCCCCCCCCCCGCCACCGGCCTTTGCACCCTCAAATACCACAGCAGCCTCAGCACCAGAGGAGTGCCTGCCTCCCAGCTCCTTACAGAGGCGGTGTCCAGCGCCAAGCCAGGTGGGCTGCAGACCCAGGGCAGGGCTGCAGACTCCAGCTGCACCTCGGGGGAGGGGTGCAAGGCACCGTCCTGCTGGTTTTGCAAAGATGGAGCATCAGAGATGGGTCCCAGCAGCCGGTAGGGAGTGGCGCATGGGCAGCCGGGGTCTGCGTCCTGGTGCTGGGGAAAAGGCAGAGCTGCCTGGAGGTGGGTGCTCCCCAGGAGTCTCCCAGTGCCACCCCCAGGAGACGAAGCCACGTGGCCCATCAGGAAGCGGAACCACACGGTGACACCCCCAGCTCCCCCTCCCAGGTCTAGAACCAGGTCAGGGCAATGCTTTTGTGAACATTTGCACTTTCACCCTCAAAACCACCTGTTATGGGGGTGCCTTTGCTCCCTGGCAAAAGATACGTTGCAGCCGCTACCCCCAGCACCTCAGACTGTGCTCTTATTTGGGAATAGGGTCATGGCAGGTGTGACTCATTAAAATAAGGTCATGCTGGTGTTGGGGAGGCCTAATTTGATATGACCCCTGTCCTTGTAAGTGGATGTGATGTGTCAGGGGCAACAAGAGTTCCAAGCAAGGCCCCTACCAGGCCTGGGAGGTCAGAAGCAGTAACAGCCTAAAGGATGACTGGGGTCAGGAGAGCAGGGAGGGTATCCCAGGCAGAGGGAATGGCCGGTGCAAGGGCTGGAAAGGACGCTGCCCATCGCTGCCCATCCTAAGCAGCAGGTGGCTTTGTCTGGCTGGTGGGCAGAGTTGGAGTGGGTGCAGGAGGGGCACAGTCGAATCCCACAGGGTCTGGTCAGTCACATTGAGTCTGGGTTTTATCCAGGGCAATGTGGAGCCACGGAAGGACTGGGAGGCAGGCCATGGTCGGGTGTGAAGAAGCCCTGGAGGCCGGTGGAGATAGAGGGGAGCTGGAGGCCGGTGGAGATAGAGGGGAGCTGGAGGCCGGTGGAGATAGAGGGGAGCTGGAGGCCGGCGGAGATAGAGGAGAGCTGGAGGCCGGTGGAGATAGAGGGGACCTGGAGGCCGGTGGAGATAGAGGGGACCTGGAGGCTGGTGGAGATAGAGGGGAGCTGGAGGCCAGTGGAGTCCTGGGTGTGGGCACTCGGACTGGGCAGCGGCGGGGGCGTGGCAAGAAGGGGAGCAGAGCAGAGAGGACACCTGACTGTGTCTGCCAGACCCGTTCCCCAGAGGACGCTGCCCTCCCGAGGAACCTCCCTCCTCTCTCCACCCACGGGGGCAGGCGCATTCCTGGCTGGCACCTCGGGGGATTTAGGATTTCTTCCTAACGAGCTCTCAGTCAGTCACCTGGGCTGTGCGTGAGTTCATGTCTTCAGGAGCTGAGGACTACGAGGCATCACAAAAGTGGCCACGAGAGGCAGGTAAAGGCCCCCAAAGTCTTCACCATCGTCCGCCTCAGAAAATCACTTGTCTGATGGTAAGGGATGGGATGTGGGGCGGCGTCGGCATTGGTGAGGGCCTCGGGCGGGGAGAGGGTTTGTGTCATCCAATCGCAAAGCTAAGTGTGTTGCTTCACTTTAGGCGTCAACCAGCCTGTCCAGGCCACACAGCGCACAGATACTGGGTCAGATATTACCCTGGTTGTTTCTTCAAGGTGTTTTTGGAAGAGACTGACATTTCAGTAGGCAGAGTAAAGCAGATTGCCTTCCCTAATGTGGACCGCTGGCCTGTGCACCGGGCAAGGCCCTGCCCCCCACCACCCCCACCTGCGGGGAGCCTCATCTGTGTGCTCCACGTTTGGGGCTGCCTGAAAGATTCCCTGGGAGAATCCCTCTCTGCTTGGAACCACTGACTTGGAGAGTGGTCTCAGTTACCTCTGGGCACACCAAGGCCGGGGAGCGAGCCCGTCTCACGCCGTGTGACCACCCCTTCCTAACGGTGGAAACCGGCCCTCTCCACCCAGGTCACCCGCCTCCACCTGGAGGGGTCAGGTCCTCAGGGATCAGGTGTCTGTGAAAACAATCCCGAGAGTCATCCGGAAGCTCCATTTCCAGCCAGGGTTAGGGTTCCAGAGGTCGCCCTGAGCGTGTTACGCACACGGCCTATCAAGTACACTCCTTTCCTCGCGGCACCCCCAGGAGGTCGGGGTGTTTGCTGGGTTCCACCCGTGCCCTCACTCATTTTCACTGTGGTCCGATCAGCTCAGGCGGAGCCCAGCAAACACCCCGACCCCCTGGAGGTGCCACGAGGAAAGGAGTGTCCTCAGAGAGCTTCCGGGGAAGCCAGCCCTATGAAGCCCTCCACGTTCACCAGGAGTTCATCGCAGCTGCGGCCAGGCTGGGAAGGAGAGGTGGCCACAGGCAGGCAGCGTGTCTGTTCCGGATGCAAAGCGCAGCCCCAGCCCCGCCCGCTGGAGCCCTCTCTGGCGCTGGGTGGACAAAGCTGCAGTGCGCCGGCCAGGGAAGGCCGAGGAGCCGCCCAGGCGAGGCCCGAGCTGCCTGGTGGCATCTGTGTGGACCCCAGGCCATGTCACTGCCTCAGCACACTCGACCTCCAACTCACATTCCTCACAGGTGGCCCGGGAAAGGGGACCACCCACTCGGCAGGAGCTCCCTGAGCCAGCTCAGTGGATGGAGCAAACTGACTTGGAAATCAAAGTGATGCCCAGACGGAGCAAGAGACAGCCCCGGACCAGCCCCCGGGCCACACCCGCGCACCAGCCAGGACCAGGCCCCGCGGAGGCTTGCTGGGAAGCTGGCGCTGTGTTGTTTCCCCCGCCAGCTGCTCGCTTCCTCCCGGGCTCACTGGAGTGCAAACTGCTTTCACTTGTTTGAAATGGAAATTTTTTCGTCTCTTTATACTTATTGTCACTTGTATTTTTCTCCCCAGAAATGGGGATTTGGACGTGAAGGCGGCTTGTGTGTGCGTTTCCGTGTGCGTGAACAGACACATCTGTTTCCACTTTGGGTTGGGGGGGTTGGCGCAGGGCGAGGGCTGCAGTCTGAGCCAACAGAGTCTACGGAAGCAGAGACAGAAGCCTGTGGAGGGGGCAGGGCGTGGGCAGAAGCAGCCCCTGCGGGTGGGGCTGAGGCCAGGGTTCCTCTCCACCAGCCCCTTACGGCTGCGTCAGGTGTGGGGGTCCTGGGGACATCTGCTCCTTCCCATGGCTTTGGAGGCTGCCAGAGCCTGCCCCAGCCACCCCCCGGGTCCTGGCTGTCACTGAGCCCTCCGTCTCCCTGCCTTTGCACCCAAGTTCCCCCAACCCCTTTATCTGGGTCCCTAGGAACGCCCTTATCCTTCCAGGCCCAGCTCCAGTTGGCTTCACCCCTCCAGAAGCCACCCTGCCAGTCTTTGCTCTAGCTCGGGTGCCTCGGGGTTTACTGCAGACCTGGCCATGTGTTTGGGGTGAGCACAGACTTCAGAGTCCAGCAGCGTCAGGCCACCTCGTGCCCTGCCCTTCTCCCCGCGTGCTACCTCCAAGGCCTGGCTCACACAGGTGCTTTGTGGGGGGAGTGGAGATGAAGACAAAGGTAACCACAAGGATAGTCCCCCCTCCAGGAGCCCCAGCCTGCACTGCAAGGACAAGGCGGTGGAACGACCTGCAGCAGAGACCAGGGCCTGGGACTGCCGGGGTGGTGAGGGTGTGCTTCCCAGAGGTGGCTGGGCCTGAGCCGCAGGGGTGAGTGGTGACCGCATGGAGACCCGGAGCTGCTGCTCTGCTGAAGGTGAAGGTCAGGCCCCAGAGGGAACTGAGAGACAGCACAGGAGAGCCAAGCTCCAGACTCAGACATGCCCATTAATCCTTCCTTCCTTCGTTCATTCATTTAGCCAGTTTTTGGCAGCCACCTGCAGTAGCTGGGGACCCACAGTGAACCACACAGACGGGATCCCTGCCCTTGTAACCTACATGGAGTAGGCAAGAGAGAGGGACCCAGATGGTGACAAGGACAGGGGCTGAAATGGAGAGGGGCCGCAAGGACCGGGGAGGGCGGGGGTGCTGAGGGGCTGAGGCCTGTACTGTCAGAAAGGCCCAGTCCCAGACGCTGGCCTCAGGCTTAGGCACCTGGAGCCAGGCCCCTCAACCCTCTGGGCATCCCCGGGTCCCACCGGGATGGCCCTGGGTCCTGCAGGGGAGGGCTGGGTACGGAGCACACACCACAGCCAAGCTCCAACCACGCCGTGGCCACAGATGTCTCTTCCAGGCCTTGAAGGCAGGGGTGGGGAAACCAAGGTGCCCAAAGCCCCCATCGGGGACGGGGTGTCCACCAAAGCTCCATCCACAGCGTGAGCTTGGAGCTCAGCATCGCAGGAATGGAGGGAGGCGCCCCATCGGATGCCACCTTGCCCGGAGGAATCCGGGCGGTCCACACTGGCTGGTCCACACTCAGAAGGCAAGGACAGGCCCGTGGGTTTGGCCACACTCCACCTGCACATGTGTCCTGGGCAGTGTTGCATTTCAGGAACGGTTCACGGTGGGTGTGGGGAGGGGCACTCCAGATGTAACTATTGGAGTCCTGGTGGCCGGAATGAGGCAGCCTACAGACGGAGACGTGGAGCCTGGGTCCCGAGGACGACAGCAGCCAGCCTGTCACAGGTGCCCGGTGAGCCTGAGCTCACGCATTCACGCAACGTGCGGTTGTCCACTGCGCATTTGTCTGGTGGCCGCCCCGTCTCACTGACTCCTCCCCAGCCCTGGCAGAGGAACCCCAGGCCCAGAGTGGAAGGGACTCCCAGGCTGCCCTCCTGCCCCTTCTCCAGGAGCAACTTGGAGGCACCCAAGCCCCAGCAGCCTCAGCCTGGGCCGCTCATACAGAGCACACACCATGGCCAAGCTCCGCCACGCCGTGGACACGGGTGCCTGTCCTCAAGCCTCCAAGGCAGGGGTGGAGAAACTGAGGCACCAAGAGGTGAAGCAAGCTGCCCAAAGCCCCCATCCTGGATTTCAGCACAGCCCTGCCTGATGCTAGAGGCTCCAAAAGGCTGCGGCTGCCTCTGCCGGCCCTCAGAAAAGAACCAGAGCAGCCGCGTGCAGGCCTCGGCCCAGTGGGGTGATGGCTGTCTCTGGTCTTTCCCTGGGGGAGGAGAGGCTTGGGTGCCAGCCCCACCCCGTGGCTGCGGCACTGGCTGGGAGGAGCTCCAGGTGCAGGCTCTTGGCCTTTGATGAGACTGAGCGTCCTTGTACACCAGGGACAAATTTAGCACCATGGGCGGGAAGTAAACATGTTGGTGCCATCCCGGCAGGGCCTTTATTGACTCCTCCATGAAGGGCAGCAGTGGGTGGAGGAGGCCACCGTGGGCTGCCAGCCCTCCCTTGAGGGCTAGGGATAGGGCTCCAAGGCCCCAGGACACCCCAATTCTATTCATGTCTGTACTCACTCTGTGATGAGGTCTCAGGCAGAGAGGGCACTTCCCTGGTAGCCCCTTGGCCATCCCAAAGTTCATCACACCCCTTACCCCAGCCGAGCCTTCCTGTCTGAGGCTGCGATCCCCTTTCCCAGTGGCACCTTGAGGCCCAGCAAGACCCCAGGGGAGGCCAGGACCTCAATGTCCACACAGTGTCTCCTGCATAGAGAAGTCTGGGCCACTGGTGAACCTTCTGGGGCTGAGAGGGAAGGACCCACAGCAATGACCGGTGGTCCCTAGAGATGCTGTACTGGGCCCTCACAAACATGCCTGTGTGCACACACTCCTGCATGCACAGGTGTGGTGTACAAGCCCGGAAGTGTGCAAACACACCACCCAGAGCAGTACTCATGAGTACGCGCACACTCCTGGTCACACTGCAGTGGAGACAGGTATGCACACATGTGTAGAACTGCATGTAGGAGGACATGTGTCCATCTCCAGGAAACTTGAGGGGCTCTCACACACCTATACACACACACCCAAGCCCACACCAGCAGGGACAAGTGGCCACATGTTTGTGTCCCAACCCACCTGGGGTGGTTAATTTTACGTATCAACTTGACTGGGCCACGGGGTGCCCAGATGTTTGGTTGAAGTGATTTCTGGGTATGTCCTTGCTGGTGTTTCTGGAGATGAGCATTTGAATGCTGGACCGAGGAAAGCAGGTGTCCCCCATTGTGGGTGGGCTCACCCGACTTGGCAAAGACCTGAATAGAATGCAGAGGCCGAGGAGAGGAGAATGGGCTTTGTCGTCCTGCCTACTTGAGATGGGACATGGGTCATCTCCTGCCCAGGGACTTAGACTTACACCACTGGTGGTCCCGGCTCTTGGGCCATCAGGATCTGATCGAAGGCCACCAGCAGGCTTCCTGGGTCTCCAGCGTGCAGACAGAGAGTGGGGCCTTCTCAGCCTCCATCATTGTGTGAGCCAATTCCTTACAATAAGCCTCCTCACGTCCTATTGCTTCATTTCTCCGAAGAGCCCTGAGTAATGTGCCACCCCAGCACACGCTCCTAAGCAAAGCTACGGTGGACGAAGCTGAACGAGGGTCATGCTCCATGCACTGACGACGGTGCCTGTGAGCCTATGCAATGGGCTGGACTCTCTGCACTGGTCCTCACAGAAGGTGAAGGTGACAGTGACAGCAGCTCTGCCATGTCCACTATCTTCAGGTGAGAGGCTGTTTGTGACAGACCTAGGGTTCCCTGTCCAGCTTAGTTGTGCCCCAAACTCCCTCAAGTCCATGGTCCTTGTGCAAATCCTCGAGCACATATGTCAAGTATGTTTCTGGGCACACATTTGCACAGGCCTGTGGGTGGCCTCAGACGCACCAGGGCACGTAACACACCAGTGTCTAGGACACAAAGTGCACCCCACAGGCTGTGTACACCCCCATATTCCCTCACATCTGCAGATCCGTGTGCACCCACAAACACACATGTGCCCCACACATGCTCACACAAATGATACTTCATCCCGTCCCCACCCCACTCTCTTCTAGAAACTGTCCACCCCTTACTGGGAACTGGGTGGGAGACGGAGGCCCACCCTGCCCCCTCCCTGTCCCCAAAGCAATAACATCATTCTCCTCTCTGCCATTAGCAGCTGGGCTGTTGGATCGCCTTTCGGGTGATGCAGCAGCCGTCCACCAGTCTGTGAAACAGTGTTCACACTGCCAGGCTGCCCCACATCCAGAAGACAGACCCACGTGGCCCCCCTTGGGACCCTTGGGAGGACAGTGCACGGGGACGCCCAACCCAGTCCCCATGGCCAAGAGCTGGGAGGCAGAGTACCTGGACAGTCCCCTCTGTGATGAACTCCCAAGCTCCACATTCTCTAATGGGGAGCAAAAGAGTCCCAGAGCACCCCCACCACAAGAGGGGGCCCTCAGAGGGTCAGGGGAGTCCCCGGGGCCATGGGCACCCGGGTGTCTTCAATCCATGCCCTGGGCCCTGCATGAGAACCCTGTTCTCCCTCCCCAAGATGCACCCCTTTCCACACGGATCCCCTGTGCTGCCTAGTACAGCAAAGGTACCTATAGTTTGACGAATGAACCATCATTGTATAAATGACAACGATTCTAATACTGTCTGCACTGGGGGCACTTGCATTTAGCCAGATACAGAAGGCAAGACAGCTGCCCCAAAGAGCAGACATCTGGGCTGGATGCCCTGGGCCCGAATCCTGGCTCTGCCTCTTTGCCACTGTGTGGCCTTGGGGAGGCAACACCACCAGCCTGTGCCTGTTTCCACCTTAGTAAAGTGGGCCCAGATGTCAGACCAACCTGGCAGGGCCTTCACAAGGGCTCAGCGAGTTAATTTTGTAAATCACCCAGAGCTGTGCCCAGCTTGGATGAGGGCGCTCCGTGGCTCACCATAGAACTGAAAACGCATCTCATGTAGCCCCTAGCCAGACCTGGAGGCTCGGGGTCTTCACCCCATTCTCCAGATGAGGAGACCAAGACCCAAGAGGGCAACCCCCAGCCAGGGCCTCACCACTCATGAAAGACCCAGCCGAGGTGCTCTGCAAAGACCTCTGGTGAACTCACATTCCAGGAGGCGAATCCCCCGCTGCTGGACAACGTGGCCGCAGGAGTGCTATGGGAACTCCAGAATATTGAATTTCATTGAGTCTGCGGTCAAAATGTCTAAAATCAAAGCCATTTCCAAAAAATCCATAGATATGTCTGTCCTCAAAAAGAGGTGGCTATTAGCAGGATTTTGCTTTCTGAACATGGCATGTTCATAGTTGGGGCTTCCAGAAGGCCCAGCTGGCCCTCTCCAACCTTTCTAGAGCCAGCTCAGCCCCTTTCCTGTCCTGCCCCATTCTGGGGTGCCACAAAGCCATGCAAGTCCCCATCCTGGACCTGGAACATCACACCATCCATCCAAGATGGCCAATAGGTATGTGCTGATGACCGGGTCGCCCGCGGTGGCCTCTCTCTCCGGAGTCTGGCCCCGGCTTGCTTGCCCTGCCTGGGTTTACTTGGGCAGGACTGGCCACACCCCCTGGGCCATCCCACCCCCACCATCATCTCTGCCAAGACCCTGTGATCCCAATCCTCCTGCAGGAACAGCCCCCTTGGTGGCTCCCCCACCCCAGCAGAAGGCGAGGGTTGCAGTTCGCGGCTTCCTCTGGAGCAGGGGCAGGGGAGGATTCTGCTTCATTAATCCCCTGGGGCCAAGGCCTCCCTACCCAGCCGCAGCCTGGCCCCAGCTCCAACAGCCAGGACCTCGAGCCCAGGTGCGTGACTGTCACCAAGATAAAAGAGACGTAATTAAATTCCAATCAGCCGAGTGATTTGCTATCATAATGTAATATTTCCCTCCAGCCCCTTAATCCCACAGATCTGTCTCCGTCAGCCTGCCCGGATGGGGGTCCCTGCCTGCCCGGGCTTCAGGCCTTCCTGCCACCCTGGGCCCGGCTGCAGGAGGAGTGATGGGAGGGGACGTCCACCCCACCTGCCCCTCTCGGCCACACACATCCCTCCCCCAACACTAGGCCGTTGAAGGTGATAATGAAGTCATTTTTCTAAGGAATGTTCACCTGGAAGACAGCCGTGTCCGCCAGCCGCTGATCGGGCCACAAAGGCAGGCCCAGGGGAGAAGTGGAGGGCGGGGGCGGGAGGGAAGGTGGGGGTGAGGTGCGGCGGGCCCTGAAGGCCTGCTGCTCTGAGCCTGCTGCCACGTCGGGGTGATTTATATGGGAGCTCCTCGGAGCCTAGGCCCTGCCTCTGCCCCAGCCGGATGCAGCAACCGGCTGCCGTTGCAGCAGGAGGGAGAAAACCTGGGGACTTGGCCTCGGTGAGTAGGGGTGCTGGGGTGGGGGCGGGGGGGCGGGGGGGCGGTGATGGCGAGCTCCAGCGAGGCAGCAGAAGACGCGTTTTCAGTTCCAGAAGGAGCCACGGCGTGCCCTCGCCTGACCTGGGCACAGCTCTGGGTGCTTTTCAGCAGAACTGATTGATAGGGCCCTCCTGAGGGCCCAACCAGGTAGGTCTGACGACCGGCCCCACCTTACTAATGTGGAAACTGAGGCACAAGTGACACTGAGCTGCTCCCTGTGGTCTCACATATCTGAAACTCACCCTGGCATCTCCTGCCATCCCAGGATACACGAGGGACTCTGAAACACTCCAGCCTGAACCACAGCCTGGTCCTGGGGCCCTGGGACCTTCTCGGGAGACCCAGATGTCTCCTGCGCTCTCCTCTCGCTCATCTCCTCTCCCAAGTGTTTCCTCCCACTGTGGCTACAAGCCCCACAGGTAGCTGGGCTCAGAGTACCAGGGTCCACACAGAGCCACAGCTCCCTAGCTGTTCCCTGTCCCCTGCCCCGGGGCCACTGTGCAATTGTCCTGGTGCTTCAGTTTCCTCGTCAGTTTCCTCGCCAGTTCATAAGTTGTCCTGAGAATAGAGAGGCCTGGGGCATGGCCCTGGTTCGGAGGAAGGGTTGGGTGCTTTTATCAGGACTGTGTGTAAAAGCGAATGCAGAAAAGGACAGTCCAGAGGGTGGCAGAGCTGGGGCAGAGCAGGGAACGGGTAGTTTGTTGACATCTTTCTGCTTTTCTGTGGCTTCCACGTTTGCTAAAACTGGTCTGTTGACTTTCAGGGGGAGCCAACGGCTGTGTGTGGCGGACTTGGCAGGCAGAGGCAGCCTGCGGGCAGCCACAGCGGACAGCACAGCGGCCCCCACCTGGGAGGTGGCTCCCAGGACAGAATGCCTCACTGGCCCGGGGCTGCAGGAAGCCTGGGGGGCGGCCGTTCTGCCAGGCCAAGTCCCAAGTGCAAGCTTCACTGACAGCACTGTTTGGGGGACTGACGGCACCGTTTGGGGTATGGACGGCACCGTCTGGGCAACGGACGGCACCATCTGGGGTGCAGACGGCACCATCTGGGGGACGGACGGCACTGTCTGGGGGGCAGACGGCACTGTTTGGGGGTGGGGGATGGGTGCAGGGGCCAAGTGATGCTGAGGAGCAAATAATGAAAAGACCCATGTGTTTGGTTATATTTCAATATGACATTTTTAAAACAATACACAAAAGGTATATCCCAGTGTTTTGGGGGGCCAAGGTAGGAGGATCTGTTGAGGCCAGGAGTTCAAGACCAGCCTGGACAACATAGTAAGACGCCCCACAACCTACAAAAAAAAAATAAGAATTAGCCAGGTATGGTGCCGCGTGCCTGTAGTCTCAGCTACTCAGTAGGCGAGGAAGGAGGATGGCTTGAGCCCAGGAGGTCGAGGCTACAGTGAGCTACGATCATACCACTGCACTCCAGCCTGGGTGACAGAGCTAGACCCTGTCTCTAAAGAAAAATTAAAAATAAATAAATAAAAGGCCTAAAATGAAAACAATGAGGGGGCTGAATTACCAGGGGTTCAAAATTGGGGTAGACTTCAGAATTTTTTTTTTTTTTTGAGGCAGAGTTTCGCTCTTGTTGCCCAGGCTGGAGTGCAATGGCATGATCTCAGCTCACTGCAACCTCCACCTCCCGGGTTCAAGTGATTCTCCTGCCTCAGGCCTCCGGAGTAGCCAGGATTACAGGTGCCTGCCACTACGCCTGGCTAATTTTTTGTACTTTTAGTAGAGACGGGATTTCATCATGTTGGCCAGGTTGGTCTTGAACTCCTGACCTCAGGTGATCTGTCTGCCTCAGCCTCCCAAAGTGCAAGGATTACAGGCATGAGCCACCACGCCCAGCTGACTTCAGAATTTTCAAATATGCATACCTGGGTTCTACCTTGTGAGGGTTCTGAGATGAGTCATGACACTTCACACACACACACACACACACACACACACACCATATACACAGATGCACACCACACAGACACACATCACACACACAGACACACACCACACCACACACTCACCATACATGCAGACACACACACAGACACACACACACACCACAAACACACGCACACAGACACAGGTCCAGTGAGGTTCACAGATCCCACAGCGGGCAGAGTGTCGGGCAGGTGCGGCTCACCCGGAGGAACGGACACGGCCCCGGGCCCAGCAGCAGTGCCGGTTCCCTCCTCAGGAACACACCTTGAGAAGCACTTGGTGGGGGGTCTTTGCAGGACTCTGAGGTCCGTGAAGCTCAAGCTATGACTCTGTAGTAGGACACGCCCACCCCAGGCTGGAGGGTCCTGGGGACACGCAGAGGTGAGGGGAGCTTTCCGGGGGGCACGTCCATGGCCAGCTCGTTCCTCCAGGAGTTGGCACCTTCCATGAGGGGAGAGCAGCACCTTGTCCTGGGGCCCCAGGGAGCAGACCACCCAGGGCTGTGCTTTTGTGGGGGTGGTCCCCAGAGCCCCTGCCCCTGCTTGTGAAAAATGCAGGTTTCCAGGCCCCGCCCCAGACCCACCGGCACAAACACACGGGGACCAAAGCACCCCTGCTGGTGCCCAGAGGCCCCACAATGCCCTTGCATGGCTGGGCGGTGCCCAGAGCCCCCACAATGCCCTCAGGTGGTCGGACAGTGCTCAGAGCCCCCCAAGATGCCCTCGCGTGGTCAGACAGTGCACAGAGCCCCCCACGATGCCCTTGCGTGGTCGGACAGTGCACAGAGCCCCCCAACAATGCCCTCGCGTAGCTGGGCCTCTACCTGTGGCCCTGGACATTTTAGGGTGAACACTGATTCCCAGTCTTTGTGGAAAGTGAAGTGAAGGAGACAGGGAGGGTGGGGTCAACCAGAGAATGAATTTGGGCCCCACCCCACCAGGGGTCTTGTGCGCTCTCCAGGCTGGTGGCACCAGGTACACTTGCATTTCAGCCCCTGGGTTTTCAGTAGAAACTCAGAGGTGGGGTGGCGGAGCTCAGCCTCTGCCGCCAGGGTACAGAGCTGCACTGGAGCTGCTCCCTCTGGTCTCACATGTCTGAAACTCACCCTGGCATCTCCTGCCATCCCAGGACACATGAGGGACTCTGAGGGACTCGGCGTGCCAGGAAGGGCTGGGAGCCAGGCTCAGCGGGAGGGCGAGCCCTGAGTGATTGGTCATGTTTGCCACAGTACAGGAGCGGGCCTGGCTGCAAGTTGGGAGGTCTGGGCTTACCACGTCCAGTTGAGGGCTGAGATTCCATCACCAGGAAGCCCTCCAACCTGCCAGAGCATGGGGTCCAGGGGGGTGCTCCCCTCCTGGCAGACGCAGCCTCTCAGGGCATCTGTGGCACTTTCCAAGGCTTCTATGGCACATCCTACCACCTCTCAGCCTATCCTCTCACCGCCCATCCATTGGTCCACCCACCCATCTGTCCACCCATCCACCTATCTGCCCGTCCGACTAGCTCTTGCCAATGTTGGGGGTGGTGGGAGGCAGAGGCGCTGGAGTGGGAGCCGTGGGCTTCCCAACACGGCTCCTCACAGTGCTGCCCTGTAGCCCACCATGGAGCTCAGGTCCCCGCCCACATAGACCGCCCTGGAGCAGGTGTGATGGGTGGCTCACAGGAGGCACCTCCAGATGACCCAGCCAGGGGGCTCGCTGCCAGCCCCGGGAAGGAGTTTAGGGTGGGAGCGGGGAGAGGCTCAGTCTGGCATGGATGACCCCTGTGTTTCCCGGGTGTCCTGCCTCCTGGGACAGGGAAGTAAGGGGACTGGGGTGAACCCAGGGCAGTGGGCACAAGGACAGGTGGATGTAGACGGGGCTCCCAAGGACAGGGTCTCGGCACTGAGCCTGGCCTCTGCTTAGACTGGCCTGGGTCAAGTCTGGCTGCTCCTACATCCTCTGTGTCATTGCTGAACCTCTCAGAGCCTCAGTGTCCTCATGTGTGAAATGGGGACGCTGGCTCTCGCCTCACTGAACCAATGTGCATGTAAAGCAATGGGCACCATGCTGGGCACACTCACTCGCCAAGGAGGCAGGAGCCCCACGCTCCCAGGACAGGCTCATCCGCAGCAAGAGGCAGAGACTGAGGCCTCCTGGTCGACCGCCAACTTCTCCTGGGAGGCGTCCCGCCAGCTCCTGGCTGCGTAAGAGAATGAACGTGTCAGGGAAAGTGCCCAAACCCTTGCAAGAGGGAAAGAACGTGAGAGGGAGGGGAAAGAGGCAGCTTGTGCCAAGATGGTTAAAACAACGCTATTCATACAGCAAAGAACTGGAAACCTCCCAGGTGCCCAACAATGGGGCTCGGGGAAGCCAGCGGCCAGGAAGGCAGCTGTACGGGCCCAGTCGGCACACGGCGCTGGGAGGGTTGGCAGCAGAGGCGGGGAGGGGCAGGATGGCGGCACGGGCGCGCCAGCCACAGCAACACAGCCGATCACGCTTAGTGGGCCAGAGGGCAAGGCGGGGGGGGAGGGGGGGACACACATGGGAACAGTGGCTTGGAGTCTTCTGTGTCCTAGTCCCCAGCTCTGTGGGGAGCCCCAAGTCTTGCTGCCCTCCTGACGGCACAGCAAAGGGGCTTTGGAGTCAGACAGTTGGGGCCTGAACCCAGACCTGTCATTACCAATGGTGCCATTGCTGGCCAGTGGTTCCACGTTGCTGGGCCTCAGTTTCCCCACCTCCAAATGGGGAAGGCGTAGTTCCATTAGGCAGAGAACAGGGGTCCATTAGGCTGGGGCAGGGGCAACCTTCCTCACTGGACAGTGGGGTTGCCAGTGGAAGGGGTTCTGGGGACCCTGGAAATGCAGACTGCCTCCAACCTCTGACTCTTCCAGAATTGGAGCCCCCGTACTGTCCCTACCCTCACAGTGAGCCACCCCTCGATGTGAGCTGATCTCCTGAGCCTGTCAGGCAACAGCTGCCCACAGACCTCTGGCTTCTGCAGAGGGGAGCCCAGAGGAGCAGAGGGGATGCGCAGGTGTAGGGAGGAGGCCCCAACTGTGTCTCCACCACAGCCTAGGCCAGAGCTCAGGAGGTGGCGACGCAGCCAGTGGGGAGAGCCCAGAGTCTGGGGGTTGGAGAAGAGACTGGAGCCCTCAGTGTCGGCGTGACCAGGGCTGGGGCCGGGAGCTGTGTCTGTGGATCCCTCCGATTCCTGTACTCAGGGCCCTGCTGGAGGCAGCCTCAAGGCAGGAGCCCTAGGCAGGGTGAGGGCAGAACCCGCTGGCTCAGGGCGGCCGTGAGCCATCGGGAGGCACTCAGGAGCACGCAGGGAGCCAGGCCCCGGCTAAGCCAAGCCGCGGCTCAAATGTGGGACTCTCCCGGGATCCTTCGAGATGCCTCCTGCCACGTCCCTCTGAGACCGGCATGTTAGAAAGCCCTTTCTTGGTCATCCCTTTATTGGGTTCACAGCCATCAGCACCATTTTACAAATGTTTTTACAGACAAGAAAACCAAGTCTTGGCAGGTCCTCGCAGATGACAGTGGCAGAACCAGTATTCAAACTCAGGTCTTGAGTGAGCCCTTGTCCTCTTTCTGCTGAACCACACTGCCTCTCCCCAATGGCCTCACGAGGGATGGGGTGGTACCGCCTGCGGCTTCTGCATCTGAGCCCACTCACTGCCTGGCCACCAGATAGATTGCAGCATCCACCTGCCCTTGTCCCCCATGTCCCCCACCCCAGGGACCATGCCAGCCCTTCCCTTCCTCCTCTGGGTGGACGGCACTGGGCCCAGGCTCTGCCGGACCTGGTGGTGGCTCCACCGGAACCCGCGAGAAGAGCTGAGCACGTACAAGCCATTTTCTCGGATGAGTTATAATTTTCCTTCATTTCCCCTTCAAAACACACTAATTAAACGGACATTGTTGAGGCGGTCAATTGAAATGCAAAAAAGCATCCTCTTTCTAAAGAACATCCCCATTTCTTTGGAGGCAATTGTGTGCATTGTGTTAACTGGGCAGGGACACGAAGCGCACACACGTGGACACATGCACACACGAGCAGACGTGCACACACACACACGCATGACTGCATATGTGCATCCATAAGCACAAACGTGCATGCGTGTGTGCGTCCACACACACGAACCCGGCGGAGACACTCAGTCTCACCTGAGCGCGCTTTCGTGCCCAGCACCAGGACTGTTCCGATGTCAGCCACGGTCACCAGGGCACCGATAGACTCAGGGAGTTCTTTTCTCCCGCAGCTGCCGGGGCACTGTCTCAGGAGCGTCCGCTGGAGGCCCCATCCCGCCATTCCAGGGGTCTCCTCCCTGGCCAGCCACTCCCACAAGGTATTGTCTCTTCTGTGCCCCCATCTCCGTCCTCACCTCCGTCCTCACCTCTGCCCCCACAGACGTTTCTGGACCCAGCCTGGAGACGGGGGAGGCAGGTAGCCTTGACAGACCTGGCCGGACCCGGACCCCTGTCTTAGGGCAGAGAGGACGGCTCCAGCTTGGAGCCCAAACACCAGGGAGGCAGCTGGGACTTGCAGGTCACCAAGGGCTTCCCTGGGGCACCACCCTCCTTTTGAAGTGTAACGCTTTATTTTTTTCATCAAGATATGGAAAACACACAGGGAAGTGTACAGAGAATAAGTAAATTGTCACAAAGCCATGGTCTGTGTAAGCACCACTCAGGCCAAGGGCAGGTACTTCCACCCCCTGCAAGACCCGAAGCCCCCCGGGCCCTTCCCAATCACACCCGCACACCCCTCTCCTGACTCCCAATATCTGAGGCTGCCTTTGCCTGTGTCCAGCTTTAGGCAAACAAGCTCGTTTCTTATTTTGTGTCTGGCTTCCTTCACCCAGCTCTGTGTGAGGCCCCGTGCTGCGTGTCGGTGGCCACATGCTCGTGTGTCTGCCTGGCCCACGGCGGAGGGACACCTCGGACCCTCCGGGCCCCTCCCTTGCTCCTGCTGCCCAAAGATCCTGCCAGCCCTACCCTTGCCAGGGCCAGGTACCCTGATGCAGATGGAGGGCCAGAGGCCTCCGTGGGGAGGTGAGGGACCTGCGGGCCCCCTGAGAGCCCACCGTCCTGAGGCCACCATACGGCCAGAGGTCCCTCAGGACGTGGGTCATGAGACTGTCCTTCTGCAACCCACACCTAGCCATGGAACCCTTGGGCCATGGCTGCCCCTGTGACCGCTGATGGTGGCAAAGTGCAGCTTGGCCTAAAGATATTCTGACTCCATTTATTTGTCACCTGTGTCTGGATCTTGGTGGGGACAAATCTTCTAGACTGTGTCTGTACCTAGGGAGAAAGGAGGAGTCAGATGCATTGGTGGGGGGCACAGGGAGCTGGTGGGGAGCAGAGGCCCTGAGGATAAACAGACAGGAGCAGCCCCTGGGCCTGCAGGAGGCCCAGGACGCCGGAGTCTGGGAGATCCCTTCCAGAGGAGACCGCTCCCCACTCCCGGGGGCTGCTGGGGCCCAAGCCGTCCTCCCAGCAATGCTCTGTGGTGAACAGTGTCTCACCCACGTTGAGGGGCTCCTGCTATGTCCTGGGCATGGGCTCCTGTCACCATGAAGGGAAGGCATGGGTGTCTGCTGAGACGCAGGATGTACGTGCAGGGTGCGGGGGCTGCTGCCAGGGAAGGCTTCCAGGAGGAGGTGACCAGCCAAGCTCAGGTGAAGGAGCAGGGCCAGGGAGGACGCCTGGCAGAGGAAGGGTGGCCACAAAGACCAGGAGGAGGGGTGAGCCCCGGTGTTCCAGGAGCCAAGAGCTCAGCCTGGCTGGAGCTGGGTTGAGTGTGTGAGGGTGTAGGGGGAATATGAGGAGTGTGTGTGAATCAGTGTGTGTGAGTGTGTGAATCTGAGTGTGTGACAGTGAGTGAGGATGGAGTGTGTGAATGGGCCTGTGTGTGTGAATCTGAGTGTGTGAGTGTGTGGGGATGTGGGAGTGTGTGAATGAGCATGTATGAGTGTGTGTGAATCTGAGTGTGTGATGTGAGTGGGTGAGGATGGAGTGTATGAATGAGCGTGTGTGAGTGTGAGTATGTGAATGAACATGTGTGTGAGTGTGTGTGTGTGATGTGAGTGGGTGAGGATGTGGCAGTGTGTGAATGATCGTGTGTGTGTGAGAATCTGAGTGATGTGAGTGGGTGGGGATGTGGGAGTGTGTGAATGAGCGTGTGTGAGTGTGTGTGTGTGATGTGAGTGGGTGAGAATGCGGCAGTGTGTGAATGAGCGTGTGTGTGTGAATCTGAGTGATGTGAGTGGGTGGGAATGTGGCAGTGTGTGAACGAGCATGTGTGAGTGTGAGTGTGTGATGTGGGAGTGTGTGAATGAGCATGTGTGAGTGTGTGTGAATCTGTGTGATGTGAATGGGTGAGGATGGAGTATGTGAATGAGCATGTGTGAGTGTGTGAGTGTGTGATGTGAGTGGGTGAGGATGTGGCAGTGTGTGAATGAGCGTGTGTGAGTGTGAGTGTGTGTGATGTGTGATGTGAGTGGGTGAGGATGTGGCAGTGTGTGAATGAGTGTGTGTGAGTGTGTGGCTATGCGTGTGTGGGAGTGTGTGAGTGAGGTCTGATGTGCAAGCTGCAGGTTGCAGAGCCTTGTGGATCACAATAAGATGCCAGGGGCCAGGACTGGATCCTGCAGTGCCAGGAAGCCACAGAGTGTGGTAGGGTGAGATTGACGCTGTCAGCATGTCCCTAGGTGCTGGTGGAGGCTGGACTGGAGGCAGGCCACAGCCGAGGTCCAGCTGGGGGCCACCATGGTGTTGAAGGACAAAGTGAAGCCATCCTGGTCGGGGCAATAGGAGAGGCATTTGGCAAATACATGTATCTGGTCTTGATGTCTGCCCGGAAACCTTCAAATCCAGAGACAGATTTTGAAGGTTTGTCCAAAGGCCCAGTGAGCTGGGCAGGCTTCTACCTGGAAGGGGGAATTGCAGGTTGAGTGATAGTTGAGAGGCGGGACTGCCTGAGCTTGACTCTCAGTCTGCCACTTGAGAACTGGGTGGCCTTGGCAGAGTGACTTGGCTTCTCTGAGCCTGTTTCTTCATTGGTGGCATTGGATGATGATAATAGTACCCACATGTATTAGTCAGTTTTTGCTGCGTAACAAAATACCCCAAAACTAAGTGGCTTCTGACAGCAAATGGTGGTTTCCTTGCTTGTGGGCCTGTGGGTGGGCGGTGGCCCTGGAAGGCTCAGCGGTGCTCGGCTGGACCCCCCGCCAGGCTGCAGGTTGGGTTCAGGTCTGCTCCCTGTATTTCCTCATCATCCTTGGACCAGTGGCTCCGTGGAACATGCTCAGCTGGGACAGCTCAGCAGGGCATAAAACAGTGAGATGCTGCAGAAGCGTGCACGGGTCGGCCTCACCACTCACCCAACTGGCTGTCCCCGAGCCCAGGCTAGTCCCAAGCCCAGGCCCAACACGGCTAAGTGGGGAAGTTCCTCACCCATAGTGGGAGGCAGGGAGTGGCCTATTAGAGGAGTGAGGACCTGGGCACCATACCCAAGGCCCTGCCTTCACCATGAGGCACTGGAGAGCAGTGAGCAGAGCTGTGTTCAGGACACATGAGCTGTCACTGCTCAGCAGAGGAGCAAACCAAGTCCCCTGCCCTGCCACAGCAAAGGACCAAGCCGGCTCTCCTAAGAGCCTTGGGAGCTGCAAGGGGTCAGGATGTCCTCCGGGGGTCTCCCCGCAACCTGCCCCTGCTGGTTGTGCAGGAGCCTCTGAGACTCCACCATGCCTGGAGGAGACCCTGTACTCAGCCTGCCTCTGCACCCACCGGCCACTCAACACCAAGGAAACCAGGTTGGCACCTGGCACTATTACATCTTTACCATCTGGGGTCCATGTGGCCCCCTAGTGCCACCTGCCCCATCCAGGCACACAGTCGCCTCTGGCTCCAGGGGCATGGCGTTGAACACAGCTTGCCTCAGGGAGGAGGCGGCCCCTGACCCCGCCCTGGAGTCTGCCCAGCAACCTCCATCACCAGTGAACCCAAGTGCTCCAGACCCGGCCACCAGGTATCGTAGTGCACATGGAGGCTGGGCAGAGAAGACAGCCCAGGAAGCCTCTAGGGCAAGGGGGGCATGGGAAGTGCCAGAGTGATTGGCATTGAATTGTCTGATGAATGAACAAGGGGAGAAGACAGGGGCATGGCAACTGCCTAGGAGAGCCCAGCAGAGGCTCTGAGACCCAGAACAAACCCCAGTAAGTCTGGCTCTGCCTCACCCTGGCGCGGAAGCCCTGCCTCTTGCCTCCATGCCAGAGGTTGTTTGACTTTGCTTACATGCCTCTGGAGACTGTGGAGGTGTCTCACTTCCACTGAGGCAGCAGTTAGAAAGCTCTTCCTTATTTGACCTGAGCAGCACCCCAAGGTCCCACTTCTGCTCCCACAGGACAGATCTTCAGCCAGCCAAGGCACAACCAGGGTGTGCATGTGTTGAGCACCTGCTGAATGCAGCATCCTACTGGCGGCACATAACAGCATGGGCACCACTCCCTGGGACTGGAGGCTTGAGGAGTGCAGACACTGCAGGGCAGCCTACTGAGAGGTCAGAGCCCTGCCCGACTCCGGCCAGGATTGCCACCGCCCTCTCACCCCATCCCCTACAGGCCCCCAGCCACGGCATCCGGAGCCCAAGGCATGCAGAGACCTGGATGCCAGAAGCTGCCTGCGCCTCCCCAGCCCCAGCAGAGAGAGACTCAAAGAGAGAGAAAGGGAAGGGGAGGAAGGGAAAGAGGAGAGAGAGAAAGGGGACGTAGGGAGGGAGGGAGGGACAGAGGCAGAGGGAGCACTTGCTGCCACCAAGCCACTGTTGTCCTTCTTAGCACCACTTAGGCCAACTGTTAAAAAGATTCCGAGGCAATTAGACTCAGGGGAAGCCATAAATCTCAATAGCTATCAGCCTAAGTTCTCTTCCCTCCTTGAAACAGCAGCGATAATGTCACTGGTTGTGGGCCCCAGACTCCCAGAGGGCTTTCTGATAAAAAGCCACTTCTTCAAAACATCAAACCCAAGTTCCTCTCTTCTTTCAAGTAGCCCAAGGGTCAGGTTTCCCAAGAGGGGATGAGAGGGGACGAGGCCTGAGTCTGGGGCCGGCAGGGGTGGATGGCCAGGGAGCGCCTCCTCAGGCATCCACTGGGCAGTGGGGCCTTCGGGCGTGAGGTCAATGCCGAGGCTGCGGGTTCCGAGGTCACTTTGTGGCCTTGAATCTGACATGAGACTTCTGAGAGATGTTTCTCTAACCTCTGCTTGGTTACCACTAGCGGCGGGAGGCTCACTTCCTTCCACAGCCAGTGGGCACCTCCTGGGGTGACTCTTCTGAAGGAAAATGCTTTGGATACCCGTTTCCAATCTGCCTTCTAAAATACCTGCAGGGTCCCAGCACCATCCTCAGTGAGACTGGGAGTGGGTATCGTGACCCCTGGAAGCTTGGGCCCCCCAGGGTATGGAGCAGGGACCCTCAGCAGCAGGGTGGGTGGGGAGGGGAGGCCCAAGCGCTGCACTATTGATTTCATCCTGGATGTGCCTATTCTTAGATATGAAGGGGCATAAGGAAAGCTGCCCTGAGATGTGGAGGGCTGGGAATGCCCTGAGGCCCCCCGCCCCCCCAGTCTGGCTCACTCACTCCAAGCAGGGTTCTCTTTAGCCCTGGGGACGCGGGGTGGGGGCGCTTCTCCTCTCCCCCCACCCCCATGGCGTCTCCCTCTCTTGGTCCTGCCTGCCGGTCACCGCACTGAGGAGGCAGCCCCTCCCCTCCCCATCTTTTCTGCTTCTGCCTCACAAAGAGGAGCCAGAAGGGAGGGCCTCAGGTGTCCACTTCTGTCTGTCCCCATCCTGCCGCAGGAGTGAGAGCTGAGCCATAGTCAGGCACCTCCTGGGTGCCCGGCCCTTGGTCCTGCTTTTCAGCCCTGACCTCACTGACTCCTTGCAATAGCCTGTGGTTGGGGAGTGGGGACTCTATGCTGCCCCCACTCTACAGAGGGGCACACCACATGGCACCCTCTTCAGGGAACCTCCTTGACTTGTCCCCCTAGCTGGAAGTAGTGGGGCTACACCTCGAAACCCGGGCTCCTCCCCTGCGGGGAGGGAGGGATGGGACTCAGCTCACGGTTCATTAGGTCGCTGATGAGATAGTATTCTTGCCGTTTTCCCCCTGCCAGACGGGGAGCTCCCTGAAGGCAGACCCTGACCAGGGTAGGAGTTCTCTCCTCCCCTCAAACCCTGGATACCCTCTTTCCTTCTCAGAAGACCCCTCCATCAAATGGGGGTTACTTGAAGATCCAGTGTGGAAATGTGGGGGAAGGCTAGCTGTCCTCATTTCCTGGGACCTTCTCTAATTCCTCTGTGCATTGCTGCACTGGGCGCCCAGAGGTCTCCATAGCTCGGTCCTGAACATGCAAACAGCAAATGGCTGTGTCTCCTCAGAGGCCACCAGGCCACCTTCCCTGCATCTTCTGCTCCGTGCTGGCTTGGAGCAGGCTTGGCTTATTTTCATGATGAGCGAGTTTGCTCCTCACTAGCACGGAGCCAGGTCCAGACCCCAGCCACCCAGTCCAACCCGGGACCCCGCAAAAAGAATCCAGTGATGTCTGGAATGAAGGTGCCAAGATGGCCCCTGAGGGATGGAGAAGCCAGTCTGCCACGCGCCCTGCAGAGGGGCCTGGTCTTCCTCAACTTCTGGGGTCCCTCTTGCTCCTTCAAGGGGTCTCGGGCTATTGTCGAGAGGCTGCAGCAGCCAGAAACAAGCACAACTGCTCTCTGACCTGGAAACCTCCTTCGCCCAGGCCCTTACACCCACCATGCCTCCTCCCCTCAGGCACAGTCAGAAATAAACAGGTGCAGAGAGGCTCAGCCACCTGCCCTGAGTCACACAGCAAGAATGAAGTCGAGGTAGGATTTGAACCCAGGTCCACCTGGGTCCTGAGTCTGGATTTGTGGCTCACACAGGACAGCCTTCCTCTAAGGAAGTTGAGAAAGCTTAGGGAGCCCTCACTTCACAGATGGAGAGACTGAAGCCCTACAGGGACTTGCCCAAGGCCACACAGTGAGCTGGAACCTTCCAGACTCCAGTCCCTGGGCCGAGCTCCACAGCCCTCCCTAGGACACGTGTCAGGAGGTCCCTGGTGAGAACCTTGAGGGACACCAGGCCTGGGGGAATGCCCCCCAACCCTGTCCCTGAAGTGCCATCTGGACCCCACAGGTGCAGAGAGCCTGGCCTTCAGGATGGCCACCAGCAATGTCCCCCAAACTCAGGCCATCTGTGACGGGGACCAGGGACCCAGTGAGACAAGCAGGAGGCCGCACAGTCCACTTGGTCAACTGTGAGTGCCCTCGCCCTCCCCAGCAGGGAGGCTTGGGCATCACCCTGTTCCTCCGAGTAGCCTTCTTCCCTCCCTAGCTCATGGGCCTCAGGTGCATCCGGGCAGCCCCTTCTGGCCCATGGCATCCAAAAGGAAGCTCTTGTCCACTCCTGGGCAGCTTTTTTCATTCCCTCATTCATTCATTTTCCCTTGAGTATTTGGTGAAGGCCTGCGCTGGGCTCAAGGGAAGCAGTGGTGACTGATTGGGTCCTGGGCCCTGAGGACTTTGGTCCTGGGGGGTTTGGGGGAAGGCAGGTCTACCAATAGGTAGCTTTGATGTGTGGCTGGGCCTGGGCTGGGCCGAGCTCAGAGCGCACATGTTGAGCGCCTAATCCAGACTGAAGGGATCAGGCAGGGCTACCTGGAAGAAGTTGCATCCAAAAAGAGACACCAAGGATGGGAGGAGCTATGCAGATGACAAGAAGGAGGAGGAGGAGGAGGAAGAGAGGAAAAGCAGGCAGGTGGATGAAGAGAGCCGGTCCCTTCCAAAGGGGCAGAGCACAGAGTGGTCAGGGTGGGCAGAGGAGGAACTGGGGCTCTGTCCTCTGGGCAGCGACATCTCTGTGTGCCAGGCCTGGGTGGAGGGAGCTCTGGAGACGTCACGCAGCCCCTACAGCCTGCAGTGAGTGGGGGCCTGAACCTGGTACTGCATGGTCCAAGGAGAGAATGAGCAAATGAAGGGGCCAGGGGGTGCGCGAGTGAGTGAATGAAATAGAACAAAATGTAACTCAGCATCAGGGCGGGACTCGCTCCAGACCACCCTGAGAGCAGGATGCCCAGAGTGCCGGCAAAGCCACCAGGCCCCAAGTGCACAGCCAGCAGGAACAGGGACCCTGGCCCGCGGGGCTGTGGTGAGGAAGGCAGATAGCCTCTGTCCCAGAGCCACAGGGAGTCAGGGTCAGGACGCTCCTGTCTGGGGCAAGGCTGGATCACACCAAAGCTCAGGCTTCCTGGGGGCCTGCAGGCCGGGCGAGGTTTCCAAGGCTGTGCCCAGGTGCTGTGTGGGGGCTGCATGAAGAGTGTGGGGCCATCGCTGCTTCTTTCTGGCTGGAGGCCCCTGGCAGGCAGTGGCGCAGGTATGTCTGCCACTGTCCAGGAGCTCAGGAGATGACCCAGCCTCCCGGATGCCTTTGTCCCATCACCCATTCCGGGCAGAGCCCGGGGCTGAGCAGGCTCAGGGCATCCCTCCAGCCCTCCCATGCAGAGTGGGGGTGAATGCCCCTCTACAGATGCCTGCACACAGGGGCCCATAGTTGGACAGGACCCCCCCCCAGGGCCGGCCTCCCTGCCAGAGCTGGAGGGGGGAGGCAAAGAATTCCCGGAGGAGGTTGTGGCAGTCAGGACAGCAGGCAGTCAGGGCCTGGGCAGTCAGGGTCTGGGCAGTGGCAGGCAGGAGACGGCCGCAGTGGCCAGGGCTGGGGAGTGTTTGGCACAGGGACGTACAGAGGACTTCGAGCAGCTGGCAGGGACTGCGATGACCTGGGCCCTGCGGGGGGAAACGAGCAGCTGGGCTTGGTCACAGACTCTGTACCAGCCTGGGGCAGGGCCCTGGGAGGCTGGGGTACCCCAGTTCTCTGCACAGATTGAAGAGTCAGATGGACTTAGATTCGACACCAGATTTACAGCTGAGCAGCTGAGTGGCCTTGAGCGAGTCACCGAGGCAGGCTGGGTTCAGCTCTTCGTCTGTAAACGGCTTCAGGATTCTGCACCTGTGAGGACCGGGAGCAAATGAGAACGTGCCTGCCACTCACCTCACAGCCCACCTGGGAAGGGCCCCTTTCGTAGCTCCACCCCTTGGCTTCGGGTGCAGGTGCTCCTCTCCCGGAAGTCCCCTTCCCCCCTTATGTTCTGCACTTCTCAAAACCCCCATCCCTCCTTTAGGGCCAGAGCATAGCACCTGCCCTTCCTGGGGCCGCCCGCTGGCCCCAGGACCTTGTCCCCTCATTTCTGGCTGCTTCACAGTGCCGGATGCAGTGCTTTGCTTGGTCTTGGTCAGGGGTACAGACCAGGGCCATCTTCCAGCAGCTCTGAAGAGCCAGTGCCGCTGCCCAGAGCCTGGTGTTGAAGAGGATGCTGAAGTGCACTCCAGCTCTGCAGGAGGCACCGCTGAGAGACACGGCCACGGTGGGAGTGTGGAGTGGACACAGCAGAACATGCGTCTCTGGTCCACGGGCAGGGGTTTGAACATGAACAGCGGGTTGCCGGCATGCATAACTTAATTGCAATAATTAATGCATGGATACCTGCTGGATGACAGGGGTGAGGCGGTCCCAGGCAGCAGCAGGAACCGCCTCCTTCTGCTTGGGTGCAGTGTGCACTCCCCAGAGAGGCAGCGGTTGGAAGAGCAAGAATGCTTACGCTTTGTATCTGTTTTCTGTTGCTGTTCTACCACACACTCAGCAGCTTGGAACATGCATTTCTGACCTCACCATTGCTGTAGGTCGGAAGTCCAAGCAAGACTGAGCCGCGTGCCCTGCTCAGGGTCTCACGGGGCTGAAATCTCAGTGGCAGTTCAAATAGGCCAGCACTCCTTTCCACGGTCCCTCAAGGGGTTGGCAGAACACGTTTCCTTGGGGCTGTAGAATTCATAGACGCTTCCGTCTTCAAAGCAGCAGGGAGGTCGGGGAGGGAATCTGCTCCCGCAAACCTCTGCCTCTGGGCTCGCTTCTAAGGTGCTCCCCTGATTAAGCCAGGCCCACCCAGCATCATCTCCCTTCTGATTAACTTAAATCCTGCAGAGTAGGGGATTTATCTGCACAATCCCTTCACCTCTGCCATTTTCTACTAGCTGGAAGCAAGTCACAGGATTTACCCACACCTAGGGGAGAAGGTCACACAGGATGGGGGTCACTTCAAAATTCTGTCCTCATCAAGCACCTGTGGAGTGCCAGCCTGTATGCTGGCACCTGATGTGCTTATGGAATTTCATTCCATTTCTTTTTGAGACCGAGTCATGTGCTCATAGAATTTCATTCCATTTCTTTTTGAGACCGAGTCTTGCCGTGTTGCCCAGGCTGGAGTGGAGTGGTGTGATCACAGCTCATGGCAGCCTCAACCTCCCGGGCTCAGGTGTTTCTCTCACTTCAGGCTCTCGAGTAGTTGGGACTACAGGGGTGCTCCACCACGCCTGGCTGATTTTTTAAATTATTTTTTGTAAAGACGGGGTCTCACCATGTTACCCAGGCTGGTCTCAAACTCCCGGGCTCAAGCGATCTGCCTGTCTTGCCCTCCCAAAGTGCTGAGATTATAGGCGTGAGCCACCATGGCTGGCCCTTAATTCAGTTCTTTCAAGATAAAGCTGGTGGGTATTCCCTCCCCCACTCACTGTTGGCCCTGAGGGTCCTGCATGGCTGCTTCTGCCAGTCCCTGGAGGCTCCCATCCCCTCCCCTGCCCCCAGCTCACCCCTTTCAGCCACACTTGACCTTCCCTCTGTTCCTCAGATGCACACGGCTCTCGCTGCCTTGGGGCCTTTGCACAGGCTGTTTGGTGCTCTCATCACTTGGAACACTCCCCTCCCTCACCCGCACTCCAGCACCTTCCCATCCTCCAGGACTAAGTTTCAATGTTACTCTTAGCTGGGCATGGTGGCTCACACCTGTAATCCCAGCACTTTGGGAGGCCGAGGCGGGCGGATCACTTGAGGTCAGGAGTTGGAGACCAGCCTGGCCAACATGGTGAAATCCCGTCTCTACTTAAAAATACAACAATTAGCTGGGCATGGTGGTGTGTGCCTGTAACCCCAGCTACTCAGGAGGCTGAGGCAGGAGAATTGCTTGAACCTTGGAGGCGGAGGTTGCAGTGAGCCGAGATCGCGCCACGGCACTCCAGCCTGGGCGACAGAGCGAGACTCCATCTCAAAAAAAAAAAAAAGTTACTCTCCCAGAGATGCTGACCCTAACCATGCTGCATCATCCTGTCTCGGGACCTCTGCTCTTCACCTTCACAGCCACTTAGGCTTAGGCCTCGTAGAATCTCATCTGTGCATACCTTCTGTTTGTCTCTACAACTGGACAGCGAGATCTTGGTGGCCAGGAACTTGCTGTTTGGTCACCATGTGAACAAACAAGGTTGGTGCCCGCGGTGGTGGGCAGGATTCTAGATGCCAGCAGGACCCCCTCAAGTGTGGGAGGAGCAAGTGAGTGTGATAGGAAGGACTCCGTGAAGACACTCCATGAAGGGTAAAGGGTGAAGACACTTCGTGAAGGGTGAAGGATGAAGGCACTCCGTGAAGGGTGAAGGATGAAGGCACTCCGTGAAGATACTCCATGAAGGGTGCGTCCCATCACACTTGCTTGTTCCTCCCACACTTGAGGGACTTTGCAGATGTAATTAGGCTTCTAATTAAAATTTTGAGATAATCAAAGGGGAGATGAGCCCTTTAAATCTGGGTCTGGAGGTCAGAGGCAAAGGATGTCAGAGTGTCTTAGACAATGGCAGACCTCTCCTGCTGGCCTGAGGGAGCAAAATGCCCTGTTTTGGAGAGGACCATAGGCAAGGAGCTGGGGGTGCTGGAGTTGCTGGGAGCAGTCCTCAGCAGACAGCCAGCGAACAAAGGGACCTCAGACATGCAGATGCAAGGAAACAACTCTGCCAGTCCCACAGGGCAGCCTGAACTCAGCTCTTCCCCAGTCAGGGCTCCAGGTGAGAACACAGCCCAGGACACACCTGAACACAGCTCTTCCCCAATCGAGCTCCAGGTGAGAACATAGCCCAGGATACACCTTTATTTCAGCCTGTGAGACCCTGAGCAGAGTATCCAGACAAAATGTGCCAGACTGCGACCCACAGGGCCGTGCTCAGCCATGAGCTGCTGGAAGCCCTAAGCTGGTGGGAATTTGTTTTGCAGCGATGGCACCCCAGTACGCCACCCACACCCTTTCCACCCACCATTGCCTTGTCACTCCCAGGGCAAGGGTGGACACTTATCCCAGCTCTCACCCCTCATTGGGTAACACTGTGGTGCAAATTCTGCACTAGTTCACATGGTCGCAGGTGGCCTTGAGCTCTGGTAGCCCACAGTGGTGACCTAAACACACACACACACACACAGTCTTGAATCCTGCTCTCGGGGTCCGTCTCAGGCACTGTCCCCTGGCCCCCAGCCTGGCACCTGCATTATAAATTCCCAATTCACATAGAAGGAGAGATGTTGGTAACCCGCCTAGGGTCACACAGCTTGTGAACGGGGAAGCTGAGATTCCCACCAGGACCGCCTCCTCACTGTTCAGCTCCACCACTCAGGTCACAGCCCACGTGGCAAGTGAATGTGACTGCTGTGGCCCTGGGTCCTCACTGCAGCCTCTCCCAGACTGAAGAAGGAAGCAGTCAGCAGACCACCCTCCCATAACCCAGCCCTTTGCCTGTCAACACAACATACAAGCTCATCTAGAAATAGATAAATTTACTAGGAGGAACCGGAGCTTTAACAAAGAAAATTGAGATGCCCGAAGGGGGATGTCTAATTTTTATCCCATTTCACAATTGAATTGTAAATCGTGTTGGAGCTAAGCTCCCAGGCCCAGGTCTGATTGCACTGAGACATGACTCGGAGGAGCGGTCGAGGGCTGCAGCCACTTCCCCATACCCCTGGGCTTTCCCCTCCGGCCCCGCCAGCTCCCAGACCAACGCAAACCGCAGAGGATGCAGGTGACCCTGGGCCCTCGGGCTGCAGCTGAGCTCCTGAAACCAGCCCATGGGGCACTGCTCAGGTTCACTTGTGGTGAGCAACACCAGGGGCTCGTGTTGGCAGCTCATTGCAGACTCAAACGGCAGGATGTTTGTGAGGTTTAGACACTGTAAGAAGCGAGGTTAGCTTTGGAGATCGGGTTTCCATTTATTTACGAACAGTCTGATGGCCGCCTCCGTGTCCTGGGCCTTCTCATTCACAGGCGCCCACAGCACTCTCTCCTGGATCCTTCCATGACCTGCAGAAGGAAGCCCCACTGTCCCAGCGTCCAGGCGAGGAAGCAGAAGCATGACCCAGCCCAAGACTCAGAGCTGGGCCGTGGCAGGGACAGACTGCCCACCAGGATCTGCTTGGTGGGGACACTGGTGCCTTTCACAATGACAGGCCCTTCCTTGTGTGCTCCAGCACTGGCTCCTGATAAGAGTGACACTTGGAGAGCAGCAGTCCCATGAGGCAGACATGCATGACAATCGGTTGCCAAGGTCAGGGTAAGCGGGCGACTTTAGCCCTCACGTGGTGAGGTGCTTGTGCCTGTAGCGTGCTGCTGGCTGCAGCTCCGGCCCTGAACCCTCCATCCTGGCGGGTAGGAGGCCTCGCCGGCTGGACAGCAACAAGCACAGGGTTTAGACCCAGAGCAGCAGGAGCCTTTGCTCCCTGCCCTTCCGACCTCCTCCCTGCTCATTCCAGAAACTGTTCCTATTTTAGGCCACAGTCACTTCTATGCCACCTAGGAAGACAGCTGGGGCCCCACTAACAAGCACACCATCCTGTTCTTCCAAAGCAACCAAAGTCTTACCTTCCTGGCCACTCTGCAGCCCCCTCAGCGACCCCAGGCCTTGCCTGCTGACACCATGTCCAGCCAACAGATGTGGACATGAGCCCGAATTTGTCCACAGCCTGGCACATGTGTGAGAGAAGAGAACCAGGGGTTCTGAAGACAGCCGGTGAGGAGGAGCAACCCCCCTGGGCCGGGCCGGGGATTCCTCTGTGAAGACGGAGCCCTGCGCCCCTCCAGCCATGCCGGCCCACACACCTGCTGGCTCCCTCTTCTGGCTGCAAGCTCTTCTCCTTCTGGGAGGGAAGCTTGGGGCTGGGCTCTCCACTTCCTGAAGGCTGCCCTGTCCTGACTCTCCAGAGGGTTCCACTGACAAGAGCATGGATGCTTCTCTAAGTACTGATGGGCAGGTACTCAGGGAACCCTCAGGTCCCGAAGGCTTGGGGATTACGATCCCATTTGCCAAGCCTCCGGTCAGACTGTGGTGGGTGGAGAGTGGGTATGGGGAGTACACCTTCTGCTGAACTACTCTGAGGAGAACCCTCACCCCCAAGAGCCCACCTCCACCTGATTTCAGCAACTGCACCCCAGGAAGAGGGCTCCACTTCCGCCATGAAGGGGAGCAGGGGGACCTGCAAGCATCACCCTCCTCAGTAGCTGGAGACCCGGCCTCAGGGGACTGCACTTAAAGTCAAGAGAACATTTGCTAACAAACCAAGCAGTCCATTCCCACCCCACAGAGGGGGCTCAAGCAGTATGTCTTTACAGCTCTCTATGGAAGCCTGCAGTTTCTAATCTAGACTGAAATGGTAGATGAAAGGGATCCATCCATTCATCCATCCACCCATCCATTTATGTATCTACCCTACCATCCATCCACCCATTTGTATATCTACCCTACCAACCATCCATCCACCCATCTATCTAGCCATCTACTTTACCATTCATCCATCAAGCCACCCATCTATCTACCTACCCATCCATCTATCCATCTACTTTTCTATCCATCATCCACCCATCCTACCACCCACCCATTTATATATCTACCTACCCTTCATTCATCAATCCACCCATCCATCTATCTACACGTTCATCCTTTCCATCCATCTATCCATCCATCCATCCATCCATCCATCCAACCATCCAAACACCCACTCACCCAGGTATCCATTTACCTACCCTTCCATTCGTCTATCCATCCATCTATTCATCCATCCATCCAACCATCCTAAAGCCACCCACCCAGTTATCCATTTATCTACCCTTCCATTCATCCATCTATTCATCCATCCATCCATCCATCCAATTATCCTAACACCCACCCACCCAGGTATCTATTTATCTACCCTTCCATTCATCTATCCATCCATCTATTCATCCATTTGCCTATTCAGAATTCACTTAGCAACTATCATGTGTCTTACTGTTTAGTCCCAGAGGGTCCAGATGCACCAACCTGGTGTCTGCCCTTAAGACAGACACAGACACATAAACAGATGCTTGTGAAACATCGGGTACAGGCATTCTGTGTGGATGGCACTTAGCCAACAGGACTGTGCGCCGAGGTTGTGCAGTGCACTATCCCTGCACCATCTCATGAAGGTCTTCCTGCTGAGCCCCTTGCCCGCCTTCCCTGCTGCTTCCTATCCCCTTACTTTTGCATGTTCTAGAAGTAACATCCTTCCCTCCAGTCTAAATATCCAAATCCCACCTGTCCTCAAGATGCAGCCCAAAGCTAATGCTTTCTGTGTGTCCCTGAGAAGCACTTAACACACTGTACCTCAACAGCCTTCTTTGTCTGTTTCCTCTAGACTGGGGGCTCCCTGGAGGGGCAGGGGGCCTGTCCTATCCTGTTCACATCAGCATCCCCACACAGACCCAATGCAAGAGCTGATGCTTTTAAGAAGTGTTTGCAGAAGGAAGAAATGAAGGTAGGGAGGGAAGGAGGGGGAATGGTCAGAGCTCCCTTTGGTGACCCACCCACCAGGGATTCTGGGCCCTGGCCGTCTGTCCTTCTGGCCTGGTGAGCTGCCTTCCCTCTCTTCTGTGGATCTGCATGTGACACCTGGCACCTTCTTTGAGGATGAATCCTAGCCCATGGTGAAGGTGCCCTCTTGCTGTCCCCAGCCCCAGGCCACAGGATCCCCACATCTGGATGGGGACTGACCTACCCCTTCCTGGGTAGGAGACTTGCCAGACTCAGCCGTAGGAAACTGACAAGTCTTTGGAAAGCCCCTGGCCCTGCCCTGCACAACCAGCCCCCACCCCAGCGATTCTCAGCCCAGTGGGGGCATTTGGGAGTTTCTTCAAGGAACTGGCTCATCTCTAGGGGGCACCCTGGGAGGTAGAGCTCCTGGTTCATCACTTTTCAGTAATGGCCACTTAGAAAACCTGCCTGTTAGAGAACCTCTAAACGAAGACCAAGGGCCACAACCTTGACCCTTGGCCCTGGGCACGAGACCACATTTCCAAGCACACACCATTTAATGTTTAATCTCCTGTGAGGCTTCCAACTGCTAATGACACGACATTAACTTGAACAAATAAGACCATTCAGAGGAGCCGACCTGGAATCTGTGAGGTGTCAGCCAAGCCGTCACAGTCCCTCTGGCCACAAGGGTCTCGGCTTGCCCAGTCTAGGGGCAGGGGGTAAAAAACCATCCTAGTTCCCCAGCTGTCTCGGGGTGGGAACGCAGTGGGGGCCGCAGGAGCTTGGAGCCTCACCTAACTCCCTCCTCCACCCACCATTCCCAGTTTCTCAAAAGGGAACTCCGCCAAGAAGTCTGCCCACAGAGCTGACGCCCCACTCTGCCTGCACCCACCGGAGTCAGCACTCTTGGGGCTGGGCCCTGGCCACTGTCCTGTCTCCTCCACTCTCTGAGGGTCAGGGTGATGAACCAGCAAGCACCTTTCCTAGCCGGGCTTCCCCTGAAAGCAGCCCCCGGGACAAGGATGCAGGTGCAGGTGGAGACCCCCAGAAGTGCCGTGAGGAGCAGCTTGGGAGGGACAGGGACAGGAACGGGCCTTCATGGGGTGGGGGGGGTATCTGCTGCGGGCAAGGTGGCTCCGTACCGCAGGCCTCTGTGAGACGGCAGAGCACACCCTGGAATTGTCCCCGGGAGGGACACCTGCCTGTCATCTCCCTGGCTGGAGGGCCATTCAGGGGCATCAACTCCCAGCACCTCTAGCTGACCTCTCCTGTGGCCAGAGAAATGCAGAAAGCCAAGAGGGGGCGCAGTGACCCCCGCCGCCATTCTGCAGATCCCACGAGCCAGGGGCTGTGTGGGTGAACCTTTGCTGTCACTGCCTTCAGCTCCTGGGTTAGCTCTGCTCACTTGGAAAACTGCCAGGAACACTCCACCATCCCCATTTCAGAGATGAGGAGACTGAGGCCCAGCCTGGCCACGTGGCCTCACCAGGTGATGGTGGAGCCGGGTGTGGGCTTTGAATTTTCGGGCCATCTCCCTGAGTCTCCAGGTACCAGCTGCGTCTGCAGGACTCTGAGCTCAGAGGCAGGGAGAGACCCGCAGAGGCTGCCCTTCTCCTGAGTCCAAGGAGGCCACCGTGGGGGACAGGAGGGCAGGATGGGAGACGGGAGCCCCAGGGCCGCCGGACCCAGCTGACACGGAAACCCTCCCTCTTTTCATCCAGAAGTGGAGGGAGAGGGGCCGCTGAACGCAATCATGGCCACATGAAACTCAGAGAACACTCGAGTAAAGATCTGGTCCCTCGGCCGTTCCTGGGCCCCAGCCAGGCAGACCAGGGTCTCTGAAGCATCTTCATCAAGAAGGAACTTCAGTGCTTTCCTCATGGAAACACTCCAGCTGATTAGGTGGAAGAAACACTCCAAATAATTGACAGCAAAACCACGAGCCCCGAACCCCCCTTGCAGACCACAGGCCTCCTCCTCCTCTCCTTCCCGCTCTCTTCCCCTCCCCGCCCGCATCAGGTTTCCCGGCTTGGCCCCGATACAGCCCTGGAAAGAAAGCGCTCCCCAGAGCGGACCTTGTTCACCCCTTTGCTGAGCGGCTCAGGGTAGGGGAGGGGCCCAAATGTGCCAAGAGTGAAAATAAGCCCTCTCCTTCCCTCCCAGCTCACGGCCTAGGCCCAGGGTCCCTTCCTCCCATCTCCCAACCCCTCCAGGTGGCCTGGTCCTGAGCTTCTGAAGGTCCCTGGGAATAGGTCGGCCAGCAGCGGAGAGGAGAGGCTGTGGAAGGGGCCGTGGGTGGAGCTGGCCTTTAATTCAGAGCTGTGAGCCGGGGGGTGGGAGGGCAGCTGGGGTGGTACAGGGGTGCAGGTGGGTGCGGCTCATGCAGGAACTTGACCACAGCCCACGGAGCTTGACTGAGCTCTTTTGGTGTCACCCGAACCAGAGGGGACCCTCGGAGGAAAAGACACCACACACTGCTCTGCATTCCCTCGTGGCCTGGGAGAGGGGCCGACACAGACACAGACCCCCATGCCCAATTCCAGCAAGGTTCTCTGAGATCACCCTCTGACCCTGTGTGGGAAGGGCGCCCTGAGCACCCCCTGGGGCTGGGGCCACCATGGGCCACTGCATTATCTTCCAGACTCTGCTCAGTTAAAAGGGACAGAGGAGGACCACTGTCCACACAGAGGTAGCTGTGTGTCCTCAACGGGTCCAAGCACCCCAAGGCACCCTCCCCAGCCTGGCCACTCCACCACTGCCCCACAGAACTGCATGCCACGCCCATGTCATGGCAGACAATGCCCAGGGTGTGTGTGTGTGTGTGTGTTGTGTGAGCGTGCACATGTTGGGTGTGTGTGTGTGTTGTGTGAGCGTGCACATGTTGGGTGTGTGTGTGTTGTGTGAGCACGCACATGTTGGGTGTGTGTGTGTTGTGTGAGCACACACATGTTGGGTGTGTGTGTTGTGTGAGCGTGCACATGTTGGGTGTGTGTGTTGTGTGAGCGTGCACATGTTGGGTGTGTGTGTGTTGTGTGAGCGTGCACATGTTGGGTGTGTGTGTGTGTTGTGTGAGCGTGCACATGTTGGGTGTGTGTGTGTGTTGTGTGAGCGTGCACATGTTGGGTGTGTGTGTGTTGTGTGAGCGCGCACATGTTGGGTGTGTGTGTGTGTTGTGTGAGCGTGCACATGTTGGGGGTGTGTGTGTGGTGTGAATACGCACATGTTGGGTGTGTGTGTGTGTTGTGTGAGCACGCACATGTTGGGTGTGTGTGTGTGTGTTGTGTGAGCACGCACATGTTGGGGGTGTGTGTGTGTTGTGTGAGCGTGCACATGTTGGGGGTGTGTGTGTGTGTGTGTGTAAGCGCGCACATGTTGGGAGGTGTCAGAAGAGTAAACAATCCGGGTGCTGGTGAGACACACAGAAAAGACACCTAAATGGCCTGAGAGGTCGGGGGGACTTCCTGAAGGAGGCAATGCCAAACCCCAGGACCAACTTTAGCCAGAGGAGCAGTGCTTCAGGCAGGGGCACAGCATGTCCTGGCCGAGGAAGACAGGAGCTGATGGGCTCAGGCCATGCTAGAAGCAGTGGCCGCAGCGTGGGGGTGGGATACGTGGCAGGTGGGGTGCCTGGAGAGAGTCTGGAGAGGAGGGTGGGGCTAGGCCAGGGCCTTGGGGTGCCTCGTGCCCTGTCAGGGCATCCACCTCCTCTCCACCGCCTGACCCTGCCATTTCCCGACACAGGGAGACATCAGCCCTGCCTGGACCCTCAAAGCCTGGGAGGCAAAGCTTCTGCGTCCTCCGGTCCCTTTGTCTCAGGATCCAGACCCACTGAATTGTTTCAGTTGCCCAAATGCACCCAGCTGTCTCATGACCCTGACACAGATCCTGCCTTCCCTGAGCTGGAAACTCTTATGCCCAACCCGGCCTCCCCTTTCAGGTGTCAACTCACCTGTCACTTCTTCTGGGAGAGGCTTCCTGGTCATGTCCCAGGAAAGGGGGCCCCACTGCATGTCCCTCAGCTCCCTGCACTGCCTCTACCCCCAAGGTCTCAGCCTGCTCACTTCCCTCCCTGCATCTAGCTGTGGGCTCGGTGGAGGAGGGCCCTCCTGTTTCTATTGTCTCTCTGCCCCCAGTGCCAGCAGAGGGCCAGGCACACAGGAGGGGCCTCTAAACGTTGGACAAAACCACAAAGGAATGGCCAAGGGACAGGAGCCTCCAGGAGGCAGATCTTCGCTGGCCCTAAGGGAAGCTTTCTGACTTTGCTAGTGGTGAGTTCCCCATCATGGAAGGTATCTGAGCAGAATCTGAGCAGCATTTTGCCAGGGATGGAAAGAGGTGGTCTGTGTCTCAGTGGCAGGAAGGAGCTCTACTTCGTGTGGCCCCTGCCCTCACCTCCCACTGGGGTTTGCAGCCCCAGGCAGGGGAGTGGGAGCCCCTTTGCAAGAACGGGGGCCTGGATTCGGGTGAAAGGAGGCAGGAGTTCTTTCGGATCTGTGCTGGACTCGGCTCTGGAGAAGCAAGCCCTGCTTGGCCACCCTCAGCCCACTGGGCAAGCAGGCTCACTGTGAAACTACAGCCCTGCTCAGGCCTGGCTGAACCTCTGCCACATCTCTGAAACGCCCCCACCCCTACTCAGGCCTCATTTCCGGCCATATACAGACAGTCACTTGTCGGGTGCCTGCCTCCTTCCCAAAAACGTCAGGCAGCAACATGCATCAGGAGCAGGCGGGTGAATGCCTGACCCCCGGAGCCCTTCGGGGCACCCTGAGCAGGACCCAGATGGGGTGGCGCCGGGCACTCACTGGTCTTGTAGACCACCGGCGGTGGCTCCTATATGGTGGCAGGGTCGAGGGCGGTGTCTCCGTGGAGTGTGATGAGGGGGGTCCCGGCCTGAGCTCCATCGAGGCTCCCGGAACAGGGGGTTGTGCCATGAAGTATGAGCTGCTCTGGGGCAGGGTCTGTCCCTAGCAGGGGCTGGTTCTAGGCTCCGAGCAAGCAGGCAGTGGGAGGCGGGTGGGAATGTGTGTGATGGGAATGGCCCCCAGCGCCCTCACCAGCACGGAGGGCAGAGACCAGGGCTGCTTTTTTTTTGTTTTGTTTTGTTTTGTTTTGTTTTGTTTGAGACGGAGTTTCGCTCTTGTCTCCCAGGCTGGAGTGCAGTGGCACAATCTCAGCTCGCTGCAACCTCTGCCTCCCGGGTTCAAGCGATTCTCAGCCTCCCAAGCAGCTGGGATGACAAGCGCCCGCCACCACGCCCGGCTGATTTTTTTTGTATTTTTAGCAGAGACAGGTTCCCACCATGTCAGTCAGGCTGGACTCGAACTTCTGGCATCAGGTGACCCGCCCATCTCACCCTCCCAAAGCGCTGGGATTACAGGCGTGAGCCACCGTGCCCGGTCGAGGCTGAGGTTTCTTAACCTCGAAGTATCGCTGGGGGTCACAGGACAGACCCCTGCTTATCCTCCCAGCACTCCAGAAACTTCTTCCAGGTGTGGGCTTCCTGTCAACCGTGGCTGATCAGCATCACTCAAAGGAAGGGCCCCATGCCCCGGGTCTGTCCCCACGGCTGGCAGTTACTCATCTCTGTCTCTGCAGCCACCCTGGGCAGGCCCCGGATGGGCAGACCCTGGCACAGCGGTTTCAGCAGTTTCTGCCTCTGTTGATTGGGACCCTGGGAAGAGGGTGAAGCAGAAAGTATGGAAAATACCAGGAAGAGGATAGACCGAGTCTCAGTCCCAAAGCCCAGGACGAGCCCAGACGGCCAAGAAGTGATGGCCTTCGCTCTTGGGGGTGTTCAAGGTGTGTTTCCTGTGTTTAATGGAAGTTCTGTCCTGCTCTGTGTCTGTGTGATAGGCGCGGCGCTCAGTGGGGTCTTTGCTGGGCCTGGCGGAGCTGTTGCCCGCTGCCTGGGCCTGCCAGTGTGTAAGACCGGCCCCGAGGGCTGCCCCGCCTCGCCCACCCCTGCTGGCTGCTGTCCTTGCTCTGTCTTTTCTAGACTTGGAGGCAGAATGGTGCTGTCCTGACCAGCTTGGATTCCAGAATCAGAATGATGGGAATTAAAATCCTGACCCTAACACTTTACTGCACCTGCGCCCCAGGATGGGCGGCTCAGCCTCTCTGAGTGTCAGTTTTTTCATCTGAAAAATGGAGACGCTGACAATTCGAATTTGTCTTGAGACCCGCCTCAGTGGGAGGTAAGCAGTGTGCCCAGGGCCATGCCTGGCGTTAGTGTGCAGGTCAAAGTGAGTGGGGAGCCCCTTCCCTCCTGCTGTTCTCCTTGGGCATCTCCTCAGCAGCTCAGCAGCCCACAGGGTTCCTGGAGCCGAGACTTGGGGCCCTTGGAAACACCCTCATGGTTTTGGCCATTGTGTTCCCAGAAGGGCAGGTGACAGTTTGAGGACAGTAAATAAACTGACAGGAGGGGAGCGAGGTGACCCCTTCACCTTTGGTCCCATCAGCCGGGCCTTATCTCCCCTGTCTCGGGCCTGGCCTCAGTCTGTTTGCCCACATTGGGGCAGATGGACAGTGGGTAAACACAGCCCAGAGGGCTAGCGGGGCAAGGGGCAAGGGGCGGCCCCCACTGGGAGAAGCCAGGGGCAGGGGTGGGGGATGAGGGCCAGGGGCCTGGGCCTGCAGCGAGCACTGGCCAGATGCAGCCAGGGCCAGAGTGGGCACCAGGTCTTGAAGGAGAGGCCCTCCCCAGGGCTGCCCCCTGCCCAGGGACCATGGCCCCCATCCCCCATCCCACAGCAGGAACACCAGGGCCCAGAGACAAGGGCTGGCACCACACGGGCACCCATCAGAAGCAGTGCCAGGGCTGCATGCCAGCTTCCTGCCTGCTCAGTCCTCTAGTATGTGGACAGGGAGCCCCGAGGCATGGGGGCCTGGGGCTTGGGGATCGGGGGGCCAGGGGAGGTGGGGTGCCCTGCTCTCTGCTGCACCCCCAGCCCCATCTCACCCAGAGCACCCAACCCAGGCTGTCGTCCAAACAACTTCAGGGAGAGAACTGGTTCAACTCTTCAGTGTTTTTGCTTTGAATCTTTTCTCCGACAGCCACTGGCCTTCCAGAAACTTCTGAGAAAACCAAGACCTAGGCCAGTCCCTCTGACCACCATAGTGTCAGGGGGCTGGGGGCTCAGGGGCTCACTAGTGGTTCTCACTGAGAGAAACAGATGTGGTTTGTGGTAGAAGGACAAACACAGTGCCCTAGAGGGCAAGCCTCCCCTCGGCCCGGCCATGCCAGGAGCAGCTGGCCCACGGCCCATCCCGCTCTGCCATCTGCCCAGATGGCTGTGGAATGGGCATTGCGAGCCCTAGCAATGGGGCAGCGGGGAGGACGCTTGGACAGCAAAATGGCCAGAGAGTGCACCCCGTGCCCCCTGAGCCGTATTTCCAGAAGGAATCAGAGCTCACAGCCCCTGACACCTGCAGCCCAGACCTGGGCATGGTGCAGCTCGGTCTGGGTGTGGCCACCAAGCACACCCACACTTACCTGTCCAACAGGAGCCCCAGGCAGCCTCAGACCTACCTGGGACCCTGGACCCAGCTCTCATTTCTCTCCCAGTCCCCACCCCAGCAGCACCCCAGTGGGCTCTGCCTCGTTCCCTCACCCCATGATTCCTCCTGCCTCCAAGGGATGACCCAGGTCCTAATGCCATTCATTCATTGTCCTGGGGGAGGAGGGACAATGGTTAACCCAGCACCTGGTACTCGTGGCCACCAAGCTGGTTCCAAGGATCTAGTGGGGAATGAGGGGGGCTGCAGCCTGTGCCCTGCGGCCCACTCTGCTCTAAGTCCACATGGGACCCCATTGCCAGGAAGCCACGGTGTCCGCTCAGCTACCACCACACCTCAAGGGAACACCTTATCAAATCAGGCCCTGTGTCTACAGAGGACTCAGAGAAAAGCCCCTGAGGCACGGACTCTTCCTCTTTTACGAGGATACATCTGATCATCATTTCTGGACTTCCACACCAGGAAAATTCCTCCTCTAGGGGATCTTGAGTGTATCTTCTTCTTGGCAAAAACTGCAAAGCCCACAGTGCTTTCCTTTCTTGCTCTGGCTACTAGGAAGCTCAGACTCACATTAATAACAGCAGTAGCTCCTCTTTGGCTCCTGAGATAATTCTCTCTCCTCTTCCCACTAGACTATTCCCAAACTTTCTCTTCAATGTTCATGTTTCAGTTCTATGTTTCAGTATATATCATTTTTCAGATTTCCAACTTATACACAGAAAGTGGCTACTCAGCCACCTAACATTGTCTAGGAAAAATTTCCAATTGTGTCCTCAAAATGCCCACGACCTACCTCGTGAATATTAACTTGTTATTCTCACAGATCCCCACAAGCTCCAACACCATTTTTAGCAATGCCGCGTCCCCCGGTGCACAGTGCTGGGGGCATCAGGGCACACAGGGCTGCGGCTCTCAGTCCTGCTCTGACCCATAAACGCCTGGTCTTGGGGAGGCCCACCCAGCTCCCCGTTGTGCACCTGGAAAATGGGAGTTAGTGATTGTGCCTCTTGGTGGGGAGAGTGGAGGCCCCAGGGCCTGAAATCTGGGCACCCCCTTTTCACCCTGGGCTCCTCACTCTGTAGACTCTGACAAAAGTCCCAGACACTCCCAGCAGAGAGAGCCCCACAGTCTGGGATACTCCCAGCAGAAAGAGCTCCACAGAGAGCCGGTGGGAGCCGAGGTGCCAGGCAGGAACCGTGTGACCACTTCCCGCACAGTGCTGCCCTCCCTGGCTGCCCACTCCAGCCTCGGGGCTCCCTGGAGACAGGGCCTCCCTATGGCATCACTCACATCACCTCATAGGCAGAAGCCAACGCTAGGAGCTCGCAGGCCCCAGGGAAATGTCCCAAACCCCACTTCCCCTTCACCGCACTCCGATCCTAAGCCCCCGAGGTCATGGGCTCCCCTCATCCCACAGGGCTCAAAAAGTCATGCAGCTGGTGAGCCCACTCATTTGAGGACAGTGATGAGGAAGCCAGGTCTTGGAGAAGTTGAACTGAAGGCAGAGGAAGTATCAGGCTGCACAGGTCCCCTGGGTCCACCTTCCTGCCCAGCACCAGGCTCCCGGCTGATCCCATCCCAGCCGCACTGCAGAGCCGCCTCTGCTAATCCTTGAAAATAATTCATCCCCCAGCTGCAGAGTGCAGTAAGGAGAGGACCATCAGTATTAATATTAGTTATTGTTATTGATTTCAGCTTTAGAGAATCGATTTTCAGTCCGGGCCCCTTTTATGAGGCTCTTTGCCAAAGACGCATGGATGCCACCCGCCTCCCCTTGAAGCTGGTCCTCTCAACTAGGCCGGTCCTGCAAAACTCACCCCAAAGAGGAGTGAGAGTCTTGGGTGGATGAACCCTAGGGGTGCAGACAGGTGAACTAATCTTCTCTCTCTCTGTCCTCAACAAAGAGCTAACTCCAAGGCCTGGACCAACCGGCATTCACTCGGGCCAAGCATTCCTAAAATGTCCCCACTGCTCTTTCTCTGCCTCCCCGACTCCCACCTGCAGGATCATCCCGAGCATTTGCTGAAGCCCCACAAGACCCTGCCTGACAGGCCTCTCCAGACAGACCCCCTGCTGAGCCCTCCCCTCCCCCAACCAGCAACTCTCACCGCCCACCCCCTACCCCCCCGCCGCCCAACCCCTACCTACCGCCGGGCCCCCTTCCTTCTGGAATCCCCTGGGCTCCAAGGCTCCACTCTGGGCTTCCACCACAACCCAGCCTCAGCCACACACTGGGGGCTGGCAGGGGAGGGTGTCAAAGCTTGGTCCTCATGCTCCTTGCCCGCAGGGACCAGCTCTGAGCCTGCCTTGGGCCTGCACAGCCTTGTTGAAAGAATAGTGACTGCCAGCATTTCTGAGTCCCTACTGAGTGCCCGTCCACAGGACCCTAGAGTGTCAGGGGGCAACCAAGACAAATGATGCTGATTTTTTTTCAGAGAGTAAGTCAGTGTGTTTATGTAGCAAGACCAGCAAAGGGGAACCTGCCACCTTCACTTATTAATCTGTGCTCATGGGCAACTCCTGTGCCTTCGGGAGCTGTCGTGTCCTCTGAGGCAAAATGACAGTGCCAACCTCGCAAGGACGTTCAAGAAAAGAAATGATATAACCTATCTAAAATGCTGCCCAGGTGCGGTAGTTCATGCCTGTAATCCCAGCACTTTGGGAGGCTGAGGCGGGTGAATCACCTGAGATCGGGAGTTCAAGACCAGCCTGGCCAACATGGTGAAACCCTGTCTCTACTAAAAATACAAAATTAGCCGGGCACGGTGCCTGTAACCCCAGCTACTCGGGAGGCTGAGGCAGGAGAATCACTTGAACCTGGGAGGCAGAGGTTGCAGTGAGCCAAGATCGTGCCACTGCACTCCAGCCTGGGCAACAAGAGCAAAACTCCATGTCAAGAAAAAATAAAATAAAATGCTTAACGTATTTCCTGGCCCTTAGCAAGGTACGTAGTAGAAGGTACCAGATATTTTCCTTTTTTCTAAGTCTGGATTTTCATTATTCTGATTTTCCTCCAGTTGAGATTCACCTGCACAAGAATGGCGGTAGGGAACATAACCGCTGCTGTCTTGCTCATACAACTCAGCACACGAGGACCCACGTGGAAATGCAATACCTTTAAAAACCCCTTGTCACTGCTTTTTTAAAAAAAATTTTTCAATAGTTTTCGGGGTACAGGTGGGTTTTGGTTCCATGAATAAGTTCTTCAGTGGTGATTTCTGAGACTTTGGTGCACCCATCACCTGAGCAATGGACACTGTACCTAATGTGTAGCCTTTATCCCTCGCCCCCCGCCAAACCCCCTCCGAGTCCCCAAAGCCCATTAGATCACTCAGATGCCTCTGCATCCTCTTAGCTTCGCTCCCACTTATAAGTGAGAACATTCGCTGTTTGGTTTTCCATTCCTGAGTTGCTTCACTGAGAATAGTGGCCTCCAGCTCCATCCAAGCTGCTGCGAAAGACATCATTTCATTCCTCTGTATGGCTGAGTAGGAGTCCACGGTGTGTACATACCACATTTTCGCGGTCAGTGGGCACTTAGCAACCTAGACAACTCACAGACAAGTGAGATGCGATCTCACCCACCCCGTTGAACAGAAGGGGAGACTGAGGCTCAGGAAAGGAAGTGACCTAGACAATTCACAGACAAGTGAGACGCGATCTCACCCACCCCGTTGAACAGAAGGGGAGACTGAGGCTCAGGAAAGGAAGTGATTTTCCCAAAGGTGGACCACACTGTCCCACCAAGGGCAGGGGAGGAAGGGGACAGTGTCCCCGTCTTCACACAGAATCTTCTCACCTCCAGGCAAAAGCCTTGCCCTCTGGCCCACAGCACCCACCACCCTACCAGCCTGGCCTCCTGGGGGAGGAAGATGGCATTCTTCCCCTCACTTTCCTTTCCTCCTCCTCCTCCTCCCTCCCTCCCTCCTTCTCCCTCCCTTTCTTTCTCTCTCTGTCTTTCTGTCTCTCTTTGTCTCTCTTTGTCTCTCTCTCTTTGTCTCTCTCTGTCTTCCTCTGTCTGTTTCTCTCTCTCTCTCTCTCTCTTTCTCTTGTTCTCTCTCTCTTTCTCTCTCTTTCTCTTGTTCTGTCTCTCTTTCTTTCTCTCTTTGTCTCTCTCTCTTTCTCTCTCTGTCTTCCTCTCTGTCTTTCTCTCTGTTTCTCTCTTTCTCTCTCTTTCTTTCTCTCTGTCTTTCTCTCTGTTTCTCTCTTTCTCTCTCTTTCTTTCTCTTGTTCTCTCTCTCTTTCTCTTTCTCTCTTTCTCTGTCTTTCTCTTTCTCTCTCTCTCTGTCTTACTCTCTCTTTCTCTCTCTTTCTCTCTCTGTCTTTCTCTCGTTCTCTCTCTGTCTTTCTCTGTGTCTTCCTCCCTTTCTCTCTCTCTTTTTCTCTCTTTCTCTCTCTCTTTCTGTCTCTCTCTTTCTCTCTCTCTCTCTTTCTGTCTGTCTCCCTCTCTCTCTCTGTCTTTCTCTCCCTCCCTCCAGCATCTATTGCTTGCAGTGGCTCTGAGACTGAGTCACGGACACAGTCAAGGAAGGCCAAACACTTGGCTTCAACAAGAATTTCTTGCCAATGAGGCAATGCCAGGATTTATTAATTCATCCCTTTAACCATTCATGTACTCTTCGAAACATTTACCGAGCAGAGACACTAGAAATATCAAAGGACAAAACAATACAGGAGACAAAGCATTTTATAATGACTTTTTTTTTTTGAGACAGGGTCTCACTCTGTCACACAGGCTGGAGTGCAGTGGTGAAATCCCAGCTTACTGCAGCCTCCACCTCCCAGGTTCAGCCAATTTTTGTGCTTCAGCCTCTCAAATAGCTGGGATTACAGGCGCCTGCCACCATGCCCAGCTAATTTTTGTATTTTTAGTAGAGACGGGGCTTCACCGTGTCGGCCAGGCTGGTCTCGAACTCCTGACCTCAGGCGATCCGCCTGCCTCGGCCTCCCAAAGTGCTGGGATGACAGGTGTGAGACATCGCGTCTGGCCTATAATGACTTCCAAAGAATAGAAACGCAGCCCTCAAGAAGTAGCCAGCAGGGCAGGGAGCCCTTATGCTCCAGAAGATGTCACTCTGAACTCTGTGACCCCTGTATTTGCTGCCACAAGGAACACACGTCCACGCAGTTTCAGACTCCAGGAACCACTTGAGGGTGGGGCCCCACACATCCCTACCCTCAGTTAACTGCCTGGGGGCTGCAGGCTCCCCAGCCCACCCCAACCCGGCCTCTCGGCACAAGAGGATGCCCTGACATCCTTCGTCAGGAGCAAACCATGAAACCCCTCAGGAGCCCAGGCGGTAGCAGGGATGCAGGGATTCAAGGACTCTACTGCCCCAAGGCCCTTCAGGGTCCCCGCGCAGCACGTTAGAGCCCCACTGTTGTCACCCCCAGCACGGTGCACAGGGTGCCTGAGGTTTCCAAGGTTACCCTGCCATTAAGAAGCAAATCTGGCACCCAGTCTAGGCTCTGCTGGGCCCCGAAGCTCACATCCTTCCTGAGGGTGGCCAGCTGTGGCTGTGGGCCACCTCCCCTGGGCAGTCCCCAGGCCCAGGCATTGGAGGGATGTTCCCCGGATCCAAGCCAGGAGTCACCGGACACTCCGGAAGCAGCTGTCACTGAGGCCCCGCTTTCCTCCTCCCAGCAGTGTCCCCGTGACACCTCCTCCTGCCAGGGCCACCCCCGACCTGCCCACTTGTCCTGGTTCCCAAGCCCATTCCTTGACCTCTGCCTGTGCTTCAGGGTCACACCCTCTGCGAGGGAAGATGAAGCCTGTGAGCGCTGCCAGGCTGCCCAGGGTTTCGTGCAAGTGCGCGTGCATTTCTCTTCTGACCACTGCTGTCTCTGGCCACAACTGAGCCACAAAAAGTCTCCCGGGACCGGTGGGCTCACCCTCCACGCCCACCGCCAATGCACCTGTCCCTTCCCGCAGACTTAGGGGGGCGGCACAATGTCTTCTCCTGCAACACCAGCCTCAGAGTCCACAGCCTTCCAAGCGGCCAATAAATCCTGCTCTTACTGGTTAATGAGGGGCCAGTGTCCCCGGGCCTCCATCTCTTGGGTGCTCACTTTGACTGGGCTGTGCATCATCACTGCCAAATGAGGGCTGCTAGGGGCCCTGCACAGCTGACAGCAGGTGCACAGGCCCGGGGTGGGAAGGGCGGGGCCGAAGTAGCTCAGGAACCACGCCAAGGGATCAAATTGGGTCTTTAAGTAATTATCTCAACCCCTCCTTAAAAGCTACATTGGGTAAAGTGACTTTAAATATTGTTTTAGCCTATTACCAGCCTATAAATTAATCGCTCGCTGCACACAGAGGCGTCGTAACTGTGGCCGGGAGAGAGCAGTGCAGTAATTATGCACAAGGCGGGAGACTCCTGCAGAAGCTGCATATTTTACACTTAAATTATAATTAAACTTAGAGGAATCTCTTCCACCCAGTGCACAAATATAATCTGCACCAGCCTCCTGAGAGCTGTGACTCTCGTCAATTTATGTATTTGCTGTTGGAAGACGCCGAGCCTGAAGTCATCGCTGTCTATCCGTGCCTGGGCGAAGTCATCGCTGTCTATCCGTGCCTGGGCAAAGTCATCGCTGTCTATCCGTGCCTGGGTTGCAGACACGGGAAGGACCCCAAATGCAGCCTCTGCAGCAGCCCCATCGTGCACAGATCTGTGGTTATCAAACCTAAAAATCCAGAACCTACCCAGCAGCCTGCACAGAAGAGAAGCACAGTGAGCCTCCAGCGGCCCCGGGGCCGGGAGCCAGGGGCCGGGCACTCGGGAGGCTCCTGGAGTCAGGACCTGAGCAGAGGAGGAGCAGAAGCCCCGCGGCCGGGCATGAGCGATGGGGGCTCACAGGAGGCCCCGGGGCAGGCCGGACTCAGTCTGGGAAGGCCTGGAGACAGTGCCCAGTGGAGTCGGGAGACCGAGCACCCTGCCAGGACGGAGTACTCGCTCTTGTACCCCCACCCCCCATGGAATCTTCCTGGTTCTTTAATTGCTAAGCCTATTTAAAAAGTGACAATGCCATAAATGGCCTCTTTTAGAAACTTGGAGAGGGAGGATGGGTCTGCCCTGTGCCTTGCCATGCTCCTGGGGACAGTTTTTGTTTTTGTTTTTGTTTTTGTTTTTGAGACGGAGTCTCACTCTGTCACCCAGGCTGGAGTGCAATGGTGCGATCTCGGCTCACTGCAACCTCCGCCTTCTGGGTTCAAGCGATTCTCCTGCCTCAGCCTCCTGAGTAGCTGGGACTACAGGCATGTACCACCATGCCAGGCTAATTTTTGTACTTTTCGTAGAGACAGGGTTTCACCATGTTGGCCAGGCTGGTCTCGAACTCCTGACCTCAGGTGATCCACCCACCTCAGCCTCCCAAAGTGCTGGGATTATAGGTGTGAGCCATCGCGCCCGGCCTAGGGACAGTTTTGCTGTGTCCCCAAGGATGGGCTTCACGACCACCCTCCTCTCATCTCCACGTGGAAGTCAATAATAGCAAGGGTTATTGAACAGTAAGGGTGTGGTGAGGGACGATCTTCCAGACTCCAGTGCCTGCCCCTACTCATAGCCCTTCAGGGAAGGGCTTGGACCTGGGGCATAGCCTTCCGGTCATCAGGCAGACACAGCCTGCTGCCACTTAGGAAGTGCTCCCCATTCACTGAGCGCTTCCCCGGGGCAATTCCTCTGCCCAGATCCTCAGCAGAAGGTGCTGTAGGTGCCATTGGCCCCTCTGACAGCCAGGAACATTGAGGCCCAGGGAGGCTAAGGAGTAAGGCCAGAAAGTGGAGGAGCCGAGATTCAAGAAGCTTTGGACTCCAAGACCCAAGCTGGCGCCCACAGCAAGCAGTGGTGCCCACCTTGGGTGCAGTGGGAGCAGACAGAGTGGGCCCTGCCCTCCTGGGTCAGGAAACCGCTCCCCCAGCGCCGCCCTTAGGTCTGGGGTCTTAGTCTGCTAAGGCTGCATAACAAAACACTGTTGACCGGGTGACTTCAACAACAGAGACTCGTTTCCCGCAGTCCTGGAGGCTGACTCCGAGATCACATTGCCAACCTGGTTGGTTTCTAGTGGGGGCTCCTCTTGAAGGCTGCCCTCTCTCTGTGTCCCCACAGGCCCTTTCTTCCGTGTGTACGTGGAGAGAGGGGTCTCTGGTGTCTCTTCCTCTTCTTTTATTTATTTTTATTTTTTTATTTTTTTTGAAACAGAGAGGCTGGAGTGCAATGGTGTGATCTCAGCTCACTGCAACCTCCACCTCCCAGGTTCAAGCAATTCTCCTGCCTCAGCCTCCCAGGTACCTGGGACTACAGGCATCCACCACCATGCCGGACTAATTTTTGTATTTTTAGTAGAGACGGGAATTTCACCATGTTGGCCAGGCTGGTCTCGAACTCCTGACCTCAAGTGATCCACCCGCCTTGGCCTCCAAAGTGCTGGGATTACAGGCGTGAGCCACCGCACCCGGCCCCTCTTCTTTTAAAGACACCAGCCCTATTGGATTAGGGCCCCCAACCCTTATGATGTCATCTAACCTTAACCATAACTCTCTAAAAGTCCCATCTCCACATATACTCACTGTATGAGTGTTAGGGCTTCAAGATATGAATTTGGAGGGACACAGTTCAGTCCACAATAGTGAGGAAGATGCTGTCACCAGAACAGGTAGTAGAAGCTATGACTACCATGGTCATTCGGCCCAAGACACTGAGGCCAAGAAACCCCACCAGAAACCAGAAACACTTTGGGCCCAAACTGGCCGGGTCCACGGCTGCGTAGGCAGGAAAGGGTGAGGGGACCAGTTACAGGCCAGTGGACAGTCAGGGGCCTGAGGGAGCTGGGTGGCAGAGTGCCCAAGCGCCCAGATCACCAGCCACTAACAGGTAACTGCTGACCAGCACCTACCACGCAGAACAGCACGCCCCCAAACCGGGCAGATTGATGGGTTTTCACAAAATGCTGATCAGTAAGCCGCGACCAGAACCGGAAGCCATCCTCCAGCCATCAGCTGCCCCCACAAAACCATTGTCCTGATTCCCAAAGCCATAGTTAGACTTGCTGGTTTCAAAATCCATGCACGTGGAATCCTCTCTGATGCCCTTTCCTGGCTCCTTCCTATCCGCATGTCATCGGCGTCACTGCATGTAGCTACCATGTCCACCCTCAGGGCTGTGTATACAGCGGTGAATACGCACAATGTATCAATTCTGATAATGGACACATGCGTAGTTCCTGGTTTTGTGCCTAGTTCCAATGGTGGCCGCCTGCTACTGGGTGGTGGGATTGCTGGGCCTTGGGGTCCAAGCGTGTCCAGCTTTGCAGATAACACCTGTTTTCCAGGGGGAGCTGAAGTGGCCCACACACCCATCAGTGGTGTGAGATCCAGCTGCTGTGCACCCTCACCAGCACTGGGTGTGTCCGTGTTTTCGGTTTGACTTGTTCTAGCAGTACCACAGGGCTTTTACTTACATTTCCCTCATAACTAGTGGGGTTGAGCAACTTTTCATATGCTTAATGGCCACTCGGAAATCCAATTCCATTTTTTTTTTTTTTAGACGGAGTTTCGCTCCTATTGCCCAGGCCGGAGTGCAATGGCGCGATCTCGGTTCACCACAACCTCCACCTCCTGGGTTGAAGCGATCCTCCTGCCTCAGCTTCCCGAGCAGCTGGGATTACAGTCATGCGCCACCATGCCCGGCCGGAAATCCAATTCTTAAAAGTGACTGTTCAGACTTGTGCCCCTTTTTCTACTGGTTGTCTTTTGCTTATCCGTCTGTAGGAGTTCTCGCACATCTGGATGTGTCTTTTGTCAGATGTCTAGATGGCAACAGCATTCTCTGCCTCTGTGGCATGCCTTTTCATGTCCTGAAGTAGGTATATTCTCCACAGGACTGAGTGCATATACCCACCAGACACAATTCTTCACTTCCTCATTTCTCTTTCAGGGACCTGCCGTTGTGGCTGGTCCCAAGGCCAGACCCATTCTAGATTCTGGAGTCCCCAGTTAAAGCAAGGAACTCTGTGCTCCCATATCATCCAGTTATAGGAAGCAGGCTTAAACCTGGGGGAGGTAGCCCCTTCAGGAGAGGCAATTCCTGGAGAAGTGCTCAGCTTGGCAACATGGCTAGCAGCTGGGAACATGGGCACTTCAGTCTTAGAGTGGACATTTGGGCAGAACATCATAGCATCCACTACAGTGCCTTACGTGATTGATTTTTCTGCCGTTTTTCTTATACATCTGTTTTAAGGCTATAAATTTGCCTGTGAGCATAGCTTTAGCCACATCCCATAAGTTTTAATATTGCATTTTTAAAATTATCATATACTTCACAATATTTTCTAACTTAATTGTCATTTCTTCTTTGACCCATTTGAAGTGTTATTACTTAATTTCCAAACATTTGGATATGTTCCAGTTTTATTTTTGTTGTGATGGTTATGAGTTTTCAGCTTAAATATCTTATAGTAAGAAAACCTATTCTGAATGATTTCAATCATTTAAAACTTATTTTAGCTGTTTCTGGCCCAGCTTTGGTCAGTGTTGGCTGATGTTTCATATGCACTTGAAAATAATGTCTATTCTGTTGTTGGACACTGTGTTCTATATTTGTCATTTAGTTCAAGTTTGTTCCTCGTATTTGGATCTCCTTTATTTCTGGTGATTTTTTGGTCTGCTTGACCTATTGGTTATAAGAAAAAGTGTGATTATGGATTTGTCCATCTTTTTCCTTTTAGCCAAATTTTTCCTTACATATTTTGAAGCTTCATAATTAGGTGCATAAAAGTTTGTTACATTTTGCTGGTGGTATAATTCTTTTATTATGAAATGTCCATCTTAGCCGGGCATGGTGGCTCATGCCTGTAATCCCAGCACTTTGGGAGGCTGAGGTGGGCAGATCACCTGAGGTCAGGAGTTCAAGACCAGCCTGGCCAACATGGTGAAACCCTGTCTCTACTAAAAATACAAAAATTAGCCAGACATAGTGGTGCACGCCTGTAGTCCCAGTTACTCAGGAGGCTGAGGCAGGAGAATCACTCCAACCCTGGAGGCGGAGGTTGCATGAGCCACGATTGTGCCACTGCACTCCAGCCTGGGCAACAGAGCGAGATTCTGTCTCAAAAAACAGTTCATCTTTATTTTTTGTAATACTTTTTGCCTCCAAGTTTATACTAGCTGGTGTTATAGAGACATCTTTCTTTTGGTCAGTGTTTTCATAAAACATCTTTCTACCTTTTTACTCTTTCTAGTTCAAACTTTCTTTCTTTTTTTCTTCTTTTTCTTTTTTTTTTTCTTTTTTTCTTTTTTATTTTTTTATTTTTTTTTGAGACAGAGTCTCGCTCTGTCGCCCAGCCTGGAGTGCAGTGGTGTGATCTTGGCTCACTGCAACCTCCGCCTCCTGGGTTCAAGCGATTCTCCTGCCTCAGCCTCCTGAGTAGCTGGGACTACAGGTGCCCGCCACCACACCCAGCTAATTTTTGTATTTTTAGTAGAGATGGGATTTTACCATGTTGGCTAGGATAGTCTCGATCTCTTGACCTCAGGTGATCCACCTGCCTTGGCCTCCCAAAGTGCTGGGATGACAGGCGTGAGCCACCACGCCCAGCCTAATTTTTAAATTTTTTGTAGACACAGGGTCTCCCTGTGTGGCCCAGGCTGGTCTTTCACTCCTAGGCTCAAGCAACCCAACTGCCTTGGCCTTTCAAAGTGTTGGGATTACAGGTGTGAGCCACTGCTCCTGGCCAAGAAATCGTTATTATTTGAAAAGTCGGTACTTATTTACCTTGACCCAGATCTTTACCTGTTCCGTGGCTCGTCACTGTTTCCTGCATATCCACGTCTCTATCTGGGATGATTTCTCTTCTGCCTGGAGAACCCCTTTAGTATTTCTTGTAGTTTAGGTCTGTTGGAAATTGATTATCTTGGTTTTTATTTTGCTGGAAAAGTGTTTATTTTGCTTTCACTTTTGTTTTGGTGGTCATCTAGGGCTAAAGGCCTTAACACGGCCAATCACTAGTATTTATTGAGCAACTAAAAACTTTACATGCTGTTGTTCATCAGCTCCTATGAGACAGATGAGATGGGTGTTACTCCTGTCCCCATTTGTCCATGTGGAACCTGAGGCTCAGCGTGGTTCAGTAACTTGCCCAGGGTCACACAGTGTATTAGTGAGTATTCTCCGCAGACACAGGGCAAATAGGAGACATACGTTCACATCACTTTCTATGTATATTCCTACTGATCTATAAAATAAGGAATTGTGCACGTGACCATGGAGGCTGACAAGTCTCAACATCTGCAGCAGGCAAAGTGGAGACCCAGGAGTGCCAATGGTGTAAGCGTCAGTTCAAGGGCAAGGGAAGACCGAAGTCCCAGCTCCACAGCCAGGCAGGGCAACTCTTTCCTTCTCAGGATTGGATGAGGCCCACTCACACTGGGAGGAAAATTGGCTTCACACTGCCCACCAATCAGATGTTAATCTCATCCAGACTGCCCACCAATCAAATGTTAATCTCATCCAGAATGATGTTTGACCAAATGCCTGGGCACACCGTAACCCATTCAGGTTGTCACGTAAGTTTTTTTTTTTTTTTGAGATGGAGTCTCACTGTGTTGTCCAGGCTGGAGTGCGGTGGCATGATCTCGGCCCACTGCAACATCCGCCTCCTAGGTTCAAGCGATTCTTCTGCCTCAGCCTCCCGAGTAGCTGGACTACAGGCATGCGCCACCACACCCAGCTAATTTTTGTATCTTCAGTAAAGATGGGGTTTCACCATATTGGTCAGGCTGGTCTCAAACTCCTGACCTCAGGCGATCCACCCACCTCAACCTCCCAAAGTGCTGGGATTACAAGCACAAGCCACCGCGCCCGGCCAGGTTGACACATAAGATTAATCATTGCTCACAGTTACTAAGCGGCAGAGCTGGGGTTCGAAACTAGCATTTCAGGCACTGTGCCCCACACTCGGCTTCATGGCTCACCAGCCTGCCAGGTGGACACGCCCAGTCTCGCTCTTCCTGTCTCCACCCACTGTGTGTGTGCACCTGCCATGTGCCAGGGGGCACGGAGGGGCACAAGTTGTGTTTCCATCGCCTAGATTTCCCCAGCTCATGGTGGAGATGGACACATCCAAAACTCTGATCTGAGATGAGTCTCCTTGGTATCTGAAGGATGTCCTTCCTCTCTGGGTCTAGAACTCTGGAGTGACAGCTCTTTTCTTCCAGCACCGTAAACACGTTGCTCCCTTGTCTTCTGGAGCCCATCATTTCTGCTGAAAAATAATCTTATTGTCCCCTTGAAGGTAATTTGTCTATTTGTCTTTACCTCCAGCTACTTTTAAGATTTCTGTATTTGGATTACAGTAGTTTTACCATAATATGCCTAGGTGGCTTCTCCCTGGACCTAGCCTGCTTAGCCTGTGGAGAGCTTCTATCTGGGGTTTGTTTTCTTTCATCGATTTTGGAAAATCCTCAGCCATTCTATCTTCAAACATTGCTTTTTCCCTATCCTCTCTCTTTCTCTTTCTCTCTCTCTCCCTCCTAAAATTCCTGTTACCTGCATGATGGAGCTGCTCCCCAGACCCCATGTGTATGGCATGCTCTGTCTGTTTCTTATCCTTTTCTACTCACTCTGTTTCTTCCTAGTTTTTTTCCTGACTTATCATTTCACTTTATTAAAACTCTATTTCCTAGCCTACTGTTAAGCCTGTCTATTAAGTTTCTAATTTTAATCATTGCATTTTTCTAGAATTTCCATTTTGTAATAGATTCCAGTTGTCTAGCAAAATTCTCTGTTTTATCATCCATTTGCTCGAATAATAATTTGAAAGCCCATCTGTGATGCTACCAATAGCTGAGCAGTCTGTGGGGCTGTTGCTGTCATCATTTTTTTTCTCTGGGTCCTGTTTCTTGGTTTTCCTTGACATTTGTGAAGGCTTGGCTATACCTCTGGTTCCCTTTCATAGCGATTAAGCTTCCTGGCATCCCGGCTGAGAGCCTGGAGCGTCTTCTAGAGCTTCTCCTCCTTGGCAAGTCCTAAGCTCTCATTCTGGGCTACCTGACACTCTAGAAATTCTGACACCTCAGTAGCTTTCTTCTGGGCTTCTTAGCTTCTTGCTCTGCACACGTTCATCCACCAAACAGCTAGAAGGGAAACCTCTGAGCATCAAACTCACTTATTTTCACCACCTTTCTCCCCAGGATCTTCAGATCGCCACTCAATTTTTGGCTACCTTGACAGGTCCAAACTCCAGTGTCAGCCCTGTGAAACTCCGCTGGCTTCCCTTCCTCTTCACGGGTGTTTATGGTCTCTTGTCTTGCAGCAGGAGTTGGGAAATCCCCTGAATGAAAAGCGAGCAACAGCGTTGGCTCATCTCTCCGCGGTTCCCCTTTTGCTGAGATCTCAGCCCTTTGAGTCCCGATTGGCTCAGCTGCTCACCAGTGTCTTCAAAAAGAGCATTCGTATTTTACCCAGCTTGTCTACGTAGTGATCTATGCTGGCTACTTCATAACAGCCAGAAGCAATAGTCATTAAGTGGTATTTTAATTAACTATATTGGCATTTTATATATATATATATACACACACACACACACACACACACATACGCACACTATGTTCAGCACTACAGAGTCCAAATACAAGACACTTTTACCAAGTATTTTATTTGTAAAGGCATCCCAAAGGTAAGATGTCAACACGCAAGATTGGAGTGTGGAGGTGACGCTCATCCAACTTCTTTATTTCTTTTTTTTTTTTTTTTTGAGACAGACTCTTGCTCTGTCACCCAGGCTGGAGTGCAGTGGCATGATCTTGGCTCACTGCAACCTCCGCCTCCCGAGTTCCAGTGATTCTCCTGCCTCAGCTTCCTGAGTAGCTGGGATAACAGGCACACGCCGCCACCATGCCTGGATTTTTTTTTGTATTTTTAGTAGAGATGGGTTTTCGCCATGTTGGCCAGGCTGGTCTCAAACTCCTGGCCTCAAGTGATCTGCCCGCCTCAGCCTCCCAAAGTGCTAGGATTACAGGCATGAGCCACCGCGCCCAGCCTATATTTCTGATTATAAAAAAATTGCAGCAATGGTCGCCATGGTCCACGCATCAGCCAGCGCCTGCTGGGCTTTACACAGCTCTCCTGTCTCCCTCACAGCAAGTCCAGGGGGAGGGTCTAGGAGGCCCCGTTGGGAAGTGACACTCGGGATTTGAGCTCTGGCATGCCTGAATCCCTGAGCCGCTGCGTCCTCCTGGCTCCCTGCAGGAAGATTTCTCCCATGCTGTTTATTTTCAGGATGGTCCCTGAAACGTAAGGGACCCGACAGCCACCACGGCGAGGAAGGCGCAGAAGGGGCAGCACGGAGCCGTGAGCCACAGAGATGCTGCAGCCTGGACCAGCCATCATCAGACAGGCGTGTGCCGTCAGCGCTCAACGTGTGAGAAAGCACAGAGCCAGGCCCTTCCCAAGACCCCACTATGAACCCGATTGCTTCGGCCTGGCTGCCTTCCTCCAAAGGGGTGCAGGCGGGGCCCACGGGACCCCAGTTCTCTAGTCTCGCCTGACTCTAGGCAGAACTCTAGTGGCTCTGATCTCTGGGCAGAACTGACTCAAGAGCCACTGAAGAGACCTTCGCCTGGGGTCCTAGACTGGGCTGCAAGGAGTCTTTGAATCTCTTGAGATTGTGCACTAAGTATTTACCTGCACGCATTTTTCCAGGAAGAGGGCCTGCGGCTTGCATCATATCCCCACCGTGGTCTGTGACCAAGAAAGTAGTCAGCATCTTTAGGCTAGAGGAGGCGGGAGCCCCGGATTCCAATCGCAGTTCTCCCTGGCTGTGTGAGCTTGATTTGTCCTTTCTCTCTCTGAGCCCTGATTCTGCCTCTTTTCTGCAAGGACCTTGATCGCTGGGGGCGGCAGGGCTCTGTCTGCTGAACCCCAGATCCCTCTGCACTTTCCCTGCTCTGCTCAGTAGCGTGGGGCACTGGCCCAGCAAAGTTCATTTCCAGGTTCTTGTTGTGTTCTGACCCTGAGAGGCTCTGGCCGGGACTGGGAGGGTGGGAGGGTGGGAGGCCCAGGTATCTGCCCACATCTCTGCTTCAGGCACCAGCTCTGGCAGGGGCGGCCTCTGTAGTTCACTTCCTACAGGTGGCCCCTTCTTCCACGGGGCCCCCAAGGGGTGCGAATCTCACCCTCCATACACCTCTTTTTGGACCCTCTGTGTATTAAACTCCCTAAGGAGCCACCTGACGTGAGCTCTGGAGCCTGAGCCGTGGCTGATAACCAGGTGATTGCCAAGTGCCTTGAACACCAATATTCCCACCCAGGGTTGCCCAGTGACTTCACAGCAGGGCAGCGTTCCCCCGTGCTTGCCCTGGAACCCCTTTTTGGTTGACAAATTGTATGTTTTCAGAATGGTTTGAGATTTACAGCAAAACAGAGAAGACAGCCCAGAAAGCACTCATATCCCCTCGCCCTGCCACCCCTCATCCTCATCCGCATTGGCGTGGGCCTGTCACAGCCATCCACCTGCTCGTGACCAAAATCCACTTTAGCCAGATTTCCTTCATTACCTAGTGTCCCTTTTCTGTCCAGGACCCCATCCCGGACACCATATGATATCTCCTCCCCTTGGGCTCCTCCTGGCTGTGACGGTTTCCCAGACTTTCCTCGTCTTGGTTTTTATTTTTTTTGAGACAGAGTCTCGCTCTGTCACCCAGGATGGAGTGCAGTGGCACAATCTCGGCTCACTGCAAGCTCCGCCTCCCGGGTTAACGCCATTCTCCTGCCTCAGCCTCCTGAGTAGCTGGGACTACAGGCACCCGCCACCACGCCCAGCTAATTTTTTGTATTTTTAGTAGAGACAGGGTTTCATTGTGTTAGCCAGGATGGTCTCCATCTCCTGACCTCGTGATCCGCCCACCTCAGCCTCCTAAAGTGCTGTGGATTACAGGCATGAGCCACAGCGCCCTGCCTCTTTTTTTTTTTTTTCTGAGCTGAAGTCTTGCTCTGTCACTCAGGCCAGAGTGAAGTAGCATGATCTCGGCTCCCTGCAACCTCTGCCTCCTGTGTTCAAGCAATTCTCATGCCTCAGCCCCTAAGTGTCTGGGACTACAGGCCCATGCCACCCACCACGCCCAGGTAATTTTTTTTTTTTTTTGTATTTTTAGTAGAGACAAGGTTTCACTGTGTTGGCCAAGCTGGTCTCAAACTCCTGACCTCAGGTGATCGCCTTGGCCTCCCGATTTCCTTGTCTTCAATGCTGGGCAGTTTTGAGCAGCGCTGCTCAGGTGTTTGTAGGGCATTCCTGGGCGAGATCCGTCTGCTGCATGCCTCACAGTTGGGCTGGGTGATGGGTGGTTAAGTTTGGGAGGAAGAGCATGGGGGCAACGCACCCTCTCCCCACACACATCAGGGACACACCATCAGCGGGGCACGCCACGGTTGGTGCTGGCCTTGAGTGAAGGGCTGAGGTGCACCCGTCTCTCCATGGTAAAGCCACTTCCTCCTTCCCACCCTGTCTCCTCGGGAAGCCTGGACCCCCTGTTGCGGAGCCCCTTCTGGACCAGTGCGCCTGGGAAATGCTGAGCCAGTTCCAGCCTAGCACACAGTAGGTGCCTAATTGAGCCTCCCCGAACTGGATGGAGCATGGGAAATCAACCCACGGCTGTGGCCTCATTAGGAAGGAAGTTTTCCCTCCACTCAACTCCCTCTTGGCTTGTGGTCTAATTAAGCTCTGCTGCTCCCTCGGGCCTGGGCCGGTTTGCACGGCTCACTCCCGACTTGAGGGGTTCCCGCCAGGCCCTGCTGGCTCCAGCTTCTGCCCACCCAGAAGGAGTGTGCCGGGGAGCTGAGGCCCCCACAAGGGCTCCCAGCCAGAAAGGCATCTGGATCCCCCACCAGCGCCCTTTCTAACCACCACATAAGCATCAAAAGCACACGGCACAGACAAGCCCACAAACAGAAGAGCAGAGGGTCCGGCTCTCCCCGCCTCCTCCCCCGGCCACACCCGGCATTTCTAGGAGACTTTTCCCCAAGGCTCTGAGCCCTTCAGGAGCACAGATGGGCCCCTGTGCTCCTCAGACTCTGGAAGGGAGTTGCTTGAGCCTGGTACACCTGGAGGCCCAGGAGGAAGGCCATGGGTGCAAGGGGCAATGCCTGGGCCACCAGTCTCCGGGGGAGACAGGGAAATCAATGCCGAGGGTGAGGAGGTCTCTCCCAGGTGGGAAGGCAGGGGAACCGTGGCTGCCCCAGGAGGAGTAACAGCCTGCCCCAGGCAGGGCCCTGACCTCCACACACTGGCTCCCCCTCACCCCACAGAGAGGATTTCTCTCAGTTTTACAGGGAAGAAATGGAGGCGAGGGAGCGAGGACACTTCCCCAGGCTGTACGGCCAGGAAGGGGTGAGTGGGCTGCCCACTCCAGAGGCCCGGCACCCTGGACCCCTTCCCACGGCTCTGCCTCGGGCTGCCTCGGAAGCAGGAAGGCCCCCCAGGACTTTGACTAACCTACCTGAGCCTGGCATGTGAGCCCTTGCGGGACGGACAAGCCCACCTGGAGCCTCGAGCCGCAGCCAACCGCGCCAAACTCGCTCTACGGAGGAGCCTCTGGCGCTCCGGGATGGGACATGGCCTGGCTCCGGCCAGCTGGGCAGAGTGGAGACGCTCACCCAAAGCACACGCTCCTCAGGGAATGGAGCAGCAGTGGGAACACAGGCGGGATGGAGACCGAACATGCCCCTCCCTGGGATCCTGGAGCAGGTCGGAGGGAGCAGGGGCTGGACGTGCCCCGTCGCAAGGCCGGCAGGGAGGAGGTGAGGGCCCAGCCCAGGCTCTCCCCTCCAGTGCCACCGCACCCCTGCTCTTCCAGGCCAAGAGGGGCTCCCACTGGGGGCAGGGTGTGGGGGGTCTTCCTTAACTCTACTCTTATTTCACAAGCCCCAGGGGCTCTTTCAGGCCACGGGGTACATTTGTTTGCACGGCAGCAGCCAGCCTCACCCAGGTGCGGCAAGGAGAGGCAGGGCAGGGGTGAAGGAGGGGCCCAGTCAGCAGGAGGGGACAGCAGGTGGTCCCCACAAATACCCCAGCAATGCCACTCCCGTGTTACTCTCCCGAGGCTCCCTATCACCCTGGGAGAGAGTCTAGATTATTTTTTATTTATTTATTTTTTTAGAGCAGGATCTAGCTTCATCACCCAGGCTGGAATGTAGTGGCACAAACACAGCTCACTGCAGCCTCCAACTCCTGGGCTCAAGTGATTCTCCTGCCTTGGCCTCCCAAAGCATTGGGACTATAGGTGTGAGCCACTGTGCCCAGCTAATTTTTTTATTTCTTGTAGAGATGGGGGTCTGGCTCTGTTGCCCAGGTTGGTCTGGAATTCCTGGGCTCAAGTAATCCTCCCTCACCCAGCCAAGAGACCAGATTCTTAGCCGGGCATGGTGGCTCATGCCTGTAATCCCAGCACTTTGGGAGGCCAGGGCGGGTGGATCACCTGAGGTCAGGAGTTCAAGACCAGCCTGGCCAACATGGCAAAACCCTGTCTATACTAAAGATACAAAAATTATCAGGGCATGGTAGCACGTGCCTGTGGTCCCAGCTACTCCAGAGGCTGAGGCAGGAGAATTGCTTGAACCCAGGAGGTGGAGGTTGCAGTGAACCAAGATCATGTCACTGTACTCCAGCCTGGGTGACAGAGCTAGACTCTGTCTCAAAAAAAAAAGAGACCAGATTCTTCAATGTGGCCCAGGACTCGCCAGCTGGCCCATTCCCCTTGCCCTGTCCCCATCTCCCCACTGCCTTCTGCCAGGGTGGGCCTGGGAGGCTGGGCAGTCCTGATTCCTGCCTGGGTCACCCCAAACTCTCTACCACTTTGATGACAATGCCTACTGCAATCTTTTTGAAAATTAGCTCCTTCCAGAACAGGGACTGTGGCTTGTTTCTGTCTGTTTCACTGTTCCCTGGCTCAAGGCCGGCTCCAGTGGGCACTTACTAAATGGTGACTTCACTTAACTGGTGCCTGCTGGACCTGCCCCGTGCTGGGCTAAAAGACAGGAATCAGGAGCCAGGAAGTGGAGTCCTCCCCTTGGCCTCTGCTTCCCAGCCTGAGAGATAGGCCCATCAGACACGCTCACCATTGTGGCTAAGAAGAAGTGCCCCATCTCCTTCCAAACCCCATCTCACTTGGTCCCCACCTCAGCCCCAGGGTGCAGCTCGAGCTGTTACCCCAAAGGGAAACTGAGGCTGGGAGGTGACCCCCATTAGTCTGTTGTCGAGGTTTGTCTGGCTCAGCTCCAGGCTCGTGGCGACCACTGGGGTGAGGAAATGGTCCCTTCAGGACGCAGGGGGGACCAGGGACCAGGAACCAGGAGCCTCCAGGAATGCCCAGAACCGCAGGCCTCCTTGTCCTTGAGACGATTTCACACGTGGTCTCTGGGGCTCTGGCTTTGACCTGAGGGTGGTCAGTAGCACAAGCCTTGTCCAAGGGGGGCCTGACGGGCAACCCCCGCGTGCCCACCCCAGGAGTGGCCAAGTTGTTCAGTGCAGGGGCCCCCTGGGACAGAATGGCAGAGGGGGCAGATGTCAGGGAGAAGGCAGGTGCCCGACCTGATTGAGTGGGGCTCCTCCAGCGGCGGTGCTCCCATCAGACCCCACGGTCAGCCCTCGCCACCCCCACCATGGAGCAGGGCTATTCCTCCAGGGTCCAAGTCACACTCCAGTCCCTTTCTCCCTCCTGGGGCCCTTAAATTCCAGACAGGGTTCCACTGGCCGCTGTCAGTCAGGGAACCTGGACTGGACGGGGTCAGAGGGGTTGAAACCAGGAAGGGCCCAAGGCAGCCACTCACGGAGGCCACGCCCACCCCACCACGGCAGCAGGGGACCCCAGGCAGGCCCCTTAGCCCTCTCAGGAAGGAGGCAGCAGCCAGTCCAATCAACAGGGGTCTCCTCCCTGTGAGCCCCACTCAGGGGACCCCGGCTCTCTGAAAGATTACCCAACACACAGACACATGCATGGTTGGCTGCTACCCACTTATTCTACAGCATCAGAGACCGGAGTGCCAGCGCTGGGCAGCTGCTGTGTGGATGCCAGCCCTCAAGGCCCATGGCAGAATGGACACCACCCCTGCCACTCACTAGCCCTGATGCTGTGGGCAGAGGTGTCTGGGCCTCTGGGGCACGGGGGTCTTGACGATGCCCACTGCCCCCTACAGAGCAGCCCCTGGTGCCTGGCACCTGGTGCTCCGCCCTTGCCCTGCAGGGTTGGGGAGGCAAGAGGGGCCTGGACTCAGCTCCTCCTCCCTGGAAACCCTTCCAGGGGACTCACTCATAGAGGGAACGGCCTCCCTCCCACCATGGTGACGCCCTCCTGCTCCCCACACAGGGTGGTCCCAGCTCCCTCCCTCCAGGAGCACCCCCACTCCTTTTCCTGAGCAGAACTCTTCAGAAACAGGAGTGTGTTTGTGGTGGAGCCAATCCCTGTGCCTGTGTGTGAGTCACTGTGCCTCGGTTTCCCCATCTGAGTCACTATGCCTCAGTTTCCCCATCTCAGTCACTGTGCCTCAGTTTCCTCATCTGAGTCACTGTGCCTCGGTTTCCCCATCTGTGACATGCAGATAAGATTTGTTTTCCCTTCCCTACTCCACTCTCTGTGGATGCCCACAGGGTCCCACCCTCACCGGGCACAGCCCAGGCCACCGGGCCAGAGCGGTGGACAGGAGACCCAGGCCCAGGCCAACAAAGACAGATGCGTGGCAGGCAGCAAAGTCTCCCGGGGGATGGTCTGGGTGTGGGCCAAGGAGGGGTCAAAGGAGGCCATTCAGCAAGCACCACCAGGTGCATTCAATGACCCCCTCCTCCAGCTGAGGCCCCAGAGTGGCAGCACAAAGCCTGGGCTCCTGGTCCCCACCCTGCCCCCAACCTGCCCCCAACCTGCCCTCCACTGGGACGCTGGGGTACAGAGAGGCCTTGCATCCCATCCGGAGGCTGCTTGAACCCAGAGGTCAGCTTCAAGGCAGATGGCCAAAGGCTGGTCACTTAGTTTTCTTCCAGCAAAATTCACAGCTTCCTGTTTCTCAGATAAAAGGCCCGGGAGACCCATCAGGACTGGGCAGAGCCCATGCAGAAGAAGGAGTTCTGTGCGAACAAATCAGAAACGGGCAAGGACACACCCCGGCAGTCTCTACTGGTTAGGAACATTCATGGGAAGTATGTTTCTAGTTCCCCCACAAAGCTCCCCAGGGCCCCAGCATGTCCTGGGGATGCCACAGCTCCTGGGCAGAGCCTGCAGGGAGTGGGCAGCTGAGTTGGCCCAAGCACCAATGCATGAATCATCCTAGAGGCATCCCAGGAGCCCACAGCCAGGAGCCAAAATCGGGGGGCTGCAGCTGGGACCCCTCTCCCGTGAACTGCCCCTGCCAGGCCTTTTTGGCCTCACTTTATCTGCCTGTCCAGTGGGCACAACCACCTTGCTGGGACAGGCGTGTCTGCCCCACCAGCAGGTCCATCCTAACAGCCTCTGACTCCTGTCAACTCACCACAAACGGGTTTCCTCCACCTCAGTGACTCTGTGATTTGGAAACCAAATAAATGTGAAACCGTCTCTGTTGGCATTGCACAGAGCGCTGCCCCCCACCCCCTCTGGGCACCCCACCCTCACACCTCCTCCTGCCCCCGCCTAGCAGTACCAAGGCCGGCTGGAAATCATATTGCTCCCCGGCCCAGGCCCAGACGGCCACGTCGCTTTCAAGCCAGGCCCACTGGTCCAGGGCCAGGCGCAGACTCGGCCGGTCCAGAGCACCAGGCAGGGTCGGGATAGAGGAGGGGCGGTGGGGAGGGGTGAGGCTTCACTGGGTGGGGGTTGCAGGGAGAACAGGGCTGCAGTTCCAGGGCATTGTGTAGCCAGGAAAAGAGAGGCAGGGAAGCCCCAGGCATGACCGTGTGGATTTTCCACAGCGCCCCATCTTTTGGGGCTCAAGGGCGTCCCAGACCCTCAAGGGCACAGTGGAGGCAGCAGGGCAGCAGGACAAGAGGCAGCAACGAGGAAAAGTACAGCCCAGGAGCAGGAGCCCTGGCTCCCAGGGCACTGCCATGGAAACGGAAATAGACATTCACGGGGGGTGGGGGGGTGAAGTCCTCTGAGATGGGCCACGCGTGACCCCAGACACTGGGAAGGTGGGTGCCCGCCCTGGCCATCCATGGCAGTGCCAGCCACAAGAGACTGGCACCGAGGGCCCGGCAGCCTGACAGCCCCTGCCTGGCCCAGGACACCCTGGGCTAAGGCTTGGTTCCTCGGGGGCTCTCAGCTCACAGTGGGGGGAGTCAAAGCACAGTCCCACAGCGCCTCTGGGACTCCATAGCCGCTACTGGCAGGGGGAGGGCCTGCCCCTGTGTCAGGGAGGGACCCCAGGAGGCTTCCAGAGGGAGGCAACATCAGAGCTGCACTTGGAGAAGGCGGGCGTGCTGGACAGGAAGGGGAGGAGGGGCACCAGAGGACAGGGGTGTGTATGCCAAGGTGCAGAGGGGTGGGCGGCAGGGCCAAGGGTATGGCGGGAAGAGGGACGACGTGGGGTCTCCCGGGGACTCATTCTCTGGATGGCCATGCAGAGGCATGGGAGGCAACGCCGTCCTAAGCAGCGTGATCAGATTTGTGTTCTAGAAAGATCCTTCTGGCTGCCGTGTAGGGAAGGGCAGGAGGAGAGGAAGCCGGAGGCGAGAGGGTGCCAGGAGTTGACCTGTCATCCAAGGAGAGCCGAGGAGGACAGGGAGGTGACTCCAGGCCTAAGGAAGAGTCGATGCTTCCTCCTAATGCATCCTCCACAGCTGGGCCAGAGGGGATGGAGCAAGCCCCTCTCCAGTAGCCTGCAGCAGCCCGGGCTCTGGAAGCGCGCCCACTCCACTCCTTGAGAAGTGTGTGGCGGAGGTGAGGGCTCCTGCTTTTCTGATTTGCTCCAGGCCCCAAAGGAATCTATGAGCTTGCTCCGGACCTCAGCATCCCAGCCAGGGCCACCTGCCAGCGTCTGACAGTCACCTGCAAGCCACTGGGCAGACCTCCGTTCCGTTTCCAGCGGGGAAGCCCAGGCGCGGGGCCAGTCACCTGTCCAGGCCTGCACAGGCACTGACTCAAAGCTATGGGCTCAGCCGTGTTGAGCTCTGCTGCATCCCATGGCCACCCGCCCCTGGAGGCTGCAGCCCAGGGAAAGGGGACCCCGGCCTGTGCGCACCACCGAGGGCTCCGTTCCCAACAGGCTGTGCTGATGTTGTGCCTTTGGCCCCCTGCAGGTGTTCTGCCTGAAGCATCCACCCTGAGGTCCACACAGTTGGGCTCTGGAGGAGGGCAGGGCAGCCCCTGCTCTCAGGACAGGTGGGGAGCCCGGCCACACTCTCCAGGAGGAGGCAGGAGGGCTGAGGCCTGTGTGTTGGCGGCTGGTTGTGAATGGACAGGGAAGACCCAATTCCTGGGCACAGTGGAGGTCCCAGAGGCCTTACAGGGCCACAGGTCAGGCCAGCCTGGCTGCAGCTGGGGAGCTGGAAGCTTGGCCCAGCCCAGACCCTGGCTCATATCTGAGGGCAGAGAGAGGGACTTGGGGTGTTCTGGAGCCACCCTCACCTGCTTGGGTCACAGCCGCCGCACCTTGCCCACAGGGACTTTCTAGAAGAGAAAACGCACAGGAGGTAGCGAGAGGAAAGGCTCCTGACGGGTGGCGGCAGGCGGGAGAAATGGGATCTTTCAAAACCATTAAGGCTGGAAGTGCCAGGAGAAAGGGAGGAATCACACAGCTCTGCCTCAGAGGAGGGTCTGGAGGCCCTAGAGACACAGCGATCCCATCCTGCTGAGGAATGGGCTGCACCGGAGTGGGGGCCGCAGAGGTGGGTGGAGAGCCAGGGCAGCTGCCAGGGTGGGCTTCTGGTGGCACCCTGTGGGGGTGAGGACGGCGGGCCTGGGGCCCTCCCCGCTTCCAGGAACCGGTTCTCTGCCCATTCTGGTGTCTGGGCCCTGTGTCTCCCAGTGTCACAGCCTGGGCTGAAGGAGGTTAACAAGATGCTGACACCTGGGCCGGTTACTTTCTACTTAAGCAACTCTGGAACAGCGAAGTCTGCCTTCAGCCCGAGGCGGAGTGCCAGGATGTGAGAGGCGGCCGTGGCCGTGGGCAGGGGCAGGAAGCCACGAGACCAGGCAGTGCCCTGTTTCCCGGGCACAAACTGGCAGGGAGCAGGGCCAGAGTCGGCATGGGTTGCCCTTCCTATTTCACAGTGTGGGTCAGGGGTGAGAGACTCAGGAGCCCAGAAGGGGCGGAACCCACCCAAGTCCTCACGGTGGTCAGGTGGCCAGGCAGGGCCCGAAGCTAGTCTGCCAACTGCCTTCCCAGCTCTCATCTCATAGAGAGGTCCAGGGGTCCTTGAGTAGCCCCTGGGGGGCCAGAGCACAGTGACCACTGTGAATCCGCTCACACATGCAGGGGCTCACCACACCCAGGCTCTGTGGCTTCAGGGACCCTCAACCCCGCAGAGCCTCCTCCCCTGCCGATGGCAAATCCTCACAGCTTGAACCCTCAAGCGAGGGCAGCCCCACTCACAACTGCTCTAGGAGCAAGAGCCCCAGGAGGAATCTGGTCTGCGTCTGCCTCGTACTACGTGCTCCTCCAGGCCCGGAGTTAAGGATCCTCTGACAAATAATGTCATAAAAGACCTCTCATGAACAGAGAGAGCCCCTCTCCAGTCACATTTCCCTTTTTGCCCTGGCTGCCAGGAAGCTCAACATTGCACTCAAGTCCAACCACATGGTCACGGCTGCTTGTTTCCTCACCTAATCCTGCCCTCTGGGGTTGGCTCTACTTTTCCATCTCCTACGTGTCTTCCTGGGATATGTGTGTTTCCCTGAAAAACCTCCTCAGACTTTGGAGGACCATGGTGAATTCAATATTCATTTCCTTAATATCAACTGCGGTGGAGCTGCATCCACAAAGCTAGTGTCCAAATGGGCCATGAGCTCAGGAGGCAGCAGGGCCCGGGGGAGCAGGAGGGGGTGAAGGGAAAGGTCTGGGGCTCTCGATGGCGTTGCTGGTGAGCAGCACTGGGGGTCAAGACAGGCCATTGTCAAGGCTGGAAACTGGAGGGGGGTGGGGGATCGCTGGGCAGGGGAAGGGGCTCCAGGATGATGCCATGTGAGACAGCCAAGACAAAGGTCGCTTCTCCAAATTTCCAACAAATTACCAACAGCCCCAGGGGAGGGCAGGAGGGGAACTGGGTCTCAGGCAGGCAGCCCCTCCCCACCCAGCAGCTCTGCCTTCCCGGGGAAGCCGGAACCCCCAGCACGCAGGGTCAGGCAGCCAGGCCCAGCCCCTTGAGATGTTCCCTCCACCACCTCCACTGAGGCCCTGCTGCAGGACAGAACTTGTGCTGGCCCTGGGGACAGGGGGGTCAGCTGGCCCTTGCCAAAGCGGAGGTCACCTGGGGAGCAGCCGGGGTTTGCCTCATGAGCCCCGTGTGCAGGGGCCTGTCCCGCAGCCCAGGCCTTCAGCAGATGGGAACAGTAAAGAAGTCCCCACTGCCCCCATAACCCTGGCCCTGCTTCAGGGAGCAGCCAAGCGGAGGGTACCCGGGCAGGGCAATCTTGCCAAATTGAGGTTACAAGGTAGTAACTCGAGGCTGTCCTCTCTGCAATCCCCTCAGCATTCTGCCAGGGTGAAAGGCAGCCTGTCCAGTCACCCCAGCGCTGGTTCCCAGCCTCCAACCCTTTAACGCTTCATTTCACCGGGAGCCCAGTGTCAGCGGCCGGCAGTCCCTGAGGGTGGCAAGAGACCGGCCTGTTGGCCTCTGTCCAAGCCCCCACTGCCCCCTCTGAGGTGAGCCCAGCTGGCCCTTTAAGAAGCTGGGGCCACTGCTGGCGCCGCTTGGAGATGGGCACGTTCCTGATCCTTCTGGAAGGAAGGCTAAGTTGGAGTGGAGACAAAATGTTCTTGCACAGCTCGGTAAACAAGCAGAAAGTGTTTTGAAAGCTTCTGCCGATGCAGAGCACTGTAAAATAAATGTGAGAGTTGCAAAAGGAGGCTCCCAGCTGCCAGGGTGGGGGGCGGCAACAGGGGGCACGCAGGCTGCCCACAGCCCCACCGGCATGTGTGCCCCATACCATGGCCTCCATGGGCAGATGTGGTGTCTGCGGGCGCACGTGTGTGCACGCTGTGGAAGGGCCCCAGGTCCGCCTGTGTCTGCAGGTTGTCTGCACAGACGCAGGGCTCCTGAGTGCGGATACAGCCCCTCCCTCCTCACCCTGAATCTTCCTGGAACCAGCCAGGAGGAAACCCTGATTAACGTCATTCTCAGCCGGGGCTGCCGAGCACCCCCAAGGATAGGAAGGAGCCGGGAGCCCAGCTCTGCAGAGAGCTACCAAAGGGTCAGTGGAGAATGGGACCCTCATCTACACAGCTGCACGGAGCCTGGCGAGCAGCACGCTTTGAGGGCAGAACCTCATCACGGGGCGGTCCTTAGCTCCTCTAGGACCACTCCACCCCGTAATGATGGTGCTGAGGGCACACGGAGCTCCCCTGGGGATCGGCCAGGCACTGGGGAGGTGTGGCCTCCATGCAGCACAGATGCCAAGGCCAGCCTTAGTGACAGGGACCAGTCCCGAGGCCAGATCAGCCCCGGCACCCTCTGTCGATCTGGCGAGTGGCTCTACCCTCCAAGGCCCAGTGTCGCCAGCTGTTGGGTGGCCTCCCCTCCCAGAGTCTGTGCCGCCAGGCAAGGTGCCTGGCACTGCCCGCATCTATGGCATCAGCAGGGGCATCAGGTTCACCCTGCCAACCTCCTCGAGTCCCCCTGGCCCTAAGCCCACCATCATTCACCCAGCAACACCCATGAGCCTCGGAGGCAGCACCCCGCGTGGAAATGGCCCTCGCCCAGGGACGGGCAGACCAGGACCTGCCTAGACACCTGGGAGGTGTCGAGCTGCGGGGAGAAACACACGCATGACCAGGGAGCCACAGCAGAACATTGGGCCCGACTCGGGGTGGGGAGGACAGGAAGGCTCCCCAGAGGGAGAAGCATGGCAGGAGGTAAAGTGAGAGGTGGAGTGGGGACTGGACCAACAAGAACTGGGACTGGAGCTGCACCAAGCACACAGTAGGTGCCCAGTTAATGCCTGGTGAGTGACCGAATGGACCCTATGAGGCAGGAGAAGACCGAACCCTAGAGAGAGGGTGTCCCTCCAAGGTGGCAGGTGGGAAGCTGCAGAGCAGGATGCCCCCATTTTTGCCTGTCCTGACCTAGGCCCTGCCCTGCCTTCGTGGTTGGGAAGAGGCGGATCTAGCTGGGAAGGGCAGAGCCCTGGCCCCCAACGGCCCGCCGCTCCCTACATGGGGTAGACGCCTCCCCACGTCTGAGCTTATAACCAGTAGCGGGCTCTGGCTTTGGGGCTGCCGCGAGCCAGAGGGCACTGGAACAGCCAACCCCAGGACCCCAGCCGAACCGTCGGGGGCAGCCCCTGGGGGCACAGGAGCATCCTCCCACCTGGCTGCAGCGGGACACGGCCCAGTCAGAGGCCCAGCTGGGAACTGGGTGTCGAGCCAGGGCCAGCCAGTGTTAGGATTGCCAGGCTGTCCACCCCTCTGGCTCCCAGCGACTGGCGGGGGACTCCACAGCCGGGCTGAGCTCTGGGCACCTGTGAGCCAAAACCGCTCAGAAACCACAAGGCCAATAAATCCACTTTCTAAAGTGGCCAGTGAGAGAGGGAGGCACTGCGGTTTGGGTTCTAGCAGCCCCAGCCCACTTAAAGCACCAAAAGGCCTGGGGTTGGGGGGTGTGCCCTGACCTGTCCCCAAGTCCTAAGCCTTGGGTGGACTGCGGGTGGTAGGAATGCAGTAAGGACCCTTTCATGTGTCCAGCGCTGTCCTGGCCCTCAGAGGCCTAACACCTGGGCACCTCTCTTCCCAAAAGGCAACGAGAGCCTTGTTCCAGCCGGTGGGGGGTGGGCTGAAGCCACGAGATGAGAAAGTGGCACAGCCATGCCAACCAGACAGCAGTAGGACCCAACCCCTGGCCCACACCATCTTCCTCCCACAGACCAGGTGTTCACAGGACAGGACTGGCTGTCCCTCCGTCCCTCAGCCCACAGTGCTTGCACAGCACCCTAGACCTACCGTCGCTGGGTGCCACAGACCCCATCGCCCAGGAGCTGGGCCCCACGACACCAGGTGAGGTCACCTAAACTCATCCAAGGTCACACAGTCAGTAAAGGGACAGGGCTTTGAACCCAGGGTCCCAAGAGCTAAATCTCAGGGACAAAGACTCAGCTAAACCCCCCACAAAAGGGGAGAAAGGAGGAAGGGGGACAGGGACCCAGCGTGGAGTGGCAGGGAGAGGGGAGGTGGGTTCGGCCAGAGAGCCAGGGGTGTGCTTGGGCATGCACAGGAGGCAGGGTGGGCATTGGCCAGGCCCAGCCGGCACCTGAGCTCCTCCCTCTGCACCTGTGAGAGGGGTTCCTTCTGCCTCAGGGCACAGCCCCAGGTCCTGCCCCACCCGTCCTCAGAAGGCCCCGGCAGGGTGGTCAACTCCTCAGCCATTACACTGGACATGAAGGACTTTGTGAGGCTGGCGTCCCTCCCCAAAGCCATGCATTCGCCCTGCAGAGGGAGGAGAAGGTGCTCCCTTTGGGGAGGGGGCCCCAGCATCCCGGGGTGGGACTCCAGCAACCCCCACCCCTTGCCTCAAATACCCAGCAGAACCCTTGCCTTATAGAAGGCGGGCCTTGCTCAGGCGGTGGACCCGCGGGGAGAAGGGTAGGGTGCTCAGATGCCAGGGCCTATGAGAATGAACACTGACGCGTGGATGGATCCTGGGGAAATTTCTCTAGGCAAAGACCCCCAGGGGGCTGCTGAGGGAGAGAGAGGAGAATGAGAGCGCTGAGCCAGAGGGGCGAGGTGGGAGGCGACAACAGAACGGCCCTCCCAGGACCCAGTGGCATCCCAAAGACAGAGCAGCCAAGGGCAGGGGGTGGGGTGACCCAGGCCATCAAGGAAAGAGGCCACCAGAGAGGCCGCAAGACCCGGGGGCGGGAGTGGGAAGTACATGTTTGTCCCTCTTCCAGCCCGCGGCCGTAAGTAAGGCTGCGAAGGGCCAGGCTGGGGAGAGGCTGCAGTCGCCTGGATGGGGGAACCTCTGTGTGCCTCAGTGTCCTGCTCTGTATAGCCCCCACCCTTGCAGCACGGACCTCGCAGGCTGCTGGGAGGCTCAGGCAGGCTGTGTAGTCTCGGTGCTGAGCCTCGGAGCGCTGGACAGCCAGACTCTCCCTCCCAGCCCCCATCCAGACAGCCGGGGCCTCCCTGCCTGCTCTCCCGCAGGAGGTGAAGGCAGGCATAGGCTAACCCCACCCAAAGGGGGTCCCTGCCCAAGTGGCAGAGTGGCACAAGTCCTGGAGTGGCAAAATTTTGAAGAACAAGGCATATTGAGCAGGCTTGGCAGGAGGCCAGGCAGGTGCGAAATCAAGGCTCAGGAAGTCTCTCGGTAAAGATGGGGTTGGACCTGAACCAGGATTCCTGAGACCTCGGACCCCAGGGCCCTTTCCTCGGGAAGCTCTGACAGAGCTCCCTCCGCAGGGCTGGTGCTCCAGGAGCAGCTTCCAACGCTCTGGGCAACCGAATGCCTTCCACTGCCCCAGAGTGTGGTGCTTCAGGGTGCCCCTGGGCTTAAGGTTTGATGTGGCTGCACGCGGGCAGGACCTCTTAGCCATCAAACAGCCACCCAGCTAAAAGGCAGAGAGCAGCGCCACAGGTGACCCAGAGGAGACGCCACTCCCCAGAGGCCGAGGAAGACTCCAAGACTTTTTTCACAGGGTGAGTGGTCATTTAAGTGCTCAGGGCCCTATGCCCATCTCTCCTACCCCAGTTCATCACAGACTCCTAAAAGACAGGGGCTAACCCACGATCCCCTTGCCTGACAACATTCCTGGGCCCCCACTTACCCCAGTGAAGGTTTTGAGGCATCTCAGCTCACCATCCACAGGCTCCACCACCCAGCGCTGACCCTTTCCCAACTCAGCTCCCAAAACAGATGTCACAGCTCCTCCTCCCAGGGCCCCTTCCCAAAGACCCCCAAGACGTTCAGCTTTACCACAAGGTACCCCCCAGTCTGTGCCTGCCCCTCCAATGACTCACCCCCCCAGCACCATCCCCCTGCCCACTGCAGCTATGTCCAAGATGGTCTGGGTGAATTTTCTCGGTCACATATCAGTATGTATATGGGGCTCTTAGAAGTCACCCCGTAGCTGAAGGCATGGAGTTTCAGGCCAAGGAAGACTTCTGGACTTTGGATCAGCCGAGTGAACCTCCACTGCCCCACTTGCCATGTCACCTCCAAGTTCCCCCAGTCTCCCCTCCCTTCTCAGAACCAAGGCCTTCAGGGGGACAGTGACCCCACCAGCCCCTTAGAGAGTTGGTGGCAGGACTCGTTTGAGATCCCTGGGGTCTGGACGGCAGGCAAGTCTCTGCTCCCCTCCCCCGTGAGGGGCTACGACTGGGGAGCTGAGCACCCTCTGACCCCCAGAAGCGTTCCTGGGTCGTGGGACTCCAGCAGTTGTCTGGCGAGGGCAGAGAGGGGTCTGGGAGTGGATCCCAAGGGTCTATCACCAGGCGGGCGGGAGGTCACTGTCCTGCATACCAGGCTAATTGGGGTCTGGCAGAGTGCACTCTCAGACAGCAGGCCTGGATGTGTAGCCCTGCATGCTGACCTCCCCCGCCACGACACACACCCCAAAATCCAAATTGACCCAGCTCCATCCCACCTGGGCTGCCCCAGGAGGCCTCTGAGCCCGGCCCTTTCCCAGCCAGGAGGCACCAGGGTGTCTGGGAGCTTCCCACCCCGGGATGTCACAACAGGCAGGGGGCTGGGCGGCCAAGAGACACGCACGCTCCAGGGGCTCAGGAGGAGATGGGGGCTGGCCACATAAACAGTGACAGTGAGCCGTGGCTGCGCTTATCCAAACAGTGGATGTGAAAGCCCAGCTCCCAGCAGACAACGTCTCCCCCACAGGAATCGCCTAACGGGTCTGTCGCAACGGTTTCAAATTCCCGCGCCACCGGCCCTCCAGATGCTGCTGGGGCCAGGCCTCCCAGTGGAACCGACTCCCCAGCCCCCTGCCTCCCAGCCCCCCTGGAGCTGCCAAGGTTTGGGAGACTATGGCCCCAGAGCAGGGGCTGAAATGTCAGGTTCCTCTGGGCCATGGGGCAGAATGGAGCTTTGGACTCAGGGCTGGACCATTTCTCGTTTCCAGAAGGGTCCCAGGAAGGTCATCTGCTTGACCCCAGGAAGCAGGAAAGACTCCTGGGTGGCTTGCGGCCTGGCAGCCCTCCCACAGGGTCGGGCCATGAGCGGGGACCCCCCTCTTCCTCACAGCTTGGTGGGCCCTTGGGGAGCAGGACAGGTCTTAAACCTGCTCCCACCAATGCAGCTCCGACCTCAGGAAGCCCCCAAGCTCATGATCCTCTTCCGGTCTCAAACACCCTAGCTTCTCCTCCGGGTCACAATGCAGACAGGCCACCATTAAACACCACTTCCCCACTTTCCTCTCTCGAACAAAGGGCAAAACCAACCCCACTCCTCTCTCTGTCACTTACCAGTCTTTCCTTTTGTCTACAGAATCTATTTTTCCCTAGTCTTCCCACCATGACTGAGCGCTTTATAAAGCACCATTAGATATGACCCCATCTCGTCTCCAGGAACCCACCATGAAACAAGTGTCATCACCACATCTTACAGGTGAGGAAACTGAGGCTGGGGGAGGTGACAGGACATGGCCAGGACCACAGCCCAGAGCCGCAGCGTTTGCTCCTGTGAGCACCCATCTGCCTTGCTCTGAGGGAGAGCCAGGCTCTGCCCCTGCCCACCTCCCACTGCCCAGCAGAGCAGCATCTCCTGCCTCAGACTCCTTCTGACTGGCCAGCCCGGATCACCTGGTTCCAGTGGGCAGTGGACCCGGCACAGGCAAACAACCCCTGGGGGCAGAGCACCCCGTCAGACAGACTCACTGTGGCCTGAGCCTCCCTGTGCCTCTTCAAAAGGGGGAGGCGCTTATGCAGGTGTGGTTCTGCAGGGGGAGGCGCTTCTGCAGGTGTGGTTCTGCAGGGGGAGGCGCTTCTGCAGGTGTGGTTCTGCAGGGGGAGGCTCTTGTGCAGATGTGGTTCTGCAGGTGGAGGCACTTCTGCAGGTGTCGTTCTGCAAGGGCTCAGGACAGCTGTCTAGGGAGGGCTGCTTCCCTGTAACAGTCCTTTGGCTGCAGGGTCAACCTCAGAGGTGGCCCCCACCCCTAAGGGACCCCCAGTTCCTCACTCACTGCCCTGGTGAGGGGTCCGCCATCCAGGGGCTTCCCCTGGGCCTTCCACCTCAGAATCAGATTTTCCTGGGCCCCGCTCAGCCTCAGGCTCACCAAGCCCCCCACCTCACATGGGGAGGCAGGAACACCCCAGACTGGTGCCCAGGGGTGGGTCAGGCTGATGGCTCATCAGTCACGTGCCCTGGACAGCCAGAGCCCTCCCTGGGCCTCAGTGCCTTGTAAACAGGAGAGGGGCCTAAGAAGCTGGTGTGTGACTGGGTTCTCAGTGCATTGATGGTGACAGCACTGTCCTCTCGGGAGGGCTCAGGTCCCCATGTTCACTCGGGCCTCAGCCTGGCTGCTGGGCTCCCTGCCGGGTTCTGGGTGGGCAATGCCGGTCTCTGGGCCCGCACCTGCTACTCAATTCATGTCATGACCGTGGGACCCCAAGCAGAAGCCAGAACCTTCCAGAAGTTCAAAGGTGAGCCACCCCATCAGAAAGCCCTGCTGTCCAGCTCCACCAAGTTCAGGGGCCTGTCCAGGACACCCGTCCACCTTGGGGCCCTCGCTCTGCATGGAGCACCAAGGCAAGTTAAAAGTTTTATTGATTGAACACGAGTGTAAGTAGTAAAAGTTCTCCTGATGTAACCCACTTTTTCTTAATGGGTAATCTCAGACACTCGAGTTTGTGTGGTAAAGGAGGTTTAGGACAATTTAATAGCTCATAAAATTTTATAGTCCCAGTTGAAATCAGAGTGCTAACTCCAGCCTGCTCAGCGATAGAGCTGTCGTTTACTAAATGCCTCTCATCTATTTTTTTCCCTCATTTATTGGAAAGTTAACATCTGCTCTGCTATGGTCGGGGCGAGGGGGGTCGGGAGGAAGGAAAAAACATGATCTATTTTTTCCAGAAGAAAGGTAAGAGATTCGGGCTCTCCTGGCAGCATCCTCTCCCAAGCACATGGTTTTCCTTTAAGTCAGAAAAAGGTTCAGTAAACTGGGGCTGACCCAGAGTTCACCGAACTCCACAGCAGGCGCCGGTCCCCCATGGTGGCTGCTGAGAGATTTGAGTCTATCCAGGCCAAGGCCATGTCCGGGGATCAGCCAGAATCTGGTAGAGTCCATTAACAGTCATGCCCTGGTAATTTATGAAGCACCTACTGTGTGCATGGTCGGGGGTGGGGAGGGGTGCAAAGAAATAGGACACAAGCTCACCAGCTCCTGAGGAACTTACCCTCGGAAGCTAAAACTTCAGAAGCAAAGGGACGAGGGCTCCGGGAAGAGGCCGGGGCCCCAGGGGTGTGTAAAATGCAGGCACATGGAAGTAACGGAGCCTGGGGTTCTGCCTGCCATGCTCACCAGCAAGTCCCTGACCTTGGAGAGCCTCAGCGTCCTTGTCTTTCAAATGAGAACCACACTGGCGCCTACATCGTAGGGTCAGCGTGAGGATAAAATAAAGTATGGAAAACAGCCGGTAGCTGGAACTTGAGACATGTTACCAAAAAGAGAGAGATTGAGAAAAACAGTTTGGCAGTTCCTGAAAAAGTTAGACATAGAATCAGCCTAGCGCCCAGCGTGCCACCCCTAGGGTTACAGTATGCCCAGGAAAATTGAAAACTGGCACCCAGGCAGCTCCACATACACACAGGTTCACAGCAGCGCCATTCACCGCCACCAAGAGATGGAAACATCCAGAGGCCCTTCCCCGGATGAAGGATAAACAGAATGTGGCTCATCCTCCTCCCTGCTGTGGAATGCGATTCAGCCATGAGAAGGAGCAAGGCACTGACACAGGCCACAATGTCGATGAACCCTGGAAACACCATGCTCAGTGAAAGAAGCCGGACATGAAAGGCCAGTCTGGTGTGATTCCATTTACACGGAATAACCAGAACTAGTAAATCCCTGGAAATAGAAAGCAGGCCAGGTGATGTGTGGCTCGCGGCTGTAATCCCAGCACTTTGGGAGGCCAAGGCAAGCAGATCACTTGAGCTCAGGAGTTTGAGACTAGCCTGGGCAACATGGCAAAATCCATCTCCACAAATACAAAAGAATTAGCCACGCGTGGTGGCGTGTGTCTGTGGTCCCAGCTACTCAAGAGGCTGAGATGGGAGGATCGCTGGAGCCCAGGAGGTTGAGGCTGCAGTGAGCCAAGATTGCACCACTGTATTCCAGCCTGGGTGACAGAGTGAGACCCTGTCAGGAAAGGAAATGAAAGGAAAGGAGAGGAGAGAAGAGGAGAGGAGAGAAGAGGGGAGGGGAAGGGGCAGATTGGTGGCTTCGGGGGATGAGGGGTGGACAGTGAGGAGTTGACTGCTCATGGGTATAGGTCTCCTTTTTGGGGATGGTGACAATGTTTTGGAACTAGATAGAAGTAGTTGTACAACATTCTGAATGAACTAAATGCCACTGAATTGTATACTTTAAAATAGTTAATTTTATGCTGTGTTAATTTCACTTCAATAAAAACAAATGCTTTAATGAAGGAAATTCAGACACACAAGCATGATACACGGAATGCCCACTGGGCCAGCCCCAGACACCGTGCCTCCTTTAACCCTCCAGGCTGTGCCAGGAGCCATCGGCTCTCTCTCCAGCTGACAGTGGCAGCACAGAGGCTGGCAGGCCAGTGCCCAGTGGTTATGGCCGGCGGGAGGATGGGGGGTCAGGTTGGAGCATCTGTGAAGTGCAGTGGCGAAGCCTGCCTCCTGGGGCTGCAGGAAGAGCTAAATTAAGCTGGAGATCATCGATGGGGGGATGTGTTATAAACGGCTAAGGGCGGCTCGAACAAGCTCTCAGGTATGCTGGCCGTGGATGCCAGACAGTGACTGCCATGGGATCCAACCTGCAGGGGCTGGGGCAGAGCTGCCACCTGCCCAGGCTTGCAGGGGGCCTACTCCTCTCCCCATTGTCCTCCAGCTATGCTGTCCCCTCCTGACTTCTCCAGATCCCTCCCAAACTTCCCACTCCAAATTTCCCCCGGTGAGTCAGAGCTGCACAGTACATAGCAACTTGTCCAGAGAGAAGGTCTGCCATGGCCCAGGGCCACAGAGGAGGGTCCCAGACACACATGACCACCAGTGAGGTGGATCTCAGGATCCCTCTCAGCCATTAGCATCCCTGCTGACCAGCTGCACCCCGTCCCGGCCTCCTGGGCTTTTGCCCACCTCGGTAACAGGATAAAAAGATGTTAGCCGAGGCAGCGGATCACGCCCGTAATCCCAACACTTTGGGAGGCCAAGGCGGGTAGATCACCTAAGGTCAGAAGTTCAAAACAAGCCTGGCCAACGTGGTGAAATCCCATCTCTACTAAAACTACAAAAATTAGCTGGGCGTGGTGGTGGGTGCCTGTAATCCCAGCTACTCGAGAGGCTGAGGCAGGGGAATCGCTGGAACCCGGGAGGCAGAGGTGGCAGTGAGCCGAGATCATGCCATTGCACTCCAGCCTGGGCAACAGAGCGAGACTGTCAAAAAAAAAAAAAAAAAAAAAAGATGCTGAGACCTTTGCCTCCTGCCACATGGCAGCACCCATGCATGGTGAGGCAACACTGTCAACAGACCTCAGGTGCCAGAGCACAGGTGGAGCGAAGCCAGGAGAGAAGCACAGAGGGACCGGTATTGCAGTTCAGTGGCTGCCGGGGCTGTGGGGGTTCCGAGGCTCCAGGAGCTGCGCTGTGACGGACTCACCACGTTTGTTTCGGACCAGGTTGGAGGAAGCCTCCAGTATTGGGAACCTTGCTTGACTGGCAGGAAATAGGCCTGCCACAGAACCTGCAAACCTTCCAAATGCACACATACCCTTTGGGGTGTACTTACCCCCCGGAAAAGCAGAGAAATATCACAGAAAATCTATGCATTTCTTTCCCACCCATGATGATGCCTCATGAACAGAACAAGAGAGATTTCCAGAGCACTGGCCTTTTCTCAGGGTGGGCTCACCATTTTCTCCAAGGGGCCAGTTAGTGGGGTGGAGTTCTGTGGGGTTGTTTGTTTTTTTTTTTTCTATTTTTTAAGAACTGTTTAGGTTTACAGCAAAACTGGGAGGAAGGTACAGAATTCCCATATACCGCAAGGGGCAGGTCTCATGGGTCCCTGGCACCCAAGTCTCTGGTGAGGGTCTAGCCACTGAAGGGCAGGGCTAGACGGTGGCCAGTGGCAAACTGACCAATAGCTGGCACCCTCATCCTATTCTCATCTGTAGCTACAACAAGGGACAAATTTCCCCAAATCATGAGCCCACATGGAAACTTCACAAGCTGTCGAGACAGCAGCAGGTGTCTGCGGCCCTGCCTTCCCCCGGAGCCCTCTGCTGCCCACCCTGCGTATCAGACCCCATCGCCATTGACACATCCCCTTGGGGCCTCTTCCCAAAGCCCTCGGTGGCGTTGAAGTTATCCTGGGCCTTTGCCTGGCCTATGTTTATTTTCTCACTCTCCCACCACAATGCGGCTGCCATGGGACCGGGTTCTTACTCACCCAGCCCCCCACGCATAGCGCCCTGGAACCCATGTGATCACTGTTTGTTGAATGACGACTGAATATTGAAATGGAAAACACTGTGTTCCAGACACCTGAGTTAGAAGCCTAGCCCTGCCCCTCGGTTGTTCTGTAACCTGGTGCGTGTTACTTAATCTCTCGGAACGAGGAAAACACCACCAGGGTACACAGACTGGCACTGTGTCCCCAACGCTCCTGCTCACCCACGAACCTGAGAGATAAAATGACTTTGTAGGGGGTCTCCATACCCACGACACTCCCAAAGAGAGAGGGCGCAGACAAGGCCTGTTTATTTCACTCGTGTGCGCCCTCAGGAGAGGCCCAGGGATGTTGGCACAGGTGCATTGTGGGCCCCGAAATAATCAAATTGCAGAAGGAGAGAGAGGGGGAGAGAGCGGGAAGGGTAATTGAATATCGGAGCGGAAGCTATTCTCAAGTCACCCATTTCATGGTTCTTTCTCCTGTTTATGTTTTCTAAGAGATCTCCAAAATAAAATAGTTCTATTATTTTATGACTCATAGATATACGTTATAGTGATAACATATTACAGCTACGGCAACGATGCTTATGGAATGGCCGCTCCGTGCCGCGCCGTAGAACTCTGCAAGGTGAATCTCTCTCTCTCTCTCGCCTCACAGCTCGGGAAGCCTCGGCTCTGAGAGGCCAGACTCCAGCCACGCCATCCAGACCACGGGGCCACGGGGCCACGGGGCCAGCTGAGCCCGCAGTCACTCTCCTCCTCTGCTCCTCCGCCTCTAAAAGGTCCTTTTCAGACGCTCAGGCACTCGCAGGCGCCCCTCTTTCATCATGGTTAGGCGCCACATGCTTTTCATCTCCAAGTCTGGCTACTGCAGATGCAGAATGAAAAACGAGCCAATAACACAGCAAACCCGGGCAACTCGGCACGAAAGGCAATAACCGTGGTGAGGGGCCAGGCGGCGATTCCAGCCAGACAGATGAGCGGGCGTCACGGGCTCCAGGTGACGTAGAAAGGGCACAGAAAGGTCTCACCCTGAAGGGAGAGAACGTGGGGCAGGGGCTGGAGCGAGTGTGGAGACCCGGGTTCCAGCTCCCTCTCTCCTCGTCCTGCCAGGGACTGGGCCGAGAGACTTGGGCCCTCTGCCCCTCGGCTTCCAGGTCTGTCAAATGGGGCAATAGGAGAGTGCTGACAGCCCAGGGCTCCCCTGAGAGCTTTAAGAACACACCTGGAAAGTTCTAGCGCAAGGTGAAGACCGTAAGAATGTTAGTGGCCGCCCCATCTGTGAACTAGGCACGGTCCTGTAGATCTCAAATGGCCACCTTTCAAGTGAGGACAACACGGGTGGTGACGGTGCCGGGAAAAAAGAACGCACGCCTCGGCCGTGAGGCCTCTCCGAGAAAGGGACAGGCAGCAGTGGCACCGCCCACACAGAAGCATGGTCACCCAAACTCAGGCAGGCAGGTCAGGTGGGTCCCAAGGGCTCTCAATCCTTGCTGAATGGTAGAGTCACCTGGGGAGAGACTCTAAAACATTCCTGCCCAGACACCACCCCCAGAGACTGGGATTTTACTGGCCTGAGTGTGGCCCGGGCAGAGGATGCTTAGAACCAATCCCAGTGGGCCGGGCGCCGTGGCTCACGCCTGTAATCCCAGCACTTTGGGAGGCCGAGGCGGGCGGATCACGAGGTCAGGAGATCGAGACGATCCCAGCTAACACGGTGAAACCCCGTCTCTACTAAAAATACAACAAATTAGCCAGGTGTGGTGGTGGGCGCCTGCAGTCCCAGCTACTCGGGAGGCTGAGGCAGGAGAATGGCGTGAACCCAGGAGCCGAGCTTGCAGTGAGTGGAGATTGCACCACTGCACTCCAGCCTGGGCGACAGAGTGAGACTCTGTCTCAAAAAAAAAAAAAGAACCAGCCTCATGTGTCCGGCTGGGCTGAGAACTGCCAGCCCAGACCGCCTGACACCTGTGCCCCACAGGGCACCCTCCAGTGGCTCCCACCTCTGTGCCTGCCTGAAGGGGCCTCAAGGCTGCAAAGCACCCCAAGTGGGTCAGCCACACCCAGCCTAGCACAGCCACCTTGTGAGGGCTCTGCCCAAGCCCCACAGCCCTGCAGCCATCTGTGGGGAGCTACTGATCACCCAGATGTGATCTTGCAGATGCACAGAAGACCGGGTTTCCACCACCCTGAGCCAAGGAGGCCTCTACCATGGAGAGAGGCCATCAGAGACCAGTGTCCGGCAGCGCCCTGCCTGGCCCCAGAGCCTGGGGCAAAAGGGAACGTCAGGACCACCGACCCTTTTCCTCCAAAACTTCAATATTTCCTTCCTCATAGATATCTTGCATTCATTTTGCATTAACTTTATTTAAAACATTGCATTAAAACATCATTTCTGCCTCTCTCCTCACACTGGTCCCACCCTGGCCTCTCTGTGGGATGTCCCTGCCACCCTGACCCCTCTCCAGCCCTCCAGACACTGATGGCTGCAAGCTTTACATGGGTGGCCCACCAGGCCCTGCAGCAAGTAACCCTCCTGCAAGCTCCTCCTGTCCCCAGAGTGTCTGTTGTCACCAGGACACATCAAAATGGCTGAACACTAGGTGGCTCCCCTCCCAAGGGGCATTTTGGAACTTCAGGAAGGGCTGTTTTGAGTTGTCACAATGACCTTCAGTAAATACACAGGCCAGCCCTGCAGGTAACTCTGTCCCTGGTCTTGCCAGACGTTCAGGTAAGCAAAGAGGCTGCTTATAATTACCTGAGCTAGAACCTTAGAAAATATATCCTGGGGATCTTTGCTGCACAGTTAATCCTCGCTGGCTTTTCCAGGAAAGCATCTCCTGTGTCCATTGAAGGGAGGACACGTTGCTGCGTTTGGAACTTGACCACCTGGGAAAGTCACATCACAGGTACATGCTCAGCTGCTGGAGTCTGGAACGCCAGGCCTGGCCCGTCCGCATCAGCCATGGGGGCTGGCACGGGGATAAGATGACACAGGCATGCCTCGGGGGGGCTTCTGGGCTCCCCTTGGAGACAGAGCCAGGCCTTTACATATTGAAAAACATATGATTTTATCATACAATTTCCCTTTAATTCCTCCTCCATATAACAGGGCGTTATATTGACTCTTGCAAAATTGTGTGTGAGGTGAGTTATCTCTCAGCTATGATTTTCTTTTCAGATGGTACAGGGAGTGCCCCTGGCCTGAGGAGGGTGAGGATGAGGGGTCGTCAGTGGCCCAGGATGCCCCTCACCTGGGAGCATTACAAAATGCTGGTGCCCAGGCTGCACCCCAGGATACTGATATATGTGGTCCAGGAGCAGCCTGGGTTGGGCTGGGGGCATTCTCCAGAGCAGCTGAGGTTAGGAGTCCCCGGGCCGGATGCATTCAGTCCCATCAAGGAGGTTATCTGGGCGCTCTCAGCCTCCGTTTTCTCATCAGCGAAATGGGAATGATGAGACGGCCCAAAGCCATCCACAGACATTGGGAATGGCTGCCTTCATTCCTTCATTCTCCCTCCAGTTCTCCTGACCTGAAGGGTATAGGAGCTGAAAGCCTGCGCCTCCTTGGGACAGCCTACCCGGGGCTCCCCATTCCTCCGTTGTCAGGGAAAGTAACTCAGTTACAGGTGGCCAATCTAATGTGGCCGATAGGATAATTGGCCAATAGGATAATAGGGCCCCAGCGTACGTAGTAGTTGTGTGTTACCAGGGCCATGGCAAAGGCCCGAGATTCTCAGGGAGGAGAGGACACATAGAGGCTGCTTTACCTGCAGGTAATTCCCGCAGAGGGCTGTGGGAGGCCCTGGGGGAGAGGCTGGGAGCCAGTCTGCAGGAAAGGAGGGAGCCGGCCCTTCTCCGGAGCAGTCCTGGAATCTCTGTTGCTGCCGTGCAGGAGGAAATGGGAGTCCCAATGCTTACTTAGCCAACGACCTTTGAAGGCATCTGGCTAGAACGAGAGAGAAGCCGAGGGGCTGAGCGGCTCTGAGGTGCCACTCCTCGCCCTCTGTTCGCCCTCCCCCACATGGCTTAACCTTTTTGGTGTTGGCTTGTTTGTGAGTTTGGTGACACTTCCCCAGCTGTTATGTCAATGGAAGCAGGGCTCCTCCTGACAAGAGTCCTGCCTTTCAGCCCAAGGACACCTCCCAGTCCCCCCTCGAGGCCCGCCCCGCTGGCCACTCTCCCCCAGGCCAGGCAAGTGCTGGGGAGGGCCCCACTGTTGTCCACGGGCAGCCAGGCCTGTGAGAGAAGACCCCCATCCTGAGAGCCCTTCCTGGGCTCCAGGCCCAGCGAGGGATGAAGGGACAAACGGCGTGAGGTCCTCTCCCGGCTGTCACGGTGAGCGTGGAGCCGCCTCTGCTTTCTCAGCAGAGCCCAGCTGGGCCCGTTGCAGGCTGCTGTCTGTGTCGCGTGCAAAGAAAGAGCCCTTTCCAGTGTTTTATTTACATACAGCACATTACATACAGGAAAACGCCGCTTCTTCATCCACAGCTCTGGGAGGTTTGACCAATGCATGCGGTCACGTAACTGTGACCATAATCAAGATATAGCACACTCCATCCCCACAAGGAGCCCCACGGCCCTGGCAACAGCAGCCTGAGCTCTGTGCCGACAGCAGAACCCGACTAGCACAGCCTCGGGAGGCAGCATCAGCGGGGCAGCTCCGGCGATGCACGCCTTTTTGTCACCGAGTAGTATTCCATTGCAGGGGTGGGCCTCAGCCTGTTTATTCAGCCCCAGCTGAGGGACATCTGGGTTGTTTCCTGTTTTTGCTTAGTCAGGTTCTAAAAACTGGTTTCTCATCCCACAGCCACCAGCTCGGGAACAAAGATCTTTACAAATGAGCGGCTGTGCGCTGACATCCGGGCGATCATGGAGATCCCCGGGGGTGAGGCTCAGGGACCCCCAGGCACCAGCACATTCTCAACCCCAGGCCATCTGGCTCCAAGCTCCTGCCCAAAGTTGGCAGGCTGGGGGCTGCTATGAGGCCCAGCTGCAGCCAACTCCCTAGAACCCTGGGCCGTTTATAAGGGAGTGACAGAGGCCTGCGGTCTTGAGGACGCCCGAGGAGGGCTGCTGCCCCTCTGAGCCCCTGAGCCGTTGAGCCCCCTCGCCTCCCCACATGGGTGGCATGTGAGGGCTGCTCCTGCCTTCCCCCAGCCCCTCCAGGGGAAAAAGAATGGAATGACAGGGTGCCAGCTAGTGATGAGCTGAGCCCAACCCCAGCACAGGGCCTGAGTGGGACTCAGGGAGACGATTACGGGCAGCATGCAGCTGTTTCTCAGCCCTGTCGGCCATGGCCCGAGACTCCCTTTGTTCCCGAGGGAGGGGATGGCTGGGCTCAGGGGTGGCCTTGTGGGTGGGGGCTCCTGGCCGACTGCCTGCCCTTGCATCTCCGCTGCCCGCCAGCGAGGAGATCACTCAGGCCCTGATACGATCGCTTCGGGACAGGCGGAAATTGGAATGTCCCGGGTGCTTGATCGAGGCAGCTTTTGAGCTGCGGCCACAGGGACATTAGAAGCCAATGTAATGGCCTCATTCAGCTCCCCTTGCAGCCCCGTGACCTTGGACAGGCTGAAAGCCTGTGTGCTGTTTTGATGAAAAATCAGGAGTTAGGGAAGTGAGGGAGGCTGGCACGAGGGCAGGGTGGCTGGGCAGGAGCTCTGGTGTGCTGCTGTCCGTCTGTCTGTCCTCACTGGCTTCAGGCCACCTGCCCCCTACGACGGGCCATCCGTCCATGCTGGCTCCCTGACAACAGAGCCTGAGGACCCCAAAGGGACAAAGAAATCCCCACCCCAGGTGACCCTGGGTACAACCTGTGATAAGGAGGCTGGGGCCTCAGCTGGGGAGGGGAGGGGCTCTCACAGGACAAAGGGACCCCCCCCACCTGAGCTCCCACTGGGGCCTCAGTCTCCCCATCTCCAGTAGCTCAGCCACCTCCGCCTCCCCTAGTGGCATCTGAGGGCGTCAATGGAGCACTGCTGTGTGTCCCCTGTCCACAAGGCCCCTGCTGTTGGGCTATCACGCAGCCCCTCTTCCAATGGAAACCGAGGTGACTCACCCCAGGCCACACTGCACAGGATGGGACAGCCCCTGGCGGGCCTCCCCTCTGCTACTCAAGCCCCAGGCTCTTGTGTAAAGACAGCCAGGCCAGGACCCTTCTCCCACGTGTCCCAAGTCCAAAGTCAAGAAACCTTGTCCACCCCAAAACCCTGCTCAGCTCCTGGGGCTGGCACTTCTCGGCCAGCACCTGCCCAGGCAGAGCCCATGAGGCCAGCCCTCCCCTCACTGTCTGCAGCTGCCTCCAAACCCGTTTGACAAATCGGCTCTGATGAATAGTGCCTGGGCCGTGTCGGAGCATCTGGGGGCTCACAGCCCTCCTTCCCTCCAGGGCCCTGGCTGAAAAGCCAGCAGGGTCTACAGCCACGTGAAAGGCCCACAGAGGGGCCACCCCCTCACAGACACACACAAAGGCATTGCGACCTCAGGCTGACCCCAGCCTTGAACCAAGAGCTGACGGATATGGGGCGGGGCTGGGGGCTGCCCATCACTCTCCCAAGTTGGGAGAGGGGTCTTCCTGTACTGCCCCACCCCTCCCCAGAGGTGCAGGAGGCATTGCCCAGCAGACCTAGGAGATGAGGGTGGGGAGAATTCAGATAGGATGGCCCTGTCACTGCTTCCCCTCCCCCAGGCCTAGGATTCTGTCCCGGGGCTGAGTCTTCTCCCAGCCTGAGCCCCTTCTGTTGGGCTCCTCCCGCCCACATAGTCCAGAACCAGTGGATGGAGCCAGCTGGAAACCAGGTGGGCTCCCTGAGGGAAACTGCCTGGGAACCTTTGCTCTCTCTTGGCTCTGCTCTGTTCTCCACTGGCCCCTCCTGGACCTCCCCTGGGATTCTGGAAGGAAGGGCCCCTCCCCAGATGGATCAGACCCTCTTGTCCCAGTCTTGGGAACCTCCAGGCCAAGCTTCCACTCCCTGAGCCGAGTGTCCCCTTATCAGCATCCTGGGCAGGCAGGAGCAGGCAGCCCCACTCTGAGGTCAGAACAGGCAGCCCCACTCTGAGGTCAGGATGAGGGAAAACAAAATGCACACTGGTAATAGCCAGTGGGCACAATGCTCTTCCCAGAGGACAAGCTTTTCAATATTGTAATTCTCACAGCAACCCCACTCAGCAGGGGCTGAGTGACAGCCCAGCAGCAGGGGCCAAGTGACAGCCCAGCAGCAGGGGCCATGTGGACAGAGGACACACAGCAGCACTCCACTGACGCCCTCAGATGCCACTAGGGGAGGCAGAGGCAGCCGAGCTACTGTCTGACCTGAAGTCAGACAGGTCCCACCTTCCACTTTCTGGTTTTCCTACTACTTCCTGTTCCTTTTTAGAAAGTGACGAAAGGTCCCTTTTCCATGATGGGAATATTGAGGCATGAAGGGTTAAATTGGCACCCCACCTGGCCCTGTCTACCACTACTCACATCCCATGTCCCTCCTTATCCCCTCAGGGGCCCCTCACTCAGTACCACAGACACCCTCACTTCTACAAGAAGGCTTGGATGGTTCAATCCCTGTCCCCAGAGACGATGAGCCCTAGAACCCTTATCTGTGTATCCTCCTCGTTCTTGTTCCCAGCATGTTGCACACAACCTGCATGCAGTAGGTAGTGAAAAATGCTGACCTACCAGGCCACTCCTGGAGTTGCAGAGGGACCACCCTGTAGTTGAGGCAGAGACCAGGTTCTCACATGCTCCACTGGCCCAAGAAGGGAGGAAATGGGGGCCAGGAGGTGAGGGAATTCCCTTTACCACATGCTCCCCAGGGCCTGGCTGAGCCGGCTGCTCTATCTACACCTCCCCTCATAACTCCTACTGGTGAGTCAGATGGTCTCCCTTGGTTAGGAGAATGAGGCCCAAACAGGTGAAATTACTTGAGTTTGATTACTTGGGAGCTAGAGGCAGCCCTGGAGTTTGAGCCCCAGGTTTTGACACCACCCCACACTGGCTCTCGTGATACCTGACACATAGTAGGTGCTCAACAAAGGTCATAGGACAGAAAGCCCCTGAAGACTATTACAGCTGCAAACACTGCCCCTCGCCCACCCCAGAGGGCACATCCTCCACCAATCTGCAAGGGCACCAGCTGCCCTTGCCCTATGTATTCATGGTTGTTCAAAGCCCTGTGGGGTTTTTAATCATCCCCCATGTGCACACAGGCGTGATTTATAAAGTGGGTCTTAAACGCCACCGCCTCCAATCAGCAGATGAATGCAAGGTCTTGGCAGCATCCACTGGGCTGTGCATTTGGTCCTGAATAAGTCACCCTTGACAATTCCTGCCATGGTGCCAACAGCAACAAATGAGACATGTCATCCCCTTTGCAGGGGCTGGGGGCAGTCACACCCTTGCCAGGCCAGAGGGCAGTGGGATTGTGGCTTCTAAGGGTCCTGGAAGGACAATGACATTGCTGCCCACAGTGGCCGTGCCATGTGGCCTCCTCCACAACCCCAGCCAGGTGGACTTGGGGTATGAAGCCAGTGAGGGCAGGAGTGCAAGGCTTGGGTGAAGCTCTTGGGGGTAGGAGCAGGGAAGAGCAAGCCTCAGGTGCAGGGGGGCAGGGAGGGTGGGAGAGACTTACACCCTCCCCGTTCTGACCTCAACCCTCCTTTCCACTCCAGGGTGCCTCCAATGGCAGCCCCATCTCCCAGCCCTGAGTCGCCATCACTCCTCTCTTGGGGCCTCCCCTGTGGGCTACCCTCTGCCTTCTTTCTCCACAGCAGCTAAAAGGCCAGGGAGGAGGCGTTAGATCTGGAGGCCAGACTCTGCTGATGAGCAGCTCATAAGTGATGGCATCTCTTGGCCTCAGTTTCCCCATCTGTAAAATGGGTGCCTATGCTACGAGGATGTGGTATGTTTTCAGTGAGGCACAATAAGTAAGGCAGTGGCATGGAGCTCAGGGAATGCCCCAGCACCCCACCTCTCGGCACAAGCCACCCGAGCTCTCCTCCTGAGGAGAAGGGTGAGCCCCTGGCTCCCGGCTCCACCGCCTGGACTTCTCTCCAGCCACCAACCCGAGTCTCAGCCCCCCACCCCCTGCAGCCTTGGAGGCCGCTGGGCAGCGGCTCTGGCTCACTTCTGCTAATCCATAGGGCCCCATGGGCCTAGCCCTGCCAAGTTCAGGCAGCTCCAGCCCCAGCACCCCCAGCAAGGGAGGCCTCCGTGGAGCTGCGGCCTAGTTGGCCACACACCGTCCACGTGGTTGGGTTGGTTTGTGGCAGAAAGGCTGATGGGCCAGAACTCAGAGGGGAACTGGAAATCTCCAACCAGCGGGACGAACTGGCTCCAACGTGGCCAGGAGAGGTCCCTCGGGGGCCCCTCTAGTGCGTAGAGACCCTGCCACACTGGTGTGGGAGGTCCAGGGCCCGAGTAACACACCCAGTTGCTGTGGACCTGGGAGCCGAGGTTCTGAGCTCTTCGCCCTGCTTGTCCCCCAGTGTGTGCCAAGACTTCCCTTGCCAAATAATTTCCCAAACAGGTTTTCAGAAGAGAGTTGGCAGAGAGTGTTCTGGCTGTGTCTAAAGGAGACAAAGGAAAGCGGAGAGTCAGCATTTGCTGGGGCTGCTTTGACCCCAGCAGAGCATTTTGGCCCCATGAATGATGATTGCAATGTGTTCATGGGTGACATGATGAAGAAACTGGGAGGGCACTGAGACTCGGTTTCCAAATCCACTGGGGGTGCTCATTCTGGCTGCTGGGGAGCCTCTGCGGCGGAGGCAGCAACTGGGGCCACCCTGGGGGCTGTGGCCCTTCAGCGCCAGGGCCATGGTCACAGCGGACAGCCTGGAACCCCAGCCACCAGCCTCCATTCCCGGGGCCTCTCGGAGATGAGGTTTGTACCAGGGACTCACAAGCCCCCTCCCCAGCCTGGGCTCTGTTGATGACAAAGTCTTCCCCCGCCGATGCTCAAACAATAAGTTTGATGAGCAGTTCTGCACCCTGAGTCCACGCAGCTGCCCCTCTCCGAGTGTGTAAATGTCCTTCATTTTAGGCAGTCCTGGCGATTGCAGTCGGCATCTGGAGATGTGGTTGGTTTCCTTGAGTGTCTGTAAGAATTGGCCACTCTGTTAGTCCTCAGATGGCTCCCTGGGCTTGGACTAGACTTGGGCTGGACTTGCTGTAGGGTTAGGGTTAGGGTTAGGGTTAGAGTTAGGACCAGGGGATCCAGGTCCTAGCAAGCAACACGTGTTCACTGGAACTTGCTCAAGGGCAGGAGAGACTGGAAATGCCTCATGAAGAAAGGCTGGTGTAGGGGCCACCCACCGTCTCCACTGCCGGCAGCTCAGGGGCGCCAGGAGATGGCCACCATTTTGTCCATGGGAACCTGGGATCCTCGTCTCTAGGCCCATTAGTGTGCACCCTGGCATACATCGAGTGGGGGTCTTCCCTGCCTCTGTGCCCCGCCCCCACCTCTCTGACTGCTGCTTAAAGCACTCAGTGGCAGCAGGCTCCGGCCAGCATTTGAAGTGAGACCCTACTCCAGGGCTCAGGGAGGCCAGGTCGCTGGCCAGGGGCACAGTCACCAGGGGACAAGAACTGATCAGTGCACCCCCCACCAAACAATCCTCAGCCCCGGGCGCCCCGCTGTACGGGGCCGTGAGCCCTGACACCTTGGGCCTGAGCCCCAGAGTCAGATTCGTTTTTCTCAAAACCCACGCCGGGAGACCCAATCCTGGAAGGGGACCAGTAGAAATTCTCTGCAGCCATCACGCATGCTTGGCTGAGCCCCCAGCCCCACAAGGCAGCCCTGCCACTCCTCCTCCAGGCAGCATGCTGGGTAGCCAGTCTCCCTGAGCTCCCAGGCAGCTGGGCCTCAGCTCAGGGACAGGGACAGGGACGTTTCCCCTGGAGGCTTCCAGGGCCCAGGACCCACCCCTTGTGGTGCATCCTTCACATCCCCAGCTCAGAAAGTTCTTTCCCAGGGAATGCCCACCCAGCCCAGCCTCAGGAGCTCTTGCCCACGCCTCAGCTCTGCGTCGCTCTTCCTGCAGTCGGAAAGCACAGGCTCCGTGGACGCAGAGGCCACTCCTCATGCCCTACACCGTCCTCCTTTCCTGTGCCAGTGACAGCGCCACCCCCTGACCCGCCAACTCTCAGGTAAGTCACTGAGTCACTAAGCACTCGAATCATCTCACCAAAGCTGGGGACAAAGGGTCTTTGTCCTGCTTCAGGAGACAATGTCCCAACACGTTGCCGTCCCCCAAATGTCCCCAAGCCACGCTGGATGTCTCACCTGTGTCCACCAGCTCCAGTTTCTCACTCATTCAACAACTCACCTTGAACCTAGACGTAAACAAGATGGAGCACCATCTTGTTCATCGTGCGGCCCCTGGTGTGTTGGGAAGACAGGTTGGGAGGACGGCAGTGGTGGTGGGGAGGGGTTGCTCCCGGAAGGGATGAGGAGAAGGCAGTACAGTGCCCCTCGAGAATGGAGTGGGTTTGGCAACACAGAGGTCACTGGAGACCTTGGTGAGACCTCTTTTGATGCTCAATGCTCCACTGGTTTAGTGGAGCTTCCAATTCCAGGAAGGGAAACTGACAACTCATTAGTGAACATGAATATAGTTTCTACACAGCAAATCGAACAAGTAAGGGACTGGGAACAGTGGGGAGCAGGTGTGGGGGAGGGCAGGACCCTGAGGAGGGGACACATGAGCTGAGGCTGAATACAGTGAGGGTGGGGACCCTGAGAATAGCTCGGTGCAGGGCGGGCATTACAGGTTAGGGAATGGCGAGTACAAAGGCCCTGGGGTGGGAATGAGCTACACGCTGGACCCAGGGAACCTGGCAGAACACAGTGTGGCAGGGTGCCCAGGAGGGTGTCACGGGGTTGGCAGAGCCAGATGGAGAATGGGGGCTATTTAAGGAATGGGAAGACGGGGGAGGTCAGGTTTCCGGCATGGACGTGCTGCTGTGAGCTGTTGGCAATTGTCCGATTCAGCCTGTAAGCTGTTGAGACGCTGAGGTGCTGAGTGGGCGGACAAACATCTGGATCGCAGGGTGGAGGTCAGAGGATCGCAGGATGGAGATCAGAGAGGTCAGAGCTGGGTAGACGCATGTGGGGCTATCACCATAGGAATGGCATTTAAAGGGACTGGACTGTCGGCCGGGCACAGTGGCTCACGCCTGTAATCCCAGCACTTCAGGAGGCCAAGGCGGGCGGTTCACCTGAGGTCAGGAGTTTGAGACCAGCCTGGCCAACATGGTGAAACCTCATCTCTACTAAAAATACAAAAATTAGCCAGGCGTGGTGGCACACATCTGTAATCCCAGCTTCTTGGGAGGCTGAGGCAGGAGAATCACTTGAACCTGCGAGGCGGAGGTTGCAGTGAGCTGAGATTGCGACATTGCACTCCAGTCTGGGCAACAGAGTGAGACTTTGTCTCAAAAAAATAAAAATAAAAAATATAAATAAATAAAATAAAGGCACTGGACTGGGAGGATCCTGGGGAGGGGTGTAGATGGGGCTTAACCCAGGCCCTCCTGGGTGAGGAAAAGGCAAAAGAGCCATGGAGAGACACTGAGAAGGTGTGGCCCATTATGTAGTGGGAGGACCGGTAGGGAGGACCAGTGGGGAGGACAGGTGGGGAGGATGGTGGGGAGGATCGGTGGAGAAGACAGGTAGGTAGGGAGGACAGGTGGGGAGGACAGGTGGAGAGGACAGGTGGGGAGGACAGCTGGAGAGGATGGGGGGAGGACCGGTACGGAGGACCGGTGGGGAGGACAGGTGGGGAGGACAGGTGGGGAGGACAGGTGGAGAGGATGGGGGGAGGACCAGTAGGGAGGACAGGTGAGGAGGACAGGTGGGGAGGACGGAGGGGGAGACGGGTGGAGAGGACAGGTGGGGAGGACACGTGGGGAGGACAGCTGGAGAGGATGGGGGAGGACTGGTACGGAGGACCGGTGGGGAGGACAGGTGGGGAGGACAGGTGGGGAGGATGGGGGGAGGACCAGTAGGGAGGACAGGTGAGGAGGACAGGTGGGGAGGACGGAGGGGGAGACGGGTGGAGAGGACAGGTGGGGAGGACACGTGGGGAGGACAGCTGGAGAGGATGGGGGAGGACTGGTACGGAGGACCGATGGGGAGGACAGGTGGGGAGGACAGGTGGGGAGGATGGGGGGAGGACCAGTAGGGAGGACAGGTGAGGAGGACAGGTGGGGAGGACGGAGGGGGAGACGGGTGGAGAGGACAGGTGGGGAGGACACGTGGGGAGGACTGATGGGGTGGGGGCCCCCAGAAGGCACCAGAAGAAAGCAGTACAGGGCTGCTGGAGAATAGAGTAGGTTTGGCAACACAGAGGTTGCTGGAGACCTTGGCGAGACTTCTTTTATGCCAGATTCGTTTCTACAGGGACTGAGGAAGAGGAGTCTATAAAGAGAAATAGCTGTGGGGTGTTGTGGGGTTGGCGGGCCAGCTTGGCTGGGGGTGGCCAGGAATGAGCCCGCACACAGGGAAGTTGACAGGGCGGATGAGAGCTGCTCTGAAGCCATCCTGACCCCAAACTTAGATTTCCCCCCGGCTGCCTTTTGATTCTTATCCCTACCCCTAATCCCTCTTCATGCTGCAGCCAGAGGAGGCTGGGGTTCAGGGAAGACCGAGCTGCAGCTCCCCAGCAAATCCCGAGTCCCTCTCCGGCTCAGGAGGCCTGAGCTCCAGCCATGCCCTTTCTCAAGCCCCTGTAGGAAGCACTGCCTCATCCTCAGGCACTGCGTAGGCCTTCTCCACATGCCCCTGGTAAGCCTCACTCCTCATGGTCCCAAACTCTTCAGAGGCCTCAGCTGTGTGTCCAGCCTGGCTCAGGGTGGGCACTGAGACACGAATGCAGAGCCCTAACCTTCGACCTCCCACCCTCCCCTTCCTCTCTGCTCTAGTCATCCAGCTTCTTCTCGAATGTCTCCCATGACGGGGTGCTCAGCATCACTCAAGCCAGCTGTGTCCCTGCTTTGGGTTTTCCCCTGGTATGAGTTCAGGGCCAGAGCAGGGAGCCGGGGCCCATCGTAGTGCAGGGGTGGGGGCTCTCCCCAGCTGGGGGAGCGTCCCAGGTCTCCTGGGAGACCTGGGCACATGTGCAGCTGCTGTGCACAGGCAGGAAGATGGCGGCCTCCACTGACCAAGCTCTCAGACGACTCATCAGCTGTGACACACGCCTTTTCATTTGGACCCATTAGGGTAACCTGGTGGAAATAAAGCATCTGTCACACCCCAGGAAAGTGTCACACAGGTATTCCCAAATTCTCTTTCTCCACAGCCCTCAGAGGTCTGACGGCCATTCATACCCATCAACCGGGAGAAAAATCATGTCATTTCCATAATGCACACCCTCTCTGCAGAGGCGCTATAAATATGTAGAGATGACATCGCCGCAGCGTGGCTTGTGTGAGTGATGTCATCTCGGGGGGTTGCCTAGCAACCCCGACAACGTTTGGGAGGCTCTAATTCTTGAGTGGGATAAAGTCACATTTACGCAGTTCAGTTAATCAGCTTCCTGGCAACTCCGCCAAGATGATCTCATTTTATTCATGATTATTTTATGTGAAATGCACTTTTAGCTCTAAGAGAACACAAAGATTTAATTCAAAACTCGCTATTGCTTTGTGTTTCCAGGGTGTCGTTAACACGGCGTCCATGCAAATAACCATGGTAACACACGGATAATTAGTATATATGGCACGCGGTATTAATACAGAGCCGGGGCCGGCTCCCAATCAGCGCCGATTACCGCGTGTTATTACTGGAGTAATTACCTGCAGTAACACACAAATTGAACTAAATGGTCAATTGAAGTAAAGTGAATGGCTTTTTATTCTAGTTCCTAAATAATGTGTCTGCTTGGCTGAGTAGTTCAAGGTAAATAAAAGTCTTAAATTGATGGCCTCTTCCCCACCGCCCCTCCCTGGGTGGAGAATTGGGCTTCGTGGGTCTTGCAGTCTGGTAACCAGACAGTTACTCCTGGAAGCATCTGCCTCTCCTCCAGCCTCCCCACCTCGAAAACGAGCACCCCCATCAAGCATCCCTGCAGAGCTCTGGCCCTTATTAAAAATTCCCAAGCCCTGTGTGCCGTCTTACTCATCCCCCCAGGGAAGAGGGCACGGAACTTTCCAGATAGAAGATGAAGAGCAAAAGGCAGCGGCCTTCCTCCCAGGGATGTTTTCTTGCCCCTCTGGTAGGTGGGGCAGAAAGGAATCACTGGCTTCCTGTTACAGGATGGAAGCGGGGAGGGGAGGTCAAAGGTCACTTCTGCCTTATTAGCAGAGCGTTTCTAAAATTCCATAAACTTAGAAGATCTTCAAACAGGAAGTCACACTGGACCTCTCAAAGAGACAGGGCACATACCGAATTTGAGCTGCTTCGCTCCCTTCAGAGAGGGAGAGGGAGAAGGGAAGGCATGCAGACGATCCTTGGACTGGGCGCGGAGAAGATCAGATGCCCAGCGATGGGGACAGGGGATAGAGTCAGTCTTATTCTGGTCCTTTCTCTGTGACAGGAGCAGTGTTGGGACGGAAGCAGGCCTGGGGAGGTGGGAAAGAAACGTCAAGTCCTTCATTCAGCCCATCTGGGATGATGGGCCAGGGTGCCCACATGGGCATCGAACTCCTAGAAGGCAAAGACAGAGTGCAGAGGAGTATAAAGAGGGTCCGGCTGCTCGGGGTTTCTCTGAGGGAGCCGTATTTAAGCTGAAACTGGAAGGGTGAGGGAGGTCGCAGGGAAGGAGGTTGCAGGGAAGGAGGCTGCAGGGAAGGAGGGCTGAGGAGGACACTAGCAGTCAGGGAAGGGCCAGCAAAAAGCCCTGTGACTAAGAGAGGCCACTCCACTGCACCACCATCTTGAAATGTCACATGTGTGGAAATGCGTAAGTACAGAAATCTAGGAGAAGGAAAGAAAAACGTGGCTTAAAAACCCACAGCCATGTCTGCATTCCAGGGTGGCAGGGGCAGAATTCATTACAGGGCAAGCAAGATGCTTTGTTACTCAGAAAACCCTCTTAAGCGCCTTTGCTTGTCAAGGTAAGGCCACCTCTCTACTCTGGATTGGAGAGTCTGAGACCAACAAAGAGAACAAATTGCATTTCAAAACAAAGGGATTTTTGATCAAAACACTTGCAGGTGCACAGCTGCTCACACCCACTGCCCCACCACAAGGCAGCCATCAGTGCAATATAAACAAGGGGGCCCAGAACATATGCCTGGGCTGAAAACAAGACAAGCCTCTCACAAATCAGAAACAGAAGGAGCAGGGTGAGCACCACAGCCCACAGGGCTCCAGGTTGGGAGTGGCAGGATCTGGACTCAGCACTCCCAAAGGGCAACAGGGACTGGAGTCCAGTGCGGGCCAGGACACAGGCTTGGGAAAGAGGGCAAGAAAACAGCCCAGCAGCCTTGGTGCTGAAGTTATAGTTTAGGGACACTGCAGTCTATGGAGGAGGCAGGTGGTGGGGTTAGCAGGGAAGGGCTGATGCCACAACCTCAAAATGAGAAGCCTCACCAAGATGCCTTCTGCCTCCAGGACCGTATCTGCTTTGTGCTCCATGTCACAGCACTGCAGAAACACCACCTTAATACCTGATTCTAGACTAATCAGGGAGAGAAAGGGAGCAAACGATATAAAACCAGATGAAGAAAAACCTCAACTCCTCCCAATCGAAATGAGCAAACTAACATTTTAAAACACAAGAAGAAATGGTAGAGGAAGAAACTGATTTTGTATGGCAATCTGACAAACACTTCAAAATAACATTGTGTTCCATAATGACATAAAGTCTCACATCTATTGAAAAATGAATAATATATCAATATATCCAAAAATTGTATGAAATTGGACAAAATGGGCAAATTCTTAAGAACAAATACATAACTCATTGACACAAGCTCAAGAAGGAATAGAAAACTAATAGAAATAGAAAAACTAAGTAGTCCTATAACCATTCCATGAATTTAATCAGTAATTTTAAAAGAAAAAAACTTCCTAAGTAGAGAACCTCAGGTCTAGATGACTTCACCGGTACCAAATGTTTAAGTACAAGTTACAGTAATTCCAATCCTGCATAAACTTTACCAGAAAATAAAGAGGATATACTCCTCAATTATTTTGCAAGGATAGCATAAACTTAAAATCAAACCTCACCAAAACTATGAGAAAACTAAGACCTAAATAAATGGGCAGCATATATCATGTTCATAATTTAGAAAACTCAACATTATGAAGATGTTAATTCTCCCAAATTCTTGTTTTAAAGTCAGTTTTATTGAGGTATAATTATCTAGAGTATAACTTACCTTTTTTTAGTGTATAGTTCTGTACGTTTTAACAAACTGAAATAGTCATGTGACCACCACTGTAATCAAGCTATAGAACACTTCCATTGCTCCCCAAAATTCCCCAGACCCTTTTGTAATAAATTCACTCCCCCAGCCCAGTAAATTTATTCCCCCAGCCATTGATCTGTTGTCTGTTCCATAGTTTTGCCTTTTCTAGAAAGTAATTTTAGTGGAATTATAACTATGCAGCCTTTTTGAGTCTGGCTTCTTTTTTGAAAAATCATTTATTTCTATTAAAATAGAGACAGGGTCTCGCTATGTTGCCCAGGCTGGTCTCAAACTCCTGGGCTCAAGCAATCCTCGTGCCTTGACCTCTCAAAGTGCTAGGATTACAGGAGTGAGCCACCACACCTGGCCTGGCTTCTTTTACTTAGCATAATTCACTTGAAATTCACTTGTGTTTTGCATTTATCTATAGCTCATTCAATTTTCTTGCTGAGTAGTATTTTATTATATGGACATACCATGGTTTAAAGAATATTTGAATTGTTTTTCCAGTTTGGGACTATTACAAATCATGCTGCTATAAACATTCATCCACAGATTTTCATGTGATTTATCTTGAATAAATATCTAGGAGTGGGATTGCCGGGTTATATCATAAGTATATGTTTAACTTTATGAGAAACTGCCAAACTGTTTCCATAGTAGCCATGCCATTTTGTGTTTGCATCAATAATGTACAAGAGTTGCAGTCGCTCTGCATTCTCACCAACACTTGTCATTGTCAGGTTTTAAAAAAGCCATTGTAACAGCTGTATAGTGATATCTCAGCATTTACATAATGACTAATTACATTGAGCATATTTTTATGGCCTTATTTGGTATCCATAAATATTCTTTTGATGAAGTGTCCATATCTTTTGTCCACTTTTTATTTTGGTTGCTTACTTATTATTGAGTTTTGAGAGTGTTTCATATATCCTGGCTATAAACTCTTTATCAGAATTGTGTTTTGGAAATGTTTCCACCAAATCTGCGAATTGTCTTTTCATTAATTTTTTTAATTTTGATAAGGTCTAATTTATCAAATTTTAAGCAGGTTGTGTTTTAGTTGTCAGATATAAGAAATCTTTGCCAAAACCAAAACCACAAATTTTTTTCTGTTTTCTTCTAAAAGTTTTATAGTTTCAGATTTAAAAGTTAGTTTACGTTCTGTTTTTTGTTTGTTTGCTTGTTTTTTGAGACAGTCTTGCTCTGTTGCCCAGGTTGTAGTGCAGTGGCACGATATTGGCTCACTGCAACCTCCGCTTCCTGGGTTCAAGCAATTCTGCTGCCTCAGCCTCCCAAGTAGCTGAGACTACAGACGTGGGCCACCATGCCCAGCTAATATTTATATTTTCAGTAGAAACAAGGTTTCTTCATGTTGGCCAGGCTGGTCTCAAACTCCTGACCTCAGGTGATCCTCCCAAAGTGCTGGGATTACAGGCGGGAGCCACTGTGCCCGGCCTAGGTTGTGTTTTGAGTTCATTTTTGTATGTGGTGCAATGTGTGAGTCAAATTTCATTTTTTTTTTTGCATACAAATGTCCAATTGTTCCAGAATCATTTGTTTAAAAGATGGTCCTATATTGAGTTATATTGTAACTTTGATGAAAATAAATTAAGTATATATACATGGTAGTGTATTTTGGTTCCACTGATCTATTTGTATACCCTTTGCCAACACTGCACTGTCTTGATTATCATAGCTTTAAAGTAACTCTTCAAATCAGACAGTGAGAACCCTCCAAGTTTTGTTCTTTTTTCAAAGATATTTTGGCTCTTCTAGTCTATTGCCTTTCCATATACATTTTAGAATCAGCTTGTTGATTTCTATAAACACTCCTGCTGAGATTTTGATCGAGATTGTATTAAATCCCAAATTTCAGAATAATTGACAATTTAACCATATTGAGTCTTTCAATTCATGAACATAGTATATCTCTCCATTCAGGTCTTCTTTGATTTCTTTCATTGGTGTTTTTCAGTTTCAGCATAATGACATTGTACATGTTTTGTTAAATTTATACCTAAGCATTTTACAGGTTTTGGTGCTATGGTAAATGGTATTGTTTCCTTTCTAATTTCAATTTCAAAGGATTCATTTCTGGTCCACAAAATTATAATTACTTCTTTTTATATTGACCTTGTATCTTATGACATCGCTACACTTGGTTTTTTGGGTTTTTTAGAGATGGGGTCACTGTTGCCCAGGCTGGAGTACAGTGGTGCAATCATAGCTCACTGCAGCCTCAAACTCCTGGAGTTCCCACTTCAGTCTCTCAAGTAGCTGGTATTACAGGCATGAGCCACTGCACTTGACAAAATGAGCTCTGTCTAAGAAAGCTGAGTCTGGAGCAACAGACCCAGAGTAAGCCAGTCTCAAAGGTGACCAGAAACAGTGTGCTACTTTTATTATTATTATTAGAGAAAGGGTCTTACTTTATTGCCCAGACTGGTCTCAAACACCTGAGCTCAAATGATCTTCCCACACCAGCCTGTTGAGTAGCTGAGACTACAGGTGCACACCACCATGCCTGGCACACTAATATTAGTTCTAATAACTTTTTCATAGATTTTTTGAGATTTTCTATATAGATAATCATATTGAATGGAAATAGAAGCTGTTTCATTTCTTCCTCTCCAATTTGTATATCTTTTATTTCTTTTTCTGGCCTTATTCCACTGGCTAGGCTTTCCAGTACAATAATGACACTGCATACCTTTGCTTTCTTTCTGATCTTGGAAAATATTTAGTATTTCATTATTAATTAGATATTAGCTGCAGGTTTTTTGTAGATGCCTTTTATGAGGTTGAAGAAACTCCTTTCTCTTACTGGTTTGCTGAGAGGTTTTTTTCATGAGTAGATGTTGAATTTTGTCAAATGCTTTTTTCAATATCTATTAAGATGATCATATGGTTTTTCTTTTTTAATCTGTTGGTATGATGAATTACATTAATTCCTTTTTTTTTTTTGAGACAGGGTCTCTCTCTCTCTCTCTGTCACCCAGTCTGGAGTGCAATGGCACAAACACAGCTCACTGCAGCCTCAACCTCCTCAGCTCAAGCAATCCTCCTGCTTCAGCCTCCCATATAGCCAGGACCATGGGTGTGCTCCCCCACCCAGCTAATTTTTTTAATTTTTTGTAGAGATAGGGGTCTCACTTTGTTGCCCAGGCTAGTCTCCAACTCCTGGTCTCAAGTGATCCTCCCACCTTAACCCCTAAAAGTGCTGGGGTTATAGCCACCATACCTGGTCTGATTATTGTTATTATTATTATTATTATTATTATTATTATTATTATTATTATTATTGAGACAGGGTCTCGTTCTGTTGCCCAGGCTAGAGTGCAGTGGCTCACTACGGCCTCAACCTCCTCGGGCTCAGGTGATCCTCTCACCTCAGCCTCCCGAGTAACTGGGATTACAAGTGTGCATCACCATGCCCATCTAATTTTTTTTATTTTTCATAGAGACACGGTTTTGCCTGTTGCCCAGACTGGTCTCCAACTCCTGGGTTCAAGTGATCCACCCACCTTGGCCTCCCAGTGCTGGAATTACAGATGCGAGCCACTGCACCCAGCCCTGATTGTTTTTTGAATGTTGAACCAGACTTGCATCCTTGCATAAACCTCATTGGTCAGATGTGTTATCCTTTTCATATATTGCTGGATTTGATTTGCTGGTATTTTATTGAGGATTTACGTGTCTTTGCTCATGGGGAATATTGCTCTATAGCTTTCTTTTTCTTTTTTTTTTTTTTTTTTTTTTTGCAATGTCTGGTTTTGATATCAATGTAATGTTGGCCTCATAAAAAGGGTTGGTAATTGTTCCCTCCTCTTCCATTTTCTGGAAGAGATAGTGTAGAGTTGGCATTAATTCTTTCTTAAGTATTGGTAGAATTCACAAGGAAAGTCGTCTAGGCCCAGAGTTTGTATTGTTGTTAGGTTTTTAACAACAAATTTAATTTCTTTAATTTATATGGTACCATCTATTTTTTCTTGAATGAGCTTTGGTAACTGTCTTTCAAGGAATTTGCCCATTTTTTCTAAGTCGTAAAATGTGGGAACATAAAATTGTTTGTAACATTCTTTTTGTTTATTTCTTTAGAGACAAGGTCTCTCTCTGTCATCCAGGCTGGAGTGCAGTGGTGCGATCATAGCTCACTGCAGACTCTAACTCCTGGGCTTAAGCAATCCTCCCACCTCAGCCTACCAAGTGGCTGGGACTATAGGCCCACACAATCATGCCCAGCTATTTGTCTGTTGGCTTGGTTTTTGTAGGAAATCCTCTTGCAGTGTTCTCTATCTCATCATCTACCTAATTACAGAAACCAGAAACCAGAAACCTCAAACCCTCACCCCCAAATCTAGTCTGTCCCTACGTTAGTTGATGTGATCACTTTACACTGTTTATCCCATCAGACTTTCCTCCAGAAGCTGCCATCACCACCAGCACCAGCGCCAGCACCAGCTCCTTAATGCACATCATTGCCTACATGATTAAGGTGGCTTCTAACTACTCTGCCCACCTTGCTCCAGCAACTCTCCTATCTACTCTATGGAGGGGAGCTGGAATGAACCTTCCAAAAGTCACAAACCTGACTGCATCATCCCCCTGCTTAAAACTCTCCAAATATTTTCTATCGTTTTATTGTTTTAATACCAACTTTCTTTTTTTTTTTTTTTTCTTTTTCTTTGAGACAGGGTCTTGCTCTGTCACCCAGGCTGGAGTACAGTGGTGCGATCACAGCTCACTGTAGCCTCTAACTCCCAGGATCAAGTAATCCTCCTGCCTTAGCTTCCTGAGTAGCTGGGATGACAGGCACAACCACCAAGCCCAGCTAATTAAAAAAAATTTTTTTTGTAGAGACAGGGTCTTGCTATGTTTCCAGGCTGGTCTCAAACTCCTGGCCTCCCAAGTGATCCTCCTGCTTTGTCCTCTCAGGGCACTGGGATTACAGGTATGAATCACCACGCCCAGCCTATAATGTTCTGTATTAACCTTTAAATATCTGTAGGATCTGTAATGATATCCCCTCTTTCATTTCTGATATTGGTAATTTGTGTCTCTTTTTTTCTTGATCAGTCTGATCAGAGCCTTGTCAATTATATTAATCTTTTCATAGAAGCAACTTTGGTTTCCTTGATTATGTTTTCCTATTGCTTTTCCATTTTCTATTTCATGGACTTCTGCTCTTGTCTTTAGTGTTTCCTTCCACCTGTTTCCTTTAAGGTTGTTTTTTGTTTTTTATTTTTGAGACAAAGTCTCGCTCTGCCACCCAGGCTGGAGTGCAACAGCACAATCTCGGTTCACGGCAACCTCCGCTTCCCAGGTTCAAGCAATTCTCCTACCTCAGCCTCCCCAGTAGCTGGGATTACAGGCATGCACTGCCACCACACCCAGCTAATTTTTTGTATTGGTAGAGACAGGGTTTCACCATGTTTGCATGGCTGGTCTCGAACTCCTGACCTCAAGTGATCTGCCCGCCTCGGCTTCCCAAAGTGCTGGGATTGCAGAAGTCAGCCACCGCGCCCAGCCTGCTTTAAGTTTAATTTGTTTCTTTTTCTAGTTTCTAAAGATGGAAGCATAGATCATTGATTTCCTTTTATTAATATAAGCATTTAATGCTATAAATTTTCCCTTAAACATTGCTTTAGCTATATCACACAAAGTCAATATGTTCTGTTCAGACATGTTATAAGAAGTCAGTATAGTTTATTTTGGGCAAAAAACTTTGAAATTCCTATGTAGCTTATTCATAATAGGCATTTTCCATGAAGTTGTCGAAGACCCCCAGAATCCCACTTTACAATCCCAGTTTAATTTTTTAGTCATCTATTGATCCATTTGACAAACATTGTGATGCTTAGTGTATATAAAGCACTATGCTAGTCTGGTCAGAGAGATGGCTATTCATCAAACTATCACATAAATAAATATACGATGCTGTGAGGCAGAGGTTAAGGAGGATGCAGCATGGGTCAGCCTCTGGAGGCTGAGGAAGAGCTAGCGCAGTGCAGAGCACCAGCACGGCAGTGGGACTGGCAAGCGTAGAGCCCTTGACAGAAGCAGGACCTTCAAGGGGTTGCATGAGGAAGAGGAGGGGCCTTCTGGCCTGTGATGAAGCTGGAGGGGTCAGCAGTGGCCAAGCTGTGCAGGTTTCTGCAAGTCAGGTAGGAAAAGTTGATACCGGCCAGGTGCAGTGGCTCACACCTGTAATCCCAGCACTTTGAGAGGCCGAGGCAGGAGGATCACTTGGGGCCAGGAGTTAGAGACCAGCCTGGGCAACACAGCAAGACCCCATCTCTACTGAGAAATACAAAAATTAGCCAGGCATGGTGGCACACACCTGTGCTCCTGGCTACTCGGGAGGCTAAGGCAGGAGGATCACTGGAGCCCTGGAGCTCGAGGCAGCGGTGAGATGTGATTGCGCCACTGCACTCCAGCTTGAGTGACAGAGCAAGACCCTGTCTCAAAAGAAAAAATAATGATAAGGATAAAAAAGAAAGTTAGTATTAATACAAAGAACAATAGGCAATATTTGAAGAGTTTTAAGCAAAGGGATGAGGCAATGGCGTTTGTATTTTAGAAAGGTCACTGCAGCTTCCCTCCGTAGAGGCAGAGGTGCCAGAGCACATGTGGGCAAAGTAGTTAGAAGTCACTGTATTTTTTTTTTTTTTTTGAGACAGAGTCTCACTCTGTTGCCCAGGCTGGAGTGCAACGTTGTGATCTCAGCTCACTGCAACCTCCACCTCCTGGGTTCAAGCAGTTCTCCCTGCCTCAGCCTCCTGAGTAACTGGGATTACAGGTGCCCACCACTATGCCCGGCTAATTTTTGTCATTGTTGGGTTTTTGTTTTTGTTTTTTGTTTTTGAGATGGAGTTTTTGCTCTTCACCCAGGTTGGAGTGCAATGGTTCAATCTCGGCTCACTACAACCTCTGCCTCCTGGGTTCAAGCAATTCTCCTGCTTCAGCCTCCCTAGTAGCTGGGATTATAGGTGCTCACCACCAGGCCCAGCTAATTTTTTTTTTTTCTGTATTTTTAGTAGAGACGGGGTTTCAGCATGTTGGCCAGGCTGGTCTCAAACTCCTGACCTTAGGTGATCCACCCACCTCGGCCTCCCAAAGTGCTGGGATTACAGGTATGAGCCACCGCACCTGGCCTAATTTTGTATTTTTAATAGAGATGGGGTTTCGCCATGTTGGCCAGGCTGGTCTCAAACTCCTGACCTCAGGCAGTCCACCCACCTCAGCCTCCCAAAGTGCTGGGATTACAGGTGTGAGCCACCGCGCCCAGCCAGAAGCCACTTTAATCATGTAAGCAATGATGTGGATTAAGAAGCTGGCACTGGTGTTGGTGGTGATGGCAGCTGCTCTAGGAAAGTCGATGGAAAAACCAGTGTAAAGTGGTCACATCAACTATCATGGGGCAGACTAGATTTGGGGGCGAGGGTTGAGGAACGTTAGATTTCTAGTTTGTGTAATCAAGTACATGATGAGATAAGAAGACTGCAAGAGGACTTCCTTTTTCCTGTGGTTGTGTGTGTGCAGATTTTTTTGGTTGTTGTTAAGGCATGAAGATGTGCAAACAGGAAGAATCTCATTTTTTTTACCTAATTCCTTCATTCGAGTTATTTATATGTGTATTTCCTCAATTAGCTTATGAGCTCTTTCAGTCCAGGAAACACTTTTTATTTTCAAATATAACCCGAGAGCTTAGCTCATAGGTTTGTTTGTTTGTTTAATAGCATGGCTTTCCTTAAATTAAAAAAACAGAGAAAAAACGTTTTAAATAAAATTAAGCACAGCAACATAAAAAACACTTTCAATATCAGTAAAACACAGGACAAGATTCAAGGAAATCCATGTAGAGGCATTATTAGTATTTTTGCTAACTTGGACTATCAAAGCTTAATCTGATCTTGACCTTATTTTTCAACTATATAATAATGCCTTAAAAATATTCAGAATCTCTATTCTAAAGTCAGAACTAATTTTTAGGATTGAAAAAAAAAAAAATGGGGCCGGGCACAGTGGCTCATGCCTGTAATCCCAACACTTTGGAAGGCCGAGGTGGGATCACGAGGTCAGGAGTTCGAGACCAGCCTGGCCAATGTAGTGAAACCTCGTCTCTACTAAAAATATACAAAATTAGCTGGGCGTGGTGGCGGGCACCTGTAATCCCAGCTGCTCAGGAGGCTGAGGCAGGAGAACTGCTTGAACCTGGGAGGCAGACGTTGCAGTGAGCCAAGATGGTGCCATTGCATTCCAGCCTGGGCGACAGTGTGAGACTCCATCTCAAAACAAAAAAAAGAAAAAAAAGTTTATATGTTGTGTTTTTTGCTTCTTGTTGTTGTTGCTGTTATTATTATTATTATATTTTTAGACAGAGTTTTGCTCTTGCTGCCCAGGCTGGAGTGCAATGGCGCGATATCGGCTCACTGCAACCTCCACCTCCTGGGTTCACGCAATTCTCCTGCCTCAGCCTCCCAAGTAGCTGGGATTACAAGCATGCACCACCATGCCCAGCTATTTTTCTATTTTTAGTAGAGATGGGGTTTTACCATGTTGGTCAGGCTGGTCTCAAACTCCTGACCTCAAAGGCTCCACCCACCTCAGCCTCCCAAAGTGCTGGGATTACAGGTGTGAGCCACTGCACCCACTGTTTTTTTAAGAGACAGGTTCTCACTATGTTGCCCAGGATGAGTTCCTGGCCTCAACTCATCCTCCTGCCTTGGCCTCCCAAAGTGCTAGGATGGGATTACAGGCATGAGCCACTGTGTCCAGCCAATATGTTGCGTTTTAATTTTCATTCAATTCCAATATGTTGTAATTTCCGTTGCCGTTAACCATTCCCCTGTGGCCCTGGGCAGACAAGACAAGCAGGGGCTGGGGGACACATAGGCGGGGACTCTGGGATTCTGCACTGCCCCAGGCCAATCCCCAGAGAGCGCCTCGAAGGAGAGAGGCTGTATCAGAGTTCCCAGGCCTTCCTGAATGCCTTCCCAGCACAGACTCTCTCAGGCCATCCCGCCTGGGGTGGCATTAGGGCTGCAGTCTTCCTGATGCTGGGCCCCTCTTAGCACCCAGGGCCCACTTCACCCATGCTCCAAGGGGGACGGGTCCTTCCCTGGGTAGCTCTGTGTCTACTGGCCTCACTGCTGGCCAGGGAGAGTGGGTTAGCACCTCCTAGTCTTGATGTCCCTGAGCGCACGGCACTCATTTTGGAGTAGGGAGCATTAAGATTCCTTATCCAAGGTCACCCAGCCAGGAGGGTCTGGTGTCAGAGCAGAAGTGGGACAGGAGACTTCCGGAGGTGTCCCCAGGACTCGGGAAGGCTTACTGCAGGAAGCAGTGCTATAGGGAGCCAGGGTCTGGTGTGTGGCGCCAGCATCACCCCGCTGCTCTCACTCTCACTTTCCTTATGGAACCTGAGGGGGCATCTGTGTTTCTGAACCAAGAGGCAAGGACATGTTTGAGAAGAAATGCCAAGTCCTGAACCACAGCTTCACCTCACAGCCAGCTGTGACCCTGGCATGGCTGCTGGCTCTGCTCATGGGGCAAGGCGGGCAGAGGATGACCCAGAGCCCCTGCCTCACCGTGCTCACCTTGGACCCCTCCTGTTACTCCTGGGACGAAAAAGGGAAGCGAGGGAGAGAGTGAGGGCAGTGGGCAGGTGTGTGGGACCTGCCTTGGACACTGAGCTCGCCCAGGGTGCCGCTCCCAGGAGGCTCTGCCCTGCCCTGCGGGAGGGTGCCTTTTCCACGAGTCCCCACTGGCCACAGGTGCCCAGCCCAGGCCCTGGCAGGAGGCAGTGGCTGGCAGGGCCCCAGCCCAAGTGCCTCTGTCGCACTCACCACCCCCGCACACTAGGCCCCTGATGCAGCGTCCTCCCCCAGCCCCTTTGTGCTGATGGCCCCCAAGCTTCTCCAAGATGCAGAACCTGCTAGTGGCATCGTGTTCTTGTACCAAATTAGCCACACTTAAGTGCCCGCTGCCTGAGCCCCCTGCAGAAGCTGACTCACTCACTTGAGGCCACTCGAAATGCACAGTTCCCCGGAAGCCCTCGCCTTCCACCCAAGGCTCTGCCGAGGGCCTGACTTCAGCAGGAGCTCATTTTAAGGGGCTAGGGGCAGAGAGTGGGGGCTCCAGCCATTTAAGGAGGCAGCTGTGCCCGCAGCTTCGCTGCAGCTCTGCGGGGGCAGCTCAGTCATCTGCCGTAAGAGCAGCCCTGTGCAAGAGGAGACAGCAGCAGATCTAAACCTCAGGCTGTCCAAATCAGGCCCCAGGAGAGAGGAAGCCTCAGAGTCTTCCTCCTGAGTCCTCCCGTTGGCCTCTCTGGGTGGCTTGAGCAAGGTGAACCCAGGGGGCTCAAGTCCTGGGGGAAACAGAGGGGCTCCAGGTCCCAGGGTACAGCCCGCAAAGCCCTGGCTTGGTGTAGCTGCTGAACGCCTTGGGCAGTCACCTGCTCCTCCAGGAGACTGAGTTTCATGGTAAACCAGGTCTCTGCATTCCCCTGAGCCCCCACCAGGACTGACCCCAGGGCAGAGATGCAGAAGCCCAGAGAACCCCCGCTGCATCTCCCCCACCAGCCCACCTCCCAGTGTGTCCCCCACCAGCCACACCAGCCCACCTCCCGCTGTGTCCCCCACCAGCCCACCTCTCGGTGTGTCCCCCACCAACCCGACTCGCCACACCTCCTCCTGGTGCTCCTGCTGAGACCCGTGCTGTCCCTATCCCACCAAGAACCCCCAATGTCACTGACGGAGCAGCAGAAGGCCTGCTGGTTGGGGCCAATCCAGTGCGGGGGTGAAACTCTAAGAAGGCAGGTCAAGGGGCTTTCAGATGAGCTCTGCCCGGGTTCAGTCCCTCCTACCCCACTGCTCTCTGGCTGTCTGACCTCAGGCAAGTCTCTGACCCTCTCTGAGCCTTGGTTTTCTCATATAAACCTGGGGATAATCATTCCTGCGTCACTGCATCTGAAAGATCGGCCCAGTGTTTGGTACGCAGCAAAGTCTGTGGACACCTGTTGAACAATTGAACAAAAGAATGAATGAGTGGGCCAGGCATGGTGACTCAAGCCTGTAATCCTGAAAGTGAGTGAAAAATGAGTGAATGAGTGAGTGAAAAATGAGTGAGTGAGTGAATGAGTGAATGAATGACTGAAAGGATAAGTGAATGAATGAGTCAATGAATGACTGAAAGGATGAGTGAATGAGTGAATGAATGACTGAAAGGATGAATGAATGAGTGGATGAATGACTGAAAGGATGAATGAATGAATGGGCGAATGAATGACTGAAAGGATGAATGAGTGAATGAATGAATGTGTGAGTGACTAAATGAGTGAGTGAATGAGTGCCTGCTGACAGCACTCTCAAAGCTCCATGCCATGGGGCTGGTGGTTTCAGCTTCTTGGGAAGCTCCTTGGGGAAGGGACCCCAGATAGGGTGCGCTGCTGTGCAAAGAGCACTGGAATGAGAGTCCAGAGACACTGGCATCAGCCCAGCATGGTATTTTCCCACCCGTGACTGCTGCCCTCTCTCAGCCATAGTGACCTCTCCTGATGGCCGCAAACAGTAATTCCTGGCTCACTGGATAGCAGGGAGGTGGTAAAAGTCAAGTTCTCTGCCAAGGGAGCCTGGTCTGCGGCATTATCACCTCTCTAACCACCACAATGGCGCTGATTCCTATAAACTCTGCTAAAGTCTGTGTTTTGGCCCAGCCACAGTGGCTCATGCCTATAATCCCAGTGCTTTGAGAGGCTGAGGCAGGAGGATGACTTGAACCCAGGAGTTCGAGACCAGCATGGGCAACATGGTAGGAACCCTGTCTCTACCAAAAAAAAAAAAATAATTAATTAATTAATTAGCTGAACATGGTGGCTCACGCCTGTGGTCCCAGCTACTTGGGAGGCTGAGGCAGGAGGATCTCTTGAACCTGGGAAGTTGAGGCAGCAGTGAGCTGTGATTGCGCCACTGCACTCCAGCCTGGCTGACAGAGTGATACCCTCTCAAAAATACAACAAAATCTGTGTTTTGTTAAATTAAAAAGTTATACATAAACGGAAGACCCCACCACCCCCTTTGGGGGACACCTCCAGAGGGAAGGTAGGACCGTCAGCCTTCAAGCTCCAGGGTCAGGGCCCCACCTGTTGAGTCCTTGGTGAACACCTGCCCGAAGCTGCAAGCCCCATTCTGAGGGAACAGAAGGACAGGAGTCAGCCTTGGGAAGAGGCGGGAGAAGTGCTGTGAGCAGTGGCCCTGCTTCCAGCCACTCGGACGACTGGGAAGTCCAGGCCACGCTCCACACCCAGAACCCGGCCCCACAAAGCCGCCCAACAGGAGCCGACGCAGGGACCAAGGGTCAAGAGCCGATGGCAGCAAGGATGGAAGTAATCTCAAGGCCTGGGACCTGCCGGGACCCGTGCTCAGCCCCCAGAAGGCTCCCGGGGCCTCCACAGTTGGGAAGTGGGGCAAGAGCAGGTGGCTCGGAGCTGAACTGGCTGAAATTCTGCCCTGGAACATGCAGTTCTTTCTCTGCCACGAGCTTCTCCATGCTGGGCACTGTGCCGGCCCCTTCACGGGTAAAGGGGAGACCCACGAGCCACCGGCAGCTTTGTCACCAGGACCCAGCATCCGCTCTCAGAGAGGCCTCAGCATTTACCGTCAGGACACAGGGGCTGGAACCAGGGCCCAGAGCTGCACCATCCACCATGGGGCTGCTGGCCTCGCTGGCCCCGGAGTGCTCGCAGGTGGCCGGCTCTTAAGGGGACCATGTGCCTATGAAATACAGCCCTGTCCCAAAGACTCAACATGAAAAGTGATTGCAGGAGGCATTGTTCTGTGTTGATTACCTGTTGAGATGACTGCATTTGGAGTACGTTGAGTTCAAAGCTCATTATTGAAACTAATGGCACCTGTCCCGTTTTCCCTTTGTAGATGGTTGTTACAAAATTGAAACTTTGCTGTGTGGCTCACACGCATTCTGGTTCCTGTACAGCGCCGGTCTGGAACCCGGCTGCGGGGAGGTGGGAGGTGGACGGTGGGATGGAGAGGCGCATGGTAGGACGGAGAGGCCCAGGGCCTTGGGGACACACTGGGGAGGGCACTAGCCACAGGGAGCCCAGCAGGGGGGCGTGTGGCTGCGAGGAGGAGCCCCTATCCCACTCTGCTCAGTGCCCTGGGCCTCACCCGGGGTCTCACCAAGTCTCCCTGCTCCGGACTTGGCCTTCTCGGCCTCTGAGCAAGACCTTCGGGTCCTTACTCCCACCACGCGCCTGGGTTGGACCTGCTCCATCAGGCCCTGCTTTGCACCAGATGGAAGGAGGGAGGGAGCAGGAGAGCCCGTCCTCCCATGGCAGGGCCACCTCGGCCACCCCACCAGCAGCTGCTTCAAGACCAGCAGTGCCACCCCCCTCTCAGCTGCCACCCCCTTCAGACTGCCAGGAAAAATGAATAAGCAATTAGCTATCCCTCCCAGCCACCCTGCGCCGGACGCCCACTCCCTCGCCTGCCTTTCCGCACCTCCTTGCTCTCTTTTCACCTCCCTCTCTCTCCCTCTTCCTCTCTCTCTCCCTCTTCCTCTCTCTCTCTCTCTCTTGCTCCCAACCTCCCTCCACCACTCTCAATTTCTGCCTCTCTCTCTCTGTTGCTTTCTCTCTGTCCTCTCTCATCCCCGCAATGGTCTCCCGCCCTCTCTGCCTCTCCACTCTCCCTCTGTCTCTGTATCTCCCTCTGTGTCTGTCTCTCTGTCTGAGTGTATGTGTCTCCCTCCCTGTCATCTCTCTCTCTCCCTCTCTCTCTGTCCTCTCTCGCCCTGCCCAGTGGTCTGCCCCCTCTCTGTCCCTCCACTCTCCTTCTGTCTCTCCCTCCCTCCACCCCGCACTGCAGCGCCTAATAGCACCGGCGGAGTGGGAAGCGGAGCCGCGCCGCACACAGTCACAAATCTTCCATATTACTCCCTCTCCTTTATTTACACCGGGCACACAGTAGCAATTCAATCTGAAAAAGTACCGTGTTTTCGGAGGCGCGCAGCCCAAGAAATTGATGTTTGTGTTAATCGGTCTTGTAGGAGCCTGCGGGGCTCAGAGAGGTGTGACGCAGGGATTTCTTCTATTGATTAATTGAATTCCGGGCAGGGAGGATGGGAAGAAAAATCAAACCCTCCAAGTACCTGGAAGCTTTGGAGCTAGGTCAGGCGCCCTGCCAACCCTTGCCCAGCCTGAGGTGTGGGGGGTCCCCTGGGCTCTGAGCCCCCATAATGTCCTCTTAGCTCAGCCTCAAACCTGGTCGGGGGTCAGGACTCCAGCTCCAAGGCCGGCTGTGGCTGGCTCGAGGGGGACTTTGGGGTCACCCCTCTCCTGTCTGGAAAGGCTGGAGACAACCCTGCCTCTAGCCCCCTCCCACTGCCCACCCAGCAGGTCAGAAGCTCCAGGCCTCCGTCCTGAGGACGCTGTGTCCCCCACACCCAGCGTATCCCGAGTTTGGGCTCTGGACGTGAGCAGCAGCATGTGGGCTCAGAGCCCCTTGTCGGCTTCCCTGAGCCTCCGCCCTGCCCCCCACCATGGAAAGTCTTTGGGCGCTGGCCTGGAGCCACGTGTCTGCTGGCTCAGCCGGTGGAAATGAGGCAGCCACGTGGGTATGGGAGCCAGCGTGTCCTCCCAGACGGCCACCCCAAGCTTCCATAATCCAAGACCCAGACTCTGCAGACAGCTGGAGGAGCGTCTGTGACCTCCCCGGGGACCTGGGAGGACCAGGAGGCAGCAGGCAAGAAGGAGCTGTGGACCCACAGGAGGGACAGGACAAACACTCGGGGTCAGAAGGCTCTGCATTTGGATGGCACCTAAAAGGTGACCTCAGAAACTGACACTGCCATTCACGGTTCTCATTAAGGGGGGTGGGACAAACAGACAGCGTTCATCAGGCCCATTTTATGGATGGGAACACTGAGGCTCTGACAAGGGATCGCCCAGCTGGAGAAAGATGGAGCCAGGACTTGCTACCAGGCCTCAGGACCCCAGGGCAGGTCCTCCGTTCCAAGTTTCCTGGTCCTCAGGAGTCCAAGGACCTGGGCCTGGCCACGATCCTCGTCACCCAGGGGGGTGGTTGGGAGGTGCAAGGTGGACTGGCTCCAGCGCATCCTGAGGGGGCTGGCCAACTGACCACTTTCCAGATGGCTGAAGCTTTGCACATCTGGGAACGAGGGCACTTGCCGGATAGGTGCATCAGGAAAACCATCAAATCACTCCTCCCTCTCCAGGCAGAGAGCCCCGGCGCCATCTTCCAGGAGGCATTCACGTTAGAACAATCAACATGTACAAATGCATCCCTTGCCTGTCCTACAGCATCGTCACCACCAACCAAACACCTGCTGGGTGCCAGTGACTATGTTCTCAGTATCTGCGACCCTATCCCAGAAGCTCTGTCCCATCCCACGGAGGCAGAAACTGGGAACAGGGACTAACTTCATTTTTTTTTTTTTAAAGACAGAGTTTTGCCCTTTCCCCCAGGCTAGAGTGCAGTGGCACAATCTTGGCACACTGCAACCTCCACCTTCCGGTTTCAAGTGATTCTCCTGCCTCAGCCTCCTGAGTAGCTGGGATTACAGGTGCCTGCCACCACGCCCAGCTGATTTTTGTATTTTTAGTAGACACGAGGTTTCACCATGTTGGCCAGGCTGGTCTTGAACTCCTGACTTCGTGATCCGCCCGCCTCAGCCTCCCAAAGTGCCAGGATTACAGGCATGAGCCACTGCACCCGGCCAAACCAACCTCATTTCAGTAGTGGGAAGTCGGGGTTCCTCCACAGGCAGAGGTCGGCTCCCCGGCCTTTTCTTAGGCTGCCGATAGATGGCAGGACCTGCATCTCGCTGTTTTCCCCGCAGTCCTGTGACGGTGGGGCAGAAAGCACTGGGGCAGAAGCAGAAGGGATTCCTGCCCTGCCTGGGCCTCTCGCTCCCAGGCCTGCTCTGGGTGTCAGGCACATTGGCCCCATTACCTGACCTCAGCATGCCCATCTGTAAAATGGGTCTGAAGAGAAGCCTCAGCAGTGCCCACCACCCAGAACACTGTGCTAGGAAGCAGGTTTCTGGCACCATTCAGGTGTGATCTTGTCCAGAGCAAACGTGACCTCCATGCCCCTTGATGGAATGCACTGGAAAAGCTCAGGGAGCCCCTGGCTTGCCTGCTTTTTTGGGGGCAGGGGGGCTAGGTCAGGGGGAACAGAGGCATGGGGATCCAGGGTCCTGTCTGCCTTGGATGCTCGTGGGCTGCTGCCCTGGGCTAGCTCCCCTCGTGCTCACTGTGACCCCCTCAGAAGGACTTCCCATGACACCGGAGAGCTGAGCCCTGGGCGAGGCGCCCAGCCCCTCAGACGCCAAAGGAAGTGGATTTTTAAGGATGAGCTTTTTAAAACTGCTAATTGGGTGACTCTTGCCCCATTTCCTTGCACAAGCTCACACACACACTTGCATATCTTGCCGATTTTCCAACAAACAAAGCATAATTTGTGTTACTGCAACAGAATGTCCTGTTTAGGCTGACAGGAGCCAACGGGGGTGACCCTGAACCATCCTACCACGAAACGCACTTCCAGGAAGAGTTCATCGGACCAACACGCAACCCGCAGCCGGAAAGCGTCCAAGAGCGCAGAGCAGAGCCTCAAAGGGCAGCCAACCCCCAGCCCCAGCCACGCCATGACCGCACCTGGCCCGGGGCCACTGTCCCAGCGCCCCCCCTCCCAGGCCTCACCCTTCAAACCACCCAACACACACACCCTCAAGACCACCACCAAGGAAAAAGTGAAAGTTCAACTGCAAATGTAAATTATGTAGCCCAAGACAAAACTAAAGGACAAAGATGATCTTGGGAAAACATTCGGAATCCACGCAATTGAAAAAGATTTTATATTATTAATATAAAGAGCTCCTGCAAATGCGTTTAAGAAAGACGGCCATCCCATTAGGAAAAAAAACAGGCTATGGCCAGGATCACCAACTCACACAATGCAGCCAACAAGTCCGTCAAATGTGTGACTGCACAAAGCTCCAAATGTAACAATTAAAAGGACGAAGACATCTCTTTACACCTACTAAATTGGCAATGATTTTTATGTTAATGACACGGAGGGAAAAGGCCGTCAGTTTCCCCACTACCATTCTAGAAGGAAATACAGTAGCAATTTTTACCCACACACAAAACATCTGACACATGGGCAGCCCCTCGGCCCAGGAATTTTACTTCGTGCCTCCCTGATCAGAGGAATGGGCGAGGGTGTTTGTCTAATGTGGGGGTTTCCAAGGCAGAGACCTTCAAACAACTCTTCAGTGGGAGGGGCACAGCCAGGTGCAGTCTGCACACTTTCTCTTGTTTTATAAAATGTAACACTTCGTGGTTACTGCTTTTTTTCTCTTTTTTCAGGGACGGGAGGTCTAGCTCTATTGCTCAGTCTCCCATCCCAACCTCGGGAGTAGCTGGGACCACAGGCGCCAGCAACCATGCCCAGCTCATTTTTTTTAATGTTTTGTAGAGACAGGGGTCTCTCCGTGTGACCCAGGCTGTACTCAAACTCCTGGGCTGAGGGATCCTCCTGCCTAGGCCTCCCAAAGTGCTGGGATCACAGGCTAAGACACACTACACACACCACAAACCACACACCACTGAGTCACATGGCAGAAGATCTCATGAAA